>NC_000021.9:20465808-21715808 GCF_000001405.40 Homo sapiens
AAACTATGCACCCTTTCACAGCATCGTCTCCTCATATTTCCATCCTCAACCCCCAGCTCCTGATAACCACCGTTCTACTTTTTACTTCTCTGAGTTTGAATATTTCCAATTCCACAAAAAAGTGAGATCATGCAATATTTATCTTTCTGTGCTTGGCTTATCTCCCTTAGCATCGTGTCCTCTAGGTTCATTCACATCGTCACAAATGAGAGGGTTTTCTTCTTTTAGACTGAACACTATTGTGTCGTGCATATATGCCACATTTCTTTTGTCTTTTCATCTGCTGATGGACACTTATGCCATATGTTGGTTGTTATGAATGATGCTGAAATGAGCATGGGAAATGTCCCCGAAAGTCCGTGTGTCAGTACCCTTTTTATTTAAAATTACTCCGTTTCCATATGTGTTTTCAAAAAGCAATACCAAGGGGCACACTTTTCAAAATGCAGCATTTGCTTTTTGTTTCATTTCCTAAACTTGAAATTTTTTAAATTATAGTGTTTATATTTTAGGATTTTCTATAACTATTCATTGACATAATGTGGGATTTTGCTATTTATACTACTTTGTAGATTTGACAAATCTCCTTCCCATTCTTAGTGAACAACAACAAAAATATATAGTGGAGAGCTGTAAATCTTGCATTACATTTTCTTTTTTTTTCTTAAATATAATTTTTAAAAATTCAATACAATTAAAATTTTGAGATTTTTTTGAAATTTTGAGAACGTTGTAATTTTTGTGATCTAATAATTTCTTCTCAGCAAGAGCATCATATAGTACAGTTCCAAAGATTTTGAACTTCATCATTCTCTTTTTTTTAAAAAAAGTTTTTAATGGCATATTTGATATGCATTTAATGTGTATAATGCATATTTTAAAAATTATGTAGCTGTTATTACTCTAGGATGGGAAACTCTCAGATATTATGTGAATTTATGTTTTTAAATGCTGAAACCCTTAAAAGTATTTCAGATGTTACAGTGTTCTTATTAAAACTGTCATACAATGTCATAGAGAAAAACAATGAGGCATTTTTTCTTTATCTTCTTCCTCTTAATAGTTTAGTAATCAAGATAAACTGATGCATCTTTGTGAGCCTCCATTCCACTGACGTAAAATACAAAAAAAAAAAACAGTTATTGTAAATGTTTAATGAAATACTCTCTGTAAATATAGTTTATACATTGAAAGGAACTATAAAAATGGAAATTATACACACATGTGCATGTATGAACACACTTATATGTTATAGATATATGCATATATACTCACTAAATTAGTGACAGTTTAGAAACTTACTTGTGTGCAAAATTCAACAAAATGTCAGAATATTATTGTTTTTGTTTAAAGCCATTTGAAAACCTTCAAAACAAAGAAGAGCTGCAAAGTATTTTTCAGATTTTGATATGTGAGGAATTTGACTTAGTTTTTCCGGACAGATGCTGAAAACATTGAAAATATATTAAGACTTCTCCTATCTAATCAGAGACTGAGAATAAATAAAGAGAATTTTGATTTTGATCCCATATAATTTGTTGCACATTTCAGAAAGTCCTGGAAAATGCAAATAATATGTATATATTTTTAAAGCATTTTCTTTAGTTAAAGAAAAATGGTTTCCTTCTGTGATTATGAGACTTATATGTTAATTCTTACACAGGTCAAAGCCATAAACCATGGTCTTATCCATAATGTAGGAAACAATGATTAGATTACAAAGTATCACCAAAGGATGCATGGTTATGAATTTCCATTTAGGAAAAGAAAGCATTACTGTACTCATGTTAATAGTTCTTTTTACCTTTAATCTATTCTGTTATTCTCATCATCATATCTCATGTACTCAACAAAAGTGAAATGGAATGAAAAGTCCTTTGCTTTCTTAATGCTGGCCTAAAAGCCCTAACACTTAGATTTGCAATACAATTTAAATATGTATACAAGTGTCTTTGTTTCATTTTTTAATATATGATACATGACCATCCATTTATTGATGTGACAACTGTGTCTGAAACATTTAGGTTGCTGAAAAAAATTCTACTAAAAAAGTATCTTAAATAGCATTGAGTCTATTGTTGTATCAAATAACATTCCATGTATTAGTAACTAAGAGCCAGAATCACAGCTCTGCGGCATTAAGGATCCAGAGTCCTTTTTATGTTTATCTTTGATATCTGTGGGTTTTGTCTTTTTTAAAATTATGTTCATAAAGACTCTTCACCGGTGTACATTCCTGCCAACAAGAATGGAATAAAGAGAAAAAATAATGTTGTTTTTTTTTTTAAAAAAAAGGTCAGAAAACATAATTGCCTACACCACCTCCACTTCGTCCTGCTAGCCATATCCATAATCTACTGTCAGGACAGTCTTTACATGAATATTCATATGTCCAGCCCCAGCTAGCAACTCTATTGCCATAGAAGAATGCGCCAAAAATGCAAAATAACTTGCCATCTCTGTCAAAGTGTTGAACACAATCTAAAATCTAGGGTTGCTCTGAATTTCTGAGAGTCTGTTAGTGTTGATTGTTATACTACAGTCTCAATAAAAATGGAATCTATGTGTTTTCATGCCCAGAATTGGTGTATGCATATACGTTGAAAGAAAAATGAATTTACAGTGACCCTACTTAGCTTCAGCTGTTTTCATTCAAACAAGTATGTGTGTGTGTATATATATAAGATATATAATATATAATAATATAATATATTTATATAAATATATAATATATATAATATGTATATATAATTATATTATATATTATATATAACATATATATAATGTAATATATTATATATGTGTGTATATGTAGCATTCAATATGTACATATGCAGATATAAAAAATTTATCCATATGATGCATAATCAATGACTCAAATTTAAACAAAACTTGCATGTGAGATATCTAGTATCATTAAAAGTGATTCAGAATAAGCAGAACTCTTAGAAAGATCAAGTTGCTCTTATCTATCACAAAATATGTATCTACCACAAAATATTGAATCATGTTAAGGGCTAATAAAAGCAGACTCTTCTTGTATCCATTCTCGGCCATTGCAGAATTTTAACATATATATTTTTAAACTTTACATTTTGTACTTTATTCCTGGTAATCTGATACCTCTTTTCAAAAAGATGTATTGATCCCATAGGGAAGTTTGTTGCTTTAGGAAGGATGCTCAAAAAAGTAGAAGGAAGGAAAAAGATCTCTTCCGGGAGACCTGACAAAATCATTTAGGTAACATTTGTGTTATTGGACACTTCTAGTAGCATCTCTAATATACTATATACACGAATTCAATAGCAAACAGAAATGAAGCATATCAAATAAGGAGAAGAAAATCATATTAGGACAATGATGAGTGCTAATCTTTTGTTGTATTTTCAAAGTTTCTAACATTTACAAATGAAATTATATGAGTTGACATTACTAAGAATTAAAATAGTGGATCATGAGGTGACTAAAATAAGTACAGCTGTTTCATTGCATTTTATTCTTCTTAATTTTGCTCCTGACTGGTCCCCATGAAATGCTAGATGATTAACAAAATATTTAGATAGTTGAAGGAAGATATCACTTAAAAGCATTCTGCACAAGATTGCCGATCATTTCAAAAGGACAAAATAGTGGAGAACGTAACACATACATTAATTGAAATGATTTTCGTGTGTGAGAATGGGAGCATACTAAAGAAATAAAACAAATCTTGGCAGAATTTCCACTTATGTTACTCTCTGTCTTTACTCCTATATAAATAAGAAAGATTGTAAAGAAACAAAAAAACCTCTTGAACCGTCTGAAATCTTGCCAATTTTTTTGGAACACTAATGAATCTTGGAAATCTTATCATTCAAAATATAGCTGTACTACTTAGCAGGTCATCAATAGACATTTTTTTTTCTCTCTGTATTCTGAGGCCACACAGGCTTTCTCCTTTTTGTTTTCCTTTCAATCTAAACTCTGCATAACACTTTCTCTACAAAACCCTTCCTTTCTGTTGAGGTTAATATGGCTTGTGTGTGGCTTAGGGTAGATATCATATTGCCTTAGGGGTGCTCCACCATCTCACACTGTTAATTCCAATTCCCCATGTTGTTTGGTCAGATACTATGAGTTGGCTCATGAAGAATGAACTTTCAATTCCTTTCTCAGTATCTTTTCCCTATCATAGAGGTTTAGAAGTGAAAAACATAATTTCTTTCTTTTAATAAGGGTCTCCATGTCACCTATTTCTGCCAAATGAAACACAGTGTAAAATCTAACAAGGTTTTTTGAGAAAAACTTGTTGTTTGAAAAAGGCATCTATGTTGAATTTTATGAGTCAACTTGACGGGGCTGAGGGACGCCCAGATAGCTGCTAAAACATTACTTCTGAGTGTCTCTGTGACGGTGTTTCTAAAAAAGATGGACATTTGGGTTGGCAGACTGAATAAAAAAAATCACTCTTCCTAGTGTGGATGAGCATTATCCAATTGGTTGAGGGCTGGAATAGAACAAAGAGGCAGAGGAAGGCTGAATTCACTCTCACTTTCTGAGTTGGAACATCATCTTCTGCCCTCAGACATTGAAGCTCCTGGTTCTTGGCCCTTTAGATACTAGGATTTACACCAGTATCCCCCACCCAATTTCCAACTTTCAGGCCTTCAGACTGGGAATTATACCACAAGCTCTCCTGGTTCTCAGGCCTTTGGACTGAATTACAACACCGGTTTTCCTGGTTCCCCAGCTTACGTACTTCTCAGCCTCCAAGGTTATGTAAGTCAATTACTATAGTAAATCATATGTATGAATTCACAGAATGAGACATATTTATAGGTCCTTTTGGTTCTGTTTCTGTGGAGAACTTAATACAATATCACTACTTCCTAATTTTTCTTCCTCTTGCCTGAAATGCAAACACAATGACAGAGGAAGAGCAACTGAAGATATTTCTAAGACATACATTCTCTCCGTTTGAGTCAAGAGTTCTCCATAATGCAGTCATTTATGGCTATGGTTTAGGCTGACATACTACATATGATGTCTTAACTAAAGGCTGGTCAGAAAAGGAAACGTTATGAGTAGAGAAGAAATGATGAGTAATACTAATAAGGCTCAAAGTCTATGATCACATTTCTTTGATCTCTGTGAATACTGTTGATAGTTTATTAATTTACAAATGATAAACATATTTTATCCATCAAGTAAGACTGCAAATGTTATTGGGAAAAAGTCTCATTTTTAAAGAGAAAGTATGACAAAATAAAAAAAGAAATTTATGAGAAAATTAAATATTTTATATTTCAATGTAAATGTTAAGTATCACAAAGCGTTAATCTTGCAGGTGCAAAAAGAAAAGTCATCACAATGTTAATACATTAAAATTTTTTGGACAAATGTAATTTATTAGATTCCAAAAAAAATAATTCTTTCATGTATTTAAAATTTACTAAGAACTGACAATAACCCATTCACTGTGCTCATTGACTTGGTCCTTGCCTTGAAGGAGCTCAATTTCTTAAAAGAAACACAAAATATATTAGGTAAGTGTTTTACTAATATTATGGTTACTCACTGTAAAGCAATTCAGTCTATCTGCATATCAAAAAAATTTCCCCCCAAAATTATACATTAGTATTGGCTTCCTAAGATGTTAAGAATTCTCAGACATAGAATTATCAGGGGAGAGAGGGTGAGCAAAAGCATTCAGGCAAACGCAATAACATGAACAAGGTTTAGTGACCTGAAGTTACTCCATGTGTTAAAAACTGATATTGAATATATACAACTCCATAGCTAAAAGTTAGGGGCATGGCCAAAGACGAACTTGGAAAATTATGCCAGTGCTGGATTGTGGAAGTACTTGAAGATCGTGCTGAATGGTTTAATTAAGTCTTTTACTGCTGGCAGTGGGGAGCATTAGAGACTAAAAATTGCGAGAGACATAAATATATCGAAGCTTTTGGAAAGGCACTATAGTAGTCAGTTGCTTATGTGCTCTCAGATCCACTCACTGCCCCAGCCTAGTCCTGCTTGGCATAACATCTGGAGTGGCACACATTTCCCAGGTTCCCTTGCCTATTTATTGCCTTCTGGGGAGGGTCAACCAATAGAAGGCACAAAAGAAGATTCAGAGATAGAAGGACATTTGAAAGTTGGGTGTTTCTCACACATTTCTCTCTGACAGTCTCTGGCAGAAGCTGCATCTTCTCTACATCTCCAGCTCCCATACAACCACACCATGTTTCCATTGTCCCAGCTCCCTTCAGGCTGATTTGCTACAATCCCACATGCTCTAGGAACCCCCGAAATTGTTATCACCACATTTTCCTATGTTTATTCAGTCCTATGAGTGGTAGTAACCTCCTGTATTTGTTGGAATTGAAGTTTCTTCATTTTTGCATTTTCTTCTTATGAAAATTAGGAATTTATTTTCCATATTAAATTCTCTCTATTGAATTACATGGCTTGAATTTGGGTACCTAGTTGTACTCTGACAAGCAGAAAATTAAGACAGCTTTGAAAAAAAATAGAGTTAAAAGTATGCTTCATCTCTTTATATGCTTTTGAATGAGCAGTGTAATAAGCAACTTCATATATTAAGTTGTCATCATGAGAATGACCTCAAAGTTGAACTGGACCATTAACTGGACCAAAGTTGTTTTTATTTTTGTTGTTGTTTTTTTTTAAAAAAAGAAGAATTTTTCTTTTTTGTTTTGCCAATCTCTCCATTAAAGCCTCTGCTCAGCTTAACTTATGATTTTAATATTACCTGGTGCTCTTTGAAAATGTCAATACAAACAACCAAAATAGGGCTATCTTATTTTCCTGTTTTCTTCTTTGTATGTCTTTCTTTTTCACATCAGTCTTCTTTTTAAAGACATTAAAAATTTAATGGCTCAATGGTTAAAACAGACAAGTACTTCAAGCTTACCTGGCTTCATTTTCAAGACAAAAATGTTTGTCCCAGTTGCTATGCAGGTGTAACATAAACACATCAAGAGTAACAACATACTGTGTTTAACTTTTAAGTCGTTGTTGTCACCACTATATTTATAACGTGAATTTAGTAACTTTACCACAGAGATAGCAGGTGAGGTTGATAGAAAACAGGAAGGAAGTGATTTGTCCTAAGTTAGATAATACAATTTATTTAAAAATAGCAGTTGTAATCATTTTATTTAACTTTTAACAAATAAAATAGAAGCTCATTCATAAACATTTCAGATATACAAAAGCATTAATATTTAATCTTATCTTTGAAATATCGTATTTGACTTCTCTGGAATTCAGTATTTTTTAGATAAATTGGGAGATGAACCTTATACTTAGAAATACTTTAAAGGTCTTTAGAAATAAAAATGGTTCTGTTCTTAGTCAATAACATACCTCCCTTTATATTATGTAAATGAATAAGTTTCAATGTAAGACCAATGTAAAGTTTGCTTGGATAGAGAGGTGGGTAAATAAGTACGTTTATCTTCATTAAACTTTCTCTAATTGTTTAGGGTAAAAGTATATTTTTAAAAGCATTCTAACAATTTATTTTATTTCTAAAACAATACTAATCCTGGAGCACATAATAGAACATTGTAAATTTTAATAAGATGTCCTTCAGATTTCTGAGTTTGTCAGTTAAGTTGAAGACTCCCTTTGAAAAAAATACTTAAATGTTCCAAATATTCCCAAACATTTCCTCAATGCATATCATCAAAAATAGCTACAATGTTTGGTTGGATAGTGTCTCAAGCCCATGACTTCTCATTGAAACTCTGATGGTTATACGTGATTATGGTAGTGTTGACTCACCCTCAGAGCTACTTACATTTTAAGTTTTACCTTTTTCAATAATAATAATGAAATAATGTTGATATATAATCACCATGTTCCACGTTTCATGGTTTAGCAAAATACATGGACAGAGAAAAAGTAAAGTTTGGCCAATATAACTTGGCTATAAAAGTCAGGCAGAGGTTCCTGTTTTCAGTAATCTAAGTAAATGGTCCACCAATAAAATACAAAAACTGAACTGACATACTTTAAATCACTACAATACTCAATAAACATAAAGACTCACTATAAATTGTTATGCACACATTTGTATTTGTATCTATTGTTTTCACACAAGTGGGTGTGTGCAATTTACAGAACGTTTAGTTTCCCTTTCCAAATGAGTTTACTCTCTTTGCATTTTAAATGGAAAATACAAGCAGACTGAGTTCTTTTACCTTCCATGTAGACTATAAAGACATGCTGTTTCCTTTATTCCATCTACAGTAGTCCGTCCTGTTTTCAAACACTTTTTAACAAAAAGAAGTATCAGCATTAATTCATTCATTATTTCCAATATTAGTAATATTCATAGATTATTTCGATGATATAATCAAGTTGCCCTGGAATCTCCTCTCCTCAACTGATTGTGGAGTGACAGCCATATTTTTAACCAGAAAATATTTCAAATTATGGATTATTTTGTTTAAATATAAGAATTTTTCTAGGGGTCACTAGAGGAATCTGAGTAGCCTGATAAAGGTATATACCAAAACAAGCAGCTGTTTGCACTCTGTAATTAATGAAGTATCATAATCTATTACTCACCAAGAACATTAGACCATGGATAATTTGCTCACTGCTCTATGCCTTGCAATATATAGTGCCTAATATAACATAGATGCTCAAGCACTGTTTTTGAGTTGATGTGTAAGATACTTCTCCCAATTTGTCTAATAGTAGAATTTATGAATGACCAGGGTCAACATAGGTGGAGTCATAGAACCATAACTCCAATCCATGTGTGCTTACATATAATAAGATCTCAGTTACTTTTTCTTGAATGATCAGGAGATTAAACATAAACATGGCAAGTTTATGGGCAAGTAACCCCAAATTACTTAGAAGGCGGAAAAATTCTCAAAGCTACTTAGTGAATTATTTGAAAACAAATAAGTGTTAAGAGAAGAATGTTTTTTAAAATTCATAGTCCAGTGTTCTTCATTTACGTAACAGAAAGGCAATGTTCTCTTACTCTTCCAAACCATAGCATTAGAAAATCAAGTCTCATATAGTCACAATTTTTAAAGAATTTGAGAGCTAAGATGAAACTTATCTCAAAAAAATTTTCTCAGTAAAGACAGGAACTTGCAATATTGTGGTACTTTTCTTTCACAAACATGTCTGGTCTTCAGCACAGTCAATCCTCATTATAAGCAAATACGTATTTGCAAATATGCCTTCTCACTAAAATTTATTTGTAACCCTAAAATCAATAGTCACAGCGTGTTGCGGTCATTTGCAGATATGCATGAAATAGTGAAAAGTTTGATTCATTTGTCACTCTCCTCCCCAGCTGAGGTACAACAAGGCAATGTTCTAGCTTCTTGTTTCATAACTCATAATGTAAATGTGCCTTTTTGTGAGATATTTGGTGCTACAGTTTTCACTTCTTTGGGGGGTGATTCCAGCTGTTTCAAAAGACCCCTAAACAACATTGGAGTGCTATGAAGTTTTTCTACGGGCAGGAAGACGGTGATGTGCCTTACAGAGAAATTATGTGTTTAGTTAGGCTTCATTCAAGCATGAGTTAAGGTATTGGCTGTGAGTTCAACGTTAATTAATCAACAATATATATTAAGTAAGATAACTTTACAAAGAAATTTGTAAAAGAGGTTACGTACTGATCAGTTGATGAAATGTGACCAGAGGCTCCCAGGACCCCAAACTTGTATTTTCCTTGGGAACAATGATTCAGTATTCACTAATTCAGTGTTCATGGTGACTTTATAGAGCATAACAACCACAAACAATAAGATATGGCCGGGCGTGGTGGCTCACGCCTGTAATCCCAACACTTTGGGAGGCCGAGGTCAGGAGATTGAGACCATCCTGGCTAACACGGTGAAACCCCATCTTTACTAAAAATAGAAAAAATCAGCTAGGCGTGGTGGCGGGCACCTGTAGTCCCAGCTATTCAGGAGGCTGAGGCAGAGGAATGGTGTGAACCTGGGAGTCAGAGCTTGCAGTGAGTCGAGATCACGCCACTGCACTCCAGCCTGGGCTACAGAGCGAGACTCCATCTCAAAAAAAAAAAAAAAAGAAGTGACTGTATATCTCTTTACTTCATCTTGTGACTTGTTTGGAATAACTGAGATCTCACCTCACCTACACACACTCACACACAAACATAAATGCATTCCCATATACTTACTGCAAGAATAAGAATTTATTCTGTATTTTTACCTCAACTGTGTATATATTCACTATAAGAGGATTAATAGTCTGGCACAGTGGCTCATGTATGTAATCCTAGCACTTGAGGAGGCCAAGGCAAGAGAATGGCTTGAAGCCAGGAGTTCAAGACCAGCTTAAGCAACAATGTTGTGTTTTTTAATTAGCCAGGTGTGGTGATACATACCTGTAGTACTAACTACTCAGCAGGCTGAAGTGGGAGGATCACTTGAGCCCAGGACTTCAAGGCTGCAGAGAGCTATGATCATGCCACTGCTCTCTAACCTGGGCAACAGAGACAGAGGGAAATCATGTCTCCAAAAAGAAAGAAGAAGAACAAGAAGATTAATAGCTACATAATTATTTCCTCTGGTAAAATTATTATCTTTGTCATAGCTATGCTACAGCATTTTAGGTACCACATGTAATCAATTCCAAATTACTAATGCTAGAGAGAAAAGGTAGACTATAGTGAATTGTTCCATCATTCTTACTGTAGAGAGCTATTGAGGCTTCCAATGAAATGACTATGAGATCTTAGAGCAGCTAATAACATAAAAAAGGGGTACAAGTATACCTTGTTTTATTGTGCTTTTCAGATGTTCCTTTTTTTGTTTTTTACAAATTGAAGATTTGAGGCAACATCTGTCCAACAAGTATATCAGCACCATTTTTCCAACAGTATGTGCTCACTTCATAACCCTGTGTCACGTTTTTGTAATTCTTACAATATTTCAATCTTTATTATTATTATTATTATATGTAATTTTTGAAGTTACTATTGTAATCGTTTTGGAGCACAACAAACTACACCCATATAAGATGGCAAACTTAATCAATAAATATGTATGTTCTCACTGCTCCAGCTGCTGTTCATCTTCCAGTCTGTCTCTCTCTCTGTGGGCTTCTCTATTCCCCAAAACATAAAAATATTGAATTTAGACAAATTAATAATCCTACAATAGCTTCTAAATTTTCAAGTGAAAGGAAGAGTTGTGCCTATCTCACATTAAGTCAAACACTAGAAATAATTAAGCTTAGTGAGAAAGGTGTGTCAAAAGCAGAGACAAACTGAAAGCTAGGCCTCCTGTGTTAAAGAGTTGGTCAAGTTGTGAATGTAAATAAAAAATTATTGAAGAAAATTAAAAGCGCTATTCCAGCGATCACATGAATGATAAGAAGGTGAAATGGCCTTATTATTGATATGGAGAAAGTTTGAGTGGTCTAGATGGAAGATCAAACTAGCCACAACATTCCCTTAAGCCAAAGCCTATCCAGATCAAGGCCTTACCTCTTTTCAATTCTATGACGGTAGGCTGCGAGAGGTGAGGAAGCTGAAGAAGAAAAGGTGGAAGGTAGCAGAGGTTGGTCCATGAAATGTAAGGAAAGAAGCCATCTCTGTAACATAAAAGTGTGGCAACAAGTGCTGATGTAGAAGGTACAGCAAGTTTTTCAGAAGATCTGGCTGAGATAATTGATGAAGAAAGCTCACTAAACAATAGATTTTCAGTGTAGCCAAAGCATCCTTCTATTGGAAGAAGTGCAACCTAGGACTTTCATAGCCAGAGAAGAGAAGTCAATGCCTGGCTTCAAATCTTCAAAGGATAGGCTGACTCTCTTGATAAGACTAATGCAGATGACAAATGTAAGTTGAAGTCAATCTTCATTTGCTATCTGAAAATAATAGAGCCCTTACAAATTATGCTAAATCTACTTTGCCTTTGCTCTAGAAATGAAAGAACAAAGTCTGGAGAACAGCACATCTGGTCACAGAATGGCTTACTGAATAATTTAAGTCCACTGTTGAGACCTACAGCTCAGAAAAAAAAAGTTTCAAAATATTCCTTCTCTTTAGCAATGCCTCTGGTCACCCAAGAGCTCTGATGAAGAAGCACAAAAGTTAATGTTGTTATACCTGCAAAAACAACGTCCGTATTGCATATTATGGATCAAGGAGTAATTACAACTTTCAAGTTTTATTATTTAAGAAATACATTTTGTAAGACTTTAGCTAGCATAGGTAATCATTTCTTAGATAGACATGAGCAAAGTAAATTGAAACCTGAAAAGGACTCATCATTCTAAATGTCATTAAGGACATTTGTGTTTCACAGTAGAAGGTCAAAATACCTACTTTAACAGAAGTCTGAAAACAGTTGATTACAACCCTCAAGGAAGACTTGAGGGGTTCAAGACTTTGACAGAGGAAGAAGTAATTGCAGATGTGGTGGAAATAGCAAGATAAATAGAATAAGAAGTGGAGCCTTAAGATGTGACTTAATTGCCACAATTTCATGATTAAACTGGAATGCACAAGGAGTTGGTTTATATGGATGAGCAAAGAAAGTGGTTTCTTGAGATGGAATCTACTCCTGCTGAAGAGGCTGTGAACATAGCCAAAATGACAGCAAAGGGTTTAGAATATGGCTTAATTGATAATGCAGTGGCAGGTTTTGAGAGGACGGACTCTGATTTTAAAAGAGATTCTATTGTGAGTAAAATGCTATCAAATATTGTGGCATGCTACAGAGAAATCTTGCATGAAGGGAACAATCGATGTTCCAAACTTCATTGTCTTATTCTCAGACACTGTCTCAGCCACCCTAAACTTCACCAACAACCATCCTGACCATTCAGCTGCCATCAACATCGAGGCATCATCCTCCATAAGCATACAGATTGTGACTGGCTGAAGGCTCAGATAATTGTTAGCATTTTTAACAATTAAGGATTGTACATTTTTTTAGTCACAATGCTATTACACCCTTAATAGAGTACAGTATAGTGTAAATATAGCTTTTATATGCACTGGAAAACCAAAAAAATTGTGTGACTTGCTTTATCGCGATATTTGCTTTATTACGTTGATCTAGAACCAAACTGGCAATATCTCCAAGGTATGTCTATAATTTCCAACCATATAATTTAATCCTGTTATTTACCAGTGAAGCAGGATTATGAATCATTGTGGTTCATCAAGAAAAATGGCCTTCCAAATTCAGCATTTGTATTATGCAAATAAATATTCTATAGATTTACTTTTTTTTTATTTTGGAGTTTGCTGCATGGTTTCATATTTGTACATGATGCTCTTTAAACCAAACTGATAAAAACAGCATATTAAGTAATACATTTTTGTTAGAACTTTCAATATTTGTATATATATTTTGAATATTTTTACTTAATATTATTTAATATAGAGAGTAGTGTCCTCTAAATATAGCCTTGGAGACAAGAGTTCTGCCATTTTAGATTTAATTCATATGAACACCTTAACATTCCTAAATTCCATATTCTGTTACTAATTGCTACTTAGCATTCAATTTTCAATATCTTTGAATTTAAGCTCATAGGGCCCTTTGAAAATCTCCTGAAAGTAATTGTTTTGATGTAGTGATGTCAGCTCATTACCTAATTCATCAAAGTGACACTACATTTAATAGACTACCAAAGTATTAATGCCCTATTTCATGTAGAGATAAAAATCCAGAAAACGATCTAGTTAGAAAATCCAGTTAGAAAAAATTTGTAACTTGAAGCTTCTTGTTATGAAGTTTCCATGTCTATCTGTCATTTTCCACTGGCAATTCATAGTAAATGAAATTGAACAACGGCAGACAAAATTATTTTTAAAGCTACACTAGTCCACTATATGTAATTAAATATGACCAACAAAAATTACATATTCCATTAACTATTTACATTGTATTTGCCTTTTGTTCAAGAATTGCTAACCATATCAAAATTTTTCTGCTCACTTTTATTATTAGTTTTAAAATATAGAATGAATACCAATATCCCTAACTCCTGTATCTGTACCAAAACATTTTTGGACAAGGTCATTGGTTGGTTAACTATTTTTCTTTCATCTCCAAATATGTAGAACTTTTTTTCTGAGTAATATTTGAGGAACAGAACTACAAATTCCACTAAGAACATGCTTTTCATATAAATTATTCTGATGAATCCAACAACTGCTCTCTATCTGCCCTGTGACCACCTG
Source organism: Homo sapiens (assembly GCF_000001405.40). Classification (NCBI taxonomy): domain Eukaryota; kingdom Metazoa; phylum Chordata; class Mammalia; order Primates; family Hominidae; genus Homo; species Homo sapiens. Next base: position 20,480,018 of record NC_000021.9, read on the forward strand.
GCTGCAGCCATCCTCATCTCCTGGCTGTAGCCATCCTCATCTCCCCTCTGGAAAACTGCAAAATCCTTTTTTTAATCTGAGGTTCTACTTTAGTCCATTATCAACCATTGGTAGCTTAAAGACAAGTACTGTCCAGACAAAATACATTAAAACAGCTCGCACCCTTGCTTGGACATTTCAATGGTTTCTTTTTGTCCTTAGATGAAATTCCAAACCACTTTTTTAGAACATACTTCATGAGTCATCACCTGTTACAACTCAAGCATCAGTTTGTAGCATCCCCTCATTTTATTATTTTCTTATTAGAGTCCAGAAATACTTATATTGTTGTTAATTTAACTCAAGCACATTCAAGCCCCGGGTGTTCGAACACTTTCTTTTCTTGGCATGCTGTTCTCTCTATCTTACTCCTAACATTTGATCATCTCCTCACAGAGGCATTGCTGCAACCTCTATACAGTACAGAACTATGACATTCCCAGTCACTCTCAGCTCACACTGCCTAACTTCCTTAGAAACAGGGCATAAAGGCGCCATGAGGTCAGTCAGGAGTCCTGTTTTTGTCTTGTTTTGTTTTTCCTCTTGAAATATTCCAGGAAGGCCACTTATGAGAAATCCACGTTAAATGAACACTTCCACATACTATCTGTATTAGTGAAGACAACATTAGATTCTGTAAAAAAGAACCCCCCAAATTTCAATGGCTTGAGGGTTTATGATTTCTGTGACTGGCTAATTTCACTTAGCTTAATATTCTCAAGGTTCTTCCAGTGGTTACATACAGCAGATTTTCTTCTTTTTAAAAACTGAATAGTATTCTGTTTTATCACAGCACTGTGCACTTAAAAATGTAAGAGAGTAGGTCTCATGTTGTTTTCTTAGCACAATTTTAAAAACAAAACTTTATTCCTCACTCACCTAATTATGCAGTGTTTGTAATCAATAGGTTGATGTCTTTTTCACATTGACTGTTCTTTCATTGGGTAGCTTAGCCATTAGGTGATTCTGCTGCCCAATGGAAACAAGAATCTCTGTAGAAACAGACTGTTTTTAGCACAAACTCTCTCACCTTAGGTTTTTTTTTATTTTTTGGTTTAGCTTAATTAAGCATAATACGGATTTTATTTTTTAAACAATGATATCTTAAAAATCTTTGTCTAGCAAAAGTCTTCTCAGCTCTATCCCTCTCCGTTTTTGTTACAATAACAAAAGATTTCATGCTTATATAATCTCACAGAGATAAAAAATATTAATTCATTGCAGTAAGTTTCTCAGTGGTCTGTCTTTTCTTCAGGGATTTTATCCAACAAAGGAAACAATATTTTGAGATTTATCATATGCCAAAATCAGTAGAGTTCAATGGTCAAAAAAAAGTACAGACAATTTTAGAAACCACAACAGAATGTGTCTCTATTTTACACATTCCACTGTTCAAAGGGCCTTTACACTCATAGTATATGTTGTGAAATAAACATATAATGCCAATCATTGTTCTAATAATTGGAAGAATATCAGGTGCATAGTAGGTACTTATACTTGTGAGGTCTTATGCCAATAGCATAAGGTACCACTGAGGAGCCCACTCCGAACTTTACATTAGACAAGATCTGTCAATCAGGTAATAATAAATTTTGCTGATAATTGCTCGACATTAGAATAAAAACAGAAATTAAAGTAAAAGTAAACAATTATAAAGGAAGACAGTATCCTTCTCCTTTTCGCACCAGATATCTGTATGTTTCTACTGTGGAAGGAGGTACATCAAACATTTTAAGCATGTACATTAAACATTTCTACAGTGGAAGGAGGTACATCAAACATTTAACTCCATTCCTTCTGCTTCTGTGCTAATCTAACTTGTGATTTAATTCAGTTTTTCATACAAATGACAATAGTCACGATTGGTGGCCCTGATAGCCACCAGTCATCAGAGCTACTGAAGTTCTCATTATGGAAAATATTTTTTTGATTTATTAATTACATATATTGTTGCTTTAGGTATATTTTGTTCTCTCTGTGTGTGTGTGTGTGTGTAAGAAGCACTCAATAGCTGCTCATCTCAGGAATAGTGAAAAAATTGAGATTCTGAACCTATAAAATACATGATTGTACCACGTTGATGTTTCTCTTCTCTTTTTGTCTACCAACCAACACCTGTGTTCTTTGGGAAACATCAGGTCTTGCTCTTTTTTATTTTGTAAAGCTTTAGATGAAGGAAATAATAATACTCTTGTTTTCATAAGAAAAAAAGACTATAGTTCAATACCAGGATTTTAAAGGCGGTCTTATCACATGGTTTCTTCTGTGTAATGGATAAGGCAAGATGATCTACTAAGAGTGAATAGGTTTAAATATTTATGGATAATAGATTCTATTTGAGTAATTGCTGTGAAAAAGGTGAAAAGTAATTTCCAGGAAGTAGAGCAAAACAAGGTGAAAACAGAAAGAATTTGACAGCAGGTTTTAGGAACTATTACATTTGGTGACAATAGGAGCACGGTAATTCATTCTTTTTAAAAAAAAAAAATTTTCCCATAGCATGCTTCTTCTTCAGAAAAACTAAGAGATGGCTGATGATTAGGCACAGAGTGAGGTTGTTTTGTAAAAGACCAATCTGAGGGCAGTGAATTATGGAGTCAAAAAATGCCAGCAAAATGATAAATGAAGAGAAATACAAGAAGGTAAGGTCTATAGGAACCATTCTATTACCATCACCTCACACAGTATGTGATATGTTTTCGGTACCTAATTAATGAAACCTTAAGCTATATAAAGTTATAATCCAATATTTCCATGTTTAGAAATTTATACCATAAAAATGCTTACACAATTATACAAATATGTGACTACAGAGATATAAGTAAAAACATTATTTGTAACAATAAAATGCCAAAAATAAATATACACCATAATGTGGAATATTATTAAGTAGACATTAAAGTGAATATGAATCTACAGGTTAAAGAAAATTATGATCTTTCCTAAACCATCATGAAGACTAGTTTATGCAATTATACAAAAGAATAAGACAATAGAAATGGCTGGATATGGAATTGGTTATTTTCATGCCTACCTCTGAAAATGTTTGAAAACAGTAAACTTATTTTCTTCACTTTTCACGACCTAGAAAGTGGTGAAAATTTTTATAATAAAGGAAAATTTTTTCATTTTGTTATTAAAAATATTTCACTGCCAACCTCAGTAAGAGTATATGAATAGAAAAAGGAAAACAGCACTTTAAATTTAATGAAATAGGAAAAAATAGTACATAATTATTTCTTTAGCTCCTTTTAAATAACTCTACTCTAAATGAATTCTTTGAGTAGTGTGGAAAAGGTAAAATCAATTCTTAAACTTTGTAATTTATATATCCTTTTGAAAACCTTTTTGAATGGTTCTGCTCAAGTGTGTTTCATTGGCAATGAAAATTATATGATTATATATAGATACCCTTGAATTCAGTAAGCAGGGATTGTAACAAATCAGAAAATTGTATTTTAATTTGCAGTTTCTTCTTGATCTACTACTAATGAAAGTTTCACTGAATTATCTGCTTAAAGGTCAAAATGCTAATTAAGAGTTTCTCATCAGTGATAATTCAGATATGTGGAAAAATGATGACATTAGGTCTTTGTCTTCTTGAGTTACCTTATTTTGTACTCGGTCTTCTCAAAATTCTGATAAAAATGAAGACAGTTTATAATTAATACTTTCTGTTTCATAATACTTTCTGTTTCATTCAATAGACATTCCCCTTTAAAGGAACACATAAGGAGTTTTCCCCTTTTCTAATGTAACTTTATGATATACACCTTAATAAGCTAAATCTTGCAGACCTCTTTTTAAACTACAAATATAATGCTATACTTTAGATAGCATCTATAACAGTTACTCTTTCAAAAATATATGTTAAATTTTTAGAATTATTGATCTACCAATTTGACATTTCTACATCTAGGGAGAATAAATCATTTCATGTTTACTATTCTATCATATGTGATATATCATTTCAAAGTTCACAACATATACTAGTCTGTGTGTTAGATAGTTCATGGGACATGGATATCCATCCAAGCAAGTAACTATCCCTCTATATACAAATATAGCTATGGCTTACAAAACGAGGATACATTTTAAAAGGCCAGGTCATCTGATTTAAGCCATAAACATGTAAGTATACTTACCAACAGTAAAGACTGTGTGTGCGCATGTGTGGTGTGCCTGATTGTTTGTGTGTGTAATCAAATTTATATTGTCTTACAATAACACTATACCTAAAAATACTTATACCACGACATGGTCATGGTGGTAAAGTGATGGCATATTCCAAAAGCGTACTTTTAAAAGGTCTAACAGAGAAACAGTTGCAAAGGCTTTGACAAAGACTTAATGACTATCAATAAAGTATAGTGAATATCGTTGCCAATTGTAACCCTGAAAAATAGTACCCCAGTAAGAGTTATAATAGTGGAAGAAGGCTGCCCAATAAGGGCTGTGTCTTTGGGACTGAAACAGCCCCTGCCAAAACCACAGCCTGAAGAAGAATGGCCAAAATGCTTCATGATTTCTTATCTTCTGATCTCTAATCATCTGTTGTTAAACCCACTGGGCAAAGACAATTAAAATCCAGAGGGTAAGGAAATCCTTGATGCAGTCCATAGAGGTCAGTAGTAGAGAGGGGAAAGAATGGAACTGGAGAGGAAAATGGAAAACATCTCTATTGTATTTACAGCATGTATTATGCTCATGGATTAGAAGAATCAACAAATAAAGGTGTCAGGGTTTTTTTTTTTTTTTTTGATGTACATATAGATTAAGCACAAACCAATAAAATCTCTAGGGAAAAATGTTTATTGGAAACTACAACCTGAATTCTAAAATATAGAAGACAAGGTGAACTGGAATAGCTCAATACTCCAATCAATTTCTCTGAAAAAGAAGAAAAAAGTTAAAGCAGCCACAGTACCTGATATCAATACTCATACATAAAACTACGAAAATCAAGATAGCATGGTATAGATGAAAGGACAATGAAACAGAACAGAGTATAGAAATAGACCCACATATGTAAGTCCTTAGTAAGAGGCCACAGAGTCCTTTTAGCACTAAAATAAATTATTGCAAAATAGTACACAGTTGATCAAAACTAAACAAATATTCTGTAGGTTTTCATTGTATTAAGTCTTAAAATAATATATTTAATTGAAAACACAGCTTCTAATGAGACAGGAATATCTCTAGTTTTTCCAATCATTACTTTTATCTATGGATGAATGTTATTTATTTTCAGAATGAGACAAAATTTCAGTATTCTACTTCTCCCCACCCTTTTTAAAAACAACTCTAAGCACTTAATAAGTTGCTTTCATAAATAAATAAGTAGAAAGAAATGGAACAGACTTTTCATAACAATATAACATGTTTATTCTACGTTTTCCTAAATTATATCCAAAACTTACTACAATTTAATATAAAAATGTTTATTAGTAAATAATTAGATTAAGTTTTTTTAATTTTACTAAAATTATGATTTAGAAATAGCCTAAATTGAAAACGGATTTGATTAGTTCAATTCTTCCTTGTAAATATATCATTGACAGGAATTATCACATTTTTTAGAATTTTACACTGTAGGGCAGAATAACATTATAAATATGGGTAAAATATGTCATTCCCTTGAAAATCAGAACAAAAGTGGTCCTTTGTAAAGGATGCCTGAGTAAGGGATACTGGCATAGCCACTAGCCTATGGACCTTTTCTGATGCACATCAACTTTAGAAAATTGGACATTTAAATGTCCCAGTTTAAGACTATTGCTCTAAAGTAGAGTAGAGGGAAAACACTGTATTTACTCAGCATATAATGCTTTGATTTCCCCTGATTATAAAATATCCTGAGAAGACCCATTAATCAGTCATATATCTGCTGAAGCTCTTAAATGTCTTTAGTCCTTTAGGACACTCGAGTTTATAATTAAAAACGAATTATGAAATCAAGATAATTACAAAATCATACCTTTAACAACATATTACAATTAATTCCAAAAAGAAAAAAAATCTACTTCAATTTGCCAAGAACCAATTAATATTAAATGCAGCATTACTTCTACCATTGTAACTTTAATTTGAGTATAAAAAAGAATAAGGACAATGAAAACATATTTTTGTCTTTCCTTCCTTACTTCTCTCTTTTTTACCAAATGAAGGAAATAAATATATGAGAATGACATATACATTCACACATACACACAAAGGCACATTTATACATATATATTTGTCTACTTACAAACCCACAAAGAAGCACACAAACACAAATTTACATATGACTAAAGTCAATTTAATTAGCTCCAAAGGAATGTTAATGTAGAAAGGAGTGAGGAAGAAAAGTCACCTAGATTGAGGAGATATTTCTACCAGAGGGACTTATGTCTTCTCTGCTCCTTCCTTCACTCAGTACTATGTATGTGAGAATCATAGAAATAAAGGTGTCAGCATTTTGCTTATACTTTTTACTGTTACTATTGTTATTTTATGGTTTTCTTTTTCTTTTTTCTTTAAACATTTGTTTATCTGGGAAACATTCTAATTTTCTTGATTATATCTTCCCTAATGGATTCAGTGACCTAGTCCAGGGTCCTCAATGATGTCCAGGAGAGTTTTACCAGTAGCAGACCTGAGACATAGATTCCAGTGAAAGTTACAAATTAAGGAAGTATACCCTGAAGAAAGCATTAAATGTATCAAAAAAACAAAATGGAAAATAGTAAGAACAAGCTAGAGTGGGAATTTTCTAGGAAGGATCGCACATTCACTCTGATCTTGCTGGACGATCTAGAGTCCAAATTATACCCAATTGTCTCTCCTTGAGTCAAAGGAGTTGGATAGGGCCAAATCTCTAATAGTCATAGGTGCCACCTCTGAGCAGCAAAACGAACAAGACCTGGGGGATGAGTACAGAGAGTTGGTAAAGAGATCTGAATTAGCTGGGTGTGATGGCACGTGCCTGTAATCCCAGCTTGGGAGGCTGAGGCAGGAGAATCGCTTGAATCTGGGAGGTGGAGGTGGTGGTGAGCCGAGATTGCGCCCCTGCACCCCAGCCTGGGCAACAGAGAGAGACTCCATCTCAAAAAAAAAGAGATCTGAAGGGGGATTTGAGTGACTTACAGTAGTGTCAGCGCCAGGGCCTGATATAACTGATATACTCTTTGTACCTATCAAGTGGTCCCATTTATAAATAAAGGGGGAAAAACTTTTTGGGATAGTTGCAAAATAAACATTCTAGATAATCAAATGTCCCGGTTAGTTATTAATATTTCAAAGGTCTTAAAATAAACTGACACTATAAAATACTGGGAAGTGCCACTGCACTATTATATTTAATATTATTATAATGTTGTTGCTATAAATAGTGCAAGAAAATAGTTTTCTTATATTTAAAACTGAAAAATCAGATGAATCTTAACTGTATCAGCATAACCCAGCAAAAGACGGGCACAGTGGCAAGCACCTGTAGTCCCAGCTACTCTGGAGGCTGAGGTGGGATGATTGGGTGAGCCCAGAAGTTTGAGACCAGCTTGGGCAACATAGCAAGACTCCATCTCAAAAAAACAAAAACAAAAACAAAAACACAATACACAAAATTATATTGGCATATGTTTTGGGTCCTTTACTAATAAGTATGACAATATGATATCAGAGGAATACCACTCCACATTGTGTGATTTTTCTAGGTTAAAAAGTAGAATGTAGTAACAGAGTTACTTATTGACATCAAGATGTCAGTGAACACAAGGAGAAAAAAAGTTTAAGCAATGGTCTCATCTGACAGTCATGAAAATAGCATAATGGGTAAAAGTTAGGAAGTGGTGTTAGATCTGGTGGTTCCAAATCTTGTGCTGCCACTTACTAGCTAGCTGTGTGACCCTAGACAAGCTAATTCACCTCTAGATGCTTCAGTCTTGTCATCTCTAATTTTGGGATAAACTCTAACTCCTAAATATAGTTGTTATGAATATTAAATAATTTAATATAGGTATAGTGATCAGAAAAGAGTCTATCAGATAGGACAATTTTTAGCTGTTATTATTTTTACTATTATAAGAAACATTGCTAGGCAAAAAACTAAAATTCAAAATGATTTATTCTCATAGCAAAAGTCAGCAAACTTTTCCTCTAAAAGGCCAAACCATAAATAAATGTTGATTTTGCTGGCCATATGCGCTTTGTCACAATTATTCGACTTTGCTCTTGTAGCTTCTAAACACTCAAAAATAATATATAAAAGAATGGGCGTAGCTGTGTCTCTAAAACAAGCATCATATCCAAACACAAGCAGCAGGCTGGAATCAGCCCATGAGTTGCAGTTCCTTGAATCCTGTCATAAAGTAACAACTAAAAATTCTTTTTTTTTAACCAAAAATAAAATTAAAGAGATTCTGTCTCATTTTATAAATATCATAAATATTTTATGAATATACCAAAGACAATCTACTTGATGAATGTCCACCTGAACAATTTATTAATTGTATTCAAGGGAAATCAATTTGAGATTTGACTCAGGAGAGAAAATGAATTGCAAAACTCAAAGAGAACATACTGGCCCTGGTTCAGGAACAGCAAAGATATAAAATATCTGGGACACCAAACACTGAATATTTTTATTAAGATGGTACATGGCCCATAGGCAACATGCCAAGAGAAGCCAACAATAAAATAATCTTTTCCCAATTACAAGATTGAATTGACATTACACTACTTGGTTTAATTGAAAGTCCAATACAATGAGGAGTGTTATCTTCTTGGATGTTATTATTGCAATAGATAAACGACCTAATCTCAAAGATTTCTAAAATAGCAGAGGATAAAACTTTAAACAGCCTAAAGATGTTAAAAGAAAAAGTTAAAAAAAAAAAAAACCAACGCTATGTCAGACTTTATATAGAGTATATTTGCTACATGTACATTTGCTACATGTATCATTTGAAACACCAAACAGAAATAAGACTTTTTAAAGACTTTTTTTCTGAAATGATTTAAAATCTGTCTACTTTTGCTTACAACTATACTTATATAGTTTATTTTTCACAGCACTCATTAAACTGACAAAAATGCATACGCACATGCATGTATACACTTACAGATGACCAAAGAGATTAAGTACAACTGGATATATATATATATATGATACATGCAATGAAATCTGAAGGACACAAATGTAGCTCTAATAACAATTTTATCCTTCATTCACTATGGAATATTAAGTGTTTTATCCAAAAGTGACAAACGAAAAGGTCTTTAAAAATTGTTTTTATTATTTAGTTGCTGTTGTTGTTGTTATTGCTTTTGAGGCGAAGTTTTACTCTTGTTGCCCAGGCTGGAGTGCAGTGGCACGATCTCGGCTCACTGCAATCTCTGCCTCCTGGGTTCAAGCGATTCTCCTGCCTCAGCCTCCTGAGGGATTGCAAGCGTCCGCCACCATGCCTGGCTAATTTTTTGTATTTTTAATAGAGACTGGGTTTCACTGTTTTGGCCAGGCTGGTCTCGAATTCCTGACCTCAGGTGATCCACCCACCTCGGCCTCCCAAACTGCTGGAATTATAGGCGTGAGCCACCGCGCCCGGCCTATTATTTGTTTTTATATTCTGAACATTTTTTATTTATCAAAATAAGCACTTTAATTAGAATAATTTTATATGATTAGTTACTATGTTGGTGGTTGTATTTTTTTGTTATAATTTTTCATTTTGCTCTTCCTGCTTCTTTTTTCATTGGTAACACCATCTATTTTCACCCATTTTATGTCCTAATAAGAAAGGTAAATGAAATATTATAAGCAGTTTTTGTATTTAACGTAAAATAATGCATCTGTAATTTTGTAGAATTCAGTCCACATTTATTGTAATAACTGATATATGATTTATTTTTCAATTTTTTTCTGTTTTTTTTTCATTTTTCTTTTTCCAATTATTTTCTGGAAGCATCAGGGTGCTATTAAATCTCTTTTCTTCTTTTTTTATGCATATTTATGGAGATTTTCTTTAATTATTAATCTGTTAAAGTTTACTTTTCCTTTCCTGGTATTCATATTCAAATCTATTTTCTCAACTATTATGTGAAGACAAGGTAATTATTTCCCCCTCCAAGGCACTCTCTTCTTCCAATGATTTCTTTAAAATAATTTCACTTCCACACATCTCTCCCACCCTCACGAGATTATGCCTCTTCTCAGTCTTTAATATTAGGTCACATTGTAATAATTAATATTTTGAGTCCTTGTTTATTACAAAGATTTACTTTGAAACGCGTCTCTTGTTGCATCTTTTTAAAGGATTCATGCTAATTTTTGGAAGTCTGTTATTTTGTATATAGATCTATTACACATATACAGCAAGGCCTGTGCTCATTGTTTTCTTCCCTCTTAATTTTTCCTGTTTTGAATCTGCAGTTCCGATTCACTTACCATTTACTATGGCTTTTTTCTTAAGCATTCCCTAATTCGGAGGCTGCAAGTAATCCTTGTGGAAGTCTTTATTTTATTTTATTTTATTTATTTTATTTTATTTTATTTTATTTTATTTTATTTTATATTTTATTTTATTTTATTTTATTATTTTATTTTATTTTATTTTATTTTATTTTATTTTATTTTATTTTATATTTTATTTTATTTTATAATTTTGAGACGGAGTCCCACTCTGTAGTCCAGATTGGAGCGCAATGTCGCAATCTCGGCTCACTGCAACCTCTGACTCCCGGGTTCCAGTCACTCTCCTGCCTCAGCCTCCCGAGTATCTGGGATAACAGGCGCCCGCCATCACGCCCAGCTAATTTTTGTATTTTTAGTAGAAATGGGGTTTCGCCATCTTGGCCAGGCTGGTCTGGAGCTTCTGACCTCAGGTGATCTGCCTGCCACGGCCTCCCAAAGTGCTAGAGATTATTACAGGCATGAGCCACCGTGCCCGGCCTGTTTCTCTTACTTTAAAGATGACTAATTTATTAGTTTTTAAGAGATTCTTGAGTTGTACTCCTTTGCATGTAAACTATTAATATTATTTTAGCATATTCTGGCTTTCAAATATGCAATTGAATATTTAATGTAAATCTGAGTACATCTTTATTATTCCCATTCCTTGTTTTTCTATATGAACGCTTTACGTGTTTTCTCTTTATCTTTGCAGTTTGGGAATTTACCAGGGCTTGCTTTTTCTGTTACTTGTTGGGTTTTGTCCAGTTTAAGGAGCTTTCTTTCCCCCTGGCCCTTACACTTCCTGCGTATTAAGGATTATAGTCATGTTACTGAACACCCTTATTGTTTTCCTCCTGATTTCAATTTCTTCTAAGCTTTGTTTCTTGAGGGTTTTTTTGAAAATTTTTCGCATATAATCTATTTTAAAATAAACTTTCTTTTTTAGATAACTGTAAATCCACATGAAGTTGTAAGAAATCATGCAGAGATCTCGGGTACTTTTCCTCCAATGGTAAAAACATTTTACACGTTATAGTATTATATCCCAACCAGGATAGTAATATTAATAAATTACGCTGATTTTATTTGGATTTCCTGGTTTTGCATGTATTTATATGCATATGTATGTTCGTGTGTGTGTGTGTGCATTTGTGCATATTTAGTTTAGTGGAAATTCTATCATATGCATAGGTTTGTATATCCAAGACCACAGTCACTATCCCTCCTTCAATGTACAACTTACCCAGCTTCTCTTCAGCCTTGACAACATCTGGTTTTGTTGCTATATTTTCTGTTCTCCATTCTACAAAACGTGTAGTGATCTTTCATTGTGGCTTTAGTCTGAATTTCTTTAAAGGCTAATGAACATTTTTCAAGAGTTTATTTACCACCTGTATGTATGCTTTGGTGAGAGGTCTGTTCATGTCTTGTGTCTATTTTCTAATTGAATTGCATGGTTTTTTCATTGTTTTGTTTTTATTTTATATTGTTGAGTTTTTAGAGTAACTTACATATTCTAGATACTAACTTTTAGGTGCATACATTGTTTGAAAATATTTTTTCTCAGGCTGTAGCATATCTTTCCATCCTCTTCACATGGTTTTCACAGTTTCACAGTGGAGATTTTTGTTTTGGTTTGGTTTTTGATGGGATCTAATTTAGCATTCTTTTCTTTTTTTGGATTATGCTTTAAGATCAAATCAGAAAAAATCTTTGCCTCACCCAGACTCTGAAGATTTTCTCCTATGTTTTCTTTCTAAAATGTTTGTTTTACTATTAGGTCTGTGATGGATTTTGAGTAAATTTTTTTTATTAGGTGTTGGGCTCATATTGGGGTTATTTTTTTTAAAGTATGGTGATTTATCTGGACCATTTGTTGAAAAGTCTATCTCTTCTAATTAAATTGCATTTAAACTATTTTCAAAAATTAGTTGGGCATATGTGTGTGAGTCTATTTCTGAGTTCTCCATTCTGTTTCATTGATCTCCATGCCTGTTCTTCTGCTGATACCACAGCGTTTTGAGTCCTATAGATACACAGTAAGCCTTACTAGCAGATACAGTAATCTATCCTACTTCATTCTTCTTCCTCAGGATTGTTTTAGGATCTCTTGGGCCTGCACCCTTCCATATAAATTTTAAAATAAGGTTGTCTATGTCTACAAAAAAAGGGATAACAACTGCATTCCATCTATAGATTAATTTGGAAAAACCGATATCCTCACAAAAGATAAACATAGAATGCCTCTGCATTCACTTAGGTCTTTATTTATTTACTCAGCTTTTTATAATTTTCGGTATACAATTTCGTATGTATTTTGCTAAGTACAAAAGTAAGAATTTCATTTTCTCTTTTTTTTTTCTGATCCTTCTAGTCAGTGGATGGATTTCGGTTTCTTTGAAGCAATTTTAAATGGTTTTGAGTTCTAATTTTGGTTTTCCATATGTTTACTGTAAATGTATCATCAGAATGTGATTTGTTTTCTGAATTGCTTTTGTATTCTCCTACCTTACTGAACTCAGTTCTTAGCTTTAATAAGTTTTTGGTAGATTTTTCTTTCATGTTCCACATAGATAATCAGGTTATATGCAAATTGTTTGTTTGGTTCTTATTTTCCTATTGTCATGCTTTAATTCTTGCCTTATTGCAAGGGCTAGAGCTTCTATACTATATTTAATAACAATGATGAGAATGGACACCCTTGATCTTACTGGTCAAGCAATCAGGCTTTCCCCATTAGGTGTAATATTAGCTGTGGGTGTTAATAGGTGCTTTTTGTCAAGCTGAGACAATTCTCCTCTATGCCTAATTTGCTAAGAATTTTTGTCATGAATAAAGCATCAATTTTTCATACACTTTTATACATCAGTGGTATGATTATATTACTTTTTTTGCATCCTTAATATTGCAGATTACATTGCTTTATTTGAGAATGATGAACCAACCGATCTTGCAAACATAGAAGAAATCAAATTTGGGCTGGGTGTGGTGGCTCACGCCTGTAATCCCAGCACTTTGGGAGGCTGAGGCAGATGGATCATGAGGTCAGGAGTTCGAAACGAGCCTGGCCAGCATGGTGAAACCTCATCTCTACTAAAAATACAAAAATTAGCCGGGCGTGGTAGCGCATACCTGTAGTCCCAGCTACTAGGGAGGCTGAGGCAGGAGAATCGCTTGAACCCGGGAGGCGGAGGTTGCAGTGAGCCAAGATCACGCCACTGCACACCAGCCTGGGCGACAGGGCAAGACTCGGTCTCAAAAAAAAAAAAAAAAAGGAAGAAGTCAAATTTAGTCAGGATTAATATATTTGAATACAATTCTAGAATTTACTTGCCAGAATTTTGGTGAGGATCTTTGTGTCAAGTTTTTAAGTAATACTAGTCTGCATTTTTTTTTTGTATTTTCCTTGGTTTTTGTGTAAGGGTAAAATAATTTTATGAAATGGCTATGTAAAATTTGTGTTAATTTTCCTTTACATGTCTAGTAGAATTCTCTAGTGAAACAATCTGTTCCTAAAGATTTCTTTTGATTATCTTTTTAATTGCAAATTTAATTTTTTAATGGTTATAAAATTATTTCGCTTTTCTGTTTAATCGTGGTTGGATTTTGGTAGTTCATGGCTTCTGAAGAATTAGTGCCTTTCTTCTAGTTTGTCAAATTTATGAGCACAAAGTTGCATGTAGCGCTATCTTATTATTATTTCGATGTCTGCAGGATCTGTAGTAACATCTCCTATTTCATCTCTTTCATTTCTGACATTGGTGATTTGTGTCTTCTTTTTATTTATATCAGTATTGCTAGTGGTGTGTTAATTTTATTTATTTTCCAAAAAACAGATTTTTATTTCATTGGATTTTGAGACACCTTGATATTTCTCAACAGTAATTAAGTCAGATATAATTACATATTTGTGAACCATTGTTATTGCCATTGATATAACTTATGTAAAACTTACAGGTATATAAAGACACATAAAGGAAAGGCAAAAGCACTGATGATTGAGCCCATTTCAAAGTCTGTCAGAAATTTTTCCTATAGTTTATTTCAGAAGCTAATATTCTTCCCTTTCTCAATACTTGTGATGGACAATTCCTCTTTTTTGTCTGTTCCATGTTGACAGCAACTAGATGCAGTATGTATTTGTTTGTTCTCACACTGATAACAAAGACATACCCGAGACTGGGTAATTTTAAAGGAAAGGAATTTAATTGACTCACAGTTCAGCATGGCTGTGGAGGCCCAGGAAACTTACAATCATAGCAGAAGGGAACGCAAACATGGTAGCAGCAAGGAGGAATGCAAAGCAAAAGAGGGAAAAACCCCTTATTAAACCATCTGATCTCATGAGAACTCACTCTCATAAGAAAAGAAGCATGGGGATAACCACCTTCATGATTCAATTACCTCTTATCAGGTCTCTCTCATGACACGTGGGTATTATGGGAACTACAAGATGAGATTTGGGTGGGGACACAGCCAAACCATATCATAGTGCATCTTCGGTATTTCCATTCCTGGAAGTGGGAGTGTAAACTCTGCCTGTGGAAGCATAAGGGTTCAGTGATCATATTTAACATCTTGATGAAACTGCAGAAGGAAGACACAATAGCTCATCATGGCCATAATCTTTAGGATTAAGGACAAGAAAGATTTAGCCAGGCTAGTTAAGTGCTTATCGAATTTTTGCTTAAAAAAGTGGACTAGCTACTCTCTTATGGGATCTTATCCTAAAAGATAAAATTCTGTAATGGATTCTAGCATATTAGAATTCTAGTAGAATCTGATATCTCACTTGAACCCCAAAATTTACCTGTTGCAACTTTTGCTTATTTGTAAAGAAGTAGGTATATGTGTTAGATTTGGGAAAAAAAAGGAACCCTGCCTGTATTAATCCATTCTCATGCTGCCATTAAAGATACACCCAAGTCTGGGTAATTTCTAAAGAAAAGAGGTTTAATTGACTCACAGTTCAACATGGCTGGAGGGGCCTCAGGAAACTTACAATCATGGCAGAAGGGGAAGCAAATATGTCCTTTTCCACATGGTGGCAGGAAGAAGTGTCAAGCAAAGGGTGAAATGCTCCATGTAAAACCACCAGATCTCATGAGAACTCACTCACTATCATGAGAACAGCATGGTTATAACCACCCAGTAATTTAATTATCTCCCACTAAGTGCCTTCCATGACACTTAAGGATTATGGGAACTACAATTCTAGATGAGATTTAGGGGGAGACATAGCCAAACCACGTCACTGCCCAACTCAAGCTACCATCTTCCCATGTGTTCTGTCTGGTAATAGTGATTACAACAGAGATGATCCTGAATTCAATGGGCTTTATGCTCCCCATGGTCATGCTATTTTGAATGCTAGTATAGTTTTCAAAACAGATGAAATTAGATAAATTAAGCACCAGAAAATAAATTTTCTTATATTATTATACTTTAAGTTCTAGGGTACATGTGCACAACATGCAGATTTGTTACATATGTACCCATGTGCCATGTTGGTGTGCTGCACCTATTAACTTGTCATTTACATTAGGTATAACTCCTAATTCTATCCCTCCCCCCTCCCCCAACAGCACAACAGGCCCTGGTTTGTGATGTTCCCCTTCCTGTGTCCAAGTGTTCTCATTGTTTAATTCCCACCTATGAGTGAGAACATGCAGTGTTTGGTTTTCTGTCCCTGCGATAGTTTGCTGAGAATGATGGTTTCCAGTTTCATCCATGTCCTTACAAGGGACATGAACTCATCCTTTTTTATGGCTGCATAGTATTCCATGGTGTATATGAGGCACTAGAAAAATTCTTGGACAAAATTTTATAATGTAACTTCCATAAATGGTATAGAGTTTAGGTAACTAGTTCTTTAGGCACACAGGCTGTTTATGATATGGTAGTTAAAATAATTTGCATAACATTGACTATTTTCTATGACTTCTGATTAAAATAAAATAGGTGAAGTAAGACTATTTTCATGACAAGTGGGAAAAGCAAACATGCTTCATTGACATTTCATTAACATAATGATTGTTCTCACTCATTCATTAGTTTGTAATTCGAAGTATAAAATAGCAAATACTCTCTAAGCATAAAATGATGGCTGTGTCATCAAGCATAGAGAAACAATAAGTTTATTGCCTCTAAGTTAAAAAAGCATATTGTTTATGTTTTTAGAAATAGAATTCAAAATATTTAAGGTCTGTAGTCTTAGAGGATTTAAGACTCTCACATGATATTTAAAGAAAGGAAATACAATCTCATTTAAGAAAAAATACCTTCAACATTTTGAGGCATGTGATTCAGAAAACAATACCAAGTCTTTCTTTAGTACTCCCATATTAGAGTTGGGCATTTGAAAAATGTATCCATCTATCCACTGTATCATTGATTTTAGAGGTGATTTGTCACTCTGCAAGGGGTCTTCTCTTGAGTTTGACAGCTTTTGATGAAAATCTGAAATTAGAGAAGAATTACCTGAGCAGAGACAGATGAGCCAAATGACATGAGGCACTGAAGATAAGTACCCCAGTCTTGTTCTCAGATTGATGATTTATTTATCAGAATGCACTGGGGAAAGTAAAGTTTATCACAAGTGATTGAGGAAACAAGCAAAAAAGATAAAAGACAATAAATAAATAGTGTAAATTGAACACGTTACTCCTGAAATGTCCACTAATACTTAAACAAGATGGAGAAGAAGAACAACATTATGAACACACATACAATCACACACACACACATAACAACAACAACAGCACATTATAAGCCATTCTAATGAGAACAAAACAGAATATTTAAGTGTTTGGTGAAATTGTAGGGTAGACAATAGGTGAAGTGACATGAAATTTGTTAATGAGAAAATAGCTTATTCTGCTAGCAACAAAATAGGGAGCATCCTCTACAGCACAAATTATTCTCATCAAATTTTAGTAACTTTTAAGTTTAAGTTATGGAAATTATAGATCAAAACCAATAGAAACTACATAGTCGATATTTTACTTCATTTGGGCTGCTATAACCAAATACCATAAGCTGTCTGGATTATAAACAACAGAAATGTATTTTTCACAGTTCAGGTGACTGGTAAGTCCAAGATTAAGGTGCCAGCACATTTGGTATCTAGTGAGTGTATGCTTCCTAATAAATAGCTGTCTTCTCACTGTGTCCTCACATGGTGAAGGGAGCAAAGAAGCACTCTGGGATCTTTGGTGTTGAATTTTATTGAAAACTTTTTCTGCATCTATTGAGATGATCATATGGTTTATGTTTTTTAACACTGTTTACATAGTAAATCATATTTATTGATTTTATGTGTGTGTGCATGATGAATCAACCTTGCATTCCAGGAATAAAGCCTGCTTGATTGTGGTGAATTAACTTTTTGATGTGCTGCTGAATTCAGTTTGCTAGTATTTTGTTGAGAAATAATAACCATTCTGAGATGTGGAGAGATGGTATCTCATTGTGATTTTAAGCATTAGTGATACGAGCTTTTTTTTGTATATTTGTTGGCCACTTGTATGAATTCTTTTGAGAAATATCTGTTCATGTCCTTTGCATACTTTTTAATGGCGTTGTTTTTTGCTTATTGAGCTGTTTACATTTCTTATAGATTTTGAGCATTAGACCTTGTATTAGTCAGTTTTCATGCTGCTGATAAAGACGTAACTGAGACTGGGAAGAAAGACAGGTTTAAATGCACTTACAGTTCCATGTGGCTGGGGAGACCTCAGAATCATGGTGGGAGGCAAAAGGCACTTCTTACATGGTGGCAGCAAGAGAAAATGAGGGAGAAGCAAAAGCAGTAACCCTGATGAACCCATCATATCTTGTGAGACTTATTCACTATCATGAGAGTAGCATGGGAAAGACCAGCCCCTATGACTCAAGTGCCTCCCCCTGGGTCCCTCCCACAATATGTGGGAATTCTGGGAGATAAAATTCAAGTTGAGATTTGGGTGGGGACACAGCCAAACCATATCATTCTGCCCCTGGCCCCTCCAAATCTCAAGTCCTCACATTTCAAAACCAATCATGCCTCCCCCACTGTCCCCCAAAGTCTTAACTCATTTCAGCATTAACCCAAAAGTCCACAGTCCAGAGTCTCATCTGAAACAAGGTAAGTCCCTTCTACCTATGAGCCCGTAAAATCAAAAACAAAGCTAGTTACTTTCTATATACAATGCGGGTACAGGTGTTGGGTAAATGCAGCAGTTCCAAATGGGAGAAATTGGCCAAAACAAAAGGGTTACTTATGAAAATTTCTGCAGCTGCCTTGAATTTCTCCCCAGAATATGGATTTTTCTTTTCTATCACATATTCAGGCTGCATATTTTCCAAACTCTTATGCTCTGCTTCTCCTATAAAACTAAATGCCTTTAACAGTACCCGAGATACCTCTTGAATGCTTTGCTGCTTAGAAATTTCTTCTGCCAGATACTCTAAATCATCTTTCTCAAGTTCAAAGTTCAACAAATCTCTAGAGCAGGGACAAAATGCCACCAGTCTCTTTGCTAAAACATAACAAGAGTCACCTTTACTCCAGTTTCCAAGAAGTTCTTCATCTCCATCTGAGTCCGCCTCAGCCTGGACCTTACTGTCCATATCGCTATCAGCATTTTTGGCAGAACCACTCAACAAGTCTCTAGGAAGTTCCAAATTTTCCCATATTTTCCTGTCATCTTCTGAGCCCTCCAAACTGTTCCAACCTCTGCCTGTTACCCAGTTCCAAAGTTGCTTCCACATTTTTGGGTATCTTTTCAGCAATGACCCACTCTACTGGTACCAATCTACTGTATTAGTCCATTTTCACACTGCTGATAAACACATACCTGGGAGTGGGAAGAAAAAGAGGTTTAATTGGACTTACAGTTCCACATGGCTGGGGAAACCTCAGAATCACAGCAGGAGGCGAAACGCACTACTAGCATGGTGGCAGCAAGAGAAAATGAGGAAGAAGCAAAAGCAGAAATCCCTGATAAACCCATCAGATTTCGTGAGACTTATTCACTATCACAAGAGTAGCACAGAAAAGTCTGGAAAAACTGGCCACCATGATTTAATTACCTCCCCCTGGGTTCCTTTCACAACATGTGGGAACTCTGGGAGATACAATTCAAGTTGAGATTTGGGTGGCGACACAGTCAATCCATATCAGACTTTTGTTAGATATGTAGTTTGTGAATCTTTTCTCCCATTCTGTAGGTTGTCTGTTTGTTGATAGTTTCTTTTGCTGGTCAAAAACTCCAGTTTTATTAGATCCCGCTTGTCAAATTTTGTTTTGGCTGCAATTGCTTTTAAGGACTTAGCCATAAATTATTTGCAAAGGCCAATGTCCAGAAGGGTATTTCTTAAGTTTTCTTTTAGGATTTTGATTGCTTTGGGTCTTACATTTAAGTCTTGAATCCATCATGCATTAATTTTTAAATATAGTGATAGATGTGGGTCTAATTTCATTCTGCATGTGACTAGCCAGTTATTCCAGCCCTACTTACTGAATAGAAAGTCTTTTCCACATTGCTTATTTTTGTCAACTTTGTCAAAGATGAGATGGCTGTAGGCATGTGGGTTTATTTCAGGGTACTCTATTCTCTTCCTTTGGTCTACATTTCTGTTGTTGCATCAGGACCTTGCTGTTTGGGTTATTGTGGCCTTGTAGCATAGTTTGAAGTTGGGTAATATGATGCCTCCAGGTAGGTTATATTTGCTTAGAATTATTTTGACTATTTGGACTCTTTTTCAATTCCATATGAATTTTAGAATAGCTTTTTCCAATTCTGTGAAAAATGATAGTAGTAGTTTGATGAGAAAAACATTAAATCTCTACATTCCTTTGGGCAGTATGGCCATTTTAACAATATTGGTTCTTCCAATCCATGAGGATGGAATATTTTTCCATTTCTTTGTGTCATCTCTGATTCCTTTTAGAAGTGTTTTGTAGATCTCTTCGTAGAGATATTTCAGGTCTTTGGTTAGGTTTTCTTTTTCTGTATAACTATAGTAAATAATATTAAGTTCTTGATTTGGCTCTAAGCTTGAACATTATTTGTGTATAGAAATGCTACTGATTTTTAACATTGATTCTGTATCCTGACACTTCACTGAAGTTACTTGTCAGTTCAGATAGTCTTTTAACAGAGTCTTCAGGGTGTTCTGAGTATAGAATCATATCATCAGTGAAGTGAGATAATTTGACTTCTTTTTCATTTTGATGCCTTTTTATCTTGCTTGATTGCTCTTGCTAGAAATTCCAGTACTATGTTGAATAAAAGTGGCGAGAGTGGGCATCCTTATCTTGTTCCAGTTCTTAATGGGAATGCTTTCAGATTTTGCCCATTCAGTATGATGTTGGCTGGTCATTTTATCATACAGCTCTTATTAGTTTGAGGTATGTTCCTTCAATGCCTAATTTGTTGAGGTTTTTTATTATGAAGAGATGTTGAACTTCACTGAAAACTTTTTCTGCATCTATTGAGAAGATTATATGGTTTTTGTTTTTTAACACTGTTTATGTGGTGTCTGTGTGTGTGTGTGTGTGTGTGTGTGTGTGTGAATGTTGAACCAACCTTGAATCCCAGGAATAAAACCTTGATTGTGGTGAATTGAATGTTGATGTGCTGCTGCATTCAGCTTGCTAGTATTTTGTTGAGAAATTTTCATCAGAAATATTAGCCTGTCGTTTTCTTTTTTTGTTGTGTCTTTGCCAGGTTTTGGTATCAGGCTGATGCTTGCTTTGTAGAATGAATTAGGTAGGAGTCCCTGTATTCGTCCGTTTTCATGATTCTAATAAAGACATACCTGAGACTGGGAAGAAAAAGGGGTTTAAATGGATTTCTACTTCCACATGGCTGGGGAGGCCTCAGAATCATGGCGGGAGGTGAAAAGCACTTCTTACATAGCACCAGCGAGAGAAAATGAGGAAGAAGCAAAAGCAGAACCCCCGATAAACCCATCAGATCTTGTGAGACTTATTCACTATAACGAGAATAGCATGGAAAAGACCAGCCACCATGATTCAACTGCCTCCCCCTGGGTCCCTCCCACAATGTGTGGGAATTCTGGGAGATACATTTCAAGTTGAGATTTGTATAGGGACACAGCCAACCATGTCATTCTGCCCATGGCCTCTCAAAATCTCGTGTCCTCACATTTCAAAACCAATCATGCTTTCCCAACAGTCTCCCAAAGTTTTAACTCTCTTGAGCATTAACTCAAAAGTCCACAGTCCAAAGTCTCATCTGAGACAAGGCAAGTCCCTTCTGCCTATGAGCCTGTAAAATCAAAAGCAAGTTAGTTACTTTCTAAATTCAATGAGGGTACATGCATTGGGTAAATACAGCCATTCTAAATAGGAGAAATTGGCCAAGATGAAGGGGCTACTGGCCCCATGCAAGTCTGAAATCCAGCAGGGCTGTCAAATCTTAAAACTCCAAAATGATCTCCTTTGACTTCATGTCTCGCATCTGGGTCATGCTGATGGAAGAGGTGGGTTCCCATGGTCTTGGAGACCTATACCCCCGTGGCTTTGCAGGGTACAGCCTCCCTCCCAGTTGCTTTCATGGGCTGGCATTGAGTGTTTGCAGCTTTTCCAGGCTCACCGTGCAAGCTGTTAGTTGATCTACCATTCTGGGGTCTGGAAGATGGTGGCCCTGTTTTCACAGCTCCACTACTCAGTGCCCCAGTAGGGACTCAGTGTGGGGGCTCTGACCTCACAATCCCCTTCCCCACTGCCCTAACAGAGGTTCTCCATGAAGACCTCACCCCTGCAGCAAATTTTTGCCTGGGCTTCCAGGTGTTTCTATACATCCTCTGAAATCTAGGTGGTACCCAGACCTCAATTCTTGACTTCTGTGCATACACAGGCTCAACGCCACATGGAAGCTGCCAAGGCTTGGGGCTTCCACCCTCTGGAGGCACATCCCAAGATGTATGTTGGCCCCTTTCAGCCATGGATGGAGTGACTAGGACACCGGGCACCAAGTCCCTAGGCTGCACACAGCACAGGGACACGGGACCCAGCCCACTAACCCACTTTTTCCTCCTGAGCTTCCAGGCCTGTGATGGGAGGGGCTGCTGTGAAGGTCTCTATCATGGCCTGGAGACATTTTCTCTATGATCTTGGAGATTGACATTAGGCTCCTTGCTTCTTATGCAAATTTCTGCAGCTGGCTTGAATTTCTCCCCAGAAAATGCATTTTTCTTTTCTATCACAGCATCAGGTTGCAAATTTTCCAGACTTTTATGTTCTGCTTCCCTTATAAAACTGAATGCCTTGCTGCTTAGAAATTTCTTCTGTTGGATATGCTAAATCATCTCTCTCAATTTCAAAGCTCCACAGATCTCTAGATCTGGGGCAAAATGCCACCAGTCTCTTTGCTAAAACATAATAAGAATCACCTTTGCTCCAGTTCTCAGGAAGTTCCTCATCTCCATCTGAGGCTACCTCAGCCTGGACCTTATTGTTCAGATCACTATCAGCATTTTTGTCAAAGCCAGTCAACAAGTCTCTAGGACGTTCCAAACTTTCCCACATTTTCTTCTCTTCTTCTGAGCCCTCCAAACTGTTCCAACAATAGCCCATTGCCCAGTTCCAAAGTCGCTTCCAAATTTTCAGGTATCTTTTCAGCAACACCCCACTCCTGGTACCAATTTACTGTATTAGTCCGTTTTCATGCTGCTGATAAAGATATACCCAAGACTGAGAAGAAAAAGTTGTTCAATTGGACTTACAGTTCCACATGGCTGGGGAGACCTCAGAATCATGGCAGGAGAAAATTAGGAAGAAGCAAAAGTGGAAACCCCTGATAAACCTATGACATCTCATGAGACTTATTCAGTATCACAAGACTAGCATGAGAAAGACTGGCCCCTATGATTCAATTACTTCCACCTGGGTCCTCCCCACAACACGTTGGAATTCTGGGAGATACAATTCAGGTTGACATTTGGGTGGGGACACAGCCAAACCATATCAGTCTCTCCTCCTTGATTTTGAAGAGTAGTTTCAATAGGATTGTGACCAGCTATTTTTTATTTGCTCATAGAATTTGGCTGTGACTGCATTTGGTCCAGGAGGTTTTTTTTTTTTTTATGTTTTTGCGTAATGGGTTTTTTATTACTGATTCAATTTTAGAACTCTTTATTGCCTTTTTGTTTATTCAGGATTTCAATTTCTTCTTGATACGATCTTGGGCAGTCGTGTTTTTCTACGAATTTATTTATTTTCTCTAGATTTTCTAGTTTGTGTGCATAGTGGTGTTCATAATAGTCTCTGAGGATCTTTTGAATTTCTGTGGCATTGGTTGTAATATCACTTTTGTCATTCCTGATCATGTTTATTTGGATTTATTTTTTCATTGTTCATCTAGCTAGTAGCTTATTAATCTTGTTTATTCTTTCAAAAATCAAACTTTTGGTTTCGTTGATCCTTTGTATAATTTTTGATTCTCAATTTCATTCAGTTCTACTCTAAGTTATTTATTTTCTTCTCCTAGTTTTAGAGTTACATTTTTCTTGTTTTTCTAGAAGTCTAGGTGCAATCTTAGATAGCTAATTTGAGATTTTTCTATCTTATTGACATAAGCATTTAGCACTATAACATTTCCTTTTAACACTGCTTTTGCTACATCCCATAGATTTTGGTATGTTGTGTGATATAATTTGGCTCTATGTCCCAACCCAAATCTCATCTCGAATTGTAATCACCATGTGTCAGCAAAGGAGTCTGGTGGGAGGTGATTGAAACGTGGAGACAGACTTCCCTCTTGCTGTTCTCATGATAGTGAGTTCTCATGATACCTTGTTTTTTGAAAGTGTAGTACTTGCTTCAAATTCTCACCTGCTCTGCCATGGTAAGATGTGCTTGCTTCCCCTTCACCTTCCATCATGATTGTAAGTTTCCTGAGGCCTCCCAGTCATGCTTCCTGTTAAGCCTGTGGAGCTGTGAGTAAATTAAACTTTTTTTCTTCATAAATTACCCAGTCTCAGATAGTTCTTTAAAGCAGGGTGAAGATGAGCTAATACACTTTTATTTCTGAGAATTTTTTTATTTCTGCCATAATTTTGTTGTTTACTCAAAAGTTGTTCAGGAGTAAGTTGTTCAATTTCCATGTGATTGTGTGGTTTTTAGAGAGCTTCTTAATATTTATTTGTACTTTTATTTCTCTGTAGTCTGAGAGTATGCTTGGTATAGAGTTTGATTTTTTGTTTAACTTATTGAAACTTTATGGCCAAGCATGTGGTCAATCTTAGAGTATGTTCCAGGTGCAAATGAGAAGAATATACGTTCTGTGGTTGTTGGGTGGAGTATTCTGTCGTTGTGTATTAGGTCCAATTGGTCAAGTTATAATAGACATTTAGAGTTTCTGTGTTAGTGTTCTGCCTCAGTGATTTGTTTAACACTGTAAGTAGGTAGTTGAAATCCCCCCACTATTATTGTGGGACAATGTCTTTTCATAGGTCTAGAAATACTTGTTTTATGAATCTAGGTGCTCCAATGTTGGGTGCATATATATTTAGGATAGCTGGGTCTTTTAGTTGAATTAAACCATTTATCATTATGTATGTCCTTCTTTGTCCTGTTATACTGTTTTTGGTTTAAAGTCTGTTTTATCTGATATAATAATAGTGACCCTTGCTCTTTTGTGTTTTCCATTTGCATCATAAATCTTCCTCTAACCCTTTATTTTGAGCCTGTAGATGTTGTTACATGTCAGATGGTCTTTTGAAGACAGCAGACAATTGAATCTTGTTGTTGTTGTTTTAACCCAATTTGCTATTCTGTGCCTTTTAAGTGAGGAATTTAGACCACTCACACTCAAGGTTAATATTGATGTGTGAGGTTTTGATCCTGTTGTGATGTTTTTAGCTTGTTGCTCTGTGGTCTTAATTCTATAGTTGTTTTATAAATTATTTTGGCTATGTACTTAAGTGTGTTTTTGTGGTAGCAGGTATTGCTCTTTCATTTCTGTGTTTAGAACTCTCATAATGATCTCTTATAAGGCTAGTCTAGTGGTAGCAAATTCCCTTAGTGATTGCTTGTTGGGAAAACATTTTATTTCTCTTTCACATATGAAAGTTAGTTTGGTAGGTTATGAAATTATTGGCTGGACTTTCCTTTCTTTAAGAATGTTGAGGCCATTCATAGTGGCTTACATCTGTAATCCTAACACTTTGGGAGGCTGAGGTGAGAGGGTCTCTCAAGGCCGGGAGTTTAGGACCAACCTTGGTAATATGGTCAGACCCTATCTCTCCACAAAATTTTAAAAATTAGCCATGCCTGGTGGTACTCATCTATGACCCTAGCAGGAGGCTGAGGTGGGAGGATTGCTTTAGACTAAGAAGTCAAGGCTGCATTGAGCCATGATGTGCCACTGCACTCCAGCCTAGGTGACAGAGCAAGATCCTGTCTGTAAAATAAAATATAGAGTGCTGAAAATAGACCTGCACTCTTTTCTAGCCTTTAAAGTTTCTGCTGAGAAGTCTGCTGTTAGCCTGATGGACTTCTTTTTGAAAGTGATCTGACCCTTTTCCATAGCTGCCTTTAAGATCTTTTCTTTGCACTGACCTTGGGCAGTCTAGTGACTATGTGCCTTGGTGATGTTCATCTTCTATAATATCTTACAGATGTTCTCTGGATTGTTTGTATCTGAATATCCAACTCTAGCAAGATTAAGAAAATTTTCTTGCATTATTCTCTCAAATGTTTTTTAGGTGGATTACTTTTTCTCCTCTTTCAGAAATGCCAATAATTTGTAGGTTTTGTTGTTTAACATAATCCCATATTACTCAAAGATTTTGTTCATTTTTTAAAATTCTTTTCTCTTTAATTTTGTCTGACTAGGCTAGTTCAAAAGAGAAATCTTCAAGCTCCGATATTCTTTTCTTCTTCTTGGTTTTGTCTATTGATAGAGCTTTCATTTGTATTTTGAAATTTCTTAAGGGACTTTTTCAATTTCAGAAGCTCTGTTGATTTTTTAAAAAGTTGTTTATCTCCTCCTTGATTTCCTAGGTTTCTTTAGTAGTTTCTTTGTGTTGATTTTTAAATCTATCTTGGATTTTATTCAGCTTCCTTGCAATTAATGTTTTTAATTCTTTATCTGTCATTTCTGAGTTCCTATTTTGGTTAGGTTCCATTGCTAGAGTACTAGTGTGATTTTTTTGGTGGTGTCATAAGATTCAGATTTTTCATGATGGCAGAATTCTTATGCTGGTTTCCTCTCATCTGGAGAGTCTGGCACTTCTAACTTTTATAATTATTTTCATGCAGATATGATTTCCTTTTCTTTCTCTGTATGTATTTTTTCTTTACCTTTACCACCACTCTCTAGGAGGTGTGACTGTGGAGTATGTTGCGTAGGATTCTTTGGCTTTGCTGCTACAGCCATGTCCACTTCTGTCCACAGGTTTCATACTGGGCTGTGGGATTCCACCTATAGGCTAGTGGATGGCACTTACTCACAAGAGCTAGTTGCGGCACAAGCAGACGAATCCATACCTGATCTTTGCTTACTGTGAGGTTCTCTCCGTTGTCTCAGGTGTTGGGCTGGACAGTGGGGTGGCCAGTGCCCTGAGCTCCTGTTCCTTGGCAATAGGGGAACACCTCTGGCCTGAGCTGGGGCCCCAGGCTTGCCCATGAACATACCAATGGAGAGCACAGGCACCAGTCCTGACAAGGGTGGCTGGGAAGAGCTCCTGGTGAAATGCACTGAGGTCTCTGCCAGAGCATGAAGTCATTGCACTGGCTCCCCATCTTAGATAGGAAGTAGCATAATCTATTTTCCTGTCACACCCCAGTTCCATGTGACTCCTCATTCAGATGCACATTGTAGTCTACCTCTGGACCCCAGTATGGATGAGAGCCATAGAAAACGCTGCTGTGTGACTGTCCATCGGAGAGGTTTTAGGGCAGAACCTTGTCAGTCAGTCTAATGCAGGCACCTTTATAGCTCTCTTGTTCTCTGATGTGGAAGGCTGCTGCTTCATGTAAAAGGGAAGGAGGCAGGTGTCGGTTGTGGTGTCAGCTGGTTGGGTCAGTCTGACCTCAGGCTCTGTTGGAAGTGGTCAGGTGCCAGAAGAGTTGGAATAGGGTAGGTGGTTTTCCAGTCTCCAGGCCCCTCGATTGCCCACTGGACAGTGTGTATGATTCCTGAAGGGGCTGGACCAGGTTTGGGTGCTGGCTGAGATGGGGAGGGGCAGGCTTGTCCCTGAGTCACAAGCTGAAATCTCAGGCAGGCAGGCAGAAAGCTTATGTGGTAGGAGCCTAAAAGAAGGTCACAGACCTATAGGGTAGGGTTTTCAGGAGGGCTTAGCTGACTTCAGCTGAAATGCTCAGGTTGGGGCAGGGTGTTGGAGGTGTGAGAAAGCCTTCAGCTTCTCTGTTCCCTCCCTAGCCTGAGGGCAGTGGTGGCAGGGGCCTTCCACAGTCACAGCTGCACTGCCCCAAAGTGTTCAGGCAGGGGTGGGGCGGGTGCACTGGGAGTCCAAGCCAGTGGGCCCTGCCTGGTGAGGAGCAGCAAGGTCAGGGGTCACACTGTCTGCGGTCCGTCTGCTCCTCAGCACCCAGCTGTAGCCTCTGACCTACAGGTGTGTGAAAGAATTTGTCCTCTCTTGTTGGTGGGTATACGGCAGCTAGTACTGGGCTGCTCAGGGATCCAGGGCCTGTGGGGCTTCATGTGGGCTTGAGCGGTAACTCTGCACAGACTCCAGGTGGTTCTTTGTGTCACTCTGGAGGCCTGGGAGTGTCAGGGGTGTTCTCCTGAGCCCAGTGTAGCAAACGTTTGTGGCAGAATTGTGGGCCCCAAGGACTTTCACGGACTCACCCATTCCCCATGTTACAGAGCTTCCCCTGGCTCCACACCAGTCCCAGGAGGGAGGCTGCCTGGCTTCATTGTGCTCTATTCTCCGTAACTCCTGTCACTTTCTTGGTGAATACCAACGTGATCGCCTAGAAAATCCACTTTAAAAGCTAGCATTTATTCACCACTTTGCTTCCTCTCTGTGAGAGCCTGATGCACTAGCTGCTTCTAGTCAGCCATCTTGAACCAGAACCTCTGCTTTTGTTTGTTTTTGTTTTGTTTTGTTTTGTTTTTCAGCCATCATGAGGAATTGTCTCAAATTTATTGCTAAAATAAAGGGGAACTATCCATCCATTGGTCATATTTAGTATTAGGAATATTACTTACAGTATGATTTCAAGGGAGCTCCTAGAAAGTAATAGTTCCTTTAAATATTTTTTGTAATGTCATTTTATTTTATTACTCTTTCTAGAATATTGTTGAAAACTAATATTGTTAGCACTTTGGTTGTTTCTGTAATTTTTTATTTTCAACCTCAAGTTTCACTTAAAAAAGCCTCGGTCTGCTGACTTTTAACTGGTAATGTTAGAGGTACATTTTTAGACACAGCAAAGTATTTGCCCATTCCAAGTTAGATGGTACCAAATGGAGGGACTGTCCAATTCTGAACACTAGAATATATACTTATCTCTATGCTACCTTCACTCCCTTTCCCTCCATGAAGTCCCAGAGATTTATGATGTAGTTGTATGATTTCATCTGTAATTATTTTAAATGGCATTTACCTGATTTCAGAGATTTGAATTCAGTTAGAGACAATAATCCTGTTTTACTACTCTCCTTAACTTCATCACATTTCATTTTTTCTGTTAACTGTATTTATTTTACCATTTTTAATTTTAACATAATATTTTGAATTAAAAAGCTGTAAATCAAACATAGTCAAATAATGTTCTATATCTGTCCTTTATTAAAAATACAACTGACACCACAGCAGTACATTTTTCAGGCTTTCGATGAGGCCAAACCAGCTGCTTTCCTTTGTCCTTCACTTTCCTCAGAAGTTTTCTTTAATTCTGGGCTTTAACCTTCCTGACTACACATATTCTCTGCTTCTCTTTCAAATTGTTATACCCTCCTCTAAGTCAATCTTCAATTTATAACATTGTGCCCTTCATGGTTAGATCAGTTTAAAGATCCAAGTGAAACATGTAAAGTGTTCAATTTGAATACATAAAACAATGCAGCAGTAGTTAAAATCACATGTACCATATAAAAACTATCAGCCTTAAAGTATCACCCCATTAGGAAAGACCAATTAAAAAGTATGGCTCTTTCACTCTTCCCTGACGGTCAGTAGAGCAAAGATTTGACAGATTGAAAATTTGGTCTGAATTACTTATATTGAATATTTCTTAAAGAACTCTGGTTCTTTTCATCACACTACAACATTCAAACTGATTTTTAAACTATTATTTAAATTTTTATAATTATATAGTCATATACTAATCAAAAATCCAGAAAGGAATCTACACTTTGTATTAGTCCATTCTCATGCTGTTATAAAGAACTGCCCAAGACTGGGTAATCTACAAAGGTAAGAGGATTAATTGACTGACAGTTCCACATTGCTGGGAAGGCCTCAGGAAACTTACAATCATAGTGGAAGGCAAAAGAGAAGCAGGTACCTTCTTCACAGGTGGCAGGATGGAGTGAGTGCAAGTAGGGGAAATGCCAGATGCTTGTAAATCCATCAGATCTTGTGAGACTCCCTCACTATCACAAGAACTGCTTGGGGTAAACTGTTTCCATGATCTGAGTTCCACCACCTGGTCTTGCCCTTAACATGTAGGGATTATGGGGATCATAATTCAAGATGAGATTTTGGGTGGGGACACAGCCAAACCATGTAAGTCTGTACCTGGCCCCTTCCAAATCTCATGTCCTCACATTTCAAAACACAATCATGCCCTTCCAACACTTTCTCAAAGTCTTACCTCATTCCAACATTAACCCAAATGTATGAGTCCAATGTCTTTTTTGAGACAAGACAATTCCTTTTGACTGTCAACCTGTAAAATCAAAAGCAAATTAGTTACTTTCTAGATAAGATGTGGTTACACACCTTGGGTGTGTAAATGTAACCATTCCAAACAGAAGAAATTGGCCAAAACAAAGGGGCTGCAGGCCCCATACACGTCCAAAATCCAATAGGGCAGTCATTAAACCTTAAAGTTCCAAAATAATATCTTTTGACTACATGTCTCACGTCCAGGTTATGCTGATGCAAGAGGTGGGCTCCCGCAGCTTTGGGCAGCTCTGCCCTGTGGTTTAGCAGGGTACAGTCCCCCCCCGGCTGTTTTCATGGGCTGGCATTTAGTGCCTGTGGCTCTTCCAGGTGCTCAGCGCAAGCCATTGGTGGATCTACCATTCTGGGGTCTGGAGGATGGTGGCCCTCTTCTCATAGCTCCCCTAGACCGCAGTGGGGACTCTGTGTGGAGGCTCTGACTCCAGATTTCTCTTCCACACTGCCCTGGCAGAGGTTCTCCATGGGGCCTCTGCCCCTGCAGCAAACTTCTACCTGGACACCCAGGCATTTCCATAGGTCCTCTTAAATCTAGGCAGAGGTTCTCAAACCTCAATTCTTGACTCCTCTGCACCTGCAGGCTCAACACCATGTGGAAGCTGCCAAGGCTTGAGGCTTGCAACCTCTGAAGCAACAGCCCAAGCTGTATGTTGTCCCCTTTTAGCCACGGATGGAGCTGAAGCAGCTGGGATGCAGGGCACCATGTCTGGAGGCTGCATACAGCAGGGGGGCCCTGAGCCAGGCCCACGAAACCATTTGTATCTCCTAGGCCTCTGGGCTTGTGGTGGGAGGGGCTCCCATGAAGGTCTTTGACATGCATTGGAGACATTTTTCCCACTGTCTTGGTGATTAACATTTGGTTTCTTGTTACACATGCAAATTTTTGTGGCTGGCTTGAATTTCTCCCCCAGAAAATAGGGTTTTCTTTTCTGTCATATTATCAGGCTGCAAATTTTCTAAGTTTTTATGCTCTGTTTCCTCTTGAACGCTTTGCTGCTTAACATTTTCTTTTGCCAGATACCATAAATCATCTCTGTCAAGTTCAAAGTTCCACAACTCTCTAGGGCAGGGGCAAAATGCTGCCAGACTCTTTGCTAAAGCATAGCAAGAATCATCTTTGCTCCAGTTCCCAACAAGTTCCTTATTTCTATCTGAGACCACTTCAGCCCGGACTTCATTGCCCATATCACTATCAGCATTTTACTCAAAACCTTTCAAGTCTCTAGGAAGTTCCAAACTTTTCCACATCTTCCTATCTTCTTCTGAGCCCTCCAAGCTGTTCCGACTTCTGTCTGTTACCTAGTTCCAAAGTAACTTCCCCATTTTTTGGGTATTTTTACAGCAGAGCCCCACTACCTCACTACTAATTTACTGTATTAGTCCATTCTCACACTGCTATAGAGAACTGTCCGAGACTGGGTAATTTATAAAGGAAAGGTGTTTAATTGACTCACTGCTTTGCATGGCTGGGGAGCCCTCAGGAAACTTACAATCATGGTGAAAGGCAAAGGAGAAGCAGGCACTTTCTTCACAGGGTGGCAGGATGGAGTGAGTGCAAGCAGAGGAAACTGCCAGACACTTATAAAACCGTCAGATCTGGTGAAACTCACTCACTATCAAGAGAACAGCATGGGAGAAACTGCCCTCATGCTCTAATTACCTCCACCTGGTCCTGCCCTTGATACATGGGGATTATTGGGATTATATTTCAAAATGAGATTTTGGGTGGGGACACAGCCAAACTATATCATGCTTCTCTGTGAATGTATCTTTGGAATTCTTAGATTTGCAGCAGCAGCTCTTCCCAGGCCATAGCTTTCTCTTCTCATTGTCGCAAATCCCACCATCAATTTTCCAAAGCGAATAGATATTCTCCTTCCAGGCTAGACTCTGTCAGGCTGTCATGACTGCTTTCAGAAACAACTGTGCTTCTGGTTTTGAAAGCAGACTTTTCTGTGTTTGATGGAGGATGTTTATATCATGAAGGTTAACTTATAGGGACTGCAGAATCATCACACAGCATAATGGAAGGAAAAGTAACTGGATGAAGGCTGAATTACAATCTATAAATAAGGGTAGCTGCTGCTATTCTATTTAGACGGCAGCAAGAAAAGGTAGGACAAAAAAAAAAAAAGCAATGAAGGAAAAATAGATGAAGTAGGAATTAAAATTTAACTTTTTGCCAAATGGAATTCTTAAGGAGAATGAAGCAAAGATGATTAAAACCTTAATGTTTCCAAATCTCTCAGTTTTGCCTAAATCCCATTTCTTACATAGGCTCTAGATGCTAGCATAGGTGTCCAATCTTTTGGCTTCCCTGGGCCACATTGGAAGAAGAACTGTGTTGGGCCACACATTAAATACACTAACACTAACGACCGCTAATGACCTAAAAAAAATGACCAAAAAAACCGCATAAAGTTTTAAGAAAGTTTATGAATTTGTGTTGGGCCACATTCAAAGCCACCCTGGGCCACATGTGGTCCATGGGCAATGGGGTTGGACAAGCTTGATCTAGACTTGAGAATGGTATTGACTATCAGCAAAGTTCAAACGATATGAATGCTAAACTTCAATCTTTTTAGAAACTCTGTACAATAAGTTGATGTAACTGATATTTAGCATAGGTATCCCATCCCATCCCTTTCTTAATGCCTTTAAAAATTATTTTATTTATGGCTTTTTTTTTTTGAGATGGAGCTTCACTCTTGTTGCCGAGGCTGGAGTGCAGTGGCGCGACCTCAGCTCACTGCAACCTCTGCCTCCTGGGTTCAAGCAATTCTCCTGCCTCAGCCTCCTGAATAGCTGGGATTACAGGCGCCCACCACCATGCCTGGCTAACTTTTTTGTATTTTAGTAGAGAGACGGGGTTTCACCATGTTGGGCAGGCTGGTCTCGACCTCCTGACTTCATGTGATCCGCCCACCTCGGCCTCCCAAAGTTCTGGGATTACAGGTGTGAGCCACTGCGCCTGGCCTTAAAAATTATTTTAAAATAACAGGTAAGTTGTGCTTTTTTATAAATTCAAGTGATTGTTACTTTCCTGGGTGCCAGGAAAATCAAAATTGGCTAGTTGGGTTTCAGAACTTTAAGAAAAGTCTTTCACTTACATGTTCCACTTGAAGTAAATATCGAAGACATTTGCTTAGCAATAATTATATTGTTTAAGGAGGTTTGTGATTGTTTGTGCTTATAACCATTTCCTGATTTAGTCTCATGAAATTACTTTAACAACTTTCACCCTTCAGCTGCCATACAAACAGGTATGTCTAAAAGGCAGTTTCCTCAGAAGCAGACTCTGTGGGAGAGATACTTACATAAGTGATCTTCAGGGGGTACTGGCAGAAGAAACCTACAGGGCAGTGAGAGATACATAAACAGGGAAGGGAAAGAGGCTACGCTAAGGCTCAGGTGAAGGGTAGTCTCATATGAGCACGTGAGTAGCTCTGGAGCATAAACTCCAATACCAGATTTTTCCCAAATATTAGGGAACTGAGCTCAGGAATTGTCTAGAAGCTGCCCTAAGAACTGGAGGACGGTATAGCATCCCAGGCATTAGCCAAGAAGTTTCCTATTGGCTATGGGCAATTTTTGATGAAGAATGCAAGTATGAGTTGCTGGTTTCTAACACCTGCAGCAGCTAATGGTGAGAGTAGTAGCCTGGTTAAAAAAAAAATCTGGGTGGAACATCATCAATATTGGTTACAAGGAAGAACAGAAGCAGTGAGCAGTAAATTAAGTTGAGAAAGTCTTCAGAGTTATTTTCCTTAAAGATCGTAAATACTCTAGTGAGCAGTTGCATCTTTGAACTTATAGAAGCAATAATTTGCCACTACAAAAACCCCCAGATGGATTGAACCAAGCATTCCCAGAATCTTGTTTCAAATGATGTTTTTTTTACATTCATTCATGACTTTCCCTTCATCCTGCATCATATAATATCATGTAAATGTCAAACAAAGAAATCATGCTGTAATTTCTCCATAGAACTAGGGGAAAAATGAACAGGGCCAGCCTTAGCTATCTAACTCTACCTTAATCACCGAAGAAGATAGTAAATACCTTGCAAGGCAAAAGGCAATGCCAATGGACTGCAGAGAAAAAAAAAGAAAGAGGAATGCAAATCGAGTTAAATTTGAAATACACTCTGGTATTACCTGCCCCTTAAGTTGGAGATAAAGTCATGACAGCATTTTATTAAATATTCTTCCTTAATCTTACACAATAATCTATATGCCTTACATATATGTCAATTGTCTTCCAAAGAAACTGATTATGTAATAACTGCATGTATTCAAACCTTTACTAACAACTCAGAAAAGAAAGTATATATTCATCTTAATATAATGAAAAATATACATCAATATTCAATGCAGATAATATATGTAAATGCTCAATTTAGGCAAAATATTTATAGACAATACATTATGAAAAGTAACTAACAATAGAATAATAATTTTTTGCTGTTTAAGTATAAGTTCTTCTGGGGAAAGTATAGACTATTTTAAGCACGAATCAACAATAAAGTTCATATTTCACTTAAATTTATAAACACAACACATGCATGTATAAATACATATATATAGGCATACATATGGTTTTTGCTTGTTTGTTTGTTTTGTTTTGGTTTTGAGATGGAGTCTCGCTCTGTCGCCCAGGCTGGAGTGAAGTGGTGCAATCTCGGCTCATGGCAAGCTCCACCTTCCGGGTTCAAGCAATTCTCCTGCCTCAGCCTCCCGAGTAGCTGGGATTACAGGCGCAGGCCACCTTGCCTGGTTAATTTTTGTATTTTTAGTAAAGACGGGGTTTCACCATGTTGGCCAGGCTGGTCTCAAACTCCTGACCCCAAGTGATCCGCCCACCTTAGCCTCCCAAAGTGCTGGGATTACAGGTGTGACCCACCGCGCCTGGCCATATGTATACATAAAGTTTTAAAAGCTGATTTAATCATGTCCCTTCTGTCAAGAGAATGGAATAAATAGACTATGTGTGGAATGTGTTCATGGTAATACTCTATTGCTTTGAGGCTGGTTCCTCTTATCATGTTATTACTGCTCATTCTTGAATGGGTGATTTAATCAGAGGTTTTTAAGATAAAAGAACATAGTGAAGGTTCTGCATATAGAGTTTTCCCAGTTTCACAACATGCAGCTATTTAGCATAGGTGTTTCTATAACTGTTATAACACTGCCAGCTTTTGATTTTGTTTATAGTGCCGTGGGGATCCACTGCAGCCTGTGGCATCACAGACAAGGCAGCATCTGGCGCTGTGAGATGGGAGAGGAGAATTCTAGTTGTAGAGTACTAAAACATTTGCTAGCACAAATCTGCTCAGGATTTCCTTTTCTCCCTCCCCATGGTAATTTTGTTTTTCTCCATTTATACAAAGTGTAAATAGATCAAAAACCCGTTTATTGAAGAATCACAAACAGCAAAGTGAGAAATCTAATTTAGAAGAATAAGCCCATTCTGTGCCCAAACATTTTTTTGTGTTTTTTTTTTATTCATGCAGTTTGGCATTATCTAACATTTGGTTTTTCCTTCATTATACTGAGAAACATTTTAGTCATCTTATATAGTTCTCTGATAATTTTTTTCTTTCAGAGGTCATATTGAGAAGCTATGCCTTTTTCATCCTTTATAGAAGTGATATTCTTGGAACACACTCTGCTTGCTATTCTTCTAATATCTACAAAAATATACAAAAGAGATAATGAAATATTTATAATGAAACATTGTACTACAAATTAAGTTTCATTGGAGTGAAATAGAAGCCTATCTCAGAGTATGATTCCATTGGACAATATGGTCATTATATATATATATTTTCCTATATTACTTTGCTCTAATTGTACTATGATTTATTTCTATAATTTCACATACTTAGTTCTTCTACATGTAAATTATATATGAATTGCATTTTATATTTTGAATATTTATAAATAAATACTAATCTATAATTTTCTTTGAAGCAAATTTTTTCCAGTTATAAAAACACAAATGCTATGAAATAAAGCAGTACTTCAGTACTAGTTAATAGATTCTTCTCCGGTGGCTGTAAGAGGCATTTTCTTGTTTATTGACACTTTATGGCATACGTTTTTGGGTTAGATTCTTAATAAAATGGATGTAACTGTCAGTCCAAGAAACATATCTTTTCTACAGACATGTTTAGTTTGATTTTACAGTGTTAAAAATAGCGCCACTAACATTCAAAAGTTGGAAGATTTCACATAAACATGTTAAAATAAGGCTTCTCTTGAAAAAAAATGGGAAATGCTGGTTGTAATAGACCCTAATTTTAACCTGGCAACACTTGGCTGCAGTTGAATGGCAATGTTTACTTCAGTTGGCAGTGCCCACCATATTCTCTGGTGACATAGTGAATGCTTACAAACTTCAACTCAGCCTTTTGAGTTTTTTTTTTTCTTTTTCCTATTTAAACAAACAACAAGGTCCCAGTAGAGACTTGAGTTTGGGAATCCTGCCCAAACAGATTTTGTTTATTATCATTGTTACTTTTTTTTGCTTTTGCTTTTACACAGTCTAAGGTAAGTATCCTTCAGTTCAAACAATCAGAGGTATTCTGGTCAAGCTTCCTGAAAAATTAGATGAAACTTTCATTCAATAAGATCATAATTCACTATATTTTTTCTTTAATTTTTATACAATTATTCTTATACAAACCGTTCATTAATAAAAATAAAATGTAACACGTTTAAAATTTAAAAGTACATGTTTCATTCACAAAGAACATTTTGATGTAATATATTCCAGATCACTCACATAGGTTAAAAAATATTTAAAACAGACTTTTAACAGTCAGCAATATGCTGGTAACATTACATATATATGTATGTATAAATGAATATTTATTTATTTTTAAAGTGATTATAGTCTAGTGACTAATTTACAACATACGTTTACAATGAAAATATAAACCCATTCGATGCCAAAATAATACATGACTGCATTATCATTTTAATGGCTATATAATATTCTATTTCATGGATATTAAAAAGAATTACTACTATGGACTACAACGGATCTTCCATTATGAGCATTCAGATTCCATGGACGTTTTTGCTATTAGGAACATTGCTTCCTGACATCACTAATGCAGAAATTTCCCAGCTGTGCTTAGTTATTACCTGGAGACAAATTCTTGATGAAATTTAGCCCGATGAAAGTACCCATATTTCGAAGACTCTAATGCCTGTTATCACATTGCACTTAGAAATATTACAACGATTCATACTTCTACCAACAGCATATGAGGAAACCAACTTCTCCTCACCACATAGTGGTATTAGCATTCCATTAACAGAGAGGTATTCACTTAATGAGGTTTTAGAATACAGAAAACTAATTTGTAAATAGCAGTCCCAATGTTATTTCAGCACAGGGATGTGTCCATTAAAGTCCGTGGTGTCCAATCATTCATTTTGCATGAGTGCTATGGCAGAGTGATCAAGGCCCCGTGACCTAGGGTGAGTTCTGGAGACAATCTGCCCAGATTTAAGTGTAGCATTACTGCTTACTAGCAGTACTATTTCAATTGCAGACTACTTATTTTGTCTCTTTTTTGTGCTTTTAGAAAATGCAAAATATCTTACAGAGTACGTAAAATGAAAACTTTTATAATATCATAATATATATTATTTACTTTTCTTTTTCATTATACTTTAAGTTCTAGGGTACATGTGCACAACGTGCAGGTTTGTTACATAGGTATACATGTGCCATGTTGGTTTGCTGCTCCCATCAACTCGTCATTTACATTAGGTATTTCTTCTATGATTTACTTTTCAATGAAGTAGGTAAAGACTAGTTTACATACCTAAAACATATCATTCAGAGTTATATTATTAGCAAACATGAGTTAGATCCAAACCAAGGTCTCCATGCTTCAGAAGCCAGTTCTTTTTTTTTTTTTTTTTTTTTTTTTTGAGACTGAGTCTTGCTCTGTCACCCAGGCTGGAGTGCAATGGTGTGATCTCAGCTCACTGCAGCCTCTGCCTCCTCGGTTCAAGCAATTCTCCTGCCTCAGCCTCCCAAGTACCTGAGATTACAGACACCGGCCACCACGCTCAGCTAATTTTTGTGTTTTTAGAAGAGATGGGCTTTCACCATGTTGGCCAGGCTGGCCTCCCAAAGTGCTGTGATTACAGGCATGAGACACCGTGCCCGGCTGTCAGTTTTATTTTTTGCATCTACATTGATGTTTTTCCTTGCAATATTTAGGACTTCATTTTTAAATGCACATAATTTCAACAAAACTAAAGAGAGTTTCAAAAGGAGATTTACAACAGATTTTAAAAGGTCCATCATATGCTGGTAATATCTCCTACTTAATGTTAACAAACAATTAGTGAGTTATTTTGCATTAATTTATAAAAATGTGAAACATTCTTAAGACTTTTTAAAGCAATTGCTTTAAAAATTATTCTCAGTTTTAAATTTTCAAATACATTCAGACATTTAATTAGACATATTTAGGAACTCTAGGGCCTGAAAAAGAAAGAAAGCAATGAGTAGTCCATCTTTGTAAAAAAGGAAACATTAGTAAATTGAATACAAGATAAAGACTTAGTAGAAGAAAAAGATAGCAAGTATTCCTTAGAAACTCACTACCATTATGTTAGCCCCTAGTCAGGTTTAGTTTTTTAAATTTACATTTACAGTAATTAAAGTTAAATTAAATGAAAACTTCCTTTCTCAAGTTCCCT
The DNA here is from genome assembly GCF_000001405.40 of Homo sapiens. Taxonomy (NCBI): domain Eukaryota; kingdom Metazoa; phylum Chordata; class Mammalia; order Primates; family Hominidae; genus Homo; species Homo sapiens. Next base: position 20,519,099 of record NC_000021.9, read on the forward strand.
AGCCATATTTTAAGTTCTCAATTGCCATATGTGGCCAGTACGTACTGCATTGGACAAGGAATTACAGAATATTTTACATAATTGCAGATAGCATTTTATTAGAACACAAAACAACGTTTAATGGGGGAAAAGTATCACATCGTTCATAGTCAAAATGTTATTGCCAAATCATCACTTTTTTCAGAGTTCTTTTCTCAAGAAAAGTGCAAGAAATAAAACAGTGAAGTAAATACAGGACACATTAGAAAAACAGTTCAAGTAATTTAGATTCTACCACCTTTAAAGGTGGTATAGACAGGTAGACAGATGATGAATAGAGATAGACAGGTAGGAATATGAAATTACAGTGTAGAATGGTTTTGATAATTAAATAAAATCAAGTAAAATAGTGCATGTAAAATGTAGCTGGTACAATATAACTATGTTATACTGTGTGTTAAAAAATGAGAATTCTTTTTAACACTATTTACTGAAAGTGACTAAAATACAATTCTTGATATTCAATTAACTAGATGAAAAGAGAGTTAAAAGAAACTTATTCTAGACCTAAAGCTCCATTACCATGTGACAGAAAATGTGATATTTATTTCCATAGTATTGTATGTGTGGAAAACTCAAAACTGTAAGCAAATGTGACTTCTATCAAAAATGCTGTATTTGAAGGATGGAAACGGCATCCATGGCTCTGATTCAATACTGGCTTCAATGGTAACGTCAATACTGAGGATGAACTAATGTAAACTGGCTTTAGCTAAGCATTCTACTTAAAGTCAGAATTAGGCCTAGATCCCAGATTTTCTAACAAGCTCTGGCAAATAGATACTCTAATTATATTTTTGGCCTCTGCAACATTATGAGTAATTTGTTAATTCTACATATATTATTTGTCTAATATGTGATTTGCATTCTGTGGAAATGAAAAATATCTCTGTCCTTATGGGGCTTATATATTTATGGAGCAGCAGTCAAATTGGTAAGCAAAATTTGTAAATAAATTAATGAGATAATTTTACATTATAGTCTATAATGCACTTTCAGATATAGTAACATTAGGAATAGACAACACTTAACCTAAGGCTAATAAACCTTTAAGGATTTGACTAAGCTTACACTTCATTCAGTGGCAGATCTGAGTATCTACTATGAGAGTTTTAACTGCATGCATGATATTTTTCTTAGTCTGTTCAAACTGTTAGAACAAAATACCATATACCGAGTGGCTTATGCACAAGAAAAACTTATTTCTCACAGTTCTAGAGGCTAGGAAGTCCAAGACCAGGGTACTGGTAGGGCAGATCTGATGTCTGGTGAGGGCACTGTTTCTTTTCATAGGCTGCATCTTCCAACTGTGTCCTCACATGGTAGAAGGGATGAGCTAGCTCCTTGGGGTCTCATTTATAAGGGCACTAATCTTACTTATCAGCGCTTTGTCCTCATTACCTAATCACCTCCCAAAGGCCACACTTCCTAATACCATCATCTTGGTGGTTAGGTTTTAACGTATGAATTTTGGAGGGACACAAATATTGAATCTATAGCAGTATTCTAGTATGATAATATATTTAATTTCAGGATAAGGCATCTAAAAGAAATCATTAAAGATCGAATTCATATATTAATAGTTTGATTTTCTTACGGGAAGATAAATATAAGTTACACAAATCTTTTCTTGTTCAGTGCCTTAAAATCTCCCTAAATGAAGATTTATAATTTAACTTGGTAGTAAACTTTGTGATTTTGCAACTCCAGCATTCAAGGCAATACTATATCTAAGGGAGAAAATCAATTTTAATGTAATTTTATTCTTTTTTTTTAATTTCTGAGATCTTTAGTTGCATAGCACAAAATCGAGAATCAACCCACACTAGGGTTGAGTTTTATATGACTAGGTTTTGTGTTTCTTTGGCATTGTTGGTTTTTGTTTATCCTCTATTCCTGATTTCATCTTTCTTTTCTGAGATATGTCCCAAATGCACTGACGTTTTCTTTCTTCCAAGCCATTTGCTACATATATATATATACACACACATACATATATATACGCATATATATACATACATATACATATATACATATATGTATCCTTGAAATAGATATTGTTTTTATTAAAATATATTCTTGTAGTTATAATTAATAATTAAATAAAGAGGATTTTGTTCTTCAGTATTAGGCTTAGAGGGGCTTATTTTATTCTAGGTATATTGTCACTAAGAAATACCTAAAATATAAGAAAAACGTGTCATGGGCAAAAGACAAAACACCGTGCGTCAGTCTGAAGCACTGAAACCGGATGCACATCCACATCTATTGACAAGTTTCAGTCTTTTGGTGTTTCTCAGAATAACAGAACACACCCAGTTAGCCTCTGTATTAGTTTCCTATTGCTGGCATCACAAATTATCATGTACTCAGTTGCTTAAAACAATGCATATTTATTCCATTCTGGTTCTGTAGGTCAGAATTCTGACACTGGTCTCAGTGTGCTAAAATCAAGGTGTCAATAGTGCTGTGTTCCTTTCTGAGGACTCTAGAGAATGTGTTGCTGGCTCTTTCAGGTAGTTAGCAGAGTTCAGTTCCTTGAGGTTATAAACTGCTGGTTTTTCACAGAGTCCAGAAACTGCCCACATCCCTTGGCTTATGGCTCCTTTTTCTCCGAAGCCAGCAAAGGTAGGCTGAGTTTCTCTCATGCTTAGAATCTCTCTTGCCTCTTTTCTGGGCATCTCTCTGACTCAAGCTCTGGAATGTTCTTTGGTTTTTAAGAGTTTTTGTGATTACATTGGAATCCACTGTGTAACCAGGGATAATCACTTCGTTTCAAGATCCCTAATCACATCTGCAGAGTTCCTTTTGCCATATAACACATTCACAGGTGTCAGGGATTAAGGAATTGACATCCTAAGGTTGATGAGTTCATTATTTGGCCTACCAGAGCTGCTGCTTCTTATTTGTTTATTAATAAGTAAACAGACTTTATTTTTCAGAGTAGTTTTGTATTTATGAAAAATTGAGGAGAAAGTCCAGAGTTCCCATACATCCTTCTCCAATCTACCTTCCTCCTCCCCAGTTTTTCCTGTTACTAATATTTTGCGTTAGTATGGTACATTTGTTAGCATTGATGAACAAATATTGATATATTATTATTAACTGAAACCCATAGTTTAACTTAGAGTACACTCTTTGTAGTCTTCAGTTCTATGAGTTTTGACAACTATATAATGTCAGGTAGACACATTGCAATTATAATACAGAATAGTTTCAATTCCCTAATATTTCCCCTCTGCTCTAGCTAGTCATCCCTTCTTTCTTCTCCTCAATTTCTAGCAACTGCTGACCTTTTTATTGTCACTGTAATTGTGCTTTTCCCAGAATCTCATATAGTTAGAAACAAACAGTATGTAGTGTTTTCGAACCTGTTTCTTTCACTTGGCATTTAAGATTCCTCTATGTATTCTTTGTGGCTGAATTGTTTATTTCTTTTTATGGTTGAATAATATTCCATGAAATGTATGCACCCCAGTTTATCTATTCACCTATTAAAAGACATCTCGATTGCTTCCAAGTTTTGGCAATTATGAACAAAGCTGCTATAAATATTCATAGATGGGCTTTTGTATGGACATAAGTTTTCAACTCATTTGGGTAAATACCAAGGAGCACAATTGCTGGATCATATGGTAGGACTATTTTTAGCTTTGTAAAGAACTGCCAAGCTGCCTTACAATGTGGCTGTAGCATTTTGCATTCCCATCAGCAATTAGTGAGAGTTCCTGCTGCCAGCATTTGTTATTATCAATGTTTTGGATTTTAGCCATTCTAATAGGTGTGCCATGGTATCTTGTTTTAATTTTCCATTTTAAAAATGTCATATAATGTTTAACATCTTTTCATATGCTTACTTGACATCTGTATACATTTTTGCACAGCCTGTTCTTCAAAAAATAAAACAATTCACTTATTTTCTGAAAAATAAGTAAATGTAATTTTATGTGCAGATTAGTCACACATACTTGTTAGAACCTACATGGGGATTTCAAAAAGACAGAATCCTGAATCATACAAACCTCTCCCAAATACATCACGACCAGCTTTAAATCAACAGCAAAGGGTTGCTAGAGGCAAAAGCAGGAAGATTGTGAGGAAGGCTACAAATCTGACAAACTCTACAATAATAGAAGAGAGCTTGGCAGAAGAAGATGCATGGAGCACCAAAGAAGAGAGTAGCAATGCCTGGATGGCTGGTGCTGGAATGTTTACTGTACACAGATCTGCAAGAGAACTCAACAGGTAGTGTGGCTTCTCTCTAGTAAGCCTGGGGGCACTAGCTATTGCACCAGAGCAGACTAGAGAACACACTGGCTCCCTGGCTCATCACTTGCCACAGAAGTATATACTTACAAAGTTGATGCTGCTTTATATACTGTCATACAAAAGCTCTGTCTGAAAAGAAACCAGAGATTTGGAGAACAATACCTAAAATAGGTAACCTAAACTTAAGAGCAATTACTGAAGGAGACAGATGGAAATGTTAACAACCATCACTACATAACAGCAGCACTGAAGGAGAGTCCATTACAGTTTCTTAGACATCATTTTCTAGTACTACAGCAATAAAAGATATGATCATAATTTAAAAGTCCAAAAGAGGAATTGAAAAAAAACACCATAGATACTCGGAAGTTCAGGTGGAAGAAATATATCCAAAACAGAGCCAAGGTATGAAGAGTGAGAAATCAGAAAGAAGAGGAAATATAAATGACTTGGAAGACTTCTTGAGAAGACTTTATATATGTGAATTTTTGCAGATACTAGAAAATAAACAAGAGAATGAAAAACAAAAAATAAGAAATGAAAAACAAAAAATGTATGTGTCAGGAGTGATATCAGATCTGCATCTCCCGAGTAAAAGTTCGCATGGACTGAAAGGCAGAATTGATGAAGATATACACCTCTTGGCATATTTTGGTAAATCCTCTAATTCAAATTTTACAAACTTTCGGAAGAAAAAAACACAACATTTGTGGAGGAAAAAGAAGTAGACTGAACTTGAAGTTCTTAACTAAAATACTGAACACTGTAAAACAAGTGGATAGTACTACATATTTGTAGTTATATTCAAATTGAGATGAATAGGCTGATGAATCATGTACCTTATCTGCTAAGTAAGTTTTTTTAATTGAAAAGATGAAATATATGACAGGGAAAACATAGTGACAGTCAATTAAAAGAACTATGCTTCCAAATAAAAAAAGCTTTAAGAAGTCTTCTTGGAGTGGGATTGGGGAAGCTTACATACTTAACTATTCACCTCTGGGCAAGTGAAGGACAGAGTGATAAAAATCATTAGGAAGGCTAAAATGTGAACATTTTTAACCTCAAATATACTTTTTTTTTTTTTTTTTTTTTGAGACAGAGTCTTGCTCTGTCGCCCAGGCTGGAGTGCAGTGGCGCGATCTCAGCTCACTGATCTCCGCCTCCTGGGTTCACGCCATTCTCCTGCCTCAGCCTCCCGAGTACCTGGGACTACAGGTGCCCTCCACCACGCCCGGCTAATTTTTTGTATTTTGTTTAGTAAAGACGGGGTTTCACCCTGTTAGCCAGGATGGTCTCGATCTCCTGACCTCGAGATCTGCCCGCCTCGGCCTCCCAAAGTGCAAATACACTTTTTTATATTTAAGCATGGACACCTTGGTTCAATTGTTATGAAATAAAGCAAATAAACATATCATGAAAGATATGATTAGCTATATCAGAGCATGAGTAACAACCAGATCTAGTGACAACGCACACACTATCACGAGAAGAGCAAGGGTGAAATCTGATCCTATAATTCAATCACCTCTCATCAGACCCCCCCCACCAACACTGGGAATTACAACTCGATATGAGATTTAGGTGGGTCACAGAGCCAAACCACATCAGGGTATTTGTCTAAGAACAACAATAACAACAAAATTGTTGGTTCTGTTATTAAGAGAAGAATGACAATCGGGTAGACAAGTCATAGCCTCTGCCTTACTGGATATGTAAGAAGCCCTTTTAATTAAGTAGGAGAATGATAAAGAGTGCCCCAGTTGAAATTGTGGGGGATATAGCTATAGAGAAAATACAATGATAAAATTTAAAAATGAACAATAATTATGAAAGTATATCGAAACAGTGGTAATTAATTTAAGATAGCTTTCAGTGAATTATGCACAAACAATTAACAACTGATAAAAACTCATTATTGGGGAAGTTCTGGAAACTTCCTGGAAAGCCACTTGGCACTATCTAATGAAGTTAAATAAGGTACAAATCATATTTCCACTGATTATTTGGTCCCCTGAGATATAAATCAAATAATATTATGAAGATACATTTACTCCAAAGTTAATCACAGCAATAACATACAAAAGTGAAAAATTTGAAAATAAATTATAATTATTAAAGGGAGTTAGTTAATAGAGTAAATACATATAAAGAAGCGATTGCAAATATATACATGTACATACATCTATGCATATCATTTCAGATATATAAATTCTAATTACAGTGTATTGTTAAACAGTACAAACTGCATATATGATAAGACACTACAGTTCTTTAAAACATAAATGTGTATTTTTATTTATTAATGAAGAATGTAAGTCTGAAAGTGTATGTGCCAAAATGTTAACAATATTCACTTTCTTTTTTTCTATTTTATTGTCTGATTTTTAAATTTATATTATGTTTACAACCAGAAAATATAGATATATTCAGGGTAAAATTATGCTTATTTAACATACTTGATATAAATACTAGAAGAAATTTACAAAAAGGGGAGAAAAATATTTTTCTTGTATTTGAAAAATGTTTCAGAATATTTATTTTGTCCTTTTTTTCTTTTGCTACTTAAAAAAGAATGTCTTAACCCTAATCTTCTAAGCAATAGGAATAAGCTATTGAAATATAGGAAGACAACTATTTTGATAAATCAAGCACCTTGTATTTAAAACAAAATTAAATAAAGATAAAAACTTTTATATTATATATTTAAGTAGATTTTATTTTATATTTAAGTAGTTATACAAAGTTAAATTTTCAAAATTGGTGTCTGACAGATATCTATTTTTTCAGAATAATCATATAATTGACGTATATTTGATAATCACCTAAATGTTCTATGACTGAAAATTTGAAGACACAGAAAAATAGAATTTAAGGCCCAATAATTGTATTTTGAAAGGTATAGAAAAACATAGATCTAAAAATCTTCTTTTATTTAAAAATATTCTTAATAAATATTTTATGCCTTAGCCTAAAATTAGTCGATTTCTCAGCTCAGATGACCTACACAACTTTTTTGGTCTATCCCCGCATGTGTGTCTCTTTCACTGTTTACACTATACTGTATTGCATTCTTTTGCAACTTACATACAAATTTTACTATGAATATGGCCATAGGCCCTGCTTTAAGGACTTCCCCATTGAAAAATAACCTATGCTTAAAAAAGAAAACGAAGATTAAAATTTTAGGTAATTATTTTCTTGTTTTTCATTAGTTTTTTCTAAAATAAATTTTGTTGTGTACATTTAAGGTATACATGAAGCTGTGGGATACACATAAAGAGTAAAAAGGTGACCATAGTGAAGCAAATTAACATATTCATCATTTCACATAGGAACACTTTTTGTTTGTTTTTGTGGCAAGAGAAACTAAAATCTAATCATTTAGGATTAATCCCATATAGGGTACAATTTTTGTTTGTTCAGACGTTTCTACAATTTGCACAGGTAATAGCTTCATCTGTTTCAAAGTCAACTCTAAAAAGAGTAGACAGTTAATATTTTCCTGTTCATATCTGCTTCCAAACCACCTGGTTTCCTTCCTTCCTGGTGAATTCAAATTATCCTTTTTTTTTAAAAAAGTAAACTTTCAGAGATATTTTATGCAGCAAGGAAACAAGCGTACATATTTTTCTCCTCTTTTAAGAAAACAGTATTGTTCACACTGTTCTGCACCTTGGTTTTTAACTTAATATTCATAGGAAATCATTCCATATCAATACCCAAAGGACTTCCTCATTCTTTTTCATAAACACACTTTATCTATGTGAGAATGTATCAAATCTGTTTCACCAGATCCCTAAAAATGACATTTAGTATGCTTCCAATTATTTGGAAGACATATTTGCTTCCATTACAAATAATGGTACAGTAAATAGCCACATAAATAGTCATTTCCCACATATCTTAGTATATTTATAAGATAAATTTCTGGAAGCAAACTTTCTGAGTCAAAGGATACATTCTTGTTATTATAAGGCTTAGTATAAATTATCTCAAAAGACAAAAAATAATAAACTTTATTATTTTAAATAGAAAAATAATTACTATCATTTACCAGCATATGACTTTTATCAATGATTGATGCAAGATAAAGGTACACATATTTCATAGCTACTCACTCAGTTTCACCCTTGTTTTACTTCTTGCTTCTTTAAAAACAGACTCTTGGAGTGGATTTTGAAATTTATTTATACATGTACAAATAACTGAATAATCTGATCAAGGCTTAAAATTTAGAAGAAAGTCGAGATGGAAGTATCTTTCAACAAGTCAGAAACCTTAAATTAAATAAACTATTTAGACTCATTGAATCTGTAATGTATCATCAAATGATGGAAAATAGTTTGTTTTGGAGAGGAAAGAGGAAAGGAAGCAGAGTCCTTTTGCCAGACATGAATTCCCAAGGGATATATTCATTACTTTGTTGCTTATACAAGGCCATAGAAATCAACACTCCTACAACACAGATCTTTGCAGCAGGCTCCTGTGAAACATTGGCTTCACAACATTTGGCAGAGCTCCCATCCCCTGCTTATAGATCATATCATACAACCAGTCTTTCAATTATATTTGCTGATGTAAAAAATAAGTGAAACACATGCATTTTTCTTTATGTTATTTTTCATTCATAAGAACATTTCTAAGGCATTTATTATTAGTATTTGGTTCCCGATGTTTTACTAATAAGAAATCATGTTGTATTTCATGAAGCTTCTTTGATTAGCAATTTTATTTCTATTCCAGGGTGTCTATGTCACTTATAAGAAAGCTAACCAGATGGAATCATCTGGTTATTTGTATATTAACTACTGTCAGAGTTTTAATAGTAAAATGATTTCCTTGCACAATGTGGCGGTAATAGAGTCAAGCTGTGGCTTAAATAGCCTTCCTAATGGAGGTTTCAAGAGAACTGAGAGGATTTATAAAAATTTACTTTGTGACATGCCTAATACGTGTATTATGTGTGTCGGTTTTTCCACTGCAACAGAAAGAAAGGCCAATACATTTCTAAATTGTATATTAAATATTTATAAACTTTTCTAAACGTGTGACATAAAAAGTATCTGGTCAGTTCCCTTCACTATAAATTCAGCTTATGTTCCTATTTATGGTGCTGCTGGAGCACCACAGCCCCGGGTCTCACACTAAATGCTTACTTGCAGATCCACCTAGGTAGTTCTCCGTAGAGGGAAGAGCTTCCCATGATCTTCTCCACAAGCATTTCTTTCAAAGCCGCGTTGCAGGAGTCACACATAATTGCCAGTGTTCCAGATAACAAACTTCTTATTTCCATTACACTTAGAAGGGAATACATTTATCATCCTAAATGATACTAAGTTACTAAAGGATACTGAGAACATTTATCACCCTAAATGATATTAAGATTAAGCTCCTATAGCAATTTTGTAGAGGTCAGTAGTAGGCATAGTTAGGAATATATATGTATACATTTAGGTGTATCAGTAGAAGGTTTGTGACAATAGCAGTTTGATTTTAGATGATGCTGATGTGAATCAGGAGATAATAGGAAGAATTGCAGTCATGCACACATTATTTTCAAAGTCATATTCTAATGCTCCAATTTCGAAAATAGTTACTAGTGTCTGGTAATTCTACTTTTCATTTGTTATCAACCAACATACATTTAAATTTTACAGGATTATCAGCAACACACAAACACAGACATGTACAATTAGTGTAAAAACAATGTTGATGGCTCCTGTTAAATCATTTGATGTTAGATCATTTCTTTTCAAGTATTCTTCCCTACTTTGACAGTTTTTTTGTTTTTACCAGGAAACAACAACAATTCACTATCAATAGCCCCTTTCTCCTGCCATTTTATTCCCATTTTAAGGAAACTTGCATGGGAAGGAACTGTGTAGGTGAAAAACAGAGGAAGAAAAAAAATGAAAGAAGAGAGATAAGGCTTAAAAGGGGCACAAGGAAGAAGGCTCTAAGAATAGAAGACGAAAGAGACCAAAAACTTCACATAAGGAAATTTTCTACAATCTCCAGAAAGTAGCATATAACTTTTTATGGGGGGAGGGGTTGCATTATTTTTTAACAGAAAAATTTTGAAAATTTTTTAATATGGGAGAAGAAAATACTAAAATAATTCTGCAAGTCTAAAAGTAAAGAAAATATGGATTTTATAAATTAGTAAAACATCATAATTTAATACCCTGAATAGGAAGATAATCTAACAGAGAATGTAGACATTAAAAGGAAAACAACTAAAATAAGGAAATGGTAGAAATGCTTGGGGTTAATGAGGAAGACATTTAACAAATAGGAAATAAATTCTCTATGTTTAAGAAAGACATAATTTGCTAAATTATTCATTTATTTAAAACCAAACAAGATTAATTTCAAGAGAAAACACTTCAATTAATTTAGATAAAATGAATGCATTTAAATGTGCCAAGAATTCAAATTTCCCAAGAAAGCCTATAAATTCATATGGAAAGAAAGAAAACTGTCTTGGGTTTATCTTCTATCACATAACGTGTCAAAGGACAAAAGAGAAATTGCTACATTATTGTGAGACAAAGGTTTATGGCATAAAAATTCAAAACAAAACCACTTTGCTCTTCCCGTGTGAAGGTAATCAAATGATACTCTTTAGATATGCAGATCTCAGAAAATGTATCATCCACAAAAATTTCATGAAAAACATTCCATCCACAAAGTTATATTCCAGTCAACTAAGATTTTTTTTAAAAAATGAAAACAAAGGCGTAGTATAAAATTACTGTCAGAGAATATTGAAAGCAGTTACATATATATACAAACACAACATATAAATAATCATTTTATATGCCTACAAATGAAAATCCAAAATACCAGATGTCAACACAACCTTGAAGCTGATAAACTTAATAAACTGGGAAAGACATTTAAATACAGTACCATTTTACGTTTACATAAATGATAGGCAACAGTAATTTTATTGTATTATGTAAATATTTAAAGAAACATATATTTAAGTACACATTTTTCTTTTTTTTAGTTGTTTTATAGAATTTTTTTATTTCCAAAAATAACACATCATCAAGCAAAAATTCACATACATCACGGTGTGTAAAGACATGGTTAGTAATCTGTCATTCACACTCAGATAATTTCACACCCAACCTGTAATAAATATGCATCTATATTTATATTTCTTTTCATAAATATGTATAAAAAATTGAAAGTGGAAGTCTCAAGAATAATCTTGTTGGAGTTTATGTTCTCAAATAACATAACAAAATAAATGTTTTACCAACATTAGTATATTGGTAGGAATTCCACTCCAAGTGAAGTAAGGTCCAGGAATTTCTCCTCAGTGATATTGAATCAAGTTTGAAAGGCCAAATTGATAACTCTTCTTTATGAGAAGTCTCAAGAGAAATTTAAAAATGTTGTAAACTAAATAAAATAAAAATATGGGAGTTTTCAAAATTTTGTTGTGGGATACAACAAAACAGTGCTTAGAGAGGAATTTATAGCATTGAATGAACACATTAGAAAAAAGAAAGATCAACATTCAATAACCTAAGCTTCTGCCTTGGAGAAGAGAGGGAAAGAAAGAGCAAGTTAGGTTACCGAATACAGAAGAAATAATGTGAAAAAACAACAGAAATCGATGAAAGTCAAAATAAGAAAACCAAAAACTGATTCTTTGAAAAGATTTTAAAAATTGATAAAACCCTAGCCTGGCTAACCAGACAAAATGTGAGAAAAAAATGAAACAGAAGTCTTTACTCCTTAAGGCATAGCTAGTGCAATGAGACAAGAAAATTAAATTCAAAGTATATAGATTTGAAAAAAAGAAATAAAATTTTCTTTATTTGTAGATAAAATGTTTACATAAAAATCTTAAAGAATTGCACAAAATCACAAACAAACAAAAAAACTTGGAACTAATAAGTGAGTACAGCAAGGTTGCAGAAAACAATGTTAATATAACCAAAGTTGATTACTTTCCAATGTACCAGCAATGAATAATGGGAATTTTAGATTACAAACAAAACAAACAAATCCAACGGTACTATTAACACTAGCACCAAAAAGGGAAATACTCAGTTGCAAAGCTAACAAAGTATGTACAAGACCTATAGTGGAAAACTATTATACAAAATTCTGATGAAAGAAATTGTAGAAGATGAGGCCAGGCGTGGTGGCTTACGCCTGTAATCCCAGCACTTCGGGAGGCTGAGGTGGGTGGATCTCTTGAGGCAAGGAGTTCGAGACCAGCCTGGCTAACATAGCAAAACTGTTTTTACAAAAAATACAAAAATTAGCTGGGCATGGTGATGTGTGTGTGCCTGTAATCCCAGCTACTCGGGAGGCTGAGGCAAGAGAATCACTTGAACCAAGGTTGCACTTAGCTGAGAACACACCACTGCACTCAAGCTTGAGTGACACAGCGACACTCAAAAAAAAAAGAAAAGAAATTGTAGAAGATTGAAGATGTAATTACATAAAGGTTTTCCACGGAGGTACCTGTTCACATTTCTGAAAACACTTTATATATGAAATGAACAATTAAATAGGTGATAGCAGATGGTAGAAGCTATGATTTTCTTTATTGGAGTAGGAAGTAGTGGGGGCTCGAGTGATCCATACTGTTATAATTTGGTGGTGTGTCCTTTCCAAATTTCATATTAATATGTGATCTCTGTCCTCTCCAATGTTAGAGGTGGGCCTGGTGAAAGGATTTGGGCCAACGGAGGTGGATCCTTCTTGAATGGCTTATTGCTATTGTCATGGTAATCAGTGACTTTTTGCTCTATGAGTTTGCCTGAGATATGGTTGTTTAAAAGAGCTTGGCACCTCCTCCCTCTCTCTCTTTGTCTCTCTCAATATGTGATATGCTTGCTGCCCCTTCACCTTCTGCCATGATTGTAAGCTTCCTGAGACTTTCCTAGGAGCAGATGCCAGCACCATGCTCCTCGTACTGCCTGCAGAACTCTAAGCCAAAATAAATTTCTTTCCTTTATCAATTAACCAGCCTCAAGTATTCCTTTAGAGCAACACAAACAGACTAACACACATATGGTGATAAATTATGGTTGGATAAACGACTATGAACCGATTTTAGTTTAATTAGATAGCTGATTTCACATATAAGTATTTATAGATATGTGTATATATGGTTTAATAGAATGTACTTTAAATATTTTTCAATTTTCTGTATATTATGTTTTGACATCTTAGAAACCTTTTTGGCTGGGGAGAGACTGCTCTTCCCAAGGCTAGCCAATTTATAAAGTTAACAAAGGGCTTGGCCAGAGCATCTAATTGATAGCAAATTAACCAATGCAGAGACATACCTCCTCTAGCCTGTTCACCTCCGGAGGCCATATTCCTGTCTTAATCATCCCAAGGCAAAATACCAGGCAACTAGAGACCACCCTTAGAGCTCAAAGAAAGCAGAAATCATTCAAACTAGCCAGTCCTTACTGTTCATCTTACCCTGTCCTGTCTTGCCTCAATAAAATCAGTGACCTAAACCTTCCTATCACTCCTGTGTCCTGCCTCCTGACCACCTTGGTGTCCTTCCCTTGTTGCCTTGTGTGACACGCCATGTCTCCTGTTTCATTGGGCTTACGAGTATAATAAACTTTTTTTCTCCAAGTCTCCCCCGTGTTTCCTTTTTTGGCCATATCTGACAGATCATCCCATAAATAAATACAAAACGTATATATGCATATATTTCATCACTGTCAGCTGAGAGGTCCTAGAAACAATGACATCTCAGTAGTCATGAGTACCCTCAGCTCCCAGATCGTGGTTTGTAATACAACTTTCTAATAAATGAAACCACGGATCTTCAGAGAATTGGCTGATTCGATAACTCGTAGGATATTAACAAGATGAGCCAGGAGCATCTTATAGTGCCAGAAAGTGAGGAAGTGTTCAAAATAGATAAACACGTTAAAAATAATGATAATAAAAATAAAAACTGCAATAACTATAATATGTCAAAAGACCAGGAGCCAACTGAAACCGCCTTCAATGGCCAAAAATGAAAAAAAAATTGAGCAATAAAATAAATAAAATGACAGTGAATTATAACCCAGAGTATAGAGTATATATGTGAGTCCATACTGACAGTAATACATAAATAACTGAATATGTAAATTAAATAAAGGAAAATACACAAATCTGTGCAGAAGAATTCCAAGTAACTTATGTAGTTAGAGCACCTTCAAGAAGGGGAGTGTAAATCCCCACTTCTTACATGCAGGCTATGGATAGTAACTTCCTTCCAAAGAGTACAATACTCCTCATAGTGGAGAAATTTCACAAACCCTACCTTAGCCACGTTATCAAGTTTAACTTCAGTAATGATAAGTCATATTGAAAATATGTACCTTTTATATATCATGGCAAAAATGACACTTTACATCTGTGGCCTTCTTCTAAAAAATATATACAAGTTTAATTTAATCATGAGAACACCATTAGACAAATACCAATTAAGGCAGTTGCTATAAAATCCTGGTCAGTACACCTCAAAACTGTCAGTGATTCTGGTAGGTTGGATAATTGCTCCGAATATTGGCCATCTTCTTATCCCAGGAATTTTGACTATAATATCTTACATGGTAAAAGGGACCTTGTAATAAAATTAAAATAAGCATTCTGAGATTGACAGATTATTCTGGATTATACAATATTTTATGTAATCACAAGAGTCCTTAGACTTATTATATAGCAGTGTAATCACAATAGTTCTTTTTTTTGATTTCTTTTGTTTTTATTGAAATGGAGTCTCACTCTGTCACCCAGGTTGGAGTGCAGTGGCGTGATCTCAGCTCACTGCAACCTCTGCCTCCAGGATTCAAGCGATTCTCCTGCCTCAGCCACCGAAGTAGCTGTGACTACAGGCATGCACCTCAAAGTCAGGCTAATTTTTGTATTTTTAGCAGAGACGGGGTTTCACCATGTTGGTCAGGCTGGTCTCAAACTCCTGACTTCAAGTGAGCCACCAACCTTGGCCTCCCAAAGTGCTGGGATTACAGGCGTCATCCACTGCGCCTGGCCCACAAGAGTTCTTATACGAGAGAGACAGGGTAGTCAAAGTGAGAAATAGGAGATTTGGCAATGGAACTAGAAATTGGAGTGATGGGAAGAAGGGGTCAATGAGCTGAGGATTATAGGCAACCTAGAGGCTGGGAAATGGAAGGAATGGGAGATTCCAAGAGGAAATGTCCCTGCTGAAACCTTGACTTTACACCAGTGAGACTAATTTCCAGAAGTGAAAGTTTACTTTGCTGAAGTTCGTGGTAGATTGTTACAGCAGCAATAAGAACCTAAAACAGTTATAAAACTCAAGAATACCCTGAGACATTGACACAAGCAAGCAGAAGCTAAGGAGATGTGAACACTGTGTAAAGTGGTATTCTGGATGAGATACTGTTAGAGAAAATAAGGACATTAGGGGTAAAACTAAGGAAATCTGAGCAAAGGGTGGATCTTAATAATAATTATAAACATAGGTTCCGTAATTTTAACAAATGTATCATGCTATCATTAGATGTTAATAATAGGGGAAACTGAGTGTGTGGTGCATGGGAACTCCGGATAATCTTCATAATTATTTTATAAATTTAAAACTTAAAACGAATGAAGTGATTCTAAAGCAATATATTCTGATGAATAGGATCTAAAACAAAAACGACTGAATGAACAAATTAACCACGAAAAACTGAATAAAAATAATAAGTTTACAGTAAGAGTCAAACATTAGTAATGTGTCAAAATAGACAGAATTTAATATGCAGAAAAACATGAGTTTTTAAAAATTATAGGACAAAGTTTAAGATATCATGGATATAAGCTGAAGGAAAACAAGAAGAATTTCATTTGTGTTATTAGGCAAAGAAAATAAATGTTACAGAACTTGGGATTTTATATAAAATGTTTTATTTAATTATATTTTGGAGAAAGAAAATTTAAACTTAATGAAATATATTTAGAAAATGAGTAATCAAAACAATAAATATCAACATTACACATCACTCATGACTTTTAAATGTAAAGTCTTATGTGCAATTTTAAACTAAATTATTAAAAATTTAGATAAAGCACATTATTTTTAAAACAGTAGAAATCTCCAATGTTTACTAAAAAATTAGACAAATTGCTATAGGTTGAATTTTTTTTTTTTTTTTTTTTTTGGAATCTGGCAAAGGACTACTTTGAACAAAGTTCCCAGTACTAAGTGCTCTTATGGGAAGTCATTTCAAACACTTATGGAATAGATATGTTACAGAAATTGTTCCAGAACAAAGATGGGAAATATCCAAGGTCACTTTGAAGCTAAAAATCTCTGATAATCAAACCTAAAATAGATGAACTAAAAAGAAGATCAACAGGCCATTTAACTATTGTCTTTTGTGAGGATGAATGCTGTACCGCTTCTCAGTCTTTTGGTTAAGATCAAGTGAGGATGCATGCTGTAATATTTGTGGTTGCTAGAATTTTAAGATGATCCTCAAATTTTCCACTCACCTGCTATACACAACACACATAATCCCCAAGACTGTTATGATGAATTGTACCCTCATAATTAGCTAATGTTATATGGCACAAATGTTTAAATATAGATTATCCAGGTGTTCCTGAGCACATCACAAAATCTCTTTAAAGCAGAAAGATTTTTTTGTTTTTTGTTTTTTGTTTTTCTGGTAATAGAAAGGGAAGTCAATAATTTGAAGTATGAGAAGGATCTGACTAACTGAAAATGAGGAAGCACACAGTAAGTGTATTAGTCAGGGTTCTCTAGAGGGACAGAACTAATAGATGTATATATGAACGGGAGTTTACTAAGGAGCATTGACTCACATAATGACAAGGTAAAGGTCCACAATAGGCCGTCTGCAAGCTGAGGGGCCAGGAAGCCCTCCCGAGTCCCAAAACCTCAAAAGTAGGGAAACCAACAGTGCAGCCTTCAATCTGTGGCCCAACGCCTGAGAGGCCCTGGCAAACCACAGGCGTAGCTCCAAGAGTCCAAAAGCTGAAGAACTTAGAGTCATTGTTGTAGAGCAGGAAGCATCCAGCACAGGAGAAAGATGGAGGCCAGAACACTCAGCCAGTCTAATCCTCCCACGTTCCTCTGCCTGATTTTATCCTAGCCACACTGACAGCTGATTAGATTGTGCCCAATCAGATTGACAGTGGGTCTGTCTCTCCTAATCCACTGACTCAAATGTTAATCTCACCCCCACAGACACACTCAGGAACAATGCTTTGCATTTTTCAATCCCATCAAGTTGACACTCAGTGTTAGCCATCACAGTAAGGACTCTAGAAGCTGAAAGTGTCTAACAGCTGACAGCAAGGAAATAGGGACTTCAGTCCTACAAATGCAAGGAACTGAATTCAATAAACAAAAAGAATGAACTTGGCAGAGAATTTTTTTCCAGACCCTCAAATGAAAGCTGAGTTCAGCCAACATCTTAATTTCAACCTTGTGATATCCTAAAGAGAGAAAACAGATGCAAAAATTGTTAAGAACAAAGAAGTTTCATGCAGCGTGATTAATGAGCTTGGAATAATTAACCTTGATATAAAGCAAAGTATAATTGCAGAAATTCACTTTATATTAGCCATACAGTAGATATGAGCAAATTTTACAGAATTGTCATATACATCAAATCCTATGGTCTCAATGCAATTAAATTAGACTACATTAACAACATGTTAATAAATAAAATCTTCACCCAACTGGAGATTGAATGTTTTTAAAAACCTATTTTCCAATAACTCATGTTATAAACAATGAAATGACTTGAGAACTCATCTTAAAAAAATTTCAGCATACAAATGTTTGGATAAGAAGGAACAGTTAGAACTCACAAGGTTGTATATGGAAACAAGATGTAAAGAAAACTCTGCTGCCATGGAACCCAAATGAGAAAGTGCGGCAACTGATAATCACTCTTAGAAATAATGTTGTATTGTGCAATATCATCAACAAACTTAATGCTTTTTTGCCATCTTAAAAAATTAATTTATGATGCTTTAGTTCAAATAGGTCTTCAGTAATTTGTGTTTTTTTCCAAAATTAATGTATGTTTATTAAATGGGAAACCTAAAACCCATGGCTGTAAATTGCTGTTTCTGACTTGAGCTGACATTTAAATCCATACAGTATATGAGATACATGATCTATTTTCTCTGAAGCATCACTGTGTTACAGGATCTTTGGAGTGTTGGTTTTCTGGCTGGAAACCTTGGTGGCCAGTGAGGCCTTTGCCTGAGTTCCTGTCCTGTATCCAGAAAGCATGAGGTACACAGACAAGTGGAGGGTGAGCAAGAAGAGGAGCTTTATTGAGTGTTAAAACAGCTCAGAGGAGACTTGCAGTGGGTAGCTCCTCTCTGTAGGCAGTTCATCCTAGCCAGTGTTCAGCTCTCAGCAGAGAAGAAGCCCTGGAGAAGGTAGCTCCTTTGTGCTGCTGGTCGTCCCGACGTCTGCCCAGCTCCAAGCAGAGAAGAGGCCCTGGAATGGGTTGCTCCTCTCTGCAGCTGGCAGACCTGCCTCTCTTCAGGTCTCTGAAGCTCTCAGTGAAGGGTAGCTCCTCTCTGCAGCTGATCATCCCATCTGCTCAGCTCTGGATATTCCTGGAGCTTTTATGGGCCTCAGAGGGGAGAAAGTGCATGCCCTTTGGTCCATGGGTGGCCATGGTCAAGCCTGGAAAGGGCACCACAAGTTCTCACTTCAACAGTGGGACTGGCAGCCCAGCCCCCAGCCTTCAGGCCCTCCCTGGCCTGAAGGTGGGGCCTCACTGGGGACCTGCCCCCATCTGTGCAGGAACCTGTTTGCCTCCTCTGCCTTCATGGTACCAGGGCTTGGCCAGACTTTGCCCCAAGATCAGAGCAGGTGCTGACAGCAGGGAGGAGCTAGGCAGTGGGAACAGGCACTTCTCAGCCTGCAAGGGCAGGGGATCCTTCCTGGGCCCCCAAGAGTACAGGGATGCCTGAGTCTGCAGCCCTGGTTTGGGTGGCTGCAGCTGCGCCCAGGAAGGCAGGGCTCCTGCCTGCTCTGTGGAGCAGGAGGCCTGGGTCTGGAGTCGCAGTTTGGGCAGCTGCAGCGGCACCCGGGGAGCTCCTGCACTAACTCAGAAGGGGCAGGGTTCCTCCTTGTCCCCAGCTCCTGCTGGCTCCATGGAGCCTGCAGCCCCGGCTGTGATTCCCTGCTGTAGCAGGTGTGATGGCAGCCAGTAGCTGCTGCCATCAATTACTCCCAGGAATCTTTATGGTCAATTCAGAAACATTATTTCAATCCCAGAATACATATGATGATTCAAAGCAATCTCAGGCATTTACTGAAGTCCTTTAATATCACATTCCAATTTCTAACTCATTGGATCTCATTTCCATTTTACAATAGTTTGCCTAAATAGTTACCATCAGGAAATGCTTCTTCAAGCTTGATTTCCATGTACGCCCCGAGCTTTCTTCACAGCTTTGTTTCTTTTGGGCCAGAAGATATTCTTTCATATTTTAATATATTTAATTTTCATCATATAAGATCTACACCATAGAATTTATTTTTAAAATTTCACAAAATACTTTTTGTCTTCTACCCTTACATTTTTTCATTCATTTGTTTTTATTTCAAAGAAAAAAACTAGAATGTGCCAATCCTTTTGGACAGAAGTAACTTAAGTGCCTATTTTTGTCATACTTTCTTGCAAGTCCTTTAGACCCTTAAAATAATTTCAAAATTTATCCTAAAATCCTCTTTGGAATAAAAATTCTTGACAATTTACTAAAATGCGTGTTATACCCTTGATAGCGGCAAGTTTCCAAATCCACGTCTGACTCTTACAGCCAGGTCATTTACCAAAGCGGCCCAATAACAGAGGTGTAAGAAAGTAGGGGTGGTTCTAGGTTCATGCCTAGGCATTAACTGGCATGAACCTAGAACCATCCTGGCACTTTTCTCTCTTCTTTATTTTCTACCTGTTTCAGGTGGGCTCCTTTTCCTGGATTTAATTTCCAAGCTTTATCCTCTGATCTCTTTTTATAATTGAATCAGCCACTAAAGATGACTTCCACCATTTTGAACCCCAGAAACTCTGTATAATTTTCAGTTTTGCTAGCCACAGCCACCCAGTCAAGTATTTACCAAACATCTACAATGTACCAGAAATAGCAAAGATATACCACTTCAGTCGCAAGTTATGTTTTGTCATGGAAAGTTCTTGTGTGTTAATCCACGGTAGCAAAATGCACACACACACACACACACACACACAATATTCCTAAGGTGATGAAAGAAAGAACTGTAAAACCTTAAACAAAATAATAGGTATATTTTAAACAATGTTGCTGGCTAGAATTTCCATACCAAGGAGATGTATACTCTAAAATGTCCAGGCCGGGCGCGGTGGCTCACGCCTGTAATCCCAGCACTTTGGGAGGCCGAGACGGGAAGATCATGAGGTCAGGAGATCGATACCATCCTGGCTAACGCGGTGAAACCCCGTCTCTACTAAAAATACAAAAAAAAATTAGCTGGGAGTGGTGGCGGGCGCCTGTGGTCCCAGCTACTCTGGAGGCTGAGGCAGGAGAATGGCGTGAACCCAGGAGGTGGAGCTTGCAGTGAGCCGACATCACGCCACTGTACTCCAGCCTGGGTGACAGAGCGAGACTCCATCTCGAACAAAACAAAACAAACCAAAACAACAACAACAAAAAAACAAAAAACAAAAAAATGTCCAGATACAGCTCACAGAAGCTTCTGGTCCACTATTTTCTTTCATTACTTCAGAATCATTTTGCTTCATGTTAGAAAAACTATGAGTTCCAATGAATGATCCAAACTGGTTTGCTGGTGGAAATTTGCTAAGACTGACTTTCAGAGTATTTTATTGACTGATATTGGTATAATTGGGCAAGAATAGTCTAGAAAAAATTCACCACCCTTGAACAATTTTAGCTCTAAAAATATTTAAAATTCTCAGTAAGACTTCTGAGAGGCCAGAGTAAAATAATGTTATAAAGCTCTTACAATGCACTAAGCTAAAATTGTTCTCCGTATGGATAATTATACCCAATTCCTTGCATTTATTATGAAAGTCAGGAAGATATTTGCCTGGGGTTGAAGGCATCGCTATATTATTACCCTTTATCAGAACTGTGGTCACATAGTTGAATTTTTTTTTAGTAAGACAATAAGGTAAAAAATCATCTTAAAAGTCAGTGCTTGACTAAAATTTGAGGCATTTTTTAATAATAGGAAATCCATGGCTCAGCCTAAGTTCCAGAGTCTGTTTACACAGAGCCAGCTGATGAAATATACTGATGCTTTTTTAAAAATTAAATGGTGCTAATAATAGATATTTTTGAGCCACTTCAAAGTAAACAAAATACAACAGAATCAGACCATATATATAGTTCTTTCCTTGTTGTAGCTCATGGTTTTGACAACAGCACTTCTTAATTTTTTTGTCTGCCTAATCTTTTTTTATCTAGTCAGGAGCATCGCCTCTCCTGTGAATTAGGCAAAAAGCAAAAATACTTACAAATATAATTCCCAGTGTCAATATTTTTTCCTGTATTTCTCTCCTTGAAGTTCTTTCAGCCTGCTACTGTGAAACTTACTCCTAGATCATTATTTTCATCCTTTAATTTTGACATTTCCACAGAACAAAGAGTTCAATTCTCATTTCCCACGAATATGACTCAGGCTATTCCCACATCTGTGCTATCACTTTTCAGAAAATAGGGACCTCCACTTTCAATCACAAAAGGAGAAGTTTATTTTTGTCCAATTCAATACGTATTTTGAGAGTTTCATCCGATAGTGAGTTTCTTTTTTCTAGAATGCTTTAGGGTTAGTTCATCAAATATTTCAACCATTTTAGCCTTCTTCTCATTATCTGTTTATAAATGAGGTAAATTTTAGGAAAAACACCTGCTGATGGCCATGGTTTTAGGCTTTCAAGTTAACAACATAGAGAAAGACACCAAGCCAAAAACATCAGTCATAAAGATTATTTCTCCTGATACTATTTTTAATTTTTAATGAGGCAAACATATTCATATACATCTATACACACATACATATATGCATTATATAAATAAGTATACATGTGCATGTGTAATTTATATGAAAACAGACTCCTTAAATGCATATGATTTTTACCTTGGACTATTTTTGAATAGAGAAAATGAAAGTAGAAAATAGGTTTAGGGAAACTTTCACAGTAATCAAGACAAAGACATTATTGATTTAAAAGAATTATTTTCCCTTTTATCCTTTTATCCAAAATTATAGTGGACATTTTAGACTGAGTAGAAATATTCAGTCTCCCCAAAGCATATTCTACTGCTTAACACTGGTGCACCCACTTTAATTCGTAGGTATACCAAAGAAATACGGACTTTGGGGTGATAGAAGGGTAATAAAACCAAGAAATATGCATTTTCCAAAGTGACATTCTGAGGCCTACATTTTAGTTGTTTACTAAAGCTCTTTTTCCATAATATACAGCTTCAAGTGAAAGCCAACAGAATCTTTAATAGCCTAAACCCAGCAGTGACTTCCCTATTTATTTTGGACAATAACAAGATTGATCAATTTTTTTGCCCTTTAATATTGTCAAGAAAGAAAAGAAATATTTGATAGTAAGATAACACCTTAAACAAAATTTGTATCCCCAACTCAACTTTTTTTTCTAATTTTTAATTTAATTTTTAATCTTGTAGTAAAGTATTACATTCCTCTGTAAAAGTATAAAAATAATAAATTTTTAGCTCAGCCATTTTTCATAAAGAAAACTCACCTATGTAACTGTCATCCACATTAAAAATAGAATGCTATTAACAACCAGAACACCCAAGTTCCCTCTCAATCACTCTAGCCCTTGACTAGCATCCACTATTCTGTCTTTCAAAATACCACGTTGGTTTGCTTGTCTTAAAACTATGTAAATAGAATTATACAGTAGTTTTCGTTTCATTTCTTACTTCCATGAGGTGAAGTCTCAAGATCTGTACATTGTTATTTCATGTAGAAATAGTTTGTTAATTTACATTACTGCATATTAATTTTTATGAATTAATATATCCATTAGTGATGAATATTTGATATCTACGATTTTATAGCTTTTATGAATATTGATTTTATGAACATTCATATGCATGTATTGTGGTAAACATACATACTCATTTCTTTGAGTATGTACCTAGAAAGTGGAATTCCTGAGTCCTTCAGTATGATTTTAAAGAAATTGCCAGTTTTTAAAAGAGGTTTTAACCAATTTTTTTCTTCCATCAATACTGTATGAGTGTTCCAGTGGCTTCATAGCCTCCTTAATTTTAGTTTTTTTTTTTTCATTTTAGTCATTCTGGTGGTTGTGAAATGATCATTCATGGTGGAGGCTAATGAATTTGGCTATTTTTTAATATGCATATGAAGTATTTTGCTATCTTCTTCTTAAAATGACTTATTAAGTTTTTTTCTCTTTGTCTTTTGGGTTGCCTGTATTTTTCCTCAATGAATATAAGAGTTCTTTCTACAATGTGAGTGTTGAGACTTCATAGGTAATGTATAATATAAATATGTTCTCCTATTTAGTGGCTTGCTTTTAACTCAATGGTATCTTTTCATAATCAGAAGTTCTTAATCTTAATGAAATCCACTATATCTATTTGTAATTTTATGAATAGTGATTTCGTGTCTAGTTTTTAAAATTATTGCCTATCTGAAAGCCAGGAAAATATTGTCTTATATTTTTCTCAAAAATCTTGCTTTATTTACTTTTCACCTTTAGGTGAATAACCCACTTGGAACTGACATTTCTTTATGTGAGTTGGAGTATCATCTCATTTTTTTTCCATAAGACTATCCAATTAATCCTTTTTATATAGCTCTACAGTACCATCTTGGTCATGAATCAATTTGTGATATATGTGTAAATCTGTTGGTGGATTCTATTCTGCTTCATTAGACTATGAATATGCCAATACCACACTGCCTTGATTATTTGGCTTTATAAACCTCAATGTCTGAGTTTCCTCAAATTTTCTTTCTTAACCTTTCTTTATTAGTCTTAGAATTGATTATTATTGGCCAATTGTATTTCCATGTAAATTTTATAATCAGGTTATCAATTTTTACAAAAAACCTATTGGAGTTTTTATTAAGGTTTAATTAAAAATGTGAATCTGTTTTTGGTGAATGGACTTCTTTGCAATGTACATGATATATTCTATGTTTAATTATTCTGCAATTTTTGAAACTAAATTACTTCATCACATTCTGAAGAGGAAGTCCCCATAGGAGTTTAAATTTCAAATTACCTTACCTAAATTAGAGACCTTAAAAATATATTGCAAATGAATATACATGAGAGATTGGGCTTTCAGGAATCAGGACTATCATACAAGTAGAAAGGCTTTTGCATTCTATTTCATAGTTTATATGAGAAATATTTGGAAGCTCACATAAACATGTAAAATTCTTTTCCAGTTCTATTGTTTAGTTTTATTCTTATCTTTGATTTAATAAGTACATTAATTGTCAATCAACCACCAGGATTCCAAAGAGATATTGAGAGAAGACAGAATATAGGAAAACCATTCAGCTACTTTCCATTGTAGTGGGCCCTACTTTTTATTAAACTGTGTAATTGAACCGTATATGGAGACAAAGGCAAAGTTAGTTATGTCAGAATACAGAGTAATCTGTAACACGTTAAAAAAGAAAAAAGGTAACTAATAAAGTTTTTGAAAACTGAAACTCCTCTATTCAGTCCAAATCATAGTCTCAAGATTTGAGGACAATATTTCATGTCAACAGATTACACAAAAGATCTCTGGTATAGTAGACTATAAAAAAACAGCCAAGCAAGCCAGTTGTAAAAAACTGGCCTTTTCTGAAAACTAGTATATTCTCTTTATCTGTTTCATAATGTATTTTTAATAATATTTTCATTGTACTTATTTCTTGACAAAGTCTGATAATATATGCATAAATCATCTGTTATTGAAATTGGGTATTCTAATTCAACATATCAACCAAAATTGCATCTTTCCTTTTGCTAGGATAAATTGGGCTAAAGAGATCATTTTTAGGTCAAATTTTCACTTGAAAGGGAATCAAATGTACTTTCTAATTATATTTAACATTTTCTTACTTACTTTATTTAGTTCGTCAGATAAATTAGATATCTGCAGGCCAGCTATGAACAGACAAGAAGAACAACGTTGCTCTCTTTCTAAATGATATTATTTCTTTTATCTCAACCATGAATGTCCATTGTGAACAATAAAGCCTATTATTAACTGAGGAAATATTTTAAGATCGAATACAGTAAAATGAGCATTGTTGAATTTGGACAACATAATCATGCAGGTAAATGTATGATACCTAATAATCTTATTCAGTCTCTGAACTTGCTCAGCTATTTAGGGGAACATTTTATATTTCTGTATCTTAATTGGCTTACCAAAAAGGCAGATTTTTTCAAAATTAGGTCTTACATTAAAAATACACAAATGGATTTTTCTTAATGTGGTTTCTGTTACTAATATACACTTTAAATATTTTAGATAAAAAAAGGTCTCTTCCATGCTTTTTGGAACAAAATATTGGGTCTCAGTTATATACTTATTAAACTACTTAGATTAAAATTTCTTTTTTGAGCTGGGTGCGGTGGCTCATGCCTGTAATCCCAGCACTTTGGGAGGCCGAGGCGGGTGGATCACGAGGTCAGGAGACCGAGACCATCCTGGCTAACATGGTGAAACCCCGTCACTACTAAAAATACAAAAAATTAGCCGGGCATGGTGGCGGGCGCCTGTAGTCCCAGCTACTCGGGAGGTTGAGGCAGGAGAATGGCGTGAACCCGGGAGGCGGAGCTTGCAGTGAGCCGAGATCGCACCACTGCAGTCCAGCCTGGGCAACAGAGCGAGACTCCGTCTCAAAATAAAATAAAATAAAATAAAATAATAAAATAAAAAATTACTTTTTTGAAAACAAAATACATGTTCCATACTAGTAAGCATCCATGATGCCCATATGTCTAATGATTCTTCCACATATGGGTAAGAATAAATCACAAGATTCTGAATCTCCGAAAGTTCGTTTTCTGACCTACTTAGATCGAAAGCACATTTAGCACTTTAAGCACTTTTTCTCAGGCCTGAAAAATGAACGTATAGCTATAAATCAACACGGCATAGAGGAAATAGCAGCAAACAGGGAACCAGAGGATGTGCTGTTTGGTCTAGAGCTGCCACTCCTCACAGTAGATTGTGGACACGGTGCTTAACCTCCCTGAGGAGGCCATGTTTGAGCGGAGTATTGACTGACAAAGCGGAGACAGCGAAGGTCTGTGTAAGATGCTGAGGAACTACATCCCCTGCCTTCTGTTCCCTTCATGGCTACGTCCATGGGATGTATAGGATGTGTAGTTTTTATGCTTCATTGAATTATTAATATGCTGCTTCTTTTTTAAATACACCCGTTCAATTCTCAGAACATGATATTATAAATAAAAGATATTGGGGTCAAATTTAGAGACTTTGAGTTATTAATCGGGTTAAAAAACAGTACTTCAAAATTTTGTCTTACTATACACTGTATTTCTTTTCTTCTTTTTATTTTGAGTTCTGGGATATATGTGCAGAACGCGCAGGTTTGTTACATAGGTATAAATGTGCCATGGTGTGATAGTACGACACTACAACATTTTGTTTACTTTAAATGAAAGTTGTACATAAGCTATCCAGTGTTTGAAGAAAATTCCTATTTCTATATCTCAGAAATCTCATAATAAATCTTATCCTTGTACACAGCATCATCAGTATAAGGGTTTGCTTACCTAAAGATTCATATATTTCTTTCTCCTTGATAATCTTGAATTCTCTGAATAACCATGAAAATATGGCATTGAGACATTTAAGGCCTGCCTCTGAAAATATCATCTTCTTGAGGACAGAATTTTTTGAGAAATAATAGCTTATTTACCAAATGGAAAATTTTCACTTTTATTCATCAAACATGTACGTTAGAAAACTATTAGAAGAATGCAAAGAAGAGTGAATAGATTATGTAATTTTATTTAGTGTGCATTTGTAAATTCTATCAATTTTTAAAAATTAATTGAAAGTGTAAAATAACGTAACGATCTTAAAATTTAGGTTCTCTTGTACTTAGGAAAACCTAATGCTATTCCAAGTTTTTAAAACGCTAATTGAAATTTGTGGCTTTTTCTTTTCCTCCACCTAAAAATCCCATTGAATCTGATGACCCAGCCTAGATTTGCTTGTCAAGAAACTGATAATTTTTAATTTTTGTGAGATTAACGAGTAATAGCAGAAAACGTATTTATACAGTTGTATGATGAGATATACCAGCTTATAAATAGTTAATTTTTTTATTCACTAAGAAAAATATTGTTTTCCTATATTCAGAATAGTGGAAATACATAATATTAAAGTTATAATTTTAACTACATTGTAAAAGGTACAGTAATTACATTTGCCAAAAGGTAAAAGTGGCTTCGAGAACATTTGTGCAATTCAAGATTTTCAATTCTATTAGCTGTATTGAAAGTTCTCTCAAATCACAAAGCAGAAATTACAAAATTGGCAGAATGACTTTGATTAGGTCAAGTACTTTGTAGATGGGGAAAGATTATAGTGATAAATCCTTTTGAAATAGAACAACCTATTCAGTTTTACTTTCAACAAGCCCTTCTTACATCTCACACGATGATGAACTACAGAAATAAAAAGGTAAATGATGTTAAGACCTTTGCTCTCAAAAGAAAATAACAAAAACAAAACCTAGAGCCCTTTCTAAGGTTAAAATCAGCTGTCTTTTTACAGAATTCATTTTGGATTTTCATTCTGAAGACTTCCAACCAATAGGGTAGCCTTTGCCAGAAATTCATTATGGTTGTATACATAAATATTATTTATATGAGCCAACTGTACTGTGATCAATTTTAGTAAATTATTTACATACTTTCAATGTTTATGTTTAATTGAAATATGCCAATGCTTTTAGAGTTTGTTAAATTCATAAAAATGTATGCATGTATACAAGGGAACTTGACTATATCTTATTAATTTAATGAAGTTTGATATAAGGCAGACGTATTTTTGACGCTAGTCAAAAAGTGTTAGTTGCCGGGCGTGGTGGCTCACGCCTGTAATCCCAGCACTTTGGGAGACCAAGGCGGGCAGATCACGAGGTCAGGAGATCGAGACCATCCTGGCTAAAACGGTGAAACCCCGTCTCTACTGAAAATACAAAAAATTAGCCAGGCGTGGTGGCGGGCGCCTGTAGTCCCAGCTATTCGGGAGGCTGAGGCAGGAGAATGGTATGAACCCAGGAGGCGGAGCTTGCAGTGAGCCGAGATCGCGCCACTGCACTCCAGCCTGGACGACAGAGCGAGACTCCGTCTCAAAAAAAAAAAAAAAAAAAAAAAGTGTTAGTTACAGAATTAATAAAACTCCATATATTACATATTATATTGCACATGTGTATTTTTAAAAATAACTTGAAGTTCCTTTGAAAGCACAATTTTGTTTTAAATGCATTTTGGAAAATGCACACTGGGATGACACTCCAATCATTTTAATGAAATTTTTATTTTTAAAATAAAAAATATGTGTTGAATCTTGACTAGATCAATATTCACTGTATAAAAAAAATAAATTAAAGTGGCTATATTATGGACCCAAATAAAAAAGGTTAATTTGAAACAGATTTTGACCTGCATATTGGTACCACCACATGAGCCAAAAGCACAACACCAAGGCACAGCTCACTATTTTATTTTTTTCTCAATGTAACAAGATTTTAAAAAATAATAAAAAGATGGAAGGAACTAGAGTAAGAGTGGGAGAATCCCTTTTTAGTCCAGTAGGATTTGGTCTGGCATGCAAAATATTTCAATTGCTTATGGTAGATAGCAATTCAAATATTTGACTATAGGAGTTATTTACTTAAAGATTGTGAAGAAAAAAATGCAAAACCCACTCCAAATTTTACTGATCTACAGCCTGGAACTTCTCACACACTTTAATTTTCAAAAGAACATATCAACCCCACATCTCAGAGTCAACAATAGGTATCTTTATCATGAATGGCATTAAAAGGGATGATTTTTTTGTGTGTGATCTCATTATGAACTCTGTCGTTTGAGGACAGCCTCTTCATTTCTTGGAATGTATAACATGGGCAACCAGCATTTGGGATGCATGCACTCCCACCATCTCTGTTTTATATATATATATCTTAATCACTGCAACATTCTAATTCAGGCCATGTTGATTTAAGGATAAAACTAGAGGCTGGGCGCGGTGGCTCATACCTGTAATCCGAGCACTTTGGGAGGCCAAGGCGGGCGGATCACAAGGTCAGGAGATCGAGACCATCCTGGCTAACACAGTGAAACCCCGTCTCTACTAAAAATACAAAAAAAAAATTAGCCTGGCGTGGTGGTGGGCACCTATGGTCCCAGCTACTCCAAAGGCTGAGGCAGGAGAATGGCATGAACCCGGGAGGCAGAGCTGGAAGTGAGCCAAGATCACGCCACTGCACTCCAGCCTGGGTGACAGAGACTCCATCTCAAAAAAAAAAAAATAAAAATAAAACCTAGAATTATATATACCCTATATGGAAATGTAGTGGGTTTTGAAAGATTCCAATAATAAGTACAAATATGGAATTATCTATAGAAAAACAAATGCTGAATGCAATACTATGTTAATAGTAGTTATTCATTGATATGGTTTGCATTTGTGTCATCCCCCAAATCTCATGTCAGATTGTAATCCCCAGTGTTGGAGGAGAAGCCTGGTGGGAGGTGATTGGATTATGGGGGTGGATTTCCCTCTTGCTGTTCTCATGATAGCGAGTAAGTTCTTGGGAGATCTGGTTGGTAAACTCCCCTCTTCTCTCTCTCTTCCTCCTGCTCTGGCCATGTAAGACGTGCCTGCTTCTCCTTTGCCTTCTGCCATGGTTGTGAGTTTCCTGAGGCCTCTCCAGCCGTGCTTCCTGTAGAGCTTGTGAAACCATGAGTTAACTAAACCTCTTTTCTTCATGAATTACTCAGTCTCAGGTAGTTCTTCATAACAGTGCAAGAATGGACTAATACATTCATTATAAAGGAAATATCCAAGAGCCAAATGGAAGCAGACTACCAAGTAAACTGAGGTGGCAGGTTTGTGATAGCAACCAAAAAAAAAAATAACCCAACAACCTATAGTAACCAAGCTTTCCATGGAGAAATGGAGAACGAATAACACTGAAATATGTGTGTGCTGAACACTGGTCTTTGCCACTTCTATTGGTTGACAGGACAGATCACCCCAACTCTTTCTGTATATTGCTCTTTATAAGCCTTCACAACAACAAAAGTCTGAACACGCTCATAATATAAACTAGTCTGGGATTTCCATGAGCTAAAGATTTGAAAGATTATTAAATATAGCTGTGCTTTTATTTATGAGCAGCTCTTGACCCTCTTTTTCCCCTACCATCCAAAACCTCTAATAGGAAAAAGAAAATTACATATTTCATGTCATGTTTTCATTTACAGATAACAATCACTAGATTTGCCCCAAGAATATACATCTAGCTTGCATTTTCGTGATTTATAAAAGCCTCATGGATTTTTTTTTTGACTAGAGCTATGTCACTGATATTAAAATTGGCAGTCTTAAAGGGATTTCTTTTATTTGACAAAACATATTGTGCTCAAGGTTAATAATACATTTCAGCAATGTACATAGTGCTCTTGGCAGACATGTGCTCCGTTTCATCATTTTGATAGGCAGATCCTTCATCATTTGATAGGCAGATTCTTCTTCATAATAAGTAAAATCCTGCCAAAAGTTAATGCTCTGAATTGCTTTAAAATTCATTTTAATGTAAATTTGGATAGAACACTCCTTTCTTGCTATCAGACTAGCAAGTCAGTGTAAGAAAACTGGTTGGCCGGAAAGGAAGTTGGTAATTTTAATAGGAAACTCATTACAAAACAGTAAGTGGGATAAAATCGCACTTCCATGTTTGTTGGGAAAATCTGAAAAGTTTTGTTGCTTATGGGGAGAGAGAAAAAAGACTACTGAGAAGATTATGTCTAAAACCAAATTCCAAGCCACCTTTTATCAATAAAAACATAATACTAAATGTTGATATTTTTAGCAAAAGATAACAAAGTACAAGTATTGAGATTCTGGAAGGACATCACGCAAATGTTGTTGAAACATATATGGATTAAAATAATCTTACTGTGCTCTGTTACTGGAGTTCATTATAAATATGGTCTCTAAAAGTAATGTTTAGGTTAACCCACAGTTAAAACAATGTATAATTCCAACATTTTTTCTCTCATTAAAAAGAAAATTTAAATTGCCCTACTTTGCAAAGGTTATAAGAGTCTCATTTTGTTTGGCATCAAAAACTGCAAGAAAAGTCTACTACAAACTAACAAATATTTATTGGGCCTTTGTGATGTGCCAGCTTCAGCCAGTTATGGGAAAACAGATTCAAATATGTTTCTTGCTATTATGGGTCTTAAAGTGTACCTGGAGAGTAAGTCAATGAAAGTAGGATAGCACTTCCTGCTATAATTGTTTGTGTGAATGTTTTGCATAAATTTGGGGGTATAGGCATAAAGGAACTGACGATAGTGACTTTTTCAGAAAATTTCTCTATAGGCAGTGTGATTCATGAACAATACATAGGGATTATCTATACCATTTTAAAAATAGAAAGGAAGGCTTTTTGTTTGGAATGACCAATAGATTTGAAATAATATTACCCTTAGGATTATGACAATTAAGGCCATCTCACAAGCCTAGAGCAAATACTACCATTGGAAATAAGATGGAGGAAGCAAGTAAAAACTAGATGATGAAATAACTTTGGTGCAAAGCTAATTACTGTGCAAATTATTATAAATATTATAGAGAATCATTAAAAGATTATAATGTCAATAAAGTTTTGGTCATTCTTGATGTGCCGATTTCTTCAGTGGTATATTATTAAAAGGGGAGACAGCTGAAATGCTTGGGGCCCACAACAAAGAAACACATTTGGATAGACAGAATGGAAAAATTTATCACAATGGTTTTCCATCTCTCTGTCCCCCTCCCAACACCCCGCTCACTAGTGAGAGTTACTTAAGAAAGAATACAAAACTTGTTAATTTCTAAGTATCAGAAATAGAGAAGATAATCAATAACATTACAAAAAAATAGTTTGTAGCCTTAAAACTGCCATGTTTTAAGTTTCATAATAACTGTTTCCTAGTATTAGCCAAAGATGTGACTAAATTGATAAAATATTAAGTAAGTATAAAAATACTTGAAAAGGCAAATAATTATACACACCTAAATTAAAAACATTGAGTAAGAACTAAGAGATCCTGCAGAAACTGATCTGTTTTGGCCTTATAAACTCTACATATATTCTTTTAAGAGGAGTTAAACTTCCTTTTGTAAACCCTGGACAGGACATGTGTACTATCGCAATGTTGTATGCAGATTAGAACATGCTGTCAGGCCTTGAGTTAATTGAGTTGCAACTTCCCAGGGAAGTTGAACCTGTCACTCTGACTCCACCAACTTATCTAGTGATGCCTAACAACTCAGGGCTAACAGGACACCCTGGCTGAAGAGTTAGTGCAGTTTCCTAAAGTGTTTACACTTGGTTTCTCACTGGAAAATCTGGCTCATCACACATCCAGAATGTATGAAGCAATTTAGATCTACAGACAATAGCCAGATGGGCTGCCTTGAAGAAAAAAAGTCTCTTGTTTACAGATAAAGTAAGGAGAGAAATGCCGCCTAAGGCCAAGTGCCCAAAAACTGCCTGGGCAAGCTTCAGGGGGCTAAATTCCCAAACTCAACCTGCTGTCTCCAGAGGGTAAATTTTTGTATTGGAATGTATTATAGAGTTCATGATAATTGTTTGTATTCTATTGAAGCAACAACTCATTTTGCATGGATTAGGAAGCCCTTTACAGAGATATGCCATGAGGGAAAAAATTGCCTTTGATATAACAAATAAGCAGAATTAACCTTGAAATGAAGATTATAATACATTACAGTGCTATGTAGAAAATATCAGAGAAGTCAGAAGTAACTCTGTGTAAAGAGTAAAAACCTTGACAAGACTAATTCTTTTTCATTTTTTTTTCCTAGAATAGAGATTTGTTTTTATTTTTCACTTTAAATGATGTAAGTATGAAAATAAATCTCATTTTTATATACTTAAAATCATACACTTTATGTCATTGAAATGAGACAGGTACATAACAAGGTATCTTACTCTTGTTTGTTTAGAAAAAAGAAAAACAATAGCATCTTACAAGAGCAGGGATAAAATAATAAATGTCCTAGATGATGACTTGGATTTGAAAAATATTCAAATTTTATCTCGTTTCCTATATAAATCTTTGAACGTACTGCTCCATATCGAATTCTACATTGGTTTCTTCTCTTTCCATTTTAATGAGTCTTTTCTAGAAAGTCAAGATCTCTTGAGTTTGGGGAAATGTAATCAACTCAAAACTGTTCAACAGCACAGAACTTTGCAATGTTTATGGAGTGAAAGCACAGCCTGCTGCGATGAGTTATGTCTGTAAAAAAAAAAATTAAACTTTGATAATCCATAAGTCCTAGCCTGGGGGGGTACAAGCATATGTTTATGTGTGTGTGTGTGTGTGTGTGTGTGTGTGTGTGTGTATTTTTACATATACAAATATGTCTGTTAAAAAGTGGCCTGTATATCCAAAGTGTAAGCTAGGTATAAACCTTTGGGGTCTATAAATAGTATCTGGTAATGTGTTACAAAATGTAAGATATCACTATTATGAACTTTTCTTTTTTCGGGAAGAAACTGTCTACATCTGAGTTGAGTCTGTGAAATTAGTCATTGTAAAAGCAACTAGTTAAAAAGGCATTTACCTTTAATTATTTTATTTAAATTTCAACCCATGACTAGTAAAGCAATGAAGAAAAGGTATTTTAAAGTTAAGAATACTTCTATCTTTATAAAGAAGTAGATACTATTCCAATCTCATTAGGAAAAATAATCTGCACGCCTAGAGAAGCCTTAATCAGCATGTATTGAGCATCAACTAAGTGCAACATTTCTGTTAAGACACTGTTAAGGATCAACGAAGAAATAAAACAGTATCTCCAAGAAAGTTGACTCTATACTTTCCCTGAGCATTAGAGTCAACTGGAAAGTCTTTCAGAATACCAATTTACGTTATCAGTCTAATGATTCTAAATCAGAATCATGTGGGTGTGGAAGTCAGGAATCAGATTCCCCAACTGATGGAGGTACAACCCAGCTAGAAAAATGCTATATTGGAGAGGTTCTTCCCAAATACCAGTGTTCATAAGAATCACTTGGGAATCTTGATAAAATACGTTTTCTTATGGAGTAGGTGTGGCTTCCACACAGAAATTCTGTGAGAAGCTACATCCTCAATCAGCTCTACATGTTGACGTGAAGCTGTAATTTAAAATTTAGAGGACAGAAGAAACCATAAAGTAACCAAGTTAATTTAAAGTGATTCCAGACTAATAGTGCACTAATGTCTGGCAGATGAAATATACCTTCCCTCTGTAGGAATCCACCACTATTTTGGCACTTGAATAATTCCCACAAATAAATTGTTAAATAAAACAAAGACTTCAGGAATAACACTCTTTTAAAGTAGTGATCTCCTTTGCTGAAGTAGGAATAAACTGAGCTTTATTCTATGAACAGATCGTTTTGATGGTTTTTGGGGGGAGGAATATTTAAAAACCTAAACTAAAAATCTGAACTGAAAAAATGACATTGGAAACTGTTCATAGTAAATGTTAAGTAAAAAAAAGAAGGCTACAAAATTGTATATATATATATATATATATATATGGTGCAGTCCCATTTGCTTAAAAATATGTATATATAAAAAAGAGGTAAGAGCTAAAAATTCACACACCAAATGTTAACTTGTCTCCAGGATAAATAAGCATGTACTACTTTTAATCAGAGACAAAAACCAGTGTGTTTTCAAAAAGTGGAGAGCTAAGTCTCTGTTCTAACTTCTTGCTATCATTGTTGACAATATGTTCATATTAATTCAGCACCATTTATGGCCTCTTAGCCAAGCATATCCTGTTTGTGACAGTATAAGTCATTGTAATGGAAAAGATTATGATGCACTGGCCTGATCTAAGACTTCACTGCATTCATCAGCCACAGGAGACAAAGACATGCACTTTTTTCATAATTTTTTTAGTAATAATTGACTATTAGAGAAAATGAATGGCACATAATAATTACGGGCAGACAAGATGGTCAGCAAATCAAACTGGGAAATGCAGTCTCAGTTTTATTAATGCGGTGATTTCAGAACATTACAAAGATATTATTGTTTTGTTCTCAGTCTACTCCTGAAATCACTGTTTTTACCAGAAGTTTCAAAATTCTTTGCTGACCGCAGTGACCCCCAATGTGTTTTTAATTCAAGAATCCAGTAATCCCACATCAAGGATTTGGTGCTGAACATTTTATGTTTAATAATATTCAGGGTCATTTTGAACTCCTCCCTGTGCACATAGCCAGTAATAATGCACGGTGATATTGCAGTAACATTTCTTGCCTCTGACTAGCTGCCTGCTGCCCAGGCATAAAATCTTAAAAGTTTTATTTTCCATTAAACTTGAAATATCAAAAAAAGGAGTCAGGACAGAAACATATTGACACATAAAAGACATGAAATTGCATAGGCCACCAGAGGTTTTTAGGAAAACTGTGGATGTTGGAAAAGGTCTTTTAGAGCCTACACCTAAAGCCTTTCCTCTGATTCAGTGTCATAGGCAAAGAGTGCTTTTGCAATTTCATGGATAAAGGCTCAAGCAGAGAGAATTCAGATGTAGATCCTGAGGCACATGTGCCTGGGTTTCTCTACTTTTTTTTTGAATGATGTTAAACCAAAAATAAGGAATTTATTACACAGGCAAAAACTAGAATGACAATTAGTTCCATTGCCAGATTTACAACACCAATCTGTGCATTTTGAAGAAGGCTAACAAAAATAAAATAAATCTTATACTAAATTGTTGGCTTTGAGAAAACGAAAAATGGGAATGACCCTACTGCAGTCACTAAACACAGTAGGATAGATGGTTCTCTTGGGAAATATTCTTATAGATTATATAAACAGAAAGGACTTTGAAGAAAAAGATCAACCTACATTAATAAGCTAAAATTTAAAAATTGAGCGAGCAATGGAGGTGCTCAAAGGTAGAATCAGTAGCCTGATTTCTTGTTTCACCCTTAAACTCACAAAAAGACATCTCTCTAAATAATAAAGGACAATATTTCAAAATTATTGCTGATAGAGGTAGACAAAGCTTACCATTACATAGTCTTTCTATGTATTCTAAATTTGTGGTGAGCTCTGAGACTGATTCTATTTTCCTACTTACACTTCCAGCTCAGAAAAGACAAAAGATTTCTAAAGACAAGTGAACATGTTGTTCAAAGTTCAAACCTAGGCCATAATTTATCTCAAGGAAACATTTTTTTTCTCTTGAGACCATATAGACTATAAGTTTTCCAGGCCTGATAACCAAGAGAAAATTTGGAGTATTCTGGGATCTTACTAAAACCTGCAGGCAATGAGGTCCTAGGGTTTTCTGAAATATCCATAGCACCCATGACAGCCAAGTAGTCAGATACTTAATGAAACTGTAATACAAGTTGTGATAGAATAAGCATGGTCTCCATTCTTTCTGAAGGAAGCTACCTTGCACTTGGTTTTCTCCCCTGGCTAGCTTCCTATTGGTCACTTTCGTGTGTTCATGCAGTCAAGAATAGCTTATCCACCATCACAAAAATCAATGTAAAAGTCTGAACCTAGCTCACTCTTGGACCCCAGAGAGAAAAATAATTTTCTTCCACTTCAATTTAGTCCTGCCTCAGTGAGCCCTCTGATACTGCCTCAGAATTAAATCTTCCCAGCTTATATGTTTGAGAAAATTCTAAACACTCCACAACCTCAAAGCTCAGTCAAGATAACAATATAATAGTTCAGCACTTCCTTTCTTGAAGTCAGTATTAGGTACTATTTTTTAAATCTCAGGTCATTCATTTATTTGCCCAGACTTCCCTTTATTATAGACCAAAAAAGATGTTTAAGCATGATTTGCAAAAATTTCCATCCAAATGCCACCTCTCTAAATATCTGCTTATGGAATTATACAATTTAAACATTCGAAGTTTTACAGAAACAGGAAAGACTATCTCCAGCATTATAATAAAAGTATTTATTTATTTATTCATTTTTTTAATTGTGTGGGTACAAGTAGGTGCATATATTTATGTGGTACAAGGGATGTTTTGATACAGGCATGCAATGTGAAATGAGCACATCATAAAGAATGGCAGTATCCATCCCCTCAAGCATTTTTCCTTTGAGTTACAAACAGCCCAATTACACTGAAGTTATTTTAAAATATTCAATTAAATATACAATTAAGTTATAATTGACTATATAGTCAACCTTTTGTGCTATCAAATAGTAGGTCTTATGCATTTCTTCTAATTTTTTTTCCTATAAAGGGAATTTTTTTCCCTTAAAGCTGCAGCTGTCAAGTTTTATATAAAATTTGTTAGTGGATATGGTTAGAAATGGATTTTGAGGCTGTGCGTGGTTGCTCATGCCTATAATCCTAGCACTTTGGGAGGCCGAGGTGGGCAGATTTCCTGGACTCAGGAGTTTGAGACCAGCCTGGGCAACATGGTGAAACCCCGTCTTTACTAAAAAATACAAAAAATTAGCCAGGCGTGTCGGCGTGCGCCTGTCATCCCAGCTACTCAGAAGGCTGAGGCAGGATAATTCCTTGAACCCTGGAGGTGGAGGTTGCAGTGAGCCAAGATCGTGCCACTGCACTCCAGCCTGAGCAACAGAGCAAGACTCCATCACCATTAAAAAAGAAGAAGAAATGGATTTTGACATCCCCCCAACAAATTGATTTGTTAGACTACCATATACACAGCTAGGCATTAACCAGAAGGATGACAAGAGGAAGAAACTGATGATGAT
Source organism: Homo sapiens (assembly GCF_000001405.40). Taxonomy (NCBI): domain Eukaryota; kingdom Metazoa; phylum Chordata; class Mammalia; order Primates; family Hominidae; genus Homo; species Homo sapiens. The sequence goes on from NC_000021.9 coordinate 20,557,495, forward strand.
AGGAGAAGAATATCTTATCAGGGGAAGGGGAACCTGTGGAGGATTTGGAAAGAGAGAAGCAGAGAAACATAATAAGCAGGTTTTTTAAAATTTACACATATATATGTGTATATATATATTTTTTTTCTTTCTTATTTTTTCTTTCTGAGTTTAGATTTTGCAAGTTAGGGGGTGCATTGATATTAATAATTATAACTCTTTTACAATTCTGAGGAAAATGTCAACGTCAGACCGTGCTGTCCATGCCTAGAACATGGGCCAGTCAAATGGATGATGCAAATTGAGACCCAAAGAGTGCAAGCGTGAAATCTATGAGTACATGAAGACACCTTGCCATGGCTTCAGGGAACCCATCTCAGATGGGTACTGTGTGAGAGTTGGTGGATCTCCTGAGTGGACCACTATTTTAGGTTGAGTTAGACAATAAACAGGTGCTACTGGGGGACAGTAGCATCAGCAAGTTGGTTGGAGAACACAGCAGAAATTCAGGATCTGCTTCTGTCAGGGCAGATGAAGCCAAATCAGTAAGCAAAAGTTGCCAGGTTTTGAATCAACTGGAAAAGACAACTTAAATTATGAGTTCAGTCAAACATGGATTTCAGCTTGCACTGAGTATTACAGACCCAGTGAACGAGGCAAAGACATTTTGCAGAGCCAGGGGCCCTCTCTTTGCCAAGCACCCAACACTTATGTGAAGGAGAGAAGCAGGTGCAAGTGTTAGAGAGGGATATGTAGCTGAGAGTCTGGATACTTTAATGAAACAAAGCCTTATATACAAAGACTGTTTAAATTAGTATCTGTGATAAATGTCACTAATGAAAACAGGGCGTTTCCATCTCCATTCTGGTTATGCAGCAGCATGCTGGAATCCAATTAACCATCCAATTGTAGTTTCTGAAGAAATCGACATAACAGGTTATAACAAGTTGAAAATGCTATTTTCTCCACATATCAGAGTTGTCATGAACAAATTTTGACACCCCTCTCTACAAGCTTTCATTATTGTTGCTTTTTCCACCTCTTACAATGAAAAAAACTCTACATAATTTAATTTAAATGCTTTCTCTAATTTAGTAGTAGGTTGCCAGCATTTAAGTAATGCCTAAGATACAATAGGTACAAAATTATCATTGTTAACTAAGGTAATCAATATTTATTGAAGATTTTTGCTCCTTCTCTTGTGAGTAACTCTTTTCTAGCATATGAACCTTGAAAATCAACCAGGAAAAGAATATTTCCACTAAAACTAAACACAGAAATGGAATACACATAAGGACACATACGTCTCAAAATAAGGTTTGACAAAATAAATATCAATGGACAAAAATTCACAAATAATTTCTAAATTTACGCTCTCTATAAATACTAATAAATGAGAAAAATTTCAGGCACTGATAAAACAGGAAAAAATGGGTACTTTTTAAAAAATATAATTTGGACTTTTATTTTAGATTCAAGGAATACATGTGCAGGTTTGTTAATATGGGTATATTGCATAACACTGAGTTTTGGAGGCACAAATAATCCTGTCACCCACATAGTGAGCATAGTATCCAATAGGTAGTTTTTCAGCTCTTGTCCTCCTTCATCTATTCCCTGTTTAGTAGTTCTCAGTGTCTATTGTTCTCATCTTTATGTCTATGGATACCCAAGGCTAACTTTCAACTTATAAGTGCCTCCAAAACTCAGTGTCGTGTAATAGACCCATATTAACAAACCTGCACATGTACTCCTTGAAACATCCACTTATAAGTGAGGTTAGCATTGGGTAGCCGTAGACATAAAGATGAGAACATGGTGTATTTGATTTCCTGTTCCTGTGTCAAGTCACTTGGAATAATAGCCTCCAGCTGCATCCAAGTTGCTGCTGCAAAGGACGTGGTTTCATTCTTTTTTATGGCTGCAGAGTATTCCGTGATGTGTATTTGCCATATTTTCTTTATCCATCCATAACACATGTTATTTTTAAATCTCAAACAGCTTACAATCTGCATAGTGTACAATATATATGAGTAAACACTTGTGTAAGTATTGATAATTATCATTCACAGATTATTTAATACGTGTCTTACATTGTTCAGGACATTCATACATATTTCCTCATTTAATTATTAATATGCTGTGATTTATTATTATTACTCCTACTTTTTAGATAGAAGCACTCAACAGTTGAGAGCCAAATAATCTGCTAATATTACAGAGTGTAGAAATTTCACACCTGGTACTCAAACCCAGGCCATCAGACCTCAATGCCCTTCCTCTTAAAGTCTACCCCAGGAAATCAAAGAGAAAACTGAAAATTGGCCAGGAGCTAGAGGGAATATTACATACAGTGCAACACTGTCATACGGCTGACTTCTTAGAAGTAATGGAGACTAAAATTTAACAAAATAACATATTTAGAGTTCTAAAAGATTATTTTGTAATCTGTCAACCCAGAACTATCTATCTAGTGGGACAATCCTTTCAAATGAAGCTAAAACAAAAGCATTTTCAAACAAAAATGCCTCAGAGATTTTGCACTCAACAGACAGGAACTACAAAAAATGGTCAATGAGAATCTTCAGAAAGAAGGGAAATGATATATGATAGAATGCAGATCTTCCAGAAAAAAAAGATTGCTAGGAAACTGAAAATTGAGGCTGCCTATACATTACCTTGTAATTATTTTTATGAATGATTTTATGTGTGTGTATATAAAAATGAAGATGTATTAAAAGATGAAGAGAAAGAATTTAAAATGAATACAAAATAGGTGAAACCAATACAATATTTGTGTATGTTAGATACGTATTCAAATATGCCAATATTTGTATTAAAATTAAATATTAAAATAGGTTTAAAATATATGGGGGAGAATAAAAAACGTAAATTATGCTCATAAAAGATACCAGAAGCAATTTTGGAAAAGGTAAATTGAAAGACCCCTAAAAGGTATAATTGTTTCAATTATAGCTTCCTTGGGATTATCAAGGCAGTGCTATATTGAAATGTATATAAGGAAAAAGGAGCTAGGAATTATAGATTGTTTTTTCAAATAATAGCTTTTTAGAATTTTTAGTGGAGAGAATAGAAATAACATAATAGTTCAAGGAGATAATATGGTCAAAATAGAACATTTTATAAAGTAAAATTCCTGAATGATTTTATATGTACGTTTATTTTTTTTAAAGTCTGTCCACAGTGTCTCATGCCTGTAATCCCAGCACTTTGAGATGGTATAGATGGGAGCATCACTTAAGCCCAAGAGTTTGAGACCAGCCTGGGCAACATGGAGAGACCCTGTCTCTACAAAAAATAAACATTATCTGAGGGTGGTGACACACACCTGTAGTCCCAGCTACTTGAGAGGCTGAGAGAGAAGAGTCCTTTGAGTCCCAGAGTTCAAGGCTGACATGGCTATAATCAAGCTACTGTACTCCAGCCTGGGTGACAGAGCAAGGCAATGTCTTAAAAAAGAAAAAAAAAAAAATATTGGAAAATGAGTAATTGGATATACAAATATGGAAGTAGTAAGAATTGTTGAAATAAATGGTTAAAGAATACAAGATTCTTTATAATGAAAACCATGTGTAGAAGAGATTTAATTTGCCCATAGTTGAAATAATATTTGTCTTTATGATAGCAGCATAAAGACAGATAAAAAATAATATCCATTTGGATGTGGAAGAGAGGAATTTGGGGAGGTTTGATACTAAGTCATGAGATATTGGGTCATCTGCTGAGAAGTTTCAAGCAGGGGCAAAAGGGAAACTCCTTGAGGTTATGAGAGGGATCCGTTTAGAAGTACTATTTTGACATGGGAGCAGCAGCTATGTGTGTAATATATATAAGTATTTCATTTTCAATATGTTTAAATATGCTCAAACAATTCTTTGAAACAATTACAATTGAACCCTACTAGGCCAGGCTCCAGCCTGTAATCCCAGAACTTTGGAAGGCCGTGGCAGGTGGATCACCTGAGCTCAGGAGTTCATGACCAGCCTGGGCAACATGGTGAAACCCCCTAAATCCTGTCTCTACAAAAAGTAAAAAATTAGTTGGGCATGGTGTTGTGCGCCTGTAGTCCCAGCTACTGGGAAGGCTGAGGTGGGAGGATCGCTTGAGCGCGGGAGGTCAAGGCCTCAGTGGACCGTGATTGTAACACTGCACTCAAACGTGGGCAACAGAGTGAGACCCTGTCTTATAAAAAAACAATAACAACAACTACAACAAAACACAGTTAAACCTTACTTGAAGAAAAAGGAAAATGGAGCATAGAAAGGTTGAATGGTTTACATAAGTTAACTAGAAAATAAGTAGTAGAGTCAAGGTTTTGAACTCAAGACTCAACGTTGGGAGAGCGAGAATACAGGGTCTCTCTCTGAGTCATAGGCTTTTACCCAGACTTTCTTTTAAACCAGGCTGCTGGGTGAGAAAGCACCATCTACTGGTGTTTTGGGCAGACTAAGTATTCCTTGTGCCAGATCGTTTCATGCCTTGCAGAATGTGTAACATCCTACTATATTTCAGAACCACCCTCTTACTCACTGTGAAAAAGAGAACATTTTCTAAATTCTCTCCTTTTGGTGATATTGCCACAGGCAGAAAATTATTCCAAATGTTTCTATAGCCCAGGGCCCTCTGCCCTCAGGTGCATTCCTGAAGGCAGAGGAAGAAACAAGCCCCACTGAACCCAAACTTCTTAATTTACCCTACTCTCATTCACATATTTCTTTTTCATATCTTCTGCTCTCTTGAGGCGGCTTTTACATTCTTCCCCAGAATGTAATTACAGAGCATGCCAGAGAAAACAACCAATAAAGGGACTGAAAAATATTATCCATATGGATACAGGTCTGTCAAATCATTGGTCATCCAATTAAAAGATAATCTCCCCTACAAGAGTCTGGAAACATGTATGCCTCCATTCAATTCTTATTATTACAAGTTGTACCAAGTATAGGCAAAATTACAAATGCTAAATATATGTAAGGCAAGAATGTATTGCACATTCCGTGACATGCTGCCTGATTTTCATACGATTCCATGAAATACTCTATTTTGAGCTTTATATTTTCTTAGTAGCTGCCTTTTAAACATCTGTCCTTGTAGTTCATACTGAAGGTTTTAAATTGAGGAACTAGTAACACAGTAATTGGGGACAAAACGACAACATTTCCTACATGGAGGATAAAATAGAATTCCTGGTTCCCTGTGCAATACAATTTGATATCCATTCCACTCAACACACGCAGACATATACAGGCCATACAAATTGATACACTCACCCTTTGGCCAGAGAAAATCAGCGTTAATATTGTCCATTTCACCGCTGTTCAACATGCACGACAGACGAATTTTTGGGTGTCATTGTTATTCACCAGATTGTTTCTATTAGATGTTACTTTGCGTATCTATAGTGCCTAAGAAACCACAAAAATAGGACCTCCTAGGAGAAGGTTGGTGCAAAAGGAATTGCAGTTTTTGCCACTATTTTTAATGGTGGAAACCGCAACTGCTTTGCATCAACCTAGTAACAACCATTGTAATATGTTGGCGATTTTATGGACCAGAAATCTGTGCAAACCACCACAGAGAGGACTCAGCTCGGTTCCACAATGACTGAGCTTAGGTGGTTCAAACAAGTGGAAATGACTGTCATGGCTTACTGAGGACCATAGATATGAAGTCTTAGTTTTGGCTGTTTGTTGATCCAAAATGTCTTCTTCAATCACATGTCTGACATCTGGGCTAGGCTAGCTGGACAAGTGGAGGTTGACTGGGCAACTTTTTGTCTTTGAACGGTACAAGTCTCAAGGTTGTTGGACTCTTTACATCATGACAAGGTTCTCCCAGCAGCAGCATTCCAAGAGGCTTGGGTAGAAGCTCCAAGGCTTCTGGTTTTTTTGTTTGTTTGTTTTTGTTTGTTTGTTTTTTGTTTGTTTTTGAGACGGAGTCTTGCTCAGTCGCCCAGGCTGGAGTGCAGTGGCACGATCTCGGCTCACTGCAAGCTCTGCCTCCTGGGTTCACGCCATTCTCCTGCCTCAGCCTCCTAAGTAGCTGGGACCATAGGTGCCCGCCACCACGCCCGGCTAATTTTTGTATTTTTAGTAGAGACGGGGTTTCACCATATTGGCCAGGACGGTCTCGATCTCCTGACCTCCAGATCCACCCACCTTGGCCTCCCAAAGTGCTGGGATAACAGGCGTGAGCCACTGTGCCCAGCCTACAAGGCTTCTTATAAAGTAGCTTTGGAAATCTCAGAATGTCCTTTTCCACAAATTCAATTAATCAAGTAAACAAGGCAAACCCAGATTCAAAGGGAGTAGAATTAGACTCCACCTCTTAATGGGAGAAGTAGCAATAATTTGAGGCCATCTGTAACATCCGTGGCAGACTCTGATATGTTTTACTGGCTCAGAACACACAGTGTTGAAGAAAAGTATAATCAGCTTGATTACACAGCTGTCATAGTTTAATTCATGCAAATCATACTAAAATACTTCCACAGGTTGGTTCCTTTTCTGTCCCTGATTCTACCCTGGGTTTTGTGTTATCAAATGACTCACATCAGCCAACAATTAAAATTTTTCCCCTCCTCTCACTTCTCACTATTAAACAGGTTTTATCTCATGTAAAACTGTTAGTCAAATGTAATTCATTTTTATTGTAACTTTATACCCAGGGTTTTATAGGCACTATGTCTTTGAAACTATTAGTAGACATATATGATTTTCCTGAATTCCCATCAAACGCTGTTTCTATATCATATCTTTTTTTTTCTTAATAAGATGGAGGAGATACATAAGGTCTCAATGAAAATGACAAAATTTAGGAGGCTGTAGGAAAATAAAAGCAAACACAGAAGCAGGAGAAAAAGAATGAAATAAATAAAGGAGTGATGTTGGGTGTTATGTTCCGTCATTACTTGTCAATTTAACTAACTGGCTCAAAAAGCATTATTTTAATATCAACTAATTAAATGTATTCTGTGTATAGTACTCAGTTGCTCTAATTTTTGAAATGCATAGAGACAAAATTTTTGAGAAACTATATTTTACAATTTTAACAGATTATAAAATACAAGCTCTTTTAAACATTACCATGAGATTACCTGCTTTTTAAAATCATAAAATTTCTTAATTTAAATTCCTCTGGGTGGAATTTAATGTATTAACAGCCAACTGATGGAAGGAGAAAAGAAAGGGAGCAAAGGCAGTGCAACATATTTTCCATTTCAATTTAAGAAAAGTTTTACTTAGAGTTGTTATCAAGATAATACTCCACAGACTTGTTAAACAATTATGGCAAAACAATTTGAGTAGCAGAAGTGTATCCAGGATACTGCAAAACAAATTATATGGCTTTCCTATTGAGAATATATTAATAGGTTTAGAAGTGGTAAGCTCTAGATATATTGAGGCAAAAAGAAAAAAATCATGATAATGATATTCATCCTCACGTACTTTATTATTTCATTTTGTAGAGATCAAAATGAATACATATAACTAAGCTTTATTTTATGAGTATTTCTTACTTTACCAATTGATAACTGTCAAAATTATGTAATTCAATATTTAGTTAGTCTATAAGCTTTCTGGTAGTTTTTTCATAGGAAATTCAGTACTGATATGCTCTTGGTCCATTTAATCCAGATTTTATCATATAAAGGTAAAAAAATCAGAGAATATATGAAAAACAATACTTATTTGATAAATTGTCTTTCTCACCAGTAGAACAAAATGCATTTGATTCATAAACATGGAAAGGAATACAGATATAAGCAAATATGCATACACACATATCCATAGTTACATAACTAGATAGAAATGATTATATATCTCGCAATTTTTAAGTGATGAGAAAAGCCCTATTATAATGTGCCCAACAGTTGAGATTGTTGTTTCGCTTTTTCTACTGTGAAATAAAAGACAGATATTTTTCAGCATAATACAACTCTTCCATTTACTTAACAATTTTCAGTTATTAGAAGCAGATGGTGTTTTGGTGGTAAACACAATTAATTTACATTTTAGAGAATTTACTTAATTAGAATTGGACTCCATGTCTCGCATACATTGGATTTCATCATTATACATACTGTTTATAATTCTGCCGGCTGTCATAAATGTACACTTATTTTTTCAATTCATAAAAATATAACTTCTAAAAAGGAGATAATCTATCCATTTTCCTGCATAACCTGAAAATAAAATACATTGTTTCAAAATTTCATTTTAAAAGATGTTTGAGCCATCAATTTATCTTGTTTTAAAGTGCGTGAAGAAGTCAAAGTATGTACAACTTTAAGTACATATCTCCATTTTATATCTCTTCAATGTTAATGTATTTTTTTAGTTCTAAAATGTTAACTGAAGTATTTCATACTTTATAGATCTATAAAAATACTATTGATGACAAAAACATGCTTATTGAACCATGAAAACATTTCCAATTTATTCAGTTTATTTCCCCAAAATGTTACCAAAGTATATTTATATAGTCTGATGATAAGTAAACACTCTACCCAATTTCAGATGTTGGTTCTGTAAAATGTTATTCATTGAAATGACTGATGTTTTACACTTTTTTTTCTTTTTTGAGACTGAGTCTCACTCTGTTGCCCTGGCTGGAGTGCAGTGGCATGATCTCAGCTTACTGCAACCTCCGCCTCCTGGATACAAGTGATTTCTCCTGCCTCAGTCTCCCAAGTAGCTGGGATTACAGGAGTGCAACACCACGCCCAGTTAATTTTTGTGTTTTTAGTAGAGACGGGGTTTCACCATGTTGGCCAGGAGGGTCTGAAACTCCTGACTTTAGGTGATCCGCCTGCCTCGACCTCCCAAAGTGCTGGGATTACAGGTGTGAGCCACCACGCCCAACCGATATTTCACACTTCGGATGTGCATGCATGTATGTGCATGCTCATGCATGTGTCTCCTCCCAATTACATTTGGTATTCTAATTTTATATTGCTGGATTAAATATATCATAGAGGTATTAATTCAAGTTATTTAAATTTTAATATTTATGAAAAATGCTCCTTCTTACTATTTCAGACTTTATTTTACTTGTGCCATAGATTTATTCTTTAGAATAAATCATTTATGATGTAATTATTTAAAATAAATCATTTATGATTTAATTATTTAAAATAAATCATAAATAAATAAATCATTCTTTAGAATAAATCTATAACATTTATTTTATAACTTTCTCAGGGTTATAAGATCCCTTTTACCTGTCATGCAACATCAGCAAAGGGTTATTTTAATACTTTGAGCATATTATTATTTTGCTTCATGGAAATGCAATTAATAGTTTTTCTTGAATAATTTCCTTTAATAATGATCTCTACTTAGCAAAACAGGCTATGGTTAAGAGTATGTCCCTAAAAGTAATTTTTAAGAGGGATGATCTTGTTTTGTTGCCCAGGCTGGAATTGAACTCCTGGGCTCAAGCAATCCTCCCACCTCAGCACCCCAAGTAGTTGGGACTACAAGCAATTGTCACTGTGCCCCAAAGAGTTATGTATTTTTAATCTAATTAGAATAAAATTCTAAAGAATATTTTGAATTTGTTTAAAACAGCTTAAACTTAATATGTTCTTAGAAACTGTTCTTAACAAGTTTGGGGGCTTAGGATTAGATTTGATTATTACTTATCTTACATCTAAAAAATTAATTCTACATCATCATTAAAAATGATGTCCAGATATTACGAATGATAATTTAGGGTCCAAAAGTAATAGTTAAGTGGTCTGACAACTTCCCTTAATAGTAAGATGTTATAATCAATAGGCTTATATTTTACATCTTGTTAGCAGGTTTTATTGAAATACCAATAAAGCATCAGTAAAAATTAATTGTCTTTGTCGGTGATTATTTACTTGACTCTGTTGTTAATATTTCAGACATCAGCTTTACATTTTTACCCCCATTTAATGGAAAGCTTTTTTATTTTCAGAAAAAAATATGGCATCTATCTTTCCACTGACTATTAGGGAAGCTATCAAGTAAATATATTTAAGGTAATAATTAGTAATAAACTTTTTTTACCTACTGCATGAAGTATTTTAGATTTGGGAGAAAGAGTGTTTAGATATCTATTTCAGTATTCAGCTCCAGCTCACTCTACCTCTAATATTGTTAAACTATTTATCTTCTCGGATTTATCATTTATCTATCCTGGTATCACTAAGCAGTCAAATTGCAAATCTATAAGGACTTGAATTTTGAAAAGTGCCACCATAGCTTTGTCAATCTAAAATGTAGAATGCATGTACCAGACTGTACACATACCCAAGGAAGACCCAGGAAAGAGAAAGGCACCAGGCACTGACTTCTGGCTGCAAAAGTAGGAAGTAAAATCTAAGGCTGTATTGTAAAGTGTCTACAGTTTGAATGCGTGTCTTCTTGGTCCCCTTGTCAAAGGGTGAAGAACATATCATCAAGGCATTTAAAGAAATCTGGCCAATCATCAGCCAGCTAATATATCATACTTCCCAGATGGGAATGCAAGGATGGTAAACTAAAAAAAAAAAAAAAAATACTTTAAGAAGAGTAGCAGAGATCTCAATGATCACACAATACAGAGAATACACATTATTCCAGAAAAGTTGTTAAACAAACACTCAGCAACCAGGACAAAAATAAACTCTGAGGATGGAGGAATAAATAATGGTTGTTGCAATACATTATTTAAAATTGACAATGTCTAGTTTTTAAAAATAAATTATGTAGTATGCAAATAAATAGGAAATTGTGTAAATCTGCAGGGAGAAAAGCAGATAATTGACAGTTTCTCTATGGAAAGTTCCCCAGATTTTGGAGTTAACAGTCAAATAATTTAAATCACCAATATAAATGTGTTTAAAGAATAAAGGAAAACATTTAAAAAATGAAAAAATAAAAGAAAGTATGGAAGTGTTTCTATCACCAAGTGGGGAATATCAATAAACAGAAATTACAAAAATGAGCCAAATAAAAATTGTACAATAGTTAATTTAAAAAATGAGTGATCACTAGAGGAACTCAATGGCAGATTTGAGCTAGAAGAAAGAATCAGTAAACATAAAATTAGATCAATAGAATTTATCCTGGCTGAGGAGCAGAAAGAAAGTGATGAAACATAAATACAGCCTCACAGAACTGTGGGACATATTGACTGTACCAATATATGCATAAGGAGAATCCCAGAAGGTGAAGAGGAAGGCGTACAGATTGTGATGGAAAACTACCTATATTTGATATGAAATATAAACCTACATATTCAAGAAATTCAGTGTGTTCCAAGGAGGATAAAAACAAATAGATCTACTCATACTCCCCATGCTCAAATTTTTAAAGACAAAGACAAGAACATTTTTAAGACAGCAAGACTAAAATTACTCACGAATATGAGAGAACTCCAGTAAGACTGTGAACTGATTTTTCTTGAGAAACCGTAGGACAAAATACAATGGAATGATACTTTCAAAATATTGAATAAAAATAATGTCAAGCCAACATTTAGGATACAACTAAATTCTTCTTCTTCGAAAAAATGAAGGATATATTAAAACGTTTTCAGATACACAAAAATGGAGAAAATGTGTTGCCAAGAGACTTTTCATACAAGAAATAGACAAGGGAGTTCTTTTTTTAATTTTAGATGGAATCTTGATCTGTTGCCCAGGCTGGAGTGCAGTGGAGCAATCTCAGCTCACTGCCACCTCTGCCTCCAGGTATAAGTGATTCCCCTGCCTCAGTCTCCCAAGTAGCTGGGGTTACAGGTGCCCACCACCACCCCCGGCTAATTTTTGTATTTTTAGTAGAGACAGGGTTTCACCATATTGCTCAGGTTGGTCTCAAACTCCTGACCTTATATGATCCACCCGCCTCAGGCTTCCAAAGTGCTGGGATTACTGGCATAAGCCACCACTCCTGGCTAGACAAGGGAGTTCTTTTGGCTGCAATAAAAGTAAACCAGACAGTAACTCAAGTCCATGTGGATAAATAAAGAGCATCAATAAAGCCATCTTCATAGGTATTAAAAAAGACAATACAAATATTTTCTAGTGTAACTACTTCTTCTCTACATTGTAAATACAACTGCATGAGCAATTATTATAAAAGTTTATTGATAGGCTTATAATGTTTACAGATGGATTTTATCTGACAATAACAGTGCAAAGGATGAAGAGTCCAACACAAGACCACACCAGAATACACATTTATCTAAGTGTATACGGAATGTTCTGTAGGATAGACTTTGTGTTTGAGTATAACATTAGCTTCAATAAATTAAAAAAGAGTGTATTCTATGATCATAGTGGAATTAAGCTGGAAAACAGCAAGGGGAAGGAATTTAGTAAACTCACAGATAAGTGAAACTAAACAGTTAACTCCTAAGTAACCAATAGATCAAAGAAGAAATCACAAGGGACATTAGAGAATACTTTGAGATAAGTGAAAATAAAAACACAACATGAAATTCAAAAACAAAATAAAATAAAAACTAAATATAAAGGGATTTAGCTAAAACAATGCTTAGAGGGAAATGTGTAGCAGTAAATTCCACTGTTAAAAAAGAAAAACAATCTGAAATCAATAACCTTGTGTTTCACCGGGAAAAAGATAGGGCAAGAAAATCAGCGCAGGTATAAGGAAGAAAATAAAAATTTTATTAAATAATAAAATAAATGAAATACAGAAAAGAAACATAATAGAAAAAAATCAACAAAACTAAAGTTGTTGGAAGATCAACAAAATTAATGAATATCTAGGAAAACTGATCAAGAAAAAAGAAAGATTCAAATTTATAAAATCATACATGAAAAAGAAAACATTATTATTGGCCATATAGAAATAAAAATGGTTACATGGAAATATTATGAACAATTGAGTATCAGAAAATTAGATAACTAGATGAAATGGATAAGGCCTGGACACAAAATATTAAAAGTAACTTAAAGAAATACAAAATCTGAAAATAGCTTTAAAAAGTAAAGACATTAAATTAGTAATCAAAAACTTCTCACAAAAAAAAACAGGAAAAGAGAGAATTCTACCAAACATTTCAAGAAAATTAACAGCAAACTTTCTCAAACTATTTCAAACCATATAGAAGGAAGAAACGTTTTCTAAGTGTGTCAGGCCAGTATCACTCTGATACACAAATGCAACAAGCACATCAAAAGAAAACAAAAATGTCAACTGATATTGTTATAGAAATAAGACTTGGGCATATGTTGCTTTTTTAAAGCCAGTTGGGACCATTAGTTAATTCAAAATCCACTGGCAACAAATTCAAGTTTTTACCTGTCCAGTTGCTTTACATATAACCTCAATAAGCAGATTTTTACCCATTTAGAGTCTATCTGTTTTGCACACTCCAAAAAACTACACCCCAAATCTGCTATCCATAGATAAGAAAACCCCTGAGGCCATAAAAGACCAGGAGCGCTGCTGCTCTTAGGAGTTCTCTGACTCAGAGACTCCCATCATGCTGATCCATGTCATCACTTTAACATGTAAGGCCCTGCCTGTTCCCTTGTCTCTGAGGTACGTTTTCCTTCTTCTCCTTCCCAGTGGTGGCCTTGCACTTTTGTGTCTGAAAGGACTCATGCTGTGAGGGACTTACCCTCCAAGGCAAGCCAGTCAAAAGTACCATCCAAGGAAAAATTGTGTGCTACTGCCTCCTTGTGATCTTATCCATTTCCTTGATCAGCCCTGAAATCTCAAACTCCCTGTACTTAAGTATATAGATGCAAAAGTTCCTAATGAAATATTAATAAACCAATTTTATCAATATATTGAAAGACTTATACCCTATGAATACATGGGTTTTATCTCCAGAATACATGAGAGGTTCAACTTTTTTTAAAAAAAATAAATACATGTAATACACCAGTTTAATAAAATAAAGGATAGAAATGCTTTATCATTTCAATTGAAGTAGAAATAACATTTGAAAAATCCAGCACATTTTCATTAAAAAGAAAAAAAAACACTCAACAAACTAGAAATAGAATGACACTTCCTCAGTCCAGGGTCATATAAAAAATCGCACACCTAACATCATAATCAATTGTAAAAGACTCAAAACTCTCTCCCTAAAATCAGGGAGAGAACAAGGATGTCTGCTCTTGCCATTTGTTTTCAAATTTGCATTGGTGGTTCTAGCCAGGAAAATTAAGCAAGACAAACAAATAAAATTCATTAAGGTAGAAGCAAATATGTAAAACTATCTTTATTTGCAGATTACATGATCTTGTATGTAGAAAAACCCTAGGGAATTCATAAAACAATGCTAATAAACAAGTTTATCACAATTATAGGATACAACATTATAATACAAAATCAGTTGGACTTCATTATAATTTACAAATATCGTACTTCTAAAAACACTTGGAAAGTGAAAAGACTACTCAAGTAATAGAAGACTTTTTTTTGCAAATGGTATGCCGGATCAAGAGTCTACTATCTAGATTATGTATGGAACTCCGACAACTTAACAATAAAAATGACAAATGAACTAAGTATACAAATGAATTAATTATTTGAATAAATATTTCACCAAAGAATATATAACCATGACCAATAAATACATTAAAAAATCATTTATCCTTATGGATATTCAAATAAAAATTCCAAGAGAATACCACTTCTCATACACTAATATGGCTATCAGCAAAAAAAAACAGGCAATAACAAGTAATGACAAGGATATAGAGAAATATGAATCCTTACGTATTGCTGATAGAAAGGTCAATGGCGCAGGACTTCAGAAGACACTTTGGCAGTTCCTCAAATAGAATTATTTGAATTTATTTAAATTACTTGAACATAAAATTACCATATGACCCAGCAATATCACACTTAGGTGTATGTATTGAAGATAATTTTAAAAATATGTTTACAAAAAATTGTATACAAATGTTCAAAGTAGCACTATTTAGCCAAAATGTAAAAAAAAAAAAAAACAAACCCAAAGGTATATTAAGTGATGAATAGATAAAAGGTATTTTCGTCCAATGGAATATTATCTGGAATAACAGTAATCATGGGTACATATGAAAACATAGAAAACATAGATGAATCTTGAAGACATTACACTAAACAATAGAAGTCATACTCAGAAGACTAAATATGTATCAATTGCTTTGTATGAAATGTTCTGAATGGGGAAATTCATAGAGATAGAAAGTAGGTTCGTGGAATTCGGGACTGGGTTTGGAGAAGGTGATAACAAGAATGAGCATTGATTGCTAATGAGTACTCCGTTTCTTTTATGAGTGATAAGAACTTTTAAAAATTATAGTGATGATTGCACAATCTTGTGAATATACTAAAGTACATTGAACTGTATAATTTAAATGGGTGAATTGAATTACGTATGCATTATATAAAACTGTGAAAATAAATCTTCATGTTTAAAATAAGATTACTTCAAGCATTTAAATTCTATGATTAGGGGCTCTTTTCAACAAGGAGTCTTTTTGTAAAACATATATACAATTCAAAAATATAAAGATATCAAATAATTCAACTAATAAATCAAACCTAACCCTATCAACCAAAAACTTCAACTATTAAATGTTTACTTTTTCTATGCCCTTAGTGGTCTCTATAGCCAAATTGCCTAGAATTGAATCCTAACTCACTATTTATCTTTTGTGTTACTTTGGTTAATGTATTTAACCTCTCTGCGCCTAAGTTTCCTTTTGTTAACTCAGAAGGTTCTAGTGAAGACTAAATAACTCAATTTCCGTAAAGTGAGTATAGCAATACCTGGCATGTAATAAAAGCCACATAACTGTCAATGTTATAACAATAACACATACAAGCACACACACACACAAATGTCTTTGCACATATAAATGTTAACATGTGTGTTGACACTTAGTACATAATTGATATTATTATAATCACTTTGACTGTAAGAATAACCTAATTAAGATTTACAAAATTGATGTCTTTGAACTTTTTTCACTTAAATGTACATTAAGATTGAACATAAATTTATATGGTTTTATGTGACAATCATTGCTTATTAAAATTCTAGCACATAGAACTTTATGCAGAAACAATAAAAGAATATAAAGGAAGAATATATGTAAGTTTGAAAACCAAAGGGTAGACTAAATAGAATAGTTCGTGAGGTGTTTAATAATAATGTTTCTTGAAAAATATTCCTTGTAAAAATATATTAATAAGCTTTTCAGTCTAATTGCACAAGTGTTGATTTTTAAATGAATAACAATTTGTAATGTTAGCTGATCTTATTTTTTATAAGCCTATGTCTCCAGCAAATCAGAAAATTTTGAATCTAAGGAATTTTATATAGCAAAGTAGTATCCATTACACTTGGGATTGAAAATATCTTTCCAAATCATTAATAGCTTTAATATCCAAAGAACTACGATACTGCCTCAGGAAAAAAATATCAAAATTTCTGTGGCCATTTACACATTTTCTTTTCTGTTTTTATATGTACAGAACACTGAAGGCTGAGAGATAAGAAATAAGAGAAAAATAATAAAATAGACAAACAAAGAGATAAAAATTTATTAAAACTTAAAATATATATGAGTCGACTAACTAAAAGAAAAATTATTTATGTCCTTTCAAGGTATGGACTCTGTCTATTGCATTGTTTTCACTGTTTTATATATATCAAATAAAATTGCAGTGTTTTTATGTGTGTGTCTGGGTGTGTGTTTATGTGTTAATGAACAAACAAAGGAAAAATTATCTAAATTATAAGCCATTTTAACTATATGATTCTGAACTTATTAAATAGTGTATTTTTGAATTCTTATTGATTTTGTCTCTGAAGAGGCCACTGAACCTGTCATGCATGAAGAAATTGCTTCGGAGGGCAACAGATTTATCTGGGCAATTACTATATTGACTAAGGAACCAAGGAGCCCAAGTTCCTTCTTAACACAATTGTTATTTCATTGACTAGTGTTACATGAGAGACAAGGAGAGTCAGAGTTCAAGGACAGCGGAACGATGATGGTCTCCTGGGAACGAAGCGCGATGCTCCATAGAGACTTGAATTCTAGAATAAATCGCTGGAATTGTGTTGGCAGCAGTATGGATCCATTGTTTGAAACTAAATTCATCACGGTGGTTGCCACGCTGACTGAAATAAATGCCCAACAATATACAAACGCAACCATTGTTCCCCAGTGGGAATTATTTTAGTCATTGTTAGTGTGTTTTTTGTTGCTTACATTATATCTGGAAATGCAACTGATATTTGGGAGGCAACTAATATCACAAACAACAAGAAGTTAATTTAACAGTGTTATATTTTTTCTTTCTAGTACTAATTTATTTTAAATGGCATACCATGGCCCATAAAAAACTTACATAAGTTTCAAGTCTAAATTGTATGATAAGCCCAATTTCTCAAAAAGAAAATGGCCATTATTAGAAGTTATATTCAATGCAGCAACTAGCCTCAATGAGAAAAGTCATACATATGCTGGTGTTTAAATATTCAGTGTAAATGTATGTTGTCCACTTCTTATTACTTGATGAATACTAAGGGAAAAATAAGCCTGAGTGAAGAAATAAAGACTTCTTGTGGGTTAAAAACTACAAAATTGGTCAGGTGCAGTGGCTCACGCCTGTAATCCCAAAACTTTGAGAGGCTGAGGTAGGCAGATCACCTGAGGTCAGGAGCTCAAGACCAGCCTGCCCAGCATGGCAAAACTCCGTCTCTACTAAAAATACAAAAAATTAGCCCGGCATGGTGGCAGACACTTGTAATCCCAGCCACTCAGGAGGCTGAGGCAGGAGAATCGCTTGAACCCGGAAGTCGGAGGTTCCAGTGAGCCAAGATCACACCACTGCATTCCAGCCTGGGTGACAGAGAGAAACTCCATCTCAAAAAACAAACAAACAAACAAGCAA
The DNA here is from genome assembly GCF_000001405.40 of Homo sapiens. NCBI lineage: Eukaryota > Metazoa > Chordata > Mammalia > Primates > Hominidae > Homo > Homo sapiens. Next base: position 20,575,386 of record NC_000021.9, read on the forward strand.
ACAAAAACACTACAAAATTAGCTTTGTTTTCACGTATTCCTTTCTCAGGTACTTTATATGGGACCTCTTTGTTTCTTCTCACTATCATAATTCATCCTTTGCCCCGAGTCTTGAGAGAGAACCATTCAGGTTCCCATTGCCCTCTTCCATAAAAATGTCTCAAAACATGGTCCCTAAACCTACCCTCTTGATGTAAAGGTTAATGCTAAAAAAACACAGAAAAGATATAAGCTTAATGCTTTTCTCCATTTATTATTTGCATTCATTTAATAATTATTTATTGAGCACCTGTATGTGTTAAGAGTTGAATGTACAATGACACGCACATTATGTCAAAGAACTTCCAAGTGCTTACGTAAACTTGCTTCTTTGCCAAACATCCTTACGTTCATTTTAATTTAATTGTAAAGTAAACTAAAACACATTGACACACACATATACACAATGTACTTAAAAGTGGTCATTGTTTCAAACTGCATAGTTATTAATAATGATATTACCAGGAGTAGCTTAAAATGGTGACAACTGGTTTGATTACAGGTTTACTTGCAATTAAGGTAGAAATTTGTCAATGTTTAAAAAATGTAATTATTTTAGTATTTGATCACAAAGAATTAAGTGAAATAAACATAAACGTAGAAATGAAGAGTACATACTTTTACTGATGTATCTTTAACAGTTTTGTATTTTAATCCTTAGAAATATTCATATAAACCCAAACATTTTGGCTTAAAGTGCTATATTTTGACAAATATTTGAGGACTTTTCATGGACTCTAATGTGGTTTAAATTATGTCTCCTCTGTGTATTTATCTCATAATCTTCTGCAAAGTAGTCAAATGGCTAAGCCTCAGATATATTACCTGCAAAATAGAAATAATAATACCTATGGGCAGATTTATTATCAAGATTAAGATAACATAGGCAAAGTAATTAGCATAAGCGTCTAGCACACATTAATATCAATAAGTGGTAGCTGTCATTTGAGGGCATATTTAGCAATAGACCATCTTCCTTCCCACAAATGAAGTACCTCCCAGTAAGCAAACGATGGAGATATAATTCCTAAAGCCACATTTCTAAACCTTATGGCGCTAACACCAGATTTGGAAAATTCTTGAATATACATAGATTTGGAAGTGGAGAAATGAAAAGTATTCTCAGAATTGGACAATGTTTCCTTGGAATTGCTTTCATCACTTCAAGACTTCTCTCAGCTATGAGATATCATTTATCTACTAATTTTCCTGAGTATAATTTTTGCTGTTCACTTCTAGATTGCAATAAATCTTTTATTTCTATAGTAATGATATGAAATATGAAATTTCACTACTCAAAAATCTTACATATTTTAAGTTTTTATGTCCTATATCAAAGCAAAATGTATGTAATTAACTCCTATATTCCAGAAAAACATTGCTTTATTAATTACATTAATAGGTGTGATTTTCTTTATTAAATTATATTTTACTTAAGGCTCAAATCAGCCCTATTTTTTATGTTAGTGAAGTTTTCCTACTCATTAATGTGAAATGTTTGCTCAAAGACGTAATAGGGCACTGTTAATGGAAAGGATTTCAGCGAAGTGTGAACCATTTACAATTAGGTAATACCAATCATGGTGAGAAAGAAGTTCCAGAAAAACTAACAGTGTTAATATTAAGTGTATCATGGTGCCTGCAATCCCAGAACCTTGGGAGGCCAAGGTGGGCAGATCACCTAAGGTCAGGAGTTCGAGACCAGCCTGGCCAACGTGGTGAAACACCGACTCAACTAAAAATACAAAAATTAGCCAGGCATGGTGGCTCGCACCTGTAATCCCAGCTACTCAGGAGGCTGGGGTGAGAGAATCACCTGAACCCGGGAGGCAGAGGTTGCTGTGAGTTGAGATTATGCCATTGTACTCCAGCCTGGATAAAGGAGTGAGACTCTGTCTCAAAAAAAAAAAAAAAGTATGTCATGGAAATGTTTAATACTTACTAGAGTAAATCAAGCTAAAAATTAAAGTACTGTTAGCAAAACATTTTCAGAATGCAGTGTCACTTGGGAATGAGAATGAGTTTAAAAGAAGGAGCATAAGAGTTAAAAGTAAAATGTTAATAAATGTTTAAAATTACAGTATTTTATAATAAAAATGATAAGTTAAACCATCAAGATTGTCTGTTGAAATTTCCAAGTGGACTTACTGTAATTCTAAAAATTCTTTTTTTAGAATTTTAGATGACTTAGAAACTCATCAAAGTCATTTAATATTCCATAAAAATAACTAAAAAATAAGTTTATTCCTTTAAGAACAATTATATCCACAAAGAAGAGCAAATGTCAGAAAAAAATATATTAAGCAAGTAGAAACATATGTGAAGACTATCTCATTTGTGAAAAATTAAAATCCTTCCAAAATGGAACTCTTTTGTGGCATATCATGAAATTATAATTGAACTAAATCCAGAGTATATCCAGAGTTGAGCACTGTGAATGAATGAATGTTAGATAAATATACAGAAACAGAGTGTGGCTGTGGAGTGTATACACCTGTCTTATATCAGTGAGAGGGATCGTATGCTCATCAAGATTATCTACTCATCGGGGATTCTTTCTAAACCTTCTTCTTTTTTGTTGTTGTTTCTTTTTTTATAATTTTTATTTTTATTTTAAGTTCCAAGATACATGCGCAAGATGTGCAGTTTTGTTACACAGGTAAACGTATGCCATGGTGGTTTGCTGCACCTATCAACCCATCGCCTAGGTATTAAGCCCAACATGCTTTAGCTATTTTTCCTAATGCTCTCCCTTTCCCTACCATCCCCCAACAGGCCCCAGTGTGTGTTGTTCCCCTCCCTGTGTCCCTGTGATCTCATTGTTCAGCTCCCAATTATAAGTGAGACCATGTGGGGTTTGGTTTTCTGTTCCTGTGTTAGCTTGCTAAGAATAATGGCTTCCAACTTCATCCATGTCCCTGAAAAGGACATGATATTGCTCTTTTTTATGGCTGCATAGTATTCCGTGGCATGTACGTACCACATTTTCTTTATCCAGTCTATCATCAACGAGTATTTGAGTTGATTCTATGTCTTTACTATCATGTATAGTGCGGCATTGAACATATGCATGCATGTATCTTTGCAATAAAATGATTTATATTCCTTTGGATATATACCTAGTAATGGCATTGCTGGGTCAAAGGATATTTCCGGTTCTAGATCTTTGAAGAATTACTACACTGTCTTCTATGATGTAGTAAACCTTCCTCTTTAAATTATCCATTTATAAGAGAAATATTTGAAATATTTTCATTTGAAAGAGTGTACTGAAGAAATGTCTGCGTAAAACAAAACACTTCATTCTATATCACGTGGAGTTAGAAATCACTTGGAATGTCCATTAATTCTTGATATTACGATTGAGATTACACACAGATCATATTGACAAATTTTTTTTTTAAAGTTAACCTCTGAAAAAATGTTCTTGCTCTCTTGCTTCTGAGTTTGAAACAGAGTTGAGGGAATATTGTGTTATAACTGACAATGGGAATTAGCACTGGAGTTCAGCTTAGGTAAAATCATTTTCTAAAGTTATGCACTTTCAGTAAGAAAGCAAAATGAGTTACTATTAAGATGTAAAATATGTGGCTGTGAGTACTTATTTTTACATATTGACAAGTTTACTTTCAAAACGTAATTTCAACTACATCCAGAAAAAACTGATATATATATTTTTACACCTATAGACTTATCTAAATGTTAATCATTATACTTAGAAGATGGGACAATGAGATATACATCATATATTTGAGATGATTTTATATGACACAGTTTCATAATCAACCAAAATGGGAAAACATGCAAACATTTGAATGGCTTACATAAGAAACAATCCAAATTAGCTCTCCTCTTTTTAGTCAGAAAAGTATGGATGTAAAATTGTCAGGTACTTATGGAAGTAAATACAGGAAGTTCTTGTGAAATGCATTAGGGTCAACTGGAATTGAATACTTGTTCAACATTTATTGACATTATATTAGCAACAGGTGATGTGAGAAATAAGACAGTCATATTTCTTTTATTTTTTCTTTTTTCTTTTCTTGAGTCGGAGTTTTGCTCTTGTTTCTCAGACTGGAGTGCAGTGGTGGGATCTCAGCTCACTGCAACCTCCACCTCCCGGGTTCAAGAGATACTCCTGCCTCAGCCTTCTGAGTAGCTGGGATTACAGTGGCATGACACCACGCCCAGCTAATTTTTGTATTTTTAGTAGAGACGGGGTTTCACCATGTTGGCCAGGCTGGCCTCAAACTCCTGACCTCAGGTGATCCATTTGCCTCGGCCTCCCAAAGTGTTGAGATTACAGGTGTGAGCCACCATCCCTGGCCAAGACAGTCATATTTCTTAAAACATTTATAGTTATGTAAGATGAACAAAGAAGTCAACAGTTACAATGGGAAGGTATAAATGCTATGGCAGTGAAATGTTGTCAGTTCTATAGGATCTGGGAGAAAATAGGACAGTCTTTGCAAAATTGGAAAAGAAAAAGCACTTCATGTAAAACTAATACACACACACACACACAGTCTAATACTGTTTCAGGGTAGAGAATCAGAATTGGGAAACATGTACACCATCATGATTCTGAGGTATTTGACAAGTCCCTTTACTTCTCCGGTTGATCTCTGGCTTTAAGTTTTAAATTAGAAACATACCATTTAAAATATGTGTACAAATGGAGTGACTTTTTGTGTTCCTCTTTAAAGAAAGCTTCACTGACAATGGAAAAGTTGACATGATTTAATGTTTTTCCCATGAACATAATATTCATATTTGCAGCAATAAAACAGCTTTGCCATTATATTCTATATTCATTAACAAAAAGTACTATTTTAGATTGCTATAACTAATGACAAATTTTAAAAGATTTTATTTATTGGCACTTACCACAAGCCAGGTAGTTTGCTGAAATCATTGCATATACCAACTGATTTAACACCAAGCATACTGTGAGATTGGACTTGCTATCATTTCCATTTTATAAGTAAGAAAACGAGTACAGAGAGAAAAAGACACTTCCCAAAGCCTCCCTGACAGTTAAGGGGAAGAGCCAGGATTCAAGTATAGTTTAAGAGCAAGTTCTTATAAACTACATGCTAAATACATTACAATATCATGTTTTACATTTTTCACTAGGGCTTTTAGGCCAGATGATATAAACTCACATTGATCCCTGTTCCACTGGTGGCAGGCCTGTGCAAACCTACCCCGAAGTCCAAGGAAGCTAAGAGGACAGGGAAGAAAGAGGTTGACATACCCAGTTTCTCAGAAAGAAACATTGAAAAAAGCCATGTCTGTGTCTTGGGCAGCAGTGAGACAAGATGATGAATTCTTGTGCCATCAGCCCCCAGACTCAGGGCTTCTATACCATAGAGAAAGGGCATACATGATTAAGAAGAGATATGTAGTGCAATTGAAGTATGATAAAATCAAGGTTGTTTTGACCTAAGGGCAGGATTTGCATACCTGCTTTTACCTAAGGAACAATAGGTAAGCTAGATATCTTAGACCTTCCTTAAACTAGGGTTAATTAGACATCAGTATAGCAAATTAGCATCCAAGATGGAATTACTTTAGACTCCACAGTCCCATTATATCAACAGCCCTAGCATAGGCCCTTATTTATAAGTACCCAGTGCTATACTGTAAAATAACATTATAACCAGTCTTTTCATTAAAAGACTATTTTAATCGTTCTTCCAAACAGATGTTGGAAGATTTTAAGATTATTGTTATGTTTATACAGATATGCAAGTAGAATAAGAAGAGTACTTTCATATAGCACCATGAGTATGAAAGCAGTAGATACAATTATTAAAAGTATAAAAAAAGTAAAAAATCTTTAAAGGATACACGGTTACCTTTTTAAATCATATCTAACTGCCATGTTTATATGGAAGAAATAAAGAGCACATAGTTATTTCTTAGCCAAAAAAAAAAAAAAAGCCTGTGATTATACAAAGGATATCTAATTAGGGAAAAAATGTAATCATAGCACTTAAAATTAAATTAAATATAACCTGAGTTTCAGTACCAGCTCTGTTGCTAAGAAGCTGTGAGGCCTGTGAAAAATCATTTAATTTCTCTGAGCCTCAGTCTGTTGATCGGTACTAAAGGGAATAGGAATCACAAATTGATCTCTGAGGTCCCCTCAGACTCTCATAAACTATGATGATATGAAATTAGCAGAGTTTGAGTAGAATGAATTCAATAGAGGTAAACATGCCAATTACTGCATACTAATTTAGTGCTTCTCTCTCTGAAAGGCTTGTGCTTTAAAAGACACATATAGCAAATAGAAAAGATTTATGTAGAGATACTCAAACTATTTACCACCATATTTTACTTGCAGAAAAATATTTCCCAAATCAAACATCTTAATACATTTGAAATTTAATAATGAAAGAATTAACTCTAGCAATTTAAAGAGAGGTTTGGGGTTATGTAAAAATCTTCATATCTATATGCAACAGAAAGAATGCTCCATTACAAGCTATATGCATGGCTGTATTTGTGAGGTAGCCTTTTCACTAATTTCCCTTGCATGTTCTATTCAAACAGCTGTTTTTTGTTAGATAAACATTATTATATCTATTACATTCCTTTGCTCTATATTAAAACAAACTTATACGCCACTAAATTCTAACATCATACGTTGGAATTTGATATTGTAAGTATGTCTCTGACATGTATAACTTTTTTGAAATTTTTTAAAAATGTATTGGATATTTTTCTAAGAACAAGTAGGAGTTATATTTTAAATGGAAACATGTTTCTTTTACTAGCAAAAGAGACTCTCCTTCTAGTATTCATCTCTCAAATTCAATGACAACTTATGACAAATTCAAATAGGAGACAACTGTCCTTTCAGAAAAAAACCTCTAAAATATTTTGGGATTTTTTTCCTCCCACATAAAAACCTCTATGTCTAAAAAGATTACGTTAGATTACAAATGCGGAAACAATGACACAAGAGGGGAAGCAGTGAGTGCTTCTATGAAAGAAAAGACTGACTACTCCAAAGATGATATACGTTTTCAAGGCAATGATGGATACCTTTAACATGCCTTGTGAGACAGAAGGATTAGTTCTTTCATCTTTCAGCCTGGCCAACACCTGCGTCCTCATTTTCCTAGGTGTTGAAATAGAAAGAAAGCACGGAGGCAGCACAGCTCTGCTATAAAAGGCTTTGCCTCCAAATACAAAATATAACTTTTGCTTGAATTCCTTTGATTACAAGATGTTTATATGGTCATTTCGATTAGCCTTGCAATGAAGCCAACTGCAAGGACAACTAGGAAATATCTGGGTGCTCACAAAAACAGAGCAAAGAAAATTTTGATTAGCAGTTAGAGACTCAAATGTACCTATGGTTTTTGTATTGTGTTTGTTTTGAGCTGCTACCAGTTAATTCTAACTTTTATGTTATAATGCAGCATAATCAATGTCCTTGAATTAACTTCCTAAAACATAGAGGATAAAAGGCTATATTAACATATTTTTCCAGAAAATGTAAATATACTAGCTAATAAAATAACAAGATCAAATTATAATTGAGAAAGTACTGCTGTTTAAATATTTTTAAACACCTAAAATGGGAAAAAACTTATTAAACATTAGAAAAATATTTTTATGTCTTAAAAAGAATTGCCAGACTGGGTGCGGTGGCTCGCTCCTATAATCCCAGAACTTTGGGAGGCCAAGGCGGGCGGATCACCTGAGGTCAGGAATTCAAGACCAGCCTGGCCAACATGGTGAAACCCCGTCTCTACTAAAAATACAAAAGTTAGCTGGGCGTGGTGGCGCATGCCTGTAATCCCAGCTACTCAGGAAGCCGAGGCAGGAGAATCCCTTGAACCTGGGAGGCGGAGGTTGCAGTGAACCAATCGCACCACTGCACTCCAGCCTGGGTGACAAAAGCAAAACTCCATCTCAAAAAAAAAAAAAAAAAAAAAAAAAAAAGAAAGAATTGACAAACGTAGGAGCAGTTATGTAAATACTTAACATGCTTATTGCTTTATGTAACACAAGCCTTTATCACATTGATTGGAGTTTTTTCTGAGCTATATGTAAAAACAGAAGGTCAGAAAACTTACAAAATCATTATTGTAAAGTAAAGAAGAACTAAACTGTGAAATCATTGCTTTTTTTAGATGAAGTTACTGAAGTGACTCAAGATGCTAAATTCAAAATTTCTTCAGTTACCATTGTACTTGTGGAAAAATATTGTCAAAAAGTGTCATTGTTTATACAGGAAAACTTTCTTTAAAGTTTAGAGTAAGACAATAATCAAATATCACATTATCATGCTGAAAAAAGATGGAAAGTCTATTAATATATATGCCTATATATTTATTTGTTAAGCAAACAATATGTATTTTTTCTATCATGCTATGTTAGAATTTTTGTGTCTAGCTATGATGGAGTAATCATGAACATCTATGAAACTACAGAATATAGGAGGTAAAGATTTTTCAGTATTTTACAGCAGGTAGGAGCAGGACAGGATGTGATATTTGAGAGAAATACATAGAAAGAGGTGAATCCCATATTGGCCCCTGATTTTGGTCTAAGAGAAGTTTCTCAGCGAAAGTGTTGTAAGCTTTTTTCAAATTTTGAATCTTACCTCCTCTTCAGCACAACTTGCCTGCCTACATGTGGAGAAAGTTCTGTGTTTAAAATCTCACGTGATTAGATTGGGCCCGCCGGAATAAGCTCCCTATCTTAAAGTTTGTAACCTTAATTATATACAGAACCCTCACAATTGTTTTCTTCTCTTATTCTCTTAAATGACTGCCATCAGTTTAAAGCAAAAAAAAAAAAAAAAAAAGATAAAATGACTTTATTTCGTTTTGAGAGGAGAAGCCACCTGGACTTCCTGAGTCAAGTGGTAACTTGGAGAACTTTTCTGTCTTACAAGAGGATTGTAAAATGCACCAATCACCGCTCTGTAAACGGCACCAATCAGCATTCTGTACAACGCACCTATCAGCAGGAGTCTAAAAGTAGCCAATCGCAGGGAGGATTGAAAAACAGGCACTCTGATAGGACAAAAACGGAACATGGAGGTTGGGTGCGGTGGCTCACACCTGTAATACCAGCACTTTGGGAGGCCGAGGCGGGTGGATCATGAGGTCAGGAGATCGAGACCATCCTGGCTAACATGGTGAAACCCCATCTCTACTGAAAATACAAAAAATTAGCCGGGCGTGGTGGCGGGTGCCTGTAGTCCCAGCTACTCTGGAGGCTGAGGCAGGAGAATGGCATGAACCCGGGAGGTTGAGCTTGCAGTGAGCCGAGATCGCGCCACTGCACTCCAGCCTGGGAAACAGAGCAAGACTCCATCTCAAAAACAAACAAACAAACAAACAAAAAATAGAACGTGGGAGGGGACAAATAAGGGAATAAAAGCTGGCCACCCCAGCCAGCAGTGGCAACCCACTCAGGTCCCCTTCTACGCTGTCGACGCTTTGTTCTTTGGCTCTTCACAGCAAATCTTGCTGCCACTCACTCTTTGGGTCCATGCAGTCTTTAAGAGCTGTAACACTCATTTCCAAGGTCTGCGGCTCCATCCTTGAAGTCAGCGAGACCACGAACACACACCGGAAGGAACCAAGTCTGGACACAGTTTAACATATTTTACTATATGTAGAAGAAAAATATACAGGAACAATAACATAAATGTTGGGCAGAGGTAAAGGGAGTCATATTTTTCTCATTTTGTTATGATTTACCTGAAGTGGTACAATATTAATTCTTAGCAGACACTTGTAGAAGATGCCTATTTAGATTTCAGGAGCAGTGACTTCCCAAACAAAATATAAAGCAGTATTGCTAGAAAGCAAATAGAGAAAATAAATGGAAAATATTTAGAAGTATTTAATTAACTCAAGACAGGAAAGAGAAAAAACAGAACACACAAACGTGGAAAGGGCAAGGTATAAATGTTTTTAGATGGTATTTAAACATAAACCAAGTATAAAAGACAGAGATTGGCAGCTTTTATGTAAAAAGCAAGACTTAACTATGTGCTGTATTGAAATTTCGTTTGAAAAATCAATCAATGCAATTTACGCCAGTAACCTAATAGAGAAGAAAACATATCATTATTCCCATAGATGAAGAAAAACATCTTGACAAAATGTATTATTTAAACCATTCAGCAAATTAGAAAGAGAAGAAAATTTCCTCAGTTTGAGAAAGGGAATCAATGAAAAACAGCTAATACCACATTTAATGGTGAATGACAGCTTGAAGTTCTCCTGAAATGAGAACAAAGGCAATAAGGTTTATTATCATCACTTCTATTCAGCAACATAATTATGGACTGTAGCCAATTAAATAAGGCAAAAATACGTATAAGAATTGAAAGGAAGAAATAACTGTATTCAGACATAAAACGGTTAGATACACAGAAAATAGTAAGGAATCTGCCACAATTAATGAAATTCATATGTAAGTTTTTCAAGCCCGTGTACTACAAGGCACATATTGCATTCCCTACATACTACCAAAAAAATGGAAAATAAAATTAAGAGCACAATGCCATTTAAAATATCATCAAATTGCTTAAAATACAAGTAAGTTTAGATAGAAAGGTAATAGATAACAGTTGATAGATAGAAAGATAGCTATTGTTATAGGTATTATATGCTAAAAATTATAAAACATTTTAGGAAATAATTGAAGGTGACTTTTAGAAGCTAAGTTATATCGTAGAATCATGGGTGGAAAGATTCAATATTATTAAAAAGTCATACATCTCCATTAGTATATAGAGTCAATCAAAAGAAAATTTCAACAATTTTTATAGCTTCGCTTTAGATATTGACAAGCTATTTACAAACTTATTGAAGAAATGCAAAGCAACAAAGCCAAAATAAACTGTAGAACAAGTTTTTTTTTATATATATATGAAGTCTCGCTCTGTCTCCCAGGCTAGAGTGCAGCGGAGCAATCTCAGCTCACTGCAACCTCTGCCTCCCGGGTTCAAGTGATTCTTACGATTCAGCCCCCCGAATAGCACCACCATGCTCAGCAAATTTTTGTACTTTTAGTAAAGATGGGGTTTTGTCTTATTGGTCGGGCTGGTCTTGAACTCCTGACCTGGTTATCTACCCGTCTTGGCTTCCCAAAGTGCTGGGATAACAGATGTGGGTCACCGCACCTGGCCAGAAAAGATTTTAAAAATGAAAAACTTGGAGGACATTAACGTCTGATTTCACAACTTATTATAATAGTACAATAATTAAGAAAGTGGTATATTGGTGACAGAAAAGGTAAATATGCCAATGGAAGAAGTAGAGCCTATATATATATATACCCAGATATATATATATATATATATATGTATATATATATACCCAGATATATATATATATACCCAGATATATATATATACCCAGATATATATATATACCCAGATATATATATATATATATATATATATATATATATATACCCAGATACATACATATACCCAGGAGGGGTGTGTGTGTGTATATATACCTGGGAGGGGGTGTGTATGTGTCTGTGTGTGTGTATATATTTATAAATTTATATGCAGAAGGGTGTATACACACACACACACTTGGAATGGTGTATATATCCATATATGCACATATATATGTGGGAGTGTGTGTATATATATAGACAAGAGGATGTATATACACACACACACACACACACACACACACACACACACGTATATATATATATATATATATACCCAGGAGGGTGCATATATAGATATATACAGCGAGGGTGTGTGTATATACACACACACACACACACACATATATCCAGGTGTATATAAATATATACATACAAGCGGGAGGGTGTGTATATATATATATATATATATGCGGGAGGGTGTATATATATATACATACACACCCAAGAGGGTGTGTGTATATATATATACCTGGAAGGGTGCATATATATATGTGTATATATATATACCTGGCAGGGGGTATATATACATACCTAGGAGGGGTGTGTGTATATATTTTTATATACCCGGGAGTGGGTGTATATATATATACATACACACTCAGGAGTGTGTGCATATATATGTATCCGAGAGTAGGTATATATGTGTGTGTGTATATATATATGTGTGTGTGTGTACATATATACACACACACACACACATATACACACCTGGGAGTGGGTATTGGAGGGGGTATATATGTAGATATACACCCTGGAGTTGGTATATAAATATACACCCAGGAGTGGGTATATATATATATATATATATATATATATACACACATACCTGAGAGTGTGTGTGTGTGTATATATATATATAAACACCAGAGTGTGTGTGTGTGTGTGTGTGTATATATATATATATATATATATATATATATATGTATATGTATACCTGGGAGTGGGTATGTATATGTATACCTGGAAGTGGGTATATATAGATATATATATCTATATATGCCTGGGAGTGGGTATATGTGTGTGTATATATATATATGGGGGCAGGTATAATATATATATAATGGGAGTGGGTTATGTGTGTGTGTGTGTATATATATATATATATATATATATATATATACACACACACACACATACCCAGGAGGGGTTATACATATATATACGTGGGGTTGGGATGTATATATACCCGGCAGTGGGTATGTGTATGTGTATATATATATATATATACACCCGGGAGTGGGTATATATATATACACCCGGGAGTGGGTATATATATATACACCCGAGAGTGGGTATATACAGCCGGGAGTGGGTATATATATACCCAGTAGTGGGTATATATATACCTGGGGGAGGGAATATATATATATACCCAAGAGGGGTAGGGGTATATATATATATATATATATATGTGTGTGTGTGTGTATATATATATGTGTATATATATATATATATATGTGTGTGTGTGTATATATATGTGTATATATATATATACACACACACACACACACACACACACACACACACCAGGGAGTGGGTATATATGCATATATACAACTGGGAGTGGGTATATATACATATATATATGCAGACACACACCCAGGAGGGGTTATATGTGTGTGTTTGTGTGTGTGTGTGTGTATATATATATATATATATATACCCTGGAGGGGGTATATGTGTGTGCATGTGTGTTTGTGTGTGTGTGCGTGTGTGTGTGTATATACCCGGGAGGGGTATATGTGTGTGTATATATATACCCAGGAGTTGGTATATGTGTATGTATATATACCCTATATAAAAAAATATATAGATATTTTATATCGATATATAGATATGTATCACTGCAATTGGCTACTTTTAGACTCCTGGTGATTGGTGCGTTTTACAGAATATAATATATAAATATATAGATATGGATTTATAAATATATCAATATAAAAAATATATGCCCTGTATGTATTTTTAAAAATCTTGTTTTACAGTTTATTTCGGCTTTGTTGCTTTGCATTTCTTCAATAAATTTGGAAACAGCTTGTCTAGTAATAGATGTTATATACATATATATAACCAATTTGTTTTTTATAGAGCTATGAAAGCATTTAACATACAAAAGAGTGTATTTTCAATAAATTGTCTTGAAGCAAGTGACTATCAATAATAAAAAATAAAACTTGAATGTTACCTCATACCACAGCCTTATTATAATTAATAAATATAATCAATATAATATAATTATAATTATCATAATATAATATATAGTTTTATAAGATGTAGTATTATAACTAATAATTTAGTATTCCAATTAATAATTAATTATAATTATTATAATACAATAATATAATATAGTATTAGAAAACATGATGGTTGCATAGTATAATTAATTATATTAATATAATACTAAAATAGTAATTAATAAAAATAATTAATCAAATTAATTTGTGTATTAGAGTTGAAGAGATCATTTAACTTTGAAATCTAGAACTCTAAAAATTCCTGGAAAAAATATTTCTGACCTTTAGATGAGCCAATATGACAATTTTACAAAGAATACAAACACTTCTTAAAATGATCAATTGGACTTCATCTAAATCAAAAATATATTTGAAAAACAACACTGGAGAAGGAGAGTGAGAGACAGAGAAAGAAAGAGAGAGATTTTAAAAGAAAGTCACTCCTTAAAAGGGAGAGGAAATATTCACAATATACAAATATATGTAATGATTGAGTTGAATGAAGAATCTAGAATATAATGAATAATTAACTATGAGGCAAAAAAAAATGGCTAAAGTCTTGAACAGACATTTCACAAAAAATGTTATGTAAATTACACTTCATTAGCTATCAGGAAAGTGCAAATTAAAACCATAATATAAAGTACTTTTTTTTTACCTTTTCTATGTTTATATATGTTTAGATACACAAATGCTTACCATTGTGTTACAGATGTCCATAGTATTTCATACAAGTAACATGCTATACAGGTTTGTAACCTAGGAGCAATAGCATAGGCCTTAAAGCTAAGGTGAGTAGGAAGCTGTATCATTGAGGTTTTTGTAAGTATACCCTATGATGTTCACATGAAAACAAAATCACCTAATGACACATTTCTCAGAACATATTCCCATCATTAAGTGACACATTACTGTATCATTGTTGCAATGTCTAATTTTTACTTCAATTCTTTCAGTTTCTATTTTATGTCTTTTGTAGATTTGTTGTTAAGTACATATATGTTAATGATTGTTACATCTTTCCGATGGATTGACCCTTTATAATTAGGAAATGTCCCTCTAGTAATATTTTTTTCTTTAAAGACTATGTTGTCTGACAGCTTTTCTGGCTCTTTTTATGATGTTTGCAGAGTATTTTCTTTTTAATACTTTTACTTTCAACCTATTTGTGTTATTTGAATTTCAAATACATCTTCTTTAGAAAGCCTATAGTTGAATCTTACTTAATTCAGCCTGACAGTCTTCACTTTCGATTGGATTATTTAATCCATTCATACGCTGTAATTGATAGGATTTCATTTATATTTTACATTTAGCTTTTTGTTTTTTATATATCTTCTATTTTTTAGTTTCTCCATTTGTTCTTTCTTGCATCCTTTTGCATTAAATATTTTCCAACATTTTAATTCAATTAATATTTTAGTTTTTGAGGTTTTTCTTAGCAGATACACTAGGGATTATGGTATAAATCTTAACTGATCATACTCTAGCTTTATAATGACTTAGTTACAATAAGATGTTAAAATATTCCACCTATACTGTTCATTTCCTTCTCCACTTTTTTATGCAGTTACTGGTATATATACTGTTTATATTTGATATAGACCTAACAGTACATGGTTATACATATTACTTTGTATTACCTTATGTATTTTAAAGAGGCTAACGAAAGAAGAAAAACAAAGACATATTTATAGATTTTGTTATAGCAACCCTTTTATTTACTGTTTCTTGCTCTCTTCATTTCTTGTGGATTTGAGCTACTAACTAGTGTCATTTGTTTGTGCCAATACAGCTTTTTTTTCACTCAACTGTTTTATGCTGTTATTGGCAAATGTATTACATTTCTAAAAGTTATAGGTTCAGCAGTGAAGTACATACATATACTTTTGAGACAATTGCTTTTTAAATCAGTAAAGAGAAGAAAAGAGGAAACAAAATGCAATTATACAGTCTTTTGCAACTACCAACATAATTAGCTTTACCTGCACTCATTGTTTTTTATTCTAATCTAATGTCTCGCTTTTATTTTAAAGAACTTCCTTTAGAATTTCTTGTAAGGTATGTCTTTAAGCAATGATTGTGAAGCTAAAATTGTCTTTATTTTTCATAATTTTTGGAACTTAGTTATAATTAGCAAAACACGAATATAAGACTCTTGATTTGCAATTCTTTTGTTTTGTTTTGTTTTCTTTTCCTACTTTCATCTCTTTGAATCTGTTGTACCATTCTGAAATTCATTGTTGAGATAAGAAGTCAGCCAACAGTCTTACTGGGATGCAAACATGCATACTGAGTCATTTCTCCATTGATGTTTTAAAGATTTTCTCTCTGTCTTTGACTTTTAACATTTGATTATGAGGTATCTGAATGTAGATCTCTTTGTGGTTATCCTCTTTGGAGTTTGTCATACCTCTTGAGTGAGCAGATTAAATTTTTATCAGATCTGGAAGTCTTTCAGCCCTTATTCCTCTATGTTGATTCTTCTTCTTTCTCTCCCTTCTCATACATATTTTCCGGGATAAATGTGTATCACATCCTTTCAGGCACTATTTTTCTTGAATTGTTCTTTGATTGGTGTTTCAGATTACATAATCTCTATTGATCTATCTTCAAGTTTGATCATTCTTTTATTCTCCCAATTCAAAACTATTTTTAAATTCCTCTGGTGAATGTCTAATTTGGGTTATTGCATTTTTCCAACTGCAGAATTTCCATTTCATTATTTATAATAATTTCTATGATTTTATCAATACTCTGTATTTAATAAGATACTTTCATTTTATCTTCTTGCATTTTTTTTTGCATAGTTTACTTTTTGAACATATTTACGGTAGCTACATTGGGTTTGTGATGGCTGATTTTATGGTGAACTTTACTGAGACAGGAAGTGCCAAAAATCGTTATTTCTATGAGTGTCTTTGAGAGTTTTCTGGATGAAATTAGTATCTGAATCAGTGCATTCAGTAAATTAGATGCATCTCCTCCAAATGTGCGTGGGTATTGTTTAATCTTGTGAGGGCCTGCATAAAATAAAAAGGTGGAGGAATGAGAAATTTGCCCTTTTTTTCTTCCTGCTTGCCTCCATAAACTAGGACCTCAGTCTTCTCCTGCCCTCTTTTGGGATTTATATCATCAGCTTCTCTGGTTCTCAGTCCTGTTGAAACAGCCTCGTTGTCTGAGTGCCACATGAATTTCTTTGTCTCACAGCCGAGGAAATCAAGGAAATGGACATTCCAAGGGTGAGGTTAGAGCAGAAGTTTAATAAGTGAAAGAGAGAAAGCTCTCTGCTGCAACCCCCAAAAAGGTTGCTGTTATTACAGTTGAATGCAAAGGCTCTTATAAACAACAAATGAGGGCTGGGCATCTCATTTGCATAAGGAGCAAATTTCTGGCAGCTCCACCCCAATCTGTTGTGCATATGGGCCCTTAGTTTGAGTTACTCCATATTGCTTTGCTCCCCTTACTGTGCCTGTGTTGAGGGATGGAATTTTCCATTGTGGGCATGTCTGGGCAAGTCACATGTGTAGCCTTTCTTATCTATGTGGCTGTGGGCATGTCTTAGGCAAGCCCCTCTGTGTAAGTTCCCTTATCTATGCCTGCAGCTTGAATTTTTAGGCTGTTCTTTGGTTTAAAACAATTTACCCAAGGACCCACCCTAACTGACTGCCTGACCAGTTTCTTCCTTTCTCCTCTCTCATTGTAGTCTCAGATACCACTAGCTTTCCTGAGTCTCAAGCTTGCAGATGGCAGACTGTGGGACTTCTCAGCCATCATAATTGTATGAGCCAGTTCCTCATAATATATTTTCCTATCTTTCATGCGTGTCCATGTGAAGAGACCACCAAACAGGCTTTGTGTGAGAAACTTGGCTGTTTATTTCACTGGGGTGCAGGTGGGCTGAGTCCGAAAAAGAGAGTCAGCGAAGGGAGATGGATTACCATTAGTTCTTATAGGTTTTGGGTTAGGTGGTGAAGTTAAGAGCAATGTTTTGCGGTCAGGGTGGATCTCACAAAGTACATTCTCAAGGGTGGGGAGAATTACAAAGAAACTTCTTAAGGGTGGGGGAGATTACAAAGTACATTGATCAGTTAGGGTGGGGTAGGAACAAATCACAATGGTGGAATGTCATCAGTTAAGGCTGTTTTTACTTCTTTTGTGGATCTTCAGTTACTTTAGGCCATCTGGATGTATACGTGCAAGTCACAGGGGATGCAATGGCTTGGCTTGGGCTCAGAGGCCTGACACTATCTATGTATCTATATGCATCTATTATCTACCTATCATCTATCTCCTACTGGCTTTGTTTCTCTGAAGAACCTTGACTAACATAAGGTTTTTGTCTTTTAGTTCCATCATCTGGGCCCCTTCAAAGACAGATTCTATTTCCTGTTTTTGGTTTCTAAGTATGTGTACACTTACTTGTTTGTTTATTTGTTTTTAGAAAGCTGGCCATTTCTGATGATACAGGATGGCAACTCTATATCCTGAGGGTCCCTTCCCAGAGGTTGCTGTTGTTGTTTCTTGCTTGGTCACTTTTTATTTGTTTGTTTGTTTCTTTATAGATTTTACTGAACTAATCCTGTAAAATACCTTTTCTTTGCATTTGAAAGCCTCCAATATTTCTGCTTAAATTATTTTCCCCTTATTTTTATATTTGAGCTGAACTTCCCATGAATCAGTGGGTTCAGTCACTCTTGAGTTGGCCTAAGCTGTTTATTTTATTTTACAAAGGGTTTACATAAGGCATCTGAGCTATTTAGATTTTACTGTTTGCTGTGAGATGACTCTGTGTGTGTGTGTGTGTGTGTTTGTGTGTGTCTGTATGTCTCTGTGTGTGACTTTTTATGTTCTAAGTTTCAGCTAGACACCACTAGTTTGAAGTCACCCTATTTCATCACTCCTAAGTGAATTTGGTCTTGGGATGCACGCAGTGTTCCAGAATGCCAGGAATTAAGTAATTTTGTTTTAATCCTAACTGTCTAGAATCACTCATGGTTCCCAGTAGCTTTTTATTCAATTAGTGGTTTTATTTAAGCCCTTATGTCAGTGGATCTTTTATCCTCTGTTGATGAGTCTGTCTGTGGCTTGTGGATACACTCAAGTCAACCCCACGTCTTGCTCTGATTGCTCCTGAGTGGGTGCAAACTAGATCATGTTACAAACTAGTGCACAAGCTCCCTAAATCCCAGGGTGTCTCTCATTCCAGAAGGCCTATTCTTGACTTTCTCATTCCTTGTTTCTCTCTATTAAACTTACTATGGAGCTACCAACTCCCTCTTATTTTTTCTTTAACAAGATCTCTTTCATTTTTTTTTATTACACTTTAAGTTTTAGGGTACATGTGCACAACGTGCAGGTTTGTTACATATGTATACATGTGCCATGTTGGTGTGCTGCACCTATTAACTCGTTATTTAACATTAGATATATCTCCTAATGCTATCCCTCTCCCCTCCCTCCACCCCACAACAGGCCCCGGTGTGTGATGTTCCCCTTCCTTTGTCCACGTGTTCTCATTGTTCAATTCCCACCTATGAGTGAGAACATGCAGTGTTTGGTTTTTTGTCCTTGCAATGGTTTGCTGAGAATGATGGTTTCCAGCTTCATCCATGTCCCTACAAAGGACATGAACTCATCATTTTTTATGGCTGCATAGTATTCCATGGTGTATATGTGCCACATTTTCTTAATCCAGTCTATCATTGTTGGACATTTGGCTTGGTTCCAAGTCTTTGCTATTTCATTTTTTTAACATCATCCTTTGGCATGAGGTTTTCCATTTTCCATTTCCACACAAATGAAGTGTAGAGGAAACAAAATTTCACCTCGATGCTCTTAGCGTTCCAAATGGGTCGAATAATTACACTGATCTAAGATATAGATTAATAGAGAAAAAGTCTAATACAAATTTTATGTAGCATTGGAGCCCTCATAAAGAAATGAAGACCCCAAAAAAACAAAGTCAGTTACTTATTTACTGAATTGGACAAATAGTCAACTTGAGAATGTGATAAGGCAAAGGGCCTTGGGTTAACACAGTTAACTGGGTAGAGAAGTAGCTAAAAAGATAAGGGTTGGTGTACTAACCCTTTAGAAGTAGCTAAAAAGATAAGGGTTGGCTTGAGTCTCAACTTTCTCGTCCTTGATTAGAATGTTTTTCTCTAGTATAGGGACGGTATCTTTCACATGGGAATTTTCTCTGTTTTTTTTTTGAGACGCACTCTTACTCTGTCGCCCAGGCTGGAGTGCCGTGGTGCGATCTTGGCTCACTGCAAGCTCCGCCTCCCGGGTTCACGCCATTCTCCTTCCTCAGCCTCCCCAGTAGCTGGGACTACAGGCGCCCGCCACCACAACCAGCTAATTTTTTGTATTTTTAGTAGAGACGGGGTTTCACCAGTTTAGCCAGGATGGTCTCGATCTCCTGACCTCGTGATCCGCCCACCTCGGCCTCCCAAAGTGCTGGGATTACAGGAGTGAGCCACTGCACCCGGCCCCGAATTTCTTCTGCTGTTAAGACATAGCATGAAGGTCAGAATGATCTTCTTGCACCTGCTGTTTTTCATGTGCTTTTAATTTACTGTTTATGCCAGGGTGGTACATTTTTAACTCCTTCAAAAGCCAGTCCCCTTAAGCAGAGCTTTTCCTGGAGACTCTCACTGCCTCTACAGTGTACGGAATTTTTAGAAGTACATTAAAATAATGCTAAGTACTTTCTTATTATGCAGAAGCAAATTGAATTTAAAAACTAATCTCAGATGAGTGTTAGCCATGTGTTTTGTTTTGTTTTAGCCTACTTAGTGAGATGTTTTAAAATCTGTGCATTATTTGATCATTTTTTCTGCTTTTGCTGTTGCGTAGTGCATTTTTGAGGGATATTTAATATTACCTGTTACTACTCACTAAATGTCAGTAGTACTATACCAATCATTGTGACTATCACAATGCTGTAGCAAATTTATAATGTATACACTTTTATAAGAATGTGGCCATAGCATATATATATTCTATAATTAGAGTGTTTATGACCATAATATATCTTTGACAAAATTTAATCTCAGTTTGCGAAGATCTACCTCATTTTTAACTGCTATTTAGTTTCAATATTATGTATGTATTTTATTTTTCTATTCCAAAACTAATATTAGGTTGCCCTCTGTTAAAATTTTCCAGGTGGATTCGATTCCAAAGGCTCCTATTTAAAAACCTTTAAAAGTAATTTCTTTCAGATTAATTCATTATCACCATAGTTAGACCAAACAAAAATTATTTTAAAATATGTCATGCCTTTTAGCTTAAATTTTACTTTTCACAAACATGATTTCTTTTGATTTTCCCAACCTACTAAGATTCTATTATCATATGTTGTAGAGGAAAAAATGAGGATCAAAAGGGCTAAGCAATTTTGAAATGATTGAACAACATTAAGAGTCAGAGGGAAATTTAATAGCAGGTGGTTATGGCTCTTCTTTTCCACTCTAAGGCAGGGCCACTCTCCTATGTCTGATCTAACCACTTCACACTTCTACCAATAGTCTTGAATTCTGGTCTTTTAAAATATTTCTTCCTTCATCCAGCTTTCCTGAGTAGGATCTAGTGTGTAAATTGAAATGTCCCTTCCAAAGAAAGCCTATAAGCAATGAAATTGTTTAGAAATTGGGGAAATGTCTGTTACCTTGCCTACAAGATCCTATTCCATTTATCGATTGCAATTGCCTCGATCAAAGCTGAAGGGCACATGAAATTCACTATGAAGCCTGCAAACTGCAGAACTTGTGGCATTTATTTCTTTAGTTTGTTTCAGTACAAAACCTTGAAATTTGCCCTTGTATTCTGAACAGATTTTTAACAAGCATTATTGCTATTGTGTGTTTAATATCAAAGAATAAACAAAGACAATTCCCTTGAAAAAATTATGCTAATTGATTGAAAAGCATCAAAAACATTTACAATTCTTTTAATGAGTAGATAATTCTGCATTGATTTTTTTGAAACACAAGCATTTTCTGGCATAGAAATATGCCAGATCTCTATTGGTTATATTTTGCTTATATTTTTCTCTAAGTCAATATTATGAATGCTATGTTTCTATTGCTACACATACATTATTTTACCTCTAGTTGACAATGAAAAACAGCAGACTAGCCAATTATATAAAAGGATCATAAGAGAAAATATATTTTCATTTTCTGGAAATTGTATTTCTCCCAAATCTCATCTTCATAGAGTCTACAAATTCATTTTCCTTAGATTAAAATTGCTTCCAGACAAAAAATCCAGAATGATAATTGGAGTATTATCTTCCTAGTTGGAAGTCAAAAATAGATACTTTTTTTTCTTCTGTTTAGGTAATAATAGTTCTCATCCAAAATAGGAATCTGGCAAAGAAAATGAAGGAGGGAGAGAGAGTCGCATGGTTTGACTTTGATTTTTTTCCATGTAATAATCAGGAGATAATTCTGATCGCATGCATCATCTGGTGCGAGAATAACGCCCATTCAATTGAGCCTTTTCATCTCTAAAGGCCATTTTATCCTCAACTTTATAGTCACCTTTCTTGACTACAGTCGCAATAGTTAACTCTGTAAGTTTGAAGATATTATGGGAAGTTGAGGGATCTAAAGAGCATGTGAATAGGCTGACACTGCATCAGGGAAAATAAAACAAAACAAAAACAAAATAGCCTGTCATTTATGGAAGAACATTTTGGGCTCTTTAATGTGAGTTAAGAAGAACATATTTTACCTCTTATAATAGGATGTTATTAATGGTCGAAAATATGCTACTAAAATAGAATCAAGCTGGAGAAACCCACCCCCAACTATAAGAAATGTGGCTTGGAAATATAAAAGGACTCACACTGAAGAATAGTCCTAAGAATGTTAGATATGTGGTAATGTCTTCAGTGGTTCCAGCTCTGTTTGATGACATAAAATAATCCATTCTGGAGAAAAACTTTATGAATTTTTGGGATGTGGGAATGCTTCATTTTCTCACATCCATTCAAAGACACATGATAATGCATATTAGAGATGGACCTTGAAAATATAAGAATGCACACCTAACTGAAACCCAAGTAGTATGGAAGTACTGAAAAGCTCTCCATTTCAACAATTATTTTAAAAGTCACATGAAAACTACTAGAATGAAATTCTACAAATGTAAGTAATATGGAAATCCTGAAACAAATTAATTATTGTATAGTGCTTGAGAAAATTCAAAACATGAAAGAAATAGTATATGAGTTACACATATATTGTGTTTATCAGTGGTTCATTATGAAAGAGGGTCTCTGCGCTACAATTTTCACTGCTTTTGCAAGGGAACATTGAGGTGAGAATTGCTCAGATACTTCGTAATCAACAGTATGAGTTTAACGGGCAGTGGTTTTTTTTAAGCCAGTTAAAGTATTTTTCTATCCATTTTAAAGTGTGTTGAATCTTAGAGTGAACTAAAATGTATTCCTAATATATAGGTAGGTTTAATTTTTATATAGTTGTTTAATTCTTCTGTGATTAATAGGCCATTGAAAAATGAGTATTTGATTATTGTTGAGATTTTTCTTATTCACCTTATCTGGAAGGTTCTGAATATCCTCACCCATTTTATATATTCCACCTTTTATTCATATGGGAAAAACTTCTCTTTTTTGGTGTAAAAATATTTATCTTATTTTCTTGCTAATAAAGAGTTGGGGTTAATCTGTAAGGATGTAAAGTTTATTATGGAGTATAGTCTCATGTGAAATATTATTTTCATATATTGCCCTTTACTGTTTGTCATTATTTCTGCTTGTTATTTGGATATTTCACTTGAATTAAAGAGAGCACTGTGATAGAACAATATATTGTGTCTAATCTGAGAGAGAAAACCTCCAGTCTCACCCTCAAGTATAATGTTAGATCTGGGTTTTTAATAACTGCCTTAATGAAGGTTGAAAAAAAGAAAATACTGTAACATGTTTATTCATTTAGATATTTAGAAAGTTATAAATATTTTATACATTCTTGAGATAATTCTTTAGAAAACAAGAAATTTCTTGTTGCATATAATGTGTATGCAACACATTAGATCAGTAATATAACAAGCTATGTGGAAGAATAACAGCAGTAAAAGGCAATTATATATTAATACATTTAAACAATAAGAATTATCGATTACATTATTAAAAATCAAAGAAGATTGATGACTGACAGGCCTGTTAATATGTGTTGCATGGTAATTGTTTGGGTGTCTGTGTGCATATGTGTACACATATACACAAATACATATATATGTATAGTTATATATTATTTATAAAACCATCAAATCATCAATTTTAACATAAATTTACATCATAATGTTTTATATAATCTCTAATTATAACTTGCATATTCTTTTATCAACTTATTTTCTATATAAAAATTTCTAAGGTCCTCAAGCTGCCATTATATTCCTCAGGACAAAGGGCGTTTTAGTCTTTACATTTTAAAGTAATTTATAATAATGTGAGATGATGGATATGTTAATTTGCTTGATGCAGTAACCACTTTACTATTTATATGTAGCAAAACGTCATATTGTACATTTTAAATACATACAATAAAAATGAGTAGACTAATTTATGATTTATGTTATTACTTAGTCTTTAAAAATTTCATGAACAATTATTTGGTTAAATATTGCTTTTTACTTTGCAGATAAAACCAAATTTTTTTTTTAAATGAAATAAAGCAAACTGCCTTTGTGTAGGCATTTCTTTTTCAAACATCTGTAGACACTTAACAGCTTTTATCACTGGTGAGAGAGGTGGCTCATGCCTGTAATCCCAGCACTTTGGGAGGCTGAGGCAGGTGGATCTCTTGAGGTCAAGAGTTCAAGACCAACCAGGCCAACTTGGTGAAACTCCGTCTCTACTAAAAATACAAAAATTAGCTGGCGTAGTGGTGCACGCCTGTTAATTGCAGCTAGTCTGGAGGCTAAGGCAGGAGAATTGCTTGAACCCAGGAGGCAGAGTTTGCAGTGAGCCGAGATTTCACCACTGTACTCACATCTGGGCAACAGGGCAAGACTCCATCTCCAAAAAAAAAAAAAAAATAGATTTTACAACAAATCTATTTCAAATTATGTAGTATTACTTACACGTTAAATGTATTGTGCATGGAAGTCAATGCTTTAAAGATTTTAAAATATTTTAAATATGATTGTTTTAGTTAAATAGAATTTGACTATGTTAAGTAATTTGTCCAAATGATTGTATATTTTGGATTAAAAATAAGTTTGCAACAAACTTTTATTTCAAAATACTAACATCTGTGTTTATCTAAATCAAAAACGTGATAAAGTTCTATTTCAAAAAATAAAATAAAAATTTCAGAATACATAAAGTAGAAATTAAAAGACTTTCTTAATTTTAACTTTCTGTATACTTGCTATTAGTTTATAATATATAGACTATCTTAAGTTAAACATTGGCATTTGTAATAACAGGTGCTGTACATATGTGTGTGTGTGTGTGTGTGTGTACATATGTCTCTGTGTCTCTGTGTATATGTATGTGTGTGTGTTAGAATTAAAAAAGGAATCAAGAAGCTGAGGTGGGAGAGTAGCTTGAGCCCAGGAGTTTGAGGCTACAGTTACATGCTCACACTCCTGCACTCCAGCCTGGGCAACAGAGTGAGACCAAGTCTCAAAAAAATAAAAATAGAAAAAGGAATCATTGCATGTGAGAATACATGAAACTCTTTTTGTGTTCATTAGCTACAGAATGTTTCATTGTTTGTAGTCCCATAAAGTGAAATAAGTTAATTAGTCTGCAAAAACTCTACAGTATTAACAAAAAATACATAATTTAAAAACAAATGGACAAAGAGAAAATGTGTAAGGGCCAGTAAAGCAGAGCATAGTTGTTAAAGGACTTGTTAACATATTATAATAGGCTGTTAGATAAACTACAGCAAACATTCTTTTGAAGTCACTACTATGCTCAAAATCATTAAAAGAGCATCCTATGGGCCTTAGAAAAAAACAATATGTAAAAAGCTGAGACTGATCAGGCTGCTCCCAGAACATATAAACTTATCATTCATAGGGTGTGGAGAGAAAATGTTAATGCCAGAGTGAAACAAAGGCAGTGAGTCCATGAAATATTCCAAAGCTCCAAAATGGAGCTAAACCTGAAAGGACTTCTTTAAGTCAAGATCCAATAAGAGGGAATGCTCAATTGCTTATATGACATTGACGTTATTTCTTTCTCACATGGCAGTCCATAGGTGAATGCTCCAATATTGGTAGAGTTTCTCCTCTGTGGAATTATCCAGGACCATAAAATGGCAGATTGGTGTTAGTCATACTAAGCTTATGGCTTCCATCACTAGGTCTACAGTTTAATATTATAGAAGCCATTTCTGTCCATATGATCGGTAAAGACGGCAAAAAAGGTTATCAGTTGACATGTACTTTTGAATAAATTCAGGGTATTTGAATTGGCAATATGTACGAATATTTGACACATGCATACATCTTTGGTACAATGATTCTACTTCTAAGAATTTTATTTATAGAGGAATTATGTAGATGTGTACAAATATGTGAACAGTAATGTAGCATAGCATTGATTATATGATTAAACTATGTAATCTCTATTTTTTAAAAAATTTATGTGTTACTGGTGATTTAAAGTAGCCTTGTTTTTCAGACCTTAGTTAATAAACATAAAAGAATAAGGAGAGATTTCTGAAATGTAATTTTAAGAAGAAAATATTTTTAAATGTTTAAAAGTGGAAGAATTTATTTTATCTTCCTTTCCGGATGTTAAAAAGCCAGAATCCCCCAAATTAAATGCATAATATTGCATATTATATATTTATGTAATTTGATTGTATTTGCATATATATACACATATGTGTATAAATATATATATATACACATATGTATATAACTAAATGAAATTACTAGAAATATGAACTAATGAAAATAATAGATAGTGTTAGAGAAAGGACATGGGCTTGGAGAAACATTTATCTCAATTTGAATCCCACCTCTACTATCTGTGAGATTTTCAACAAATTATTGATTTTCCCTCATTTTCAATTTCATTACTTGAAGAATCAGTCCAACGAAGACTTTATTTGTGTAACCATGGATACTAGATGAGGCAGTGTTTGTAAAGTACTCAGTACAATGCTAAGAAGTAAGTGCTCAACAATGTTAGTTTTATTGCTGTTTTTGTTGTTTTCATTATTGTTACTGACATACATATTTATTAAAGCTATCTCTGAAATCATCTGTGTCAATAATTGTACACATACCGTTTTTAAAGAGGTTAACCAGGCTCTGCTACAATATTTCCAGGGACAGGGACAACATTATATTTTAAGAGATCCCACAACCTGTAAGTATTATAATTGTACATAACTGTTGCTATACAAAATATACCCCAGTATATGTTAGTAAAATGTATAACTTTAATATTTTAAATATATATCCAAAATTCTTGTGTTTTCCTAAAAATATATGAGTAAGTAATTCATACATTTAAGGTATTTTATTATTTAGAATAAAATCAAAAGTAACTATAAAGGATAACTAGCATATAATCAATTAGATGAGACAAAATGCAGTTATGGATTTCCTTTGAAAGCCAATTTTTTTTAAAAAAAACATATATTGAAGATGGAAGGCTTATACCTTGCAAAACAAGGCTTATATCTTAAGCCATTCTTGAAAAATAATGTTTAATATTTAGGAAAATGGCAGACTTGTACCCTTCCATATTTCTATTATAATAGACTTATTTTGAAAATTAGATTTTGCTTATTAGCATGTTAAATTTCATTTTGCTGGGAGAGGGAGATTAATGAGCTTAAAGCAATAATTGCCTAGGCACCTGTAAGAAAGCACTCATATAGAGGAAGCCTTTGATTTTAGTTTTCTTAAATACAGATCTCTTAGATTGCTTTCTTTTTGCACATAGCTAGAATGTAATTAAAATAGATAATTAGAGAAAGTAATTACTGAGTACTTCTTTCATCCTTGTGCATTCATTAAGGATTATATATAAATCTAAATTAGCCCGAAATGTACAGTAGTTGACAGTTTGAAAACTATCTTGAAGTATAACATTAAGAACAGTCATTTTTTCTCATAAATGTGTGTGTTTAACTTGGAACCATGCACAGTTCTATTAATTTGTATAACTGGGGTTTTAAAATGATGCAAAGTAGTGAATGATGGACTAGCAGAAAAATCTAAATTTCTATTTTATATTTATTTTAAATAAAAAGAAAGAGATTTATTTTCCTTATTCTATTTTACTTGTTTATAATTTTATATCCCCAACATTTTGCTGAGTCATTATTATTTCTTTTCTTTTCTTTTCTTTTCTTTTCTTTTCTTTTCTTTTCTTTTTTTTCTTTTCTTTTCTTTTCTCTTCTTTTTTGAGAGGGAGCCTCGCTCTGTTGCCCAGGCTGGAGTGCAGTGGCGTGATATTGGCTCACTGCAACCTCCTCCTCCCAGGTTCAAGCGGTTCTCCTGCCTCAGCCTCCTGAGTAGCTGGGACTACAGGTGTGCGCCACCATGCCCAGCTAATTTATTTGTTTTTAGTAGAGTCGGGGTTTCACCATATTGGCCAGGATGGTCTCAATCTCCTGACCTCGTGATCCGCCCACCTTGGCCTCCCAAAGTGCTGGCACTACAGGAGTGAGCCACTGCACGTAGGCTGAGTCATTATTATTTTTATTATTTCTATAAGATAAACTCTATGCAAATTGATAGCTTTTCCAACTTAATTGTCCTGTTCAGAATATGAGCTAAGGTCAATTTTTCTTATTATTAAAAACAAAGCACCAAACAATGTGAATTGTTACTGCATTATAGTCATTGGTGTCTCCTACTGGAAGTAAACTCCAAATATGTTAATTGTATAGAATTCCAACCCAAATAAAGAATCATAGAAGAATCCCTAGTGTTACTAGATATTAACATTTGCAATCTTGAGTAAATTAGATTATGATGTGAATTGAATGAATTTACAGGCAAACCTTGTTATATTGCACTTCCTTTTACTGCACTTTGCAGATACAGTCTTTTTTTAACAAATTGAAGATTTGTGGCAACCCTGCATCCAGCAAGTCTATTAGCAACATTTTTTCAACAGCATATGCTCACATCATGTGTTTGTGTCACAATTTGGTAATTCTCACAATATTTCAAACTTAATATTGATTATTATTAAATCTATTTTGGTGATCTGTGACCAGTGATCTTTGATGTTGCTATTATAATCGTTTTGGGGAATCCCAAACCAAACTTATAAAAGACAGCAAACTTAATTGATAGCGGGAGTGTGCGTTCTGACTGCTCTACTGACCACCGTTTCGCTTGTCTTCTCACCTTCTCTTAGGGTCTCTCTGTTCCTTGAGACAAAACAATATTGAAATTTGGCCAATTAATAACCATACTGGGGCCTCTAAGTGTCCAAGTGAAAGGAAAAGCTGCATATCTCACCTTTTAAATCAAAAGCTAGAAATGATTAAGTTTAGGTAGGAAGACATGTCAAAAACCAAGAAAGGCCCAAATTAGGCCTCTCGCACCAGTTAGCCAAGTTAGAAAAGCAAAGAAAAAGTTCTTAAAGGAAATTAAAAAGTACTACTTCCGTGAATACATAAAGAATAAGCAAAACAGCTTTATTGCTGATATAAAGAAAGTTCGAGTGATCTGGGTAGATGATCAAACCACAATATTCCCTTCAGACAAAACCTAATTGAGGGCCAGTATTAACTCTATTGAATTCTAGGAAAGTCAAGAAAGGTAAGGAAGCTACAAAAGAAAATTTGAAGCTAAGAGAAATTAGTTCATGAGGTTTAAGGAAAGAAGCTGTTTTTATAACATAAATGTTCAAGATGTAATAGCAAGTGCTGATGTAGAAGTTGCAGCCAGTTTTCCACAAGATCTAGCTAAGAAAATCAATGAGGGGGGCTACACTAAACAACAGATTTTCAATGTACATAAAGCAGCTTTCTATTAGAAGAATAGACCACCTAGGAGTTTTAGAGCTAGAGAGGAATCAATGCCTGACTTCAAAGCTTCAAAAAATAGGCGGCAAGTTGGTGGAATAGTAAGCCACCAAGGGCTACAGCTCTCTGTGACTCCAAGTGAAGTTGAAAAGCATTCTAGGCCATAAGAACTGCAACTCTTAGGTGAGTCCTACGGCTGAACTAGGCCCAGAGAAGGGTAACTAGGGAGTCACATGACGTACTGAGATAGAAGCTGGGGTAGCCAAAGGAGTTCCGGCAAGGGAGTTCCCCTAACCTCAGGCTGCACACCTCAGAGCTCCAAAAGCGACTCTTCCCTTCTGCATGAGGGGAGCAAAGGGAAGAGCAGATAGGACTTTGTTTTGCATTTTGGATACCAGTTCAGCCACAGAAGAACTCTGGACACCAGCCAGAGTTGTGAGGTCCCTGTTCCAAGCCCTAGCTCCCAGATGACATTTCTAGACATACCCTGGGCCAAAGAGAATCTGCTGCCTTGAAGAAAAGAACCCAGTCCTGGCACCATTCATCACTTGCTAGTTAAAGAGTCCTTGGACCCTGAATAACCAGCAGTGATACCCAAGTCCTACATCAAGGGCCTTTGTGAGCCTCTGAAACTTGCTGGCTTAAGGTGAGACTCAGCATTCTACCATCTGTGGTGGCTACAGGGCAAAACTCCTTCGGCTTGAGAAAAGCAGAGCAAAAATTAAAGGGGACTTTATCTTTCACCTTTAGGTATCAGCATGCCCACAGCAGGGTGGAGCACCAAGCAGCGTGTTGGAATCCCTGATTCTAGGACTAAAGTCTTAGATGGCATTTCTGGACCTGCCCTGGGCCAGACGGGAGCCCACTTCCCAGAAGGTGAGTCCCAGGCCAGGCAGCATTCAGGACAAGCTAACTTAAGAGACCTTGGGCCTTAAGGAAATATTGGCAGTATTCTGGAAGTACTCTTTGTGACCTGGGGTGGTGGTGACTCTGGGGTGAGGCTCCCCTGCCATTGGAAAAAAACAGGGAAGAGTGGGAAGGACTGCATCTTGTGGTTGGAGTACCAGCTCAGCTGCAATACAATAGAATACCAGGTAGACTTCTACAATTTTTGACTCTAGTCCCTGACTACTGGACTGTACTTCTGGACTCACCCAGGACCTGGTGGACCTCGCCATCCTGAAGGGAATGACACAAGCCTTGCTGCCTTTAATATCTACTGATAGTCGAGTCTCAGGGCCTTGAGCTAACATAGGTGGTGGCCTGGGAGTGGTTACAGCAGGCCTTGGGCAAGACTTAGTGCTGTGTTGGCTTCAGATCAGACTCAGCACAGTTATAGTGATGGTGGCCACAGGGGTGCTTGTGTCACTCCATCCCCAGCTTTAGGTAACTCAGAACAGTGAGAGAGAGAGAGAGAGAGAGATTCTGTGTGTTTGGGAGGTTGTAAGGGAAGAGAACAATAGTCTTTGCCTGATAATCCAGAGAATTCTCCCAGATCTTGTCCAAGACCTTCTAAGGTGGTATGGTACCTCTACAAGTCTGCAAGAACCACAGTATTACTGGGCTTTGGGTACCCTCTAAAGCAGATGGAGTTTAGATCACAACACCCAAGTCATTTCAAATACCCAGAGAGACTTCCCAAGAAGGACAGCTACAGATAAGCCTGGACATTGATGACTACAATAAATACCCAACTCTTCAATGCCCAGACACCAAAGAACATCTACCAGCAATGACACCATCCAGGAAAACATGGCCTCAACAAATGAACTAAATAAGGCATTAGGGACCAATCCTTGAGAAACAGAAATAAGTGACATTTCCCATAGATAATTCAAAATAGCTGTTTTGAGGAAACTCAAAGAAATGTATGATAATACAGGAAAGGAATTCAGAATCCTATCAGATAAATTTAATAAACAGATTGAAATAATTAAATATAATCAAGCAGAAATTCTAAAGCTGAAAAATGCAATTTGCATACTAGAAAAAGAATTAGAGTCCTTGAATAGAAGAATTGATCAAGCAAAAGAAAGAATTAGTGAACTTGAAGATAGGTTATTTGAAAATACACAGTCGAAGAGACCAAAAGAAAAAGAATAAAAAGCAATGAAGCATGCCTACAGCATGTAGAAAATAGCTTCAAAAGGGCAGATCTGCAACTTATTGGCCTTAAAGAGGAGGTAGAGAAAGAGATAGGAGTAGAAAGTTCATTCAAAGGGATAATAACAGAGAACTTCCCAAATCTAGAGTAAGATATCAATATCAAAGTACAAGAACACTACAGAATACCAAGCAGATTTAGCTTGAAAAAGCATACCTCCAGGCACTTAATAATCAAACTCCGAATGTTCAAAGATAAAGAAAGGATCCTAAAAGCAGCAAGAGAAAAGAAACAAACAATATTTAATGGAGCTCCAACATATCTGGTGGTTGACTTGTCAGTGGAAACTTTACAGGTCAGGAGAGAGTGGTATAACATGTATAAAGTGCTGAAGAAAAATAACATTTATTAGAAGAGTATATCTGGTGAAAATATATTTCAAACATGAAGAAGAAATAAAGACTTCCCCAGACAGGTAAAAGCTGAGGGATTTCATTAATACCAGACCTTTTCAACAAGAAATATTGAAAGAAAGAAAAGAACATTAGTGAGCAATAAAAAATCACCTGAAGGTACAAAACTCACAATAATAGTAAGGTAGAAAACTCACTGGAAATAGAATATTATAACACCGTAACTGTGGTGTGCAAACTACCCTTATTCTAAGTAGAAAGACTAAAGGATGAACCAATCTAAAATAATAACTACAACAACTTTGCAAAACACATTCAGTACAAACAATATAAATAGAAACAACAAAAAGTTAAAAAGTGGGGGGATGAAGTTAAGGTATATTATTTTTATTAGTTTTCTTTTTTCTTATTTGTTTATGCAAATGATGCTGTTATCAGGTTAAAATAATTTGTTATAATATAGTATTTGCAAGACTCCTAGTAACCTCAAACCAAAAAACATACAGTGGACACACAAAAAATATTATATCACCAGAGAAAATCACCTTCACTAGAGAAAGATAGGAAGGAAATAAGGAAGAAAAAAAATAAAGAAAACAGAAAACAAATAACAAAATGGCAGGGGTAAGTCCTTACTTAATGTAAAAATGTAAATGAACTAAACTCTTCAATCAAAAGAATAGACTGGATGAATGGATGAGATAAATAAGACCCATTGATCTGTTGCCTACAAGAAGCACACTTCACCTATAAAAACACAAATAGAGTGAAAATAAAGAGATAGAAAAAGATATTTCATGCCAATGGAAACCAAAAAAGAGCAGGAGTCACTTTGCTTATATCAGTCAAAATAGACTTCAAAACAAAAACTATAAGAAGAGACAAAGAAATTCACTATATAATGATAAAGGAGTCAATCCAGCAAGAGGATGTAACAATCTTAAATATATATGCACTCAGCACTGGAGGACTCAGATATATAAAGGAAATATTATTAGAGCTAAAGAGATAGATAGGCCCCAATACAATAATAACCAGATACTTCAACACCCCACTTTCAGCATTGGACAGATCTTCCAGACAGAAAATAAACAAAGAAACATCAGACTTAATTGGCTCTATAGACCAAATGGATCTAATGGATATTTACAGAATAGTTTCACCTAATAGCTGCAGAATACACATTCTTTTCTTTAGCACATGGATTATTCTGAAGGATAGACCATATTTTAGGTCACAAAACAAGTCTAAAAACATTCCAAAAAATTGCAATCATATCAAGCGTCTTCTATGACCACAGTGGAATAAAACTAGAAATAAATAACATGAGGAATTTTGGAAACTATACAAATATATCAAAGTTAAACAACATCCTCCTGAATCACCAGTGGGAAAATGAAGCAATAAAGAAGAGATTTGAAAACATTTTTGAAACAAATGATAATGGAAACACAACTTACCATACCTATGGGATACAGAAAAAGCAGTACTAAGAGAGAAGTTTGTAGCTATAAGTGCCCACATCAAAAAAGAGAAAAAAACTTCAAACGAACAATCTAATGGTGCATCTTAGAAATTAGAAAAGCAAGGACAAACCAAACTCAAAATTAGTAGAAAAAAATGCGTAGTAAAGATCAGAGCAGAAAAAAATGAAATTGAAATTAAAAAAAAAACAGTGAAAAAAAATTTGTTTTTTTGAAAAGTTAAACAAAATTGACAAACTTCAGCCAGATTGAGAAAAAAAAGAGAGAAAATCCAAATAAATAAAATCAGAAATTTAAAAAGAGACATTAAACTGATATTGCAGAAATTCCAAAGATCATTAGTGGCTACTTTGAGCAACTATATGCCAATAACTTAAAAAATCTAGAAGAAGTGGACAAATTCCTAGACATATACAACCTGCCTAGATTGAATCAGGAAGAAATTCAAAACCTGGTTAGACCAATAACAAGTAACAGGATCAAAGTTGTAATAAAAATGGACAAATGGGATAACATCAAGCTAAAAAATCTTCTGTAAAGAAAAAGATAATCAACAGAGTGAAGAGACAACTCACAGAATGGGAGAAAATATTTACAAACTACCCACTTGACAAGAGATTAATAAGCAGAATATATAAGGAGCTCAAACAACTCTATGTGAAAAAATCTAATAATCCAGTCAAAAGATGAGCAAAAAATATGTATAGACTTTTCTCAAAAGAAGACAAACGAATGGCAACCAGGCATATGGAAACGTGTTCAACATCATTGATCATCATAGAAATGCAAAGTAAAACTATAATGAGATATCATCTCATCCCAATTAAAATGATTTATATACAAAAGACAGGCAATAAAAAATGCTGGAGAGGGTATGGAGAAAAGGGAACCCTTGTACATTGATGGTGGGAATGTACATTAGTACAACAACCATGGAGAACAGTTCAGAGGTTCTTATAAAACTTAAAATTAAGCTGTCATATGATCCAGTAATCTCACCACTGGACATATATCCGAAAGAATGGAAATCAGCATATTTGAGAGATAGCTGCACTCCTATGTTTGTTGTAGCACTGTTTACAATAGCTAAGATCTGGAAGCAACCTAAGTGTCCATCAACAGACAAGTGGATAAAGAAAATGTGGTACATATACACGATGAAGTACTATTCAGTCATATAAAAGAATGAGATCCAGCCATTTTCAACAACATGGATGGAACTGGGCATCATTATGTTAAGGTCATCCAAACTGGAAATTAAGAAGTCAAATTATCCTTGTTTGCTGATGATATGATCTTATATTTGGAAAAATCTAAAGACTTCCCAGGAAAACTGTTAGAACTCATCAACTGATTACAGATTTATTTCACAAACGTAATGATCTCCAGTTCCATCCATGTTGTTACAAATGACTGGATCTTACATGATAAACATCACATGTTCTCACTTATTTGTGGGATTTAAAAATCAAAACAATTGAACTCATGGACACCAAGTAGAAGGATGGTTACCAGTGGCTGGGAAAGGTAATGGAGGGTTGGGGGGAGGTGGGCATGATTAATGAGTACAAAATCAGTTACAAAGAATGAATAAGACCTACTTTTAATAGCACAAGAGGGTGACTATACTCAATAATCACTTAATTGTACATTTTAAAATAACTTGAATAGTGTAACTAGATTGTTTCTAACTCAAAGGATAAATCCTGGAAGGGATGGAAACCCCACTTTCCATGATGTGTTTATGTCACATTGTATGCTTGTATCAAAACAACTCATGTACCCCATAAATATATACACCTACTATGTACTCAAAAACATTAAAATAAAAACTAATAAAAAAAGCTTCAAAAAACAGGCTGACTTTCTTGGTAGGGGCAAATGCAGCTGATGGCTTTAAATTGAAGCCTATGCTCATTTACCATTCTGAAGTATTTAGGGCCCTTGAGAATTATGCCAAATCTACGCTGCCTGTCCTGTAGAAATGGAACAACAAAGCCTGAATGACAGCACGTCTGTTTATAGCCTGGTTTCCTGAGTATGTTGAGTCCACAGCTGAGACTTAAGCAGCTGAGACTGCTTAGAAAAAAAAAATTATTTCATAATATTACCTCTCATTGACCATGTATCAGGTCACCCAAGAGCTCTGATGGAGACGTACAAGGGGATTAATGATGTTTTCATGCCTATTAACACAACATCCATTCTGCAGCCCATGGATCAAAAAGACATTTTATATTCGATTATTCTTGTTTAAGAAATACATTTTGTAAGATTATAGCTGCCACAGATACTGATTCCTCTGATGGATCTGGGAAAAGTAAATTGAAAACCTCCTGGACAGAATTTATCATTGTAGATGCCTTTAATTGTAATTATGTAATTACAATTGTAATTACATTTGTAATTCATGGGAGGAAGTCAAAATATCTACATTAACAGGCATTTGGAAGAAGTTGACTCCAGCCTTCACTGATGACTTTGAGGGATCAGGACTTCAAGGGAAGACAAAACTACATATGTGGCAGAAATAGCAAGTTAGTTAGAATCAGAGGTGAAGCCTAAAGATGTGACTGAATTGCTTAAATCTAATGATAACCTTGAATGAATGAGAAGTTCTTTTTATAGATGATCAAAGAAAGTTGCTTTTATTTTTTTTCATTGTTTAGGACAGGGTGTTGCTGTCACCCAGGCTACTGTGCAGTGGCAAGACATAGCTCATTGCAGCCTAGAACTCCTGAACTTAAACAATCCCTCCACCTCAACCTTCCAAGTGGCTGGGCCTACATGTATGCACCACAATACCCAGCTAACTTTTCTTATTATTATTACTCTTAGTTTGTAGAAACAGGGACCCACTGTGTTGCCCAGTCTGGTCTCAAATTCCTGGCTTTAAGTAATCTGCCTCAGCCTCCCAAAGGGCTGGGATTAAAGATGTGAGCCGCCACACCCAGGTAGAGAATTGGTTTTTGAGATGGAATTTACTCCTGATGAAGATGCTCTAAATATTGATGAAATTACAACAAAGAATTTAAAATTTTATTTCAACTTAGTTGTTAAAAAAGTAGCAGGGTTTGGCAGGGTTGAATCCAATGCTGAAATAATTTCTACTGTGAGGAAAATGATATCAAAAACAGCATCATATTCTACAGAGGAATCTTTCCTGAAAGGAAGATTCAGTCCAGCAAACTTCATGACTGTCTTATTTTAAGTAATTGCCACAGCTACCTCAATTCTCAGTATCCACAGCCCTGATCAGTTAGGAGCCATTAACATCAAGGACCAGACTCTCCGTCGAAAAAATATTACAACTCACTGCACGCTCAGATAATTGTTAGCATTTATTTTCAACAATTTTTTTTTTTTTTTGAGACGGAGTCTTGCTCCGTCATCAAGCTGGAGTCCACTGGTGTGATCTCAGCTCACTGCAACCTCCACCTCTTGGGTTAAAGGATTCTCCTGCCTCAGCTTCCCGAGTAGCTGGGAGTACAGGCACGTGCCACCATGCCCAGCTAATTTTTTTGTATTTTTATTAGAGACAGGGTTTCACCATGTTGGCCAGGATGGTCTCGATCTCCTGATCTCATAATTCGCCTGCCTTGGCCTCCCAAAGTGCTGGGATTACAGGCAAACAAAATATTTTTAAATTAACGTATATTCATTGCTTTTGTAAGACATAATGCTATGGGACACTTGATGGACTATAATATAGCATAAACATAACGTTTATATGGACTGGAAAACTGAGAAGTTTATGTGACTTACTTTATTGCAATGTTTACTTTATTGCTGTGGTCTGGAACTGAACCTGCAATATCTCTTAGGTATTTCTGTAATTTTATAATTACAGTATTTCCTTTTTTCTCCCTTTATCCTACTCATAGATGCCTGCCTTATATTGTTTATGTATTCAAGGCCCATAAATAATTTATTTTCCCATCAAATGTTATACATTTTATAGAAAAAAAAGAATGTAGAAACTAAACAAGTATGTTAAAACTGTTAAAAAATAAGATTTAGTTTTTTCAGGCATGTTTTATCATTTTAGAGAAATCAGTTCTGAGCAACATATACCAGATAGTTTCATATTATAAGGGGAGTAGATACACACACATACATATGTATATATACACATATATATTTACACATACATATATGCATGTATATATATAAACAAATTAAGGTATATAACATATATTTTAAATTTTTCCCTTGTTAACTTAAATTTCAATATTTCTTCAGTGTTGTCAAATATTAAACCACAGTAATTTTTATGTTAATCACTCAAGTAGAGATAATGTAAAGAAATAGAAGATTTGAAAGACATTCATGAAGAGAGGGAGAGGGAAGAAGCTTGCCCTACAAGATATTGGGAAATTGTATATCTATAGTATCTGATATGGTTTGACTCTGTGTCCCTGCCCAAATCTCATCTCCAGTTGTAATCCTCACATGTCAAGAGAGGAAGGTGATTGGATCATGGGGGCACTTTACCCCATGCTGTTCTCGTGATAGTGAGTGAGTTCTCACATCTCATGGTTTTGTATTTGGAAGTTCCTTCTTTTTTTTCTTTTCCATGTTGCCTTGTAAATAAGGTGCCTGCTTCCCCTTCCACCATAATTGTAAATTTCCTGAGTCCACCCCAGCCATGCAGAATTGTGAGTCAATTCAACCACCTTTGTTTGTAAACATGTCCAGAACATGTCACAGACTTTCCCAGCAGCCCCTCCCATCACAGGCCCAGAGGGGTAGAAGGGAAAAATCGTTTTGTGGGCAGGGCCCAGGGCCCTGCTGCTGTGTTCAGCCTCAGGACTTGGTGCTCTATATCCCAGCTGCTCCAGCTCCAGCCATGACTAAAAGGGGCCATGGCACAGCTCAGGCCATTGCTTCAGAGGGTGCAAACCCCAAGCCTTGATGGCTTTCACATGATGACGGCCTGTGGGTGCACAGAAGTCAAGAATTGAGGTTTGGAAAACCCTGCCTGGATTTCAGAGGTTATATCGAAACACCTGGATGTCCAGGCCAAAGTTTACTGCAGGGACAGAGTCTTCATGGAGAACCTCTGCTAGGGCAGTGTAGAAGGGAAATATGGGGTTGGAGCCCCCACACAGAGCACTACCTAGTGGAGCTGTGAGAAGAGGGCTACTGTCCTCCAAACCCCAGAATGATAGATCCACTGACAGCTTGCCCTGTGGGCCTGGAAAAGCCACAGGCACTCAATGTCAGTCCATGAAGGAGCTGCCCAAGATCTTGGGAGCCCACCCCTTGCATCAGCATGTCCCAGATGTGAGACATAGAGTCAAAGGTGATCATTTTGGTGCCGTAAGGTTTAATGACTGCTTCACTGAATTTTGGACTTGCATGGGGCCTGTAGCCCCCTTTGTTTTGGCCAATTTCTCCCATTTAGAATGGATGTATTTGCCCAATGCCTGTACCCCCTTTGTATCTTGGAAAGAGCTAACTTGTTTTTTATTTTACAGGTTCATAGGCAGAAGGGACTTGCCTTTACTCAGATGAGACTTTGGACTTGGACTATTGAGTTAATGCTGGACTGAGTTAAGACTTTGGGGGACTGTTAGGAAGGCAAGATTGGTTTTGAAATGTGAAAAGACATGAGATTTGGGAGGGGCCAGTGTCAGAATGATATGGTTTGGCTCTGTGTCCCCACCCAAATCTCCTCTTGCACTGTAATCCCCACGTGTTGAGGGAGGGACCTGTAATCCCTATGTGTTGAGGGAGAGAGGTGATTGGATCATGGAGGCAGTTTCCCCCATGCTGTTCTCATGATAGTCAGTTAGTTCTTATGAGATCTGATGGTTTTACAAGTGGAAGTTCCTCCTTCATTCTTTTTCCTGCTCCCTTGTGAAGAAGGTGCCTGCTTCCCCTTCTGCCATGATTGTAAGTTTCTTGAGGCCTCCCCAGCCATGAGGAACTGTGAGCCAATTAAACCTCATTTGTTTATATTAATAAATTACCCAGTCTCAAATATTTCTTTATAGCAGTGTGACAACAGACTAATACAGATCCAAGACAGTGTGCATAGGGATGAAAATAGTTCAGTGAAACACAAAAGAGAGTAGTCAAAAAGACACTGTCATATATGAGCATCTGCAGTATGACATAGACAGAAGTTTATGTTGCTGAAGAACATATACTGTTCATGAATGAGACAGAGAAAACAAGTTTACCCACCAGATTGGAAAAAAAAGTAAATGGTATTACAATCTCAATTGTTGATGGTATGTGGAACAATGGGAGTATGCACACACTGCTGAGAATAAATTGGTATTGCATTTAGAAAATCAATTTGGCATTACATTATCTCATAAAATTAAATGGACACATACTTTATTATCCAGCAATAGCATTTCTTGGAAGATAGTCTTGTACAGAGAAAGCCATGTACTATCTGTATTGTCCACAATAAAAAAAGAAATAATAACCAGGGAATAACATGGGAAAATGACTATCATTTGTAAAATAAATATTGACTTAGAGTATATTCAAACAATGCAAAATTAATTAATGTATAATTTGGGATATTTAGCTACTAGATAGAAGTATAATGTTAATAAGCACGGCATTAAACAACATAGAATTAGAAATATTAGAGTCTACTAAAAAGAAGGAGCACAAATGTGATTCAAGGTTCATTTAATGCTTCATTTCTTAAAAAATTTGGCAGAACACAGCCATTTATTTCATATATATATATATTTAAAACATTCCATCTTTAGTGTGCAAGAAAACAAATAGAAATAAAACACTATGAAAACTGGGATATCAACTGCCTGTGAAGCTAAAATCATGTAAAG
The DNA here is from genome assembly GCF_000001405.40 of Homo sapiens. Lineage (NCBI taxonomy): Eukaryota > Metazoa > Chordata > Mammalia > Primates > Hominidae > Homo > Homo sapiens. The sequence goes on from NC_000021.9 coordinate 20,615,923, forward strand.
GTCAAATAGAATTTTTAATTTAAGGAAATTTTAAGATAATGGAAAAATGGAGGTGATCTAAATTATTTTATAAAGAAGATATTATTATAATGATTTTATTCCATTAAATCAAATATAATTTTTAAATGAATAGTACATACTTGTGGTACGTGTTCAAAGCTTCAAATGAATTTTAATATAATTGTATTAATAATTTTTTAAAAAACAAGAGGACGCTCAGCATCCTACATTATTATGGAAAAGAGAGAGTTGAAATAGAGTCCACGGTTATTATGAGGCATTATTTTCTTCCAATCAGCAAATGGAGAAACCGCCTTTTAATTAACCCTTTTAATTAGAAGCATAATTTTTCAATTCACCCACCCGTATGGTGCAGCCGAACCCTTGACTTCATTTCTAGATGGAGGAAATTGCAGTGGCTCATTTGTTGTGACAGACTGTCCCGTCTTAAACTACAAACAATATTGGTTAATTTATTTATCAAGAATAATACATGTTTATCTAGAGTTTACCTACCATATCAGTTAATGTATTTCAACATATATTTACAAAATATATCATTATATCCCCTCAAATATAAAGGCAATCTTTCTACCGAATTAAAATGAAAACTAGAATGTGGTGTGACTAGTACATACTAACAGATAGTGTGCAGCAAGTATAATTTTAAGAAAAATATTTCTATTGAGGAATAAAACATGAACACCCTTTTGTCATTCCCAAACCACTGTATATAAATACATACAGTGATACATATAATACATATAAATCCACATATGTATTCATATACATATATGTATATGTATAATATGTATTTATATATATTTATTCAGATCAAATGGGTTGAAGTGAATTATTAATTGTATTTCATTATATTGGTATTTATTGGCAGTCATAAATTAATAGACTAATTGTATTCAGATACTAATATTTAATTTTTTATGTAATCACAATGGAAATAGAGTTTATTCTCTTTTTATTTCTTAGAGCATGCAATAGTTTTGGAAACATTATAAAATTTTGACGTTATTAAGCTAAAGCAAAGATAACATTATGCAAAATTCATCTGAAAAGTTAATTAAATAATGGCAATAGAGATTTACCAAGTAGCTTATTGGGATTCAATCAGGCTGGTGGGAAAAATATTAGAGACAGTTATAGAGATAGACACAAATCTTCTCGGAAGGCCGAGAAGTTTGCGTAACTTTGGTAGTAGACCTGGCTGAAGGCGGCCTGGTCCCTTTACCTTTAGTTAAACAAATTAAAGTAGTAGCAAAGGAAGGCAGAGTAGTTTACCTAGCTAGCTTGTTTACTCATGTGATCTTAAGACTAACCTTTGATGTACCGCAGGTGCTGAAGTGCTTTTTACTCAAGAAGTCCACAATGTCAATTATTACCCTCTAATGGTGTTGACTCAAGCCTTTGTTAATTAATCATACTGAATAAATGCGAGTCTCACTAGGTGATCAGGGCCGAGTCCCAACTGTTTAGAGGACTCTGCTGGAGTCTGTAAGCCATTCGAACACTCAGCAGGACTGGCAAAGCAGAGTATCTGTGTGCCAGTGTACTTCATTCATCTGTCGTGGGTCAGAGGTATGCAAGGGACAGACTCCCTGCAGCTGGTGCTCCCGTATAAGGAGCACTGCCACACTAGCCTATAAGTCCAAACCAATGTATTTAAAAACTAAGAGAAATATATTTTAAAAGATTTATCAGAGACATACTTTCCTCTTTGCCTAACAAGAACTTAGAACAGATAAATAATGCCTCTTGAAATCTATGTTTCCATTCTTTTTCCTTTAATACTTGAGTGTCATAAAAATGAACTGGATTTCATATTTTTTTTAGAAGACAGGCTTGAAGAAGGGCATTTCACTGGAAGCACTATTACTTATACAACTTAAAGAGCAATGCAATCATGGTAAGTGGAAGATTCAAAAAAGAAAGCCATATCCCTTTCCTCATTTTTGGAGCACGTTATAATAATATAACCTCTAGTTTGTTCTTTCCTCTTGATTGTTTTCTTCAGTGTCACTTCTCCGAATTCTTTCACTGATAATCTCTGTAACCTCATTAGGAGTTCTGCTGCTGCTTCATTTTACTTGATGATAGTTATTTTATTTCTCTTAGATATTACTTTTCAACTAGACTGTAAGCCCTGGGAGAAACATCCCTGATTTAGGATGATCTCTCAGTTCTCCTGCCCTCATGGTGTGGCCCACCCATTGACTTCATTTCTAGAGGGAAGAAATTGTGGTGGCTCATTTGTGAGAGACTGTTTCATCTTAAACTACAAACAATATCAGTTAATTTATTTATTAGGAATAATACATGTTTATCTAGAGTTTTCCTTCCCCATTAGTTGGCATATTATCATAGATATTTACCTATGAATGTGACTATATGCACTTAAATATAATAGCAATTTTCCAACTGAAGAAGGGTTTAAACAGAAATCTGGGGTTAGTAGAACTTTGTGCAACAAGAAGTTTAATTTTAAGAAAATGATTTATTTGAGTCATAATGCATTGTTTCCCTTTCAGTATCTCCTAATCACAATGAAATATGTATTTATAGAGAAGAAATAGGCTGAACTATATGTTAGGCACTCTTAAGATTTAGAGGACCAGAAAATGGGTTATGTCTCGTCAGACTTCAGCTGAGCGTTAAGGAACAGATAGTAGATTCAGTATTACAAGAGAATGGAAAACAGCCTGCTGAAAATGAAATCAAGGGTAGAGGAAGCAGGACTAATTTAAGAGAGGAGAACCAGATAAAGATCTTAATTTAAGTAAAAAGAAGATTTTCTGTTATTAATTCAGTCTAAAAATATTTTTGACATCACCTTCTTTTTGGGAGAGGATTCTCCATGCCTCCTTCTGTTTTTGAACATCTTGCAAGCAGAGGTACTGACAGCTTTTTTTTCCAGACTGTATTTTCAAAGATGTCTATATAGTGAAACTTCCTAAAAGATACAGATAGTGTCTTTCTCTAGAGCGAAGAGATTTGTTTGCTGGACACAAGTAAAAAAGTTGGTTTTCCTCTGAGGCAAATGTTGGGCAGGTTTGAGTGTATCGCCTGATAGAAGATTGGCATTTTCTGAAACTGAAATTCTTTGTATTTGAGAAAAACATTGCAAGGGCTTCATCCAGCCAGACCAATCTGAATCATTGTCATGAGACCCGAGAGGCACAGAGAGCAAGAGCAAACATGAAACTCATGGCATCTGTTTTGCTTTGAATTAAAAAACAACAACAAAAAATCACTTTTATATCTGATGTCTGATGCAGGGGACTTGGGTTAGCTCTGAAAGAAGAATAAAATCTCAGCCTATGTAGTTTGTGACACCTACTATGTAGCAGGCATATTTTTAGGCATTAGAGAACATGAGTGAATAAAATAGAAAATGATTTCTGCTTTACTAAAATTTGCACTCTAGGGATGCAAAATTGTAATTTCTAGGGTTAAAAAATTTAAAAAAATAATTAAAATAAATAAAATACAAAGTAAGTAAATATTTAAAATCTTAACAAAACAAAATTAAGCCTGGGGCCAAATTTTGTATATGGTAGTTGCCTGAGAAAATGTAACAGTGGGCTAAGGCTGGAAAGATGCTCTTTAGTACACAACGATGGTAAATACATTATGAGTGCAGTCTAAAATGAATAAATTAGTGTATATTTTGTAGCCGACTAGAGACCCCTTGTAGGCTCATATTTTGAAATTATTGGTCATAATGAAGATAAAAAAATGGTGATCATTTGTGTTTCAGGGAAAGTGGTGTAATTACAATTGTAGCATTCACTGTAGAAAGGGGCTAATATAACATTTTAAAAATAATTGTTAGTCTGAAGTTGACGGAATCAGGAAACTAGACAGCGTAGCCACGAAGATAAAACTCTGGTCTTGAAAATGAGTAGTATAGAAACTGATAACATGAATGAGAGAGGAAAACTTATCAAGAAGGAACTTCCCTTCTAGTTTAGGCACCTTGAGTTTGAGATGACAGAAAGACCACCAAGTGTAAGGGCTCATGAGACAGTTGAAAATTTGGCCCATTAATTCAGAAAAAAATTTAAATATGAGGCAAGATTTTGGAATCATTCCTGTGGTGTAGATTTCTAACACTTTGAGACTAGATAAGCTCTAAAAGATGGTGCAAAAATGGAAGAACAGATGACTAATGACCTAATGCTGAACCACACTCACTGTCAGAGATGTATAAAACAACCAACTCAACAGAAATAGAAGAGGAGAAAGAGAGCAGGAAGGGGAAAAGAAAATTCAAGATAGTACAGATCTCTGAATACCAGGAGAGGTGAGAGCATCAGCAAAGAGGGCATGACCACATTGCAGAGTGACAAAAAGATTTTAGCTCCAGAGAAGAAAGTATAGGTGACCTTCAATTTTGTAAAAATAGAGGTTACAGAATTCATAGATAAGAAAACAAGATAGTTTTAAAACAATTATTTTAAATATTATCTATGCTTGTTAATTTTTTTAAATTAATATTATAATTCTCTATTTTAATTGTTTGAATGATAGAAATAATGTTTGATATATAAAGATGTTTGATATATAAAGTAACATTGAAGCAAAATTTATTCTTCTGTATGTGTAATGTTCCAATGTTAAAACTAATAATAATAGTATTTAACTATAAGTTTCTTTATTTTCAACAAGTCCTTTATTTGTTATCATTGCTGAGTTTGGCAGAATATTTATGATGTTCTTTCATTCGTTCAGCTTAAATGAATAAGTGGATAAAATGATGAGATCACTCAGTATGAGCAGGGACTATCACACTGGAATAGCAATACAAATATTTGGTATCTTTGGGAAAAAATCTATTTCCACTTCAATTTTTAGATTTTTGATATAGGGATAATAATAAAACTGGCTATAAACTTATCTAAAATTGTATAATTGATTTATAAGCAAGTGGGAAAAAAAAGAGACCGGGAGAATATAATTTAAAGTTTCAGGACTATCTAAATAGTTGGGAGGAATTCTTCGCTGTATTGTTTGGTTTAGCATCACCACCTTACTATATGAAGCAGTAACATAAAAATGTATATGTTTATCTAAAGTACATGTAAATCCCCAAGTCTCTATCTCTCCAACCTAATTCTGTCTAGGTTTATGAATAACCTCTGAGTTCATTAGAAACTACTGATGTGTGCAAAATAATTTGATAGTTCATAACTTCATATTTGTGAAAAAATATTGTAAATTCTATTAGATTTGATGCCACTTTTATGTGGCTAACACCTTTTGCATCAACTGGAATGAAAATTAAAATGCAGTGGTTTGTTAGAATTCTAATTTTTACAACTTCTTGAAAAGGCTTCAGTAGACTATTATATGCTCCGTGTTGGAGAAAAGAAAACAAAATAACAGTACAGATTATTTACTGTGATTTATGCCACCAGGGTGACATCATAAGCCTGGTAAAAACTTAGCCATTTCACCTTCATCTCTTTTTAATTTTTATTTTCATATTTTTGTGAGAAATGATTATGTACAGAAAAGAAGAATAGCACTAAGAAAACAGCAGAAGGATATTCCAAAACTCTATTTAAAGCAAAGATAACAAAAATAGGTCAACATACACATGCTACCACTTACAGCTTACAAGTTAGCATAAAATTTCAAGGACTGTCAATCAATTCTGGATGTAAACTATTGCCCTATGGTGGCAGTAAGAAATATAACTCCTGAATTTTATTTCTGTGAAGATGGAGATGGATGCAGTAAGAAATATAACTGCTGAATTTTATTTCTGTGAAGATGGAGATGGATGCTTTATGTATTATTAGGACTAAAATGCTAGATTTTGAAGCATGTGACACCACTTAAAACTAAAATATTCTAACAAACTACAAACTCCCAATAAATTGGGAGTTGAGTATATTCTAAGCACTATCTTTGTGTGCAGGTTTTTATTTAATTCTTAAAATATCTCCATATCCTTGGTATTATTATCACAATGTCTAAATGAAAAGAAAGAAAGAAGGGAAGGATAAAAAATGAGGGAAGGGATAGGCTTAACAGCATACAAAAGAATCATGGCATAATTGCAATATAATTCGTTACATGAATTAAAAATGCATATTAATTATTCCTGGTTGTATGTTGCCTAAAATATCACTGTTAACTGTAATACACAATGTAAGCAAATGCATATGTCTATGTTTTTTAAGAATTATAGTGAACATTCTCATGTAAACTCCAACATTAATTGGAAAATCCTATTTTTTAATAAAAATAGGTTTTATTCTTGTATGATGTAAATTATAAGTACTTTTTTTCTCTACCATTACTTTCCTCAATACTAACCTCATTTCAACAAATACCTGTATTTTCCTTCCCTTTCATCAGTTACATATTTCAACTATAGACAGCTAGAGTATATAATGAACAAATATAAATCAGTTTATGCTTGAACTGAGACACTTTGTATGATAAGAAGCAATTTTGTTTTCATTTCATTAAAATAATATAGATAATAATCAATATAAACAAGCTTGGTCAGTACTGAAATATCCTTCCATGTCACTCACTTAGGTTTGCTCAGTCACAGTGATCTTTCCAAACTTTAAATCAAAGATTATCTTTTATGCATCACCACTGTCACAGGTATGCATGTACTTAATTCTTAAATCTCCATACTGTAACCTAGTATTATTTTACAACCAATTTATGTTTGATAGTCTGACTTAAAAAAAAATTATAACCATGTGTCAACATTGGGAATTACAACTGAATATGAGATGAGATTTTGATGGGAACAAAAATCCAAACCATACCATTCCACCCCAGCCATTCCCAAATCTCATGTCCTCTTCACATTTCAAAATACAGTCATGTCTTCCCAACATTCCCCCTAAGTCTTAGCTTATTTTAGCATTAACTGAAAAGTCCACAGTCGAAAGTCTAATCTGACACAAGGCAAGTCCCTTCTGCCTATGAGCCTGTGAAACCAAAAACAAGTTAGTTACCTGGAGGTATAGTCATTGGGTAAATACTTCTCTTCAAAAAGGAGAAATTGGCCAAAAGAAAGGGGCTACAAGCCCCATGCAAGTCCAAAACTCAAAAGGGCAGTCATTAAACCTCAAAGCTCAATAATCTCCTTTGATTTTATGTCTCACAGCCAGGGCACCCTGGTGCAAGAGGCAGGTTCCCAAGGTCTTAGACAGCAGAGCTCTATGGCTTTGTAGGGTTATGTCTCCTGCAGCTGCTTTCATAGGCTGGCATTGAGTGCCTGCAGCTTTTCCAGGCTCAGAATACAAGTTACCAGTGGATCTACATTTCCGGGGTCTGGAGGACTTAGCTCTCTTCTCACAGCTCCACAAGGCTGTTCCAAAGTGGGGATTCTATGTGGGGGCTCTAACTCCACATTTCCCCTCAGCAGTGCCTTACTAGGGGATTTCCATGAGGGTTCTGCCCCACAGAGGCTTCTGTTTGGACATCCAGTGTTTTCCATAGATCATCTGAAATCTAAACAAAGGCCCCCAAGCCTTAACTCTTCCATTTTGCACACCTGCAGACTTACCCTGACATAGAAGCCACCAAGGCTTACAGCTTGCACCCTCCAAAGCAGTGACCCAAGCTGTACCTGGACCCCTTTTAGCCACAGCAGGAGCTAGAGTGGCTGGAATTCAGGGAGCATTTTATGCAGTTGCACAGGGCAGCAGGACCCTGGGCCTGGCCCAGCAAACCATTCAGTCCTCCTAGGCCTCCAGGTATGTGATGAGAGGGGCTGCTGCAAAGGTCTCTGAAATGCCTTCAAGGCCTTCTCCCCATTGTCTCATCTTGGCTAACAGCACTTGCCTTCCTTTCAGTTATGTAAATTTCTGCAGCCAGTTTGCATTGCTCCCCTGAAAATGGACTTTTCTTTTCTACCACATGGCCAGGCTGCAAATTTTCCAAACTTTTATACTCTGCTTCCCTTTTAAATATAAGTACTAGTTTCAGGTCATTGCTTATGCTTATGAAACAGGTTGCTAGAAGCAGCCAGGCCACATCTTGAAATCTTTTAGAAGTTTCTTCCACCAGATACCCTGAATCATCACTCTCAAGTTCAAAGTTTCACAAATCCCTAGAGCAGGGGCATAATGCAGTCAAGTTCTTTGCTAAGACATAGCAAAAGTGACCTTTACTTTAGTTCCAATAAGTTACTCATTTCCATCTGAGACCTCCTCAGCTTGACCACCTCTGTCCATATCATTATCAGCATTTTAGTCACAACCATTCAACAAGATTTTTAGGAAGTTCCAAACCTTCCCTCATCTTCCTGTATTCTTCTGAGCCCTCCACACTCTTCCAACCTCTGCCTGTTACCCAGTTCTAAAGCTGCTTCCACATTTTCAGGTATCTTTATAGCAATGCCCACTTCTCTGTACCAATTTTCTGTATTAGTCCATTCTTGCATTGCTATAAGGAAATACCTGACACTGAGAGGTTTAATTGGTTCATGGTTCCGTATGGCTGTACAGAAAGCATGATGCTGGCATCTACTCCTCTTCTGGGGAGATCTTAAACAACTTATAATCATGATGGAAAGCAAAGTGGAAGCAAGATGTCTCATACAGTATGAGCAAGAGAAAGAGAGAGGGGGTGGAGATGCCACACACTTTTAAACAACCAGATTTCATGATAACTCTATCATGAGCACAGCACCAAAAGGATGGTGCCAAATCATTCATGAAGGATCCACCCTCATGATTCAATCACCTCCCACCAGACCCCACCTCCAACATTTAGGATTACAATTTAACATGAGATTTGGAAGGGGCAACAGATCCAAACCATATCACCATATTACAAATACCTTGAAAACAATACATATTCAATAAGTATTTGTTATTGAATTTCCAAGTATTTTGCTTAGAGAGTGTATTCATTCTTGCATTGCTATAAATTACTTGATAATTACTGGGTAATTTATAAAGGAAAAAGGTCTAACTGGCTCAAAGTTCCACAGGCTGTACAGAAAGCATGGCCGGGGAGGCCTCAGGAAACTTACAATCATGGTGTGAAGAGGAAGGAAGCACATCTTAGGTGGTGAGAGCAGGAGAAAGAGAGTGAAGGGGGAGGTGCTACACACTTTTAAACAACCAGATCTCATGAGAACTCTATCACAAGACAGCACTAGGAGGATGGTGCTAAATCTTTAAAAACTACACCATGATCCAATCACCTCCCACCGGGCCCCACCTCCAACACTGAGGATTACAATTTAACATGAGATTTCGGTGGGAACAGAGCCAAACCATTTCAGAGAGGAAACGAACACCACTCACCCGCCACTGTTGCTACTTCTACTTGCTTTTTATTTTATGAAACTAGAGGAATATTTCAGCCTCTAATTGAACTGAGACATCCCAAAGAATATCAGAAGTATAATAATAAAAATTTTGAAATACTCCTAAGTTTCTTATGTTGTATATGCAAATTACTATTCCTTTTGGATTTAATTCTATCATATAATTTATTTATTGCACTACCCCATTACCTTCCAATGGGCTAATCAGATGATTTGGCACTTCTTACATGTAAACTCAGTATTTCTTTGTAAACAAAGCCAACAAAACATATAGTGTATTAGAAACCCCTGATGTAAATGTTTTCATTGACATTCTTTTTTTTATTTTTATTTATTTCCATTTTATTTTGGTATCAGAGTCAAGTTTTTCTCCTACTCTTAGATCCAGTCAGGCTTCCATTGCATAAACAGGCCCTAAGCAGTGTGAATTCATTAGTTTTTTTTTTTAAACTATAAATAGGTATCTTTCTCTCTTATGTTAACTTCTAAAATATTTTAATAGTTCTATTCATATGCTATAGGTACATTATTGTTACATAATTTGATGAATTGGATTTTCTATCTCTGTGTTTCTTATTTCATAGTTGTAAATGCCAAATAGTTTTTTATTTATACCAGAGGACTGCACATTTTGCTGTGCTGACATATATCTCTTTTGGATTACAAATATATTTGAGCATGACTCACTGAGGAGCAAGAGCAACTTATAGAAGGAAGACAAAACAAAGCAGAGTATATGGTGATATCAAGGAAAGCATATGAAACATAAAGATTCACCAAAGTAATCAGAAGAGAAAAGAGGAGAGATACTAGAAGGCTATGTACACAAGGAAAAGACAAAGAGGAAGGTTACCCTAAGGGAAAGGAAGAACGATAAAAGTTGGAGAAATTATATATTTATGTAAGATCTCCAAAAAGGACTCTTAATGTTTCTGCTAATAACCAACATTTATTACATATCATCCAAATTCAACTCAAATTTACATGATCCCATTTAAAACAGATCTTCAATAATGAATAAGTGAGTTTCAATATAATTAACTCAAGAGCTTTAAGTTAAGAAGTTTTTATGTATCTTCTGCTGATTGACACGTCTCATGAAAATAATGAATGTGTACCAGGAATGCCTCATAAGTCTGTTGATTTTTTTTAAACTCAAGGTGTCATCAGAGTAAAGTTTAGTTTTTTTTTTTTAAGAAGTAGTTTGACTCTAGATAATCTTTTATTTTTTGTTTGTAATAGTCTAAAAGCAGAACAGACCACCTTGAGCCAACTGTGAGCCACAAGGGACCTATCAGAATCTATTAGTAGCAATCACTATTTCAAATTTGAGAAGAGTGATCAGTTTTTACATTTTAAGTGCATATAATTTATATGTCAAGAGATGAATTGAAAGAGAATATTCTTTATCCACTATAAAATAAATAAAATAAGGGAATGTGGGTTAGTGTGTTCTTTATAAAAGCTAAACATTTAAATTAACCTTTCCATTTCAAATAAGACTAATGTTTGAAAGCTTGCATTTTTAATGATGCTACCAAAAATGTAATAGCGTCTCAGCTACATCACACCTAGCGCATTTAATTTCAGCCAATCTCATTATGGATGGATAGAGGTAAGAGGTTTATGGAAGTGACTGCCTGAATCGGCCTTAAAGAAACAAAATGCAAATTTACACAAGTAAAATCTCAGCACACATATATGGAAAAATGCAACTCTAAAACTCGGTACCTGAATTTAATGCCAACATGATTGCCAACTCTTCCTGGTATTTTTAAAAGGATCGATGTTAGGTCCATGTAAAAAAAAAAATAGTCAAATAAGGGTTTTCTCAGTCAACTTAGCATTTCCTCGTCCCTTCCTACGGTAGGTAACAATTGTGAAAAAGCACATGCATAGTCAATACATAAACAGAAAATCATCATTTCACTCTATGTTTATATACAGAGACATACATGGTGGGGACATCATGTAATCCGGTTCTAACATTGTCATTTAAATCGCGTAACATTAATCGCTTCTCGGCCTTTTGGCTAAGACCGAACGTAGTATCTGTTCTTATCCGTGAATCCAGTAGCATTCACTGAGACATTTGGCTCAGATCTGACATCTTATGGTCAATCTTCTATTTGCTACAGCAATTTTCCTACTCAAACTATGAGGTCTCTTCAAATCCCACTCTTTGCCTATGTCTCCCTAACTTAGGGATCTTTTGATTTCAGGTAACAGAATAATTATTAAAAAGAGAGTTAAAGAAGAGAGGTTTACTTTTACGTTTAATAATAAGTTCAGGAGGCCGAGTGTGGTGGTTCGCGTCTGCATTCCCAGCACTTTGGGGGGCCAAGGGGAGTGGATCCCTTGAGTGCAGAAGTTGGACACCAGCTTAGACAATGTGGCGAAAACCCTTCTCTACAAAAGATACAAAAATTAGCCAGGCATGGTGGTCAGCACCTGTAGAAACAGTTACTAGATAGGCTGAGGTGGGAGAATTGCTTCAGCCCATGAGGCTGAGGCTGCAGTGAGCCATTAGCATGACACTGCACTCCAGCCTAGGTGACAGAGCCAGATGCTGTCAAAAGAAAAAAAAAAGTAGTATAGGAGCAACTCGTTCTACAATTAACTCATTAAAATGACAATGTCAAGGCTCTGGGTGACTTCACTGTTCTGGTCGTCTCCTTGTGTCTACGAGTTGGATGTTATAGTTTCAAATATTATCTAATCTCATAATGATAGGACCTGAAGAGCCTCTACCGTGAGGACATGATTAAGACACAATAAGTTATGTTTAATAAGTATCCCATAGTCTTTTATCTATTATACACCACTACAGATGTATTATTTTACCTATTTCTCTAAAACATGAAATTACTTATTAGGAAAATGTAAAAGTAAAAATCACACAGAAAGACCTCATAAGTCCTATGAAAATGGCCAAAGTTGGAAATACAGACCTTGAAAAAAATGAACACAGATATATGCAAAAAGTGGGGGAGAGAACACTCATACTTAAAGGCTTATAGAATAAATGTTTTTCATAGTAGCCCAAATGACATAACCCAAATATCCATCCATCAACAGGACGAGACAAAGGATAAATTGAGTTATATACAAATACATTTGTGCACATGTACCCTAAAACTTAAAGTATAATAAAAAATAAAATAAAATAAAAAATAAAATTGAGACTTACCATTTGAAAAAAAAAAAGGAATTAGAGGACAAGTCTATTCCAAATATACTAAGTAACATTTATGAAAATCTTATGTAACCCAATTCTGAGCAATGTATGATTCCCTTTTCTCTTTCGTAAAACTAAATGAAAGCTAAAAAAAAAAATACATTGGAATACTACTGAATCATCAAAGGCGGGGAAACACTACTTACTTACTTTATTTCCAACAACCTGGGTGATTCTAAACAACATCTGAGCAAAAATTGCTAGAGGCAAAAAAAAAAAAATACATGCTGCATGATTTTATCCATGGGAAGTAAAAAGGTAGGATTGAAAAACAAATAATACTTGGTTAGGGGATTGTGAAAGTAAAGATTGACTGGGAAAAGGCGTAAGAGGTCTTTCCATCTGAGATGATCTAACTCATATATCTGATACCAGGGTGGGTCATTCAGGTATGTGCAAATATAAAAAAGTGATGTCTCACTATGTTGCCCAGGCTGACCTTGAACACTTAGGCTCAAGCAATCCTCCTGCCTCAGCCCCCCAAGTAGCTGGGATTACAGGCATGACCCTACCTGGCTGTAAATTTCACCCTAACTACGGTAATGTAAATATACATACACACACAGACACACACACACGCACTCATATAGCTACAGAACTGTAATTTTCCTAAAGATATTCTATGCATTTTTTTGACATTAGACATACGTTGGTTGAGGTAGGCTGTAAACAATATCTTGTGTTACCTAAAGTAAAACAGGGAGTTTCAATATGAGTCAAAAAAAAAAAAGTTAAGGGCTATACAAAAGTTTTTCCTGCAAACAAAATGGAAAATGTCTCTGAACTTCAGTGTTATTTCAGATCTGCTGCAGGATATGCAGAAAGCTTTCCGCCATCTTAGCTAATAACTAACAACTTATCATATCTAACAAAAGCTACCTGCCGTGGGTACAATTTGTTCATAAATATTTTTGATAATTCATGTTTTTATTCTATTAAATTGTATTCATTGGACATTTTGTCCTATTGTAATTAACAGATATGAATATGTAATTAGGATAGGAAAACATTAGTGAGCAACCCATGATTAAACTTAAACAATCCACAATATAACGTGAAAAGTGACTGATTTTGATACCAGAATTGTCTTCCTATTATCAATCTGTATCATATTATAATTGCTTCATGTAACAAAATTTTAAAATAAAAATTGAGGTAACTTCAAAAATTAATTCAACATTATATTAACAATATAGAAACTTGATTTATTTGTATAATACTTAGACATATTTTAGCAAAGGTTTATCTATGGTTGAGGGAGACACAGTATTTTTAGACAACTTTAGAAAACAAGAAAGTAATCCATTTATAATGATTCTCACTACTAAATCAAATGCTTATATTGTTCTACCTGTAAAGTATATACTGTCTCATTTTAACAACTTGCCTTTAATTTAATGAGCCTGTATACATTTAATTGAAAAGTACATAACATTTTTTCCATACACATAATAGTTTTTTAAAAAAGAAAGTCTAGATAAAATCCACTATGACTCAAATTCTTTCTCCCTCCTCATTGCAGTATTTTCACATTTGTTCTCTATTTTTCTTTCAGTTTCAAACAATTAATCCATATGAAGATTAAACATAGAAACATGATGAAAGATTATAGAGAGAAGCAAAATAACTTTAAAGACAATAAAATCAGATAATTTAATTAATGTACTTTATTAAATATATGACTTGTTTTAAATTTACCTTCTCATTTTAAGAGAATAAAAATAAACATGTTCTCAAATTCTCCAAAAATATTTAATCCAAAATATTTTTCTCTGCTTCATTTATCAATGTACCTTAAACAAGCGTAACATTTATTTTATCAGTGTGTAGGAGTAGTTATCTATTGTCTAATGGTGTTATTAAAAAGATCCATAATTTTCTTAGAAAAATCATCCACTAGGTGATATCCTTACATGTTCTTGTAACATTTTGTAAGATTTTAAACAAATATTTCATATAGAATTTATTATACTATATTTATGTCACCTATTTACTTTTATATTTTTTCTACTAAATTACAAAGTTCCTAAATCTAGGAACTATAGCTCTTTCATTACTGTATTATCAATAACATAGGTAATAATGTAACTGCCCAACGGGTTCATTTTGCCCACTATCCAGACAGAAATTGCAGTGGAAAAAGAGTAATTCATGCAGAGCCAGCTGAACAAGAGGCCAGAGTTTTATTATGACTCAAATCAGTCTCCCTGAAAATTCAGAGTGGGGTTTTTAAGAATAATTTGGTGGGCAGGGGATCGGGAAGTGGGGAGTGCTGATTGGTTGGTTTGATTTATAGGGAGCCAAAGCTGATCTCTTGCATTGAGTCAGTCCTTTCCTGGACGGGGACCATGAGACCAGGTGAGCCAGTTTATCGATCTTGGTGGTGCCAGCTTATCCATCAATTGCAGGGCCTGAAAAATATTTCCGGCACCAGTCTTAGGTTTTCCAACAGTGGTGTTTTCCCTAGGAGATATTGGGGAAGTTTGCAATCTTGAGGTCTCTATCTTCATGACTCCTAAACCGTAATTTCTAATCTTGTGGCTAACTTGTTAGTCTTACAAAGGTAGTCTGATCCTCAGGCAAGAAGGGGGATTGTTTCAGAAAGGGGATGGTATCATCTTTGTTTCAAAGTTAAACAATAAACTAAGTTCCTCTCAAAGTCAGTCTGGCATACACCCAGGAATAAACAAGGACAGCTCGGAGGTTAGAAGCAAGATGGGGTTGGTTAGGTTAGATCTCTGTCACTGTCATAATTTTCTCACTGTTATAACTTTTGCAAAGGCAGTTTCAATAGCCAATAAATCTTTGGTGATTAGGAAGTATCCTTTACTCAAAACATTTTCTAGTCACCAAAATTTTCTTTTTTTAACTTAATTTGGTAATCTTAGTTCAAATATTATCAATTTTTATTTGAGTTCACGTTTGCTAGTTTATAAAATAAATAACCTGAAAGTTTAAAGTACTGTCAGTTTTGTAGTGCTTTTCTTTCTTCTAACATACTTCTTTTTCTAACATCTTGAGGTAAATAAAAACAGAAGTAAAAATGGACATCTTTAATAAGTATATGGTGATGGAGGAAAAAAAGGATCTTTTCAAATATGTATAAATTTGGGGAGAAGCGGCTTTTGTAAGGCTAATTTACTGAGTTAGAAAGTTGAGGGTACACAGTAACTGGGGGAAACAGAAGTTTGTGATGGAGAAATAGGAGATTACCAAAGATGAACATCTTCTACTTGATATTTTTCCCAGGAAATGGGAGGCTGTTCTCATTTCCTTCTACCTCTTTTACTTCTTGACTGACTCACTACATATATATGTAGATTTGTTTCCTCATATCCATTTGTTTTTCATTTTTTACAATGAAGCTCAGTCCAAATTCTAGCTACTATACATGCTTTAATATTGTAAAAGAGGATACATAAATCTAAACTCCCACAAAGATTGTTAAAAGTATGCGTGTTTCAATACCACATTTTCAAATTTAATGTGGTATTTCTTTCAGGGCTTCCCTGAAACTGATTTTCATATCTGGCTGCTCATTCCTATAGCCTAGAGAGATTTTAAAATACACAGAGTCACACATCTGTGTATATATTTAAAGCACTCCCGGTGATTCGAACGCATAGCTATAGAAGGAGCTACTGCCGAATATTGACTAAAACAATTGATGCGCTTAGTGAACCTTCCATATATAACAGATAATGTCTTCAAAATCAGGCAAGAAAATGATGTGTTAGAATATTTTCCATATATAAGCTGAGATACAAGTGTTTACCATGTTTACCCAAAAAGAAGAGTAAAAATATCAATTTCCAAGATGAATGTGCCAGAAAAGACAGAAAATTACCTTTGAAATGCATTGTTTGCTTCCTTCTTTTTTTTTTTTTTTCTTTTTTTGTTTGAGACAGAACCTCACTCTGTCTCCCAGGCTGGAGTGCAGTGGTGCGATCTCAGCTCACTGCAACCTCCGCCTCCCAGGTTCAAGTGATTCTCCTGCCTCAACCTCCTGAGTAGCGGGGATTACAGTGGCACACCACCACGCCCAGCTAATTTTTAATTTTTAGTAGAGATGGGGTTTCACCATGTTGGCCAGGATGGTCTCAATCTCTTGACCTTGTGATCCACCCACCTTTGCCTCCCAAAGTGCTAGGATTACAGGCGTGAGCCACTGTGCCAGGCCTTGCTTCCTCTTTTTTTAAAAAAGTTTACTTTTAAAATCAAAGATATTATATTTGCCCTCTTCCCTCTCTATTTTTTCTTCTGCCATAACACAGCACAGGAGCTACCAGACCAACAATCTATTTTTACTTTTCTATTTGTAGAATCCTTTAAAAGAAAGCATGACCCATAAGAAAAGTGGTACTTAATGTGGCACAGCAATTCTTTTAATAAATGCAATACTTGTGTTCAGTAACTTAAATTTGAAAAATAAGTTTTATTTTGAAATGTCTTAAATAGGAAATTAATTTGTTAAGTTTAAGTTCCAAAAAAACAGAAATCAGTAAGAAAAAACTGCTTATAATAATGAATGCAACACTGAAATGCATGTATCTATCTATCTATATATACACACACACAAACACACATATATATATATTTAATTTAATATACACTTTTGTTTTCCACAGGGAAAAGGTGATTGATATCTCAGTTTGGCCTAGAAAGTTATTTTTTTATGTCCTATTCTGGGAAAAGACCAAGCCAGACCGGTTTACCTCAGAAATAGGTAATATATGTATCTTAGCGGAATATCTAAGATGACCTTAATTGGTGCTGGTTTGCAATGTGATTCGTGCTTCTTTATACATTATACAAAAATTGTTTAGTTTTCTAGGAAACATACTGTCTCAATAGTTTGATTTTATTTTCTATAAAGAAATTATGAATTCCAGAAAATTTCAGGTTTTAAAGACATTTCTGAACTTAGGTTGAGACCACCTGCTTACCTCAGGAAATATTGACTTTTAGGACAAACAGATTCACATAATCTATGAGCCACTGTTTCAGGAAGCTTCTGCTTCTCTGGCTTTCCATTTCCCTGTGGAGAGTCTTCATCTCAAGTAACACACCTGCCTCTCTCTTACCTCTCAGCCTCTGCTCTCTCTAGGAGGTGACCCGTGGTGAGCTTGAGAAGAAGAAAAAAATCTGAGCACATCTGGTTCTCTCCTCTACTCTTTAAAATTTTATCTGGCTGAAAAAAGAATACATTCTGGTTTATCCTTTAAGATAATCTCATCAGGGCAGCTTCTCTTCCCTTGTATACGTGGGATAGTGTGGGTGGAAATTCATGTAATGAATGGGGCTCCGGAGGAGAGGTCTGAATTGTCTACCTATGCCAATAACAAGGTCAAATACATGTTTATTCTTGTGATAAAATACTGTCAAGCTGTTTTGACTGAAATGTAAAACGATGTTTAAAATTAGTTTACATATAACTGAGCTAACATTTTGATCTCTATTTTCTAGTCCTGTCTCTAACCCTTGATTTGTTCTGAAATGTGGAAATGAACAGATAAATCTTATTTAATGGCCTTCCTGAGACCTTAACATTTTGGCACATTAACCATTGAAGTAGATGATAAGGAGTGAGATTTGGGGAACAGTTTTATATACAGAGATACAGGATCCTAGCCCATCACCGGAGGTGGTTCTGAACATATGCCTTATAGGTTTGAGCATGGTGAGTTATAGTTAGTTTCTACTACTTGCTGATGATTTTAATAATTGCTTGAATGGTTTTAATTGCAGGGAGGCAGTATCTGGATGAGCAAATACCAACTGCTTTGGTAAGAATACACAAATCTGATTTAGACCACACCTAGTCATTTGTTACTCAAACAGATTCAACTATAAGGAAGAGAGAGTGTTTATATATCTAAGCCTCTAGGTATCTGTGGACTTAGTTTCTCAGCCAGGAGCTCAAAAACACGTTCCATTTTGGAGTTTCTTACAGTATGGGCAAGTGCATTCAAACAAGCAGCCCCCAAACTGCTTATTCTTTATATTAATTTGAACTGTTTCCGGGGCCTGTTTTGGGCTAAATGCTTATATCACCTCAAAATTTGTAGGTTGTAGCCCTACCCCCAGTGTGATGGTAATTAGGAGGTGGAATATTTGCACGGTGATTAGGTTATGAATGTGTGTGGTGGGGGTCATGGTGGAATTAGTGGCCTTATGAAAAGTGGAAAACACATCAGAGCCCACTCTCCCAACTTTCACTAAAGAAAGGTCATATGAGCATACAGTGAGAAGTCGGCCAACTGGAAGCCAGGAAGAGATACCTCACCAGAGCCTGACCATGTTGGCACACTGCACTTTGGATTTCCAGCCTCCAGAACTGCAGTGAGAAAATAAATATCTATTGTTTAAGACACCTACTCTATGTCAGTTTGTTATAGTAGCACAAGGAGGCTAACACAGGGCCAAAAGAAGGAACTGTGAATAAGCTAGCCTCCTGGGTCCATGTGACTTTTTGGTAGGCGACAGACTGTTCTCTAGTTAACTAACTACATAAACTCTGAATATGGCTTTAAGAAGCAGACATCAAAACTCTTTCATCACCCATGAAAGGGAAAGGTCACACATTTTATAAGCAGAAAAAAAAATTAAAGAAATAGAGCATGTGATATTATTTAGTTGAAGTACACAAATAACTTGTTGAAATTACTGTAAATTAAAGACTTAAACATTTTCAGACATATCTATAATAATGTGAAAATCAGTTTTGCTCAAGAAATTAAGAAAATCTTGGGGTAATTTGAATAAAAAAGTTGATTATTAAGGTCAAAAATGAAAGAAAGAAATAATAAAATTAAAATAAAATACTGTTGTATACTATTCACTTGGCTTAAATGAAGATATCTGAGCATGTATAGTGTTGGAATGGCTGTGGATAAAGAATTTTCACAAATTACTGTTGAATGTGTCAATCGATAAAACTACTTTGAAACCAACAACTTGGATTTATATTGTAAGATTAAACAGATATATAAAGATACATATATCTATATATGTATATATGAATCTATATATATAGACAGATCTTATGATACAATAATTTCATACTTCTGTTTACCCAAGAGAATCTTTTTTATATATAAATCTTTTTTATATATATAAAAGTTTATATATAATTTGTATAAATGCATATATATCTTTAATATGCCTATATATGTTTGTGTATATATATGCCTGGAGCCATTTAAAGAATATGGTTCCTGATTGTTATAATGATATACTCAATATGTTCAAACTAACCAAGACACTAATCCAATGGAGAATGAGTAAACATATTACAAAAAAGTCACACAATTAAATATCACACAAGAGTAAAAATGAAGGGACTATGTAAATAAATATAGGTAACAAATACTGAGTCAAGAAAGCCAGTCCCAGAAGACCATAGGGGACAATTTTATATAAAATTCAAATATAAGTAAAATATTACATTTTAGGTAAATATATATAGAGAGAGATAAAACATACAGAAAGATGTGATAAACCCCAAAGTCAAAGTAGGAATTAATTCTATCAGTGATAAAATAGAGAAGTGCTAAAAAAAATTGTTTAATGATACTTAAATCATCAGGCTGGCTTTATTCAGGACCATTGTAATAGGTATAGAGATAACTGCAATGGGATTTTCCAGTGGGAAAGAGAGATTGGGCTTAACTCCGAATACAGCATGGGGAAGTGGGAATTTATAGCCAAGGAGCAGGGTGGGGGTTAGTGGATAGAAAATCACTAACAGGAAACATCGGGAATAAGGGGGATTCTGGCTAAACAGACCTTAAGGATTTTGATGTCACTTGAGAGATGGTAGAGAATGACAAATCTGATCAGATATTGAGGGTGATCTGATATCAAAGATAGAAGGTTCTTGGTAAACTGACTTAGCAGGGTTCTTTGCTAAAACTGGATTTTACAAGGAGGTTCATAGACTGGCCTATAAGAAAGTGCAGGAGCATGACTAAAGCTTGGCCAAAGACTCCTTTGTCATTAGGAATGTACGGATAGGAGTTGTTGGCATTCACTACTCCTTATCTTTGGCAATGTGTTCGTGGATGTTCATCATATTATTAAAATAAATATTTTAAAATAAATTAATAATAAAAGCCCCCACATGAAGTTAATGTGTAATAAATTAAATAATTTTAATCAGTTCAGGTTTTTGCACTTGAATGCCAAAAAGTAGGCGTTTCAGTAAACTTATAAACAAAAAGAAACCAAAAAAAAGGAAGAGTTGCAATTAGCTAGGCAGAAGTTGGATGAAGCAATGATAAATGAGGAGTGTTCCACATGAAGAGAACATTTGACTAAAAAATAGGCAGGGTGCTGTGGCTTACGCCTGCAATCCCAGCACTTTGGGAGGCCGAGGCGGGCGGATCACAAGGTCAGGATATTGAGAACATCTTGACCAACATGGAGAAACCCATCTCTACTAAAAATACAAAAGTTAGCCAGGTGTGGTGGTGGGCACCTGTAGTCCCAGCTGCTCTGGAGGCTGAGTCAGGAGAATCACTTGAACCCGGGAGGTGGAGGTTGCAGTGAGCCGAGATCGTGCCAATACACTCCAGCTTGGGCGACAAGAGCAAAACTCTGTCTCAAAAAATAATAATAATAATAAATAAATAAATAAATAATAATTCACAACACATGCCTCAGCTTCTGTGTGTCAGACACTACCTTATATACATTATATATATCACATACATTATACACATACATTATATGTATACATTATATATATTATATGGATAATATGTATAAACACACCCACACATATATAAACTCACACTTCTCGCAACAACCTTTTCTTCATTTTACCTAAGCAAATTTTCACATAGAAAGGTCACATAACTAGGAAATGGAAAAGTACATGCACTTCACCAATACACCATTTTGTGAGTGCCAGAATGTGCAATGGAAGAAAGTCCTAGCCAAGGAACAAAGAAAAAGTAGAAGGAAAGAAAGTACTAATACCCAGAAAATTGTGCTAGCCCTCCACAAAGACACAAATGAGAAACAGATTCAAATCTAAAACCTTGACCAAACTCTCTCTCCTAAAATAATTAGGCAAGGAACAGAAGACGAGCAAAAGAGAAAGATAAGAGTCTGCCCCCTGTCTTAGTCAGTTCAGGCTGCTAAAACAAAATATCATAAAATGGATTTCTTCTAAACAAAAGACATTTACTTCTCACAGTTCTGGAAGCTGCAAGTCTGAGATCAGAGTGCCAGTATAGTCAGATTCTGGTGAAGAACCTATTCTGGGTTCAAACTATCAACTTCTCCTTACATCCTCTTATGGTGGAGGGAGCGAGCCGACTCTCTTGGGTCTCTTTCACAGGGGCACTAATCCCATTTATGAGGACTCCACACTCATGATCTGACCACCTCCTAAAGGCCTCACCTCCTAATACCATCATCATTGAGGTTAAGATTTCAACATATGAAATGTCAAAACATGTTTTGGGGAGAACATAACTATGCTCTCCGTAATATCTCCTGACTTCAGATAAATATTGCTGTCACAGAAGCACAGATACTCAGTCCCTCAAAACTTCAACATTCAGCAATGGCCATGCTTTACAAAAAACTAGTTTTTGGAAAAGGGTGCATGCAAGGGTATTAAAGCTCCCTCTTCAATCTCCCAGAGGCTCAGACTCCAGGAGCCTCAGTTCAGGAAACCGCAGAGGCAGTTTCTTCAAAATTGCTTAATTTTTACATATTTGTAGATATCCCACATTTTCTCTCTGTTATTGATTTCTGATTTGATTTCATTGTGGTTGGGGAAGATACTTTGTATGATTTCAGTCCTCTTAATTTTAGTGGGACTTATTTTATGACTTACTATATGTCCTATCATGGAGAATAATCCATGTGTACCAGAGAAACAAATATTTTGAAATAAGTAGGGTTTCTAGGGTAAGCAGTTTCATACGAAGACTCAGAGACAAAGCCTAAAATACCAACTCTCAAGAGACCAGAGGACAGGAGTGCTGTGTCACTCAACAAAGCCACATCCACTGAAGACCAAGGACCAGGAGTACAGGGCTCCATGGGGAAGGGCAACTTAGAAAGTTTTGGATTTGCTGCAGATTTGTTGACTTTTCAAGAGGGCACTGATGTATTCGGTCCCTCTCTCTGACAGAGAAGACACCCCCTCTCCTACTTGATAACTGAATGATGCCATAGTTACTACCTGATGTGCAGTTCCTTCAAATAGAGAGGAAGTACACTGGCCACAATCTCTGAACAACAGACATAGAGGACTGGCTTACAGGGGAAGCTAAATTTTTCACTTTATCATGGAGCACTAAACCTCTGCTATTGTATTTGGCAACAGAAATGAGGATCAAGATTAAACAATGAGTGCTGAGTCTCAATCCATTTGGGGAACCTGCTATAGTAGCGGAGGTTTCGGTAATTTTTAAACGTAATGCATAAAGATTGATTCTGAGAAGATATTGTGTGTTGCACTCTTAAAGATACTAAAAATGAAGCATGCTAAGCACTTAGTTTGAACCAACAGAACATCTGAACTAGGGAAGGAACCAGGGCCAACAAGCTTTACTGGCTTTGGATGGCTCCATGGAAGACACAAAAGATTCTACAATTATTGAATTAACCACAAATCTACCAAGGCCGTGGCTACTATTTGGAAAGCAATTTCATGACAAGTGGAAACCAAGTGCTCTGACATTATGCTGGTTTCTGCAAAGGGAGATTGCCACATTCTGATGAATCATAGGTTGGTTATTAAACCCAATGCATTAAAAAAGAAACCCTGGGGAATAATAAGAGATATCACCATTTCCATGGCTTCAAGTTGCCATTGCAGGGATTCCCATTAATAATTTTCATGATCTCTTTCCTCACTTCCCCCTGCCCGAGGGTAATATCTTTGGCTCTACATCCACTAATTTCAGTAAGTTGAAAGTACAGTCACCTTACTGGTACCTAAAGCAATAGTGTTGTCACACTCAATTCTTAACTTCAATTCTTAACTCAATTCTTAACTCAATTCTTAACCAATCATGGTCACACTCAATTCTTAACTTCTAAATTAATATTTTTAACCTCATTCTTTGAGCAACACAATATTAAAATTACCATATGATCCAGCAATTTCACTTCTGGGTATATAACCAAAAGAATCGGAAGCAGGGACACAAACATATATTTGCATCTCATGTCATTGCACCAGCATTCACAATAGCCCAAAAGTGGACACAACCTAAGTATCTCTCTATGGATACATGGATAAACAAGACATGATACATATATGTAGAATAGAATAGAATATTATTCTGCCTTAAAATAGAAGGATAGGATTTTGGCACATGGTACAACATGGAAGAACCTAGTTCTAAGTGAACTTAGGGGTTAGGGAAAGAAGCAAGTCACAAAAGAACAAATACTTTATGATTTTATTCATATGATGTACTTAATATAGTCAAATTCAGAGAGCCAGAATGTAGAATGGTGGTTGCCAGGATCTGGACATGGGGAAGCAGGCAATGGGGAGTTATTGTTTAATGGGATAAAAGTTTCAGTTTTGGAAGATGAAAAACATTCTGGAGGTGGATGGAGGTGATGACTGTACAGCAATATAAATCTACTTAATGCCCCTGAACCATACACTTGAAAATGATTAAAGTTATAAATTTCATTATGCGTATTTCACCAGAAAAGTTAATTTAAAAAATCTTATTGTATAATGCTATTCTAGAATATTAATATTATGCTTGCAACACTGCTCTAAAATCATGTGTTTGAAGCTTCTGTTGCTAACTTCTGCATGTTCATCCAAGTGCAGTGGTTTTCTTAATAGATCTTTCACCGAAGATGCTTTTTGATGGGTAAGTCCTTGGGACTTTATTGTCTTTTTTTCTTAATCACAGCTACTTAAGCAAGGAAAAAATGAAATTTATTTGATTTGTGTGTTTATTTTCTGTAATCAGCATAATCAAATAATTTGCACATTAAAATATTTCTGCTGAGTTAACTTCTTAAAGTACTTTCAAGTGTAAGTCTAGATGATTTACGCCTAAGTATAAATGAAATAAATACGCTCCTTGGAAATTGTCTCGTGTTTTACTCTTCATACAAGTTTTACTTCAAAATATACATGTATTTCTCTGACCAGAATTGGGTTTCAACAATAATAAAACCAATACAGTCAAATAAACTGCAGTGTCTTTCAAAACAAATCCACAGGTTAGGCAACTACCAAAAGATTAGTTTGGGCCGGGCGCGGTGGCTCACGCCTCTAATCTCAGCACTTTGGGAGGCCGAGGCGGGCAGATCACCAGGTCAGGAGATCGAGACCACCCTGGCTAACACGGTGAAACCCCGTCTCTACTAAAAATACAAAAAAAAAAAAAAATTAGCCGGGCATGGTGGCGGGTGCCGGTAGTCCCGCTACTAGGGAGGCTGAGGCAGGAGAATGGTGTGAACCCGGGAGGCGGAGCTTGCAGTGAGCCGAGATTGCGCCACTGCACTCCAGCCTGGGCGACAGAGCGAGACTCCATCTCAAAAAAAAAAAAAAAAAAAAAAAGATTAATTTGATGAGAACAAAACTAAACCAAGAACATGTCAAATTAATTATTAATAAGAGTAGTAAATAAAATTTAGTTTTTTTAACCTCATGAAAGCTTTGAAGTGAACAAAGGAAGATGTTTGATAGAATGAAATGTTGCACACTCCAAAACCACATTATAACTTTATAAGCATTATTTCTGTGTCTGTATGTATTTATGTGTAATGGTGTATGTGTGTGTATCCATCCTTGAAATTTAATCCCAAGTTACAATCTTTCTTTTTTTCTTTACAGCTGAAGAGCATTGACCAAGTTATTATCTTCAACTCTCTCAAAGGGTGAAGAGAGAAAAGCAACACTGAGTCAACTGGCTGGTTTTTCATCCCTTTCTCTTCTTCAGTTGTGGGCTGGAGAGAGATGTAATTCCAGGACATTGGCCAGCCTTTTGTTATGTGGATACGCTTTACACAACTACAGTTTATCCATCAGAATGAAATACAGACAAAAGCTGAGGAAATCAGTCTTCTTAATAGATAGAAAGTGATCCTTTCTGCCTCCAAATAAAACTGAATTATAACATTCTTCGTATTTCTCTGGGTACACATCTGGTTTAAAAATTAGAAGTTAAATTTTAAAAGTAGGCAGAAGTTTGTATTTAGAGAAAGACATTTTAACTGTAATAGTGATCATTATTTTAATGCTTATAAAGTCCAATCAAAGATAAATGTCAAACCATAACTGAATATATTGTGTGCTGTGTGAGAGATGAAATACATAGAGAAAATCCACTTTAAATGGTAAAAAAAAAGAAAAAATATATTATGGCTTTTTTCTAGGGAATATTCTGTAAAGAGAATGGCAAAGCTGTGCATTGAAGAGCCAACTTCAAAAAGGTGAATAAATAGTGGAATATTTTTATTTGTTTTCTGCTTTTTTCAACCAATGTTTCACTGAGTATGATTAATAATACCATTTGCTACTAGTAGAAGACTGAATTGGTTGGGTGCATCTGTGGCTCATACCAGTGTAATCCTAGTGTTTTGGGAGGCCAAGACAGGAGGATTGCTTGAGGGCAGAAGTTTCAGACCAGCCTAGGCAACATAGTGAGACCTTGTCTCTACAAAAAATTAAAAAAAAAACAAGCTTGGAGTCTTGGCACAGGCATGTAATCCTTGCTTCTCCGGAGGCTAAGGTGGGAAGATTGCTTGATCCCAGGAGTTTGAGGCTGCAGTGAGCTGTGACCACACCACTGCACTATTAAGCAAAGGTAATCAAAAAGTTTGAGAGTTTGCATATATCAAGAACTTTATGATATCATATTTAATATTCATATTAGTATTCTAATATAGATAATATTATTTCCCTTTTCCAATGAACAACAACAGCAAACTAACACAAGAACAGAAAACCAAACACCGCATGTTCTCACTCATAAGTGGGAGTCGAATGATGAGAACACATGGACACAGGGAGGGGAACATCACACCAGGGCCTGTTGGGGGTCGGGGGCAAGGGGAGGGATAGCATTAGGAGAAATACCTAATGTAGATGATGGGTTGATGGGTGCAGCAAACCACCATGGCACGTGTATACCTATGTAACAAACCTCCATAGTCCTGCACATGTACTCCAGAACTTAAAGTACAATAATAAAAAAAAAGAGGCTCCATAATTTGCAAGAGGTATATAACTTAATATTCACACAAACTGCTGGCTTTATTTACTGGCTCTGATCCCCCTCCTGAAAGAATAAGGTTAAAAAAATGCTGTAGGATATGTATTTGATGAAGTAACGTTTGGCTACGATACTGAATTCAGCTGGGAAAAGGTACAGGAAAAATGTATGCGAAACTAAGAGATTTCAGAATACTGGTCGAAGGTCTCTGTTTGTTGAAGTTTTGGTCTTAGCTAAATTGTGGCTAAGCAAGCAGTAATGCATGGGAGTTCAATTGAGGTTAAAAAGGACCATATGGGTCAATGCCGGGGAGCTTAAAGACAATTCCTTTGAGAACCTGTGTGACTAGGAACCTGGATTCACACAGTTAATAGAAAAACAGAACTTTGTAGGAATTTGTTGAGAAAAGTGAAATTAGATCATATGGGGACTGTGAAGTTATGTAAATCAAAGGCACTGTCTGAGGGCTCTGCCATCTGCAGGTCATGTTGACCTTCCTGGCCAGGGGCTCTCATTATGTATATATGTTGTGAACAGGTTTTGAGCGTTCTGCTGGAAAAGGGTTTGAGGAAAACTAACTCCTCCCAATGTTTACAGTCATATGAGAGGCCGAAAAGTTGTAAAAGATGATGAAAGAAATAAATCTAGTAGGAAGGCAGAAGTTTTAAAAAGTCTCTGAAGAAATAGAAGAGAATCAAGGTCGTTGTCAGGATGTAAGATGTGGTAGAAAGAGGGACGTGGTGCCCAGATGCCTCTTCAAGGAAGATCTTGCTGCTCAGCTCTAAGGAGTGCAGTCAGAAGTATTTCCCCCTTCTATTACCTGGTGTTGGCTCTTATTAAATGTCATTCATACCAAATTCTATCTCAGAATTTGCTTCTGGAAGATCCAATCTGAAAAATATAAAGTTGTTAAATCAAAGCCTGTGTTTCAAAAAAGGAACAAAAAGAAAAGATAATATGTTTCCACTAGAGAGATGCAGTGTCTACATAGGCTCTAAAATGAAGGTCAATCTTGAAAAAATAATGAAATCTCCATTTGTGTATGAAGATCTCAGAAAACCTTTAGTCCTCATCAATGGAGAAAACAATGAAACTGGAAAGAGAAGACTAAATCTAGTCTTCTAGATTCTATCATTTGCTTAGTTAAATAAACTTGAGAAAGTCACTTGTTATCAGTGAGCCCCAATTTCTTATTTGGCAAAATAGTCCACTACATAGCTAATCAGAGTGCATGCTTTCTTCTTCCTTTGGGCATTTATTATTGCTGCAATATCCTTTGTAAGTTGTACTAGAATAT
The DNA here is from genome assembly GCF_000001405.40 of Homo sapiens. Lineage (NCBI taxonomy): Eukaryota > Metazoa > Chordata > Mammalia > Primates > Hominidae > Homo > Homo sapiens. The sequence goes on from NC_000021.9 coordinate 20,644,002, forward strand.
CCTAGCAACTAGAAGAAAGGATAAGTATACAATAAATAATTGAGATGTATTATATACAAGATATGACTTTTTGAAGCACCTGATCAGTAACACTTCTGCTGTATTTCAGAAAAATAAAGCTGCTCCCCAAATTCCTTAATTTTACATTTAATAATTTTGACATATTTTTGAAGAACTTCTTGTATAAATTAACTTTTTTTGGTAATTGAATTTAGGTCACTGGGACAGAATAGGATTCATTTAGAAAGCAAGAGAAAACATTCCTTACCTCCATGCAAATTTTTTGAAAATCCCATGAGAATTCTTCTTTTAAGTTATGTATGATGGGTCACTCACATTATGATGATGCTTTCAAGCTTCATGAATAAAACTGACTATTCCTTGCTTTTCCCTTCCAGTGTATTAGGACTGCAATTACTTTTGCACCAACCTAATACATGAGCATTTTTAGATGTTTCTCTCAGATAGACTATGAAACCCCCAAAACAATGACTACTTGGGCTCTGTATCCCCAGAAGTTTCCAAGTGTTTGATGTATACTAAAGACAAAAAATATATATAATAATAAACTGGTTATGAGTGACTTAGGTATATACTGCAATAAACATGTTCAAATTGTTCTTAGCTGAGTTACTTATTTTCTAAGATGGCAAGAGAGAATGGAGGATTATTCTCTGTTCTTACACTAACCATAAAATGATCATGAGTAGTTTAGACCAGTAACAACGGTTCATTACATATTTGTGCAAATACTGTATTCTACTTCTACCACATTCCCACAGTGTGATCTTGTAAAACCTTTATGAACTTCAAGGACTTTGACATTGCAATGAGTGTAGTAACTCCTACCTAAAAATGTAGTTTTAAAGAATAAATAAGATAACGAATGCAAAGTCTTAATGTGGTATCTGGCTACTGTTAGTATACCACAGCAATTTTTTTTTCCTTACTATCCATGGCCCAAAAAGAGCTGCCTCATGTGGTGAGTTTCCTCCAAAGTATTAGAAGATAGTATAGCTACCAATATCGCTTTATTGATCAAATCTTGGATTTGAGATTGTAACTCTTAAATAAAGAGTTCATTCAGGCTCTCAGAATCAGGCAACGTATTAATATTATGATGTTTGTCACATCATGGGAGCTAGAATATGGACTTCTGCACAATTCATGCACCCATTTTCTTATTAAGACTCATAAAATAAAAAGAAGTATATAGCCTAATGTAATATTGATGGTGGTGGCAGCCCATCTGTAGCAGCTGCTGCCATAATGCCTGCTGCAGTGAGGGAGGTTTGGCCAGGGCTGTCTACTCTGTGGAGCCTGTGGGAGCCAGGAACAGGCAGGAGCCATGCCACCTTCTGAGTTAAAGGGGCAGGATCCCTGCCCTCCTGGGAGCAGCCATAGCTGCCCAGCTGCAGCTGCAGACCCAGGCATTCTTGTGGTCTCTGGGGCCCAGGAAGTTCCCTTGCCCCCAGTCTCGGAAGTGCCTGCTCCTGTTGCCTGGCCTCTCCCTGCACCTGGTGTCCACTCCAGTTTTGGAGCAAAGTGGTGGCCGAGCCCAGGCACTGTTGCTACCTGGTCGGTGTATACTCACTTGGGGCAGTGCTAACTCTCCAGCCCCCTGCTGCCTCAGACCCTTCTCAACTTTGGGCTTCAACAAGCACAGGAGGGAAGTCAAGTGGGGGCAGAGTACAGTTCAGCACGGGCCTACAGAAGGCCCTCAGCACTAACAGCCGGGGCACCATGGGCACCATAGATGGCAGGTTGATGGTGGCAGGAGGCAAACAGGCTTCTGGGAAGAAAGGGGTGGGTCCTGGTGAAGCCCCAACTTCAAGACAGAGACAGCCTGAAGCCTGGGGGCTGGGCTGCCAGTTCTGTGGACCAGAGTGAGAACTTATGATGCTGTTTTTGGGCCCACCTATAGTTGCCCATGGACCAATCAGCATGCATTTTCTTCCCTCTGAAGCCCATAAAAACCCTGGACTCAGCCAGACTTGGACAATGCGATGACCTGTCTGCAGATTGGAGCTATTAACTGTGGGTGTCCTCTCTGCTGAGGGCTCTGCAGATGATGGGATGACCTGCCTGCAGAATGGAGCTACCCACTCTGGGTCTCCTCTCCACTGAGGACCGCACAGAAATTGTGACTACCAGTTTCAGGAAGGAGCTACACTCTCCAGATCTCCTGAGAACTGTTCTGCCACTCAGTGAAGTTCCTCTCTGACTTGCTTACCCTCCAGTTGTCTGCATATCTCATTCTTCCTGGATGTGAGACAAGAACTTGGGACCCACTGAATGGTGGGGCTAAAAAAGCTGTAACACAAACAAGGCTGAAACATGCTCCCTGCTCACCACATTGCGGGCAATGAGAAGGCGAGAAGAGCTGAGGCCCTTTGTGAAGCCCAGACCTAGGGGCTCCCCAAGCCAGAGCTGTGACATTCTCTTTGAGGCTTTGTAGTTCTTGGAATATCCAAGCCTCTGGCGCCACCATGTTCTCCTTGTCCAGCCATGGGTGTCCTCAGTGGAAGTCACATGCAATACATATGGCCCAGCCACGGCCATGCATGGAGCTGGCACTTGTGCTCATACCTGGAACTGCCTGCCCTGCCGCAGCAGTCAGAGTGCCTTGCTGTGTGCAGTGGCTGGACCCCACGCTCATTCACCCACACACCCCTCTCCACTCTGTGCCTGGCTCGCACTTGGCAGATGTGGGATCTGGACTGGTAATGGGAACTGAGCTTAGCCTGTCGGGCCAAGTGGGTGGGATGAGCCCACTGGGCATGAGCAATACTTAGGCAGAAGGTGCAGCTGGCCACAGAGGTTTCCAGCTGGAGAAGCGGCACCCTATGTATCCTGTGACAATCTTTCCCTTCCTCTGTTCACTTTTAACTCCCTTCTAACAAAGTGATTAGCAAGTCTTCCACCACAAAGTTAGATTATAATTCAGGAATGCCTTCAAGTTTCTCATTTTCTTGCTGTGTACTCATTTCTTCCTCCATCAATAGTGAATCAGAGATTCCATTTCCCCATCTGAAATTATAAGACTAACTTTACAGGAATTTGTGGGAATTAAATGAGTTCAAGGTTCTTAATAAACTAGAAATAATTTATTCCATCTGTATGTCTAATACTATTATATTATTACTGGGACTTTATTACTTACTATTACTTTATTACTTACTATTGATTTTATTTACCTACACTTTCCAGCTATATGAAACAGAAATAAAATTAAATTACATAAATTCTATATGCCAGCATGAGAAGAAGCAATGTATAATAGCAACAGAAAATCATATTAAAAATAAAATATCTCCATTCATATAGTCATATCTTCCTTTATTGTGCTTCACTTCATTGTGTTTTGCAGATATTGCAGCTTTTTACAAATTGAAGGTTTGTGGCAACCCTGCATGCAACCAGTCTGTTGGCATCATTTTGTGTTATATTTTGGTAATTCTCTCAATATTTCAGACTGTTTCATTATCATTATATCTGTTATGGTGTTGTATAATCAGTGACCTTTGATGTTACTATTGTAATTGTTTTAGAGTGCCAAGGTCTGTGCCCCAAAAAAGGTGGCTAACATATTCAGTAAATAAAATCCAGATAGACCAAAGCCTTTTGTGCCAAACAGTTAAACACATTGTGAACAAAAAGAAAAGTTATTGAGGGAAATTAAAAGTGCTACTCCAGTGAATACACGAATAATAGGAAAGCAAAACTGCCTTTTTTGCTGATATAAGAGGGTTTGAGTGATCTGGGGAGAATATCAAACCAGCCACATCATTTCCATAATCTAAAGCTTAATCATGAGCATGACTCACTCTTCCATTCCATGAATGCTGAGAGAAGTAAAAAAAAACTGCAGAGGAAAGGTTGGAAGCTAGCAGAGGTTGGTTTATGAGGATTAAAGTAAGAAGCCATCTCTGTAACATAAAAGTGCAAGGTGAAGCAGCAAACACTGGTGTAGAAGCTGCAGCAAGTTGTTCAAAAGATCTAGCTAGGATAATTGATTAAGATGGCCAATCTAAAAAATAAACTTTCAACGTAGATGAAACAGCCTTCTATTACAAGAGAATGCCATCGAGGACTCTTGTAGCTAGAAAGAAGTCAATTTCCTGGCTTCAAAGCTTTAAAGAAATGGCTGGCTCTCTTGTTAGGGTTGAATGCAGCTGATAACTAAGTTGAAGCCAATGCTTATTGACCATTCCAAAAATTCTTGGACCTTTAAGAATTATACTAATTATTAAATGGAACAACAAAATCTAGATGACAGCATATCTGTTTACATCATGGCTTACTGAATATTTTAAACCCACTGTTGAGAACTATTGCTCAGGATAAAAGATTTCTGTCAAAATATTACTGTTCATTGGCAATGCAGCCAGTCATCAAGAACTCTAATGGAGATGTACAAATTTAATGTTGTTTCATGCCTGCTAACACAACATCCATTTTGCAGCCCTTGGGCCAAGGAGTAATTTCAAATTTCAAGTCTTATTATTTAACAAATACATTATGTAACGCTATAATTGCTATAGGTAGTGATTTCTCTGATGGATCTGGGCAAAGTACATTGAAAATCTTCTGAAAATAATCTACCATTCTAGATATCATTAAAAACACTTGTGATTCATGGGAAGAGAGCAGAATATCAACATTAGGAGGAGTTTGGAAGAAGTTGATTCCTGCTCTTATGGATGTCCTTCAGGGGTTTAAGATTTTAGTGGAGGAAAGAAATACAGATGCGGTGAACACAGTGAGAGAACTAGAATTAGAAGTGAAACCTGAAGATGTGACTGAATTACTGCAATCTCAGGATAACAATTTAATCACTGAGGAATTGCTTCTTATGAATGAGCCACAAAAATGTTTCTTTGAGATGGAATCTACTCCTGGTGAAGATGCTGTGAACATTGCTGAACATGATGCATTTAGAATATTACACAACTTATTTGATAAGCAGTGGTAGGATTTGAGAGGATTGACTCCAGTGTTGAAAAAAGTTCTACTATGGGTAAAATGCCATCAAACAGCGTGGCATTTTACAAAAAAAAAACCCAAGGAAAAAAAACAGTCAATCGATGCAGCTGACTTCATTGTTGTCTTATTGTATGAAATTGCCACAGCCACCCCAACCCTCAGCAACTACCATCTTGATCAGCCAGCAGCCACTGAAATCCAGTCAAAAGCTTCCCTCAACAAAAAGACTATGACTTGCTGAAGGCTCAGACAATAGCATATTTTAGTAACAAGTATTTTTGAATTAAGTACTTTTTTTACTATTGACAAAGTAGTAAAAATGTAGTGGTAGACTACATTATAGTGCAAATATAACCTTTATATGAACTGGAAAACAAAAAATAAATGAGTGAGTCACTTTATTGCAATATTTGTTTTATGGTGGTGATCTGAAATAGAACCTACAATATCTCTGAGGTATGCCTGTGCCACTGCACAACTATTAGAATGGTCAAAATCCAGAATACACGTAACACTACTGCTGGAGAGCATGCAGGGCAACGGGAAATCTCATTCATCGATGATGGGAATGCACTGGTATAGCCACTTTGGAAAACAATTCGGCAGCTTCTTACAGAAGTAATCATACTCTTAACTTACGATCCAGAAATTGAGCTCCCTTAATATACCCAAAAGAATTTAAAATAGGTATATGCACACCAAAATCTGCACTCTGATGTTTACATAATGATAACAACTTTATTCATAATTGCCAAAACTTGGAAGCAACCAAGATGTTCTTCTGTAGATAAATGGATAAGTAAATTTCCTTACAAACGAACAATAAAATACTATTCAGCACTAAAAGAAATGTGCTATCAAGCCATGAAAATATAGAGGAGTAACTTAGGTACTTATCGCTAAACAAAATAAGTCCGTTTGAAAAGGCTACCTACCATATAATTCTAACAATAAGACATTTTGGAAAAAGCAAAACTGTGGAGACAGGAGAAAGATCAGGAATTTGTAAGGTTGGAGAGAAGGGAGGGATGAATAGGTAGATCACAGAGGATTTTTAAGACAGTGAAACTACTCTCCATGATTAAAAAGAAAAAAGTGGTGGAAAAATGTCATTATAAATTGTTCCAAACCCACAGAATGCACAATTCCAAGAATGAACCCTAATGTAAAGTACAGATTTTGAGTGATAATGATGTGTCAATATAGGTTCATTAATTGTAACAATTGTAGCACTCTGTTGAGGGATGTTGTTAAGGGCGGAGACCCTGTGTGTGTGGAAGCAGGGAATATATGGGAAATCTTTACCTTCCTCTCCAACTTGAATCACAAGCAATTATGCATGAAATTTGAGAACATAAAGAGAATATAAAGTCACATTATGATACCTCCTGCCAATTGCAGATATAATGAACATGAAATGTCCAATATTAAATTTGTTTTTGAATGTCTTTTATTTGGATATTGTTTTGCATTTCCTCTACTCCATTTAAGCCAAACTTCCTTGCAGGTAAGTTCTTCTAAGTTCTTCTACATATTAGACTTAAACCTTATATCAATTCTGTCTTCTAAAATAAAACATAGAATAAGTCAATATCCAAAAGAAAAAAGCAAAAAAAGCCATGTTTATATTTTAAGATAGTAGCTTTTCTTTTTAGACATTTCCATTGTATTCTCTTCTACCATCTATGTACCCAAATATTTGTTTAGGTTGATTTTTAATGAAATGCAAAATAATACAATATGACTTACCTCCCAATATGTACAACTCAACAAAATAATAACTCAACAAAAAATCCAGAACATACTCTTCAATTATGATTAATTTTTTTTTTTTTTTTTTTTTTTTTTTTTTGAGACAGAGTCTCGCTGTGTTGCCAGGCTGGAGTGCAGTGGCACGATCTCGGCTTACTGCAACCTCCGCTTCCTGGGTTCAAGCGATTCTGCTGCCTCAGCCTCCCGAGTAGCTGGGACTACAGCCGCCCGCCACCACGCCCAGCTAATTTTTGTATTTTTAGTAGAGACGTGGTTTCACCATGTTGGCCAGGGTGGTCTCGGCCTGGCGCTGTGGCTCATGTCTGTAATCTCAGCATTTTGGGAGGCCGAGGGGGGCAGATCACGAGGTGAAAATATTTTTTAAACAAGGGCGTGAGGACCAACTGGCAGAAATTGTGCAGTGAAAATTTCTACATGAGACATGAGTTAAAACTTAGTAAAATCTTCAAAGCGCTTTCTTTTTCTTATACTATTCAAAAAATTTTTTTCAACTTTATGGATTGTAACACGTATATTAATACCTGCAATATACAGATACTGTATAAAATATATAGACGTGTTTGGTTTTATTTACAAAATTTGGTTGGTAATTAGTTTATTCATCAACAAATCGATTAACAAGGAGAACAAAAAGGAAAAGTTGTTTAGCTATCTATCTTTATTTATTCGTTATCTGTAAATTATAAACAGTTCAAAGCCTACGGAATCTTTCTTTAATAAATCATGCATATATTTTTGAAGAGGTTTGATTGATGGAAACATAATGGATGTACATATTTGTGGGGTACCTGTGATAATTTGAAAAATGCATATAATCAAATCAGGATAATTGAGATATCCGTCACCTTAAATATTTATCTTTTCTTTACGCTAGAAACATTCAAATTATTCTCCTTTAGCTATTCTGAAATGTACAATTGATTATTGTTAAATATAGTCATGCTACTGACTCGTTGACTAAAAAGGTTGAACAAAATACCAAATAAAAATATGAAATAACCAGAAGCATGGATTTCTTTAAAATCTGGTTATTCAGTAAACTTTACTTTTATTGCTTTTACGGTTGCCTTATCTGCATCTTGTATGGCAGCATTTTATTAATGACTCACTTTTTAAGAGTAAACTATGCATTTAACTTTAATAGAATATATTACTCTTTTACAAGCAGTTTTCATTAGTTTATCAAACTATTCATTTAAATTAAATCAGAAATTACAACAAGTATCACCATCAAGGCCATGAAAAATGTTGATTAATCCTAATAGTTGTTTCAGTTTAGTCTGATTGAGAGACCTCTTCTAATCTGTAGATAGTACCATGTGTAACATCTACATTGGTGATTTATTAATGGGCTATATTTTTGTATAAAAGAAATACTCTCCTATTTGTAATAGATGTAAGTCTTCATTATTTTATTTTTACACAATTCACTATGAGATCATGGTTTTAATGGTTCTCCCATAATTAAATAAGACTTTACAGAGGAGACATTTTTCTGTAGCAGTAAATAACATTTTTTAAAAAGAGTAGTGAATCTTCCTAAAAGTTTCTTCCCCAAGAAGACACAGAACGTACGTCCATACTAATATTCTCAGTGATTCCACCTCATAGACATTATTATTCCCATATTACAGATGAGGAAATTGAAGGCTTATTCACTAAAAGCTCCCCTGAAATAATTTGTGTGAGCATTTTTCCTATAAAGCAAATGGAATATTTTCATGACCTCATTATTGAAAATAATAAATGTAAATTTCCTTTTTAGGTTTATGTTCTCTATTCTTGAGCTATCCTTATCATGTTCAATCCTGTCTCCCCTTTATCTCTGAAAGACCACTGTCCCATTAGTCAGGATCAACTGTAATAAACTGTCTTTAATCTCTATGGGCTTGCATCAGTTAAGTTATATTACTTAGATTAAAATTGTGTCCTTATTCATGCAATACATGTAGATTTTTTTCCAGAAATGATTGTTATTTTCAAGTATTATACATGTTTTATTTTCTCTGAAATAACATATTTATGATATTTTGACAAAAAATTGAAAGATATAAATAGTAAATGAAAATATATTATTTACACTGATCTTAAAAATACATTTCAAAGTAAGAAGATATATTATTCGCACTGTACAAGTGAACAGCCTTAAAAGATGGTGTAGTTTACTAGAAAGAACATAAGACTGATTATGAAACTTTTTGGATTCTGTTCCTAATTCTGCTGTTGCTTAGCTTTGGTGAGGTTTAAAATATAGTCAACTCTTCACTTACTTCTTGCATATGAACTAAATTAAATGATTCCCCTCCCGCCCATATGGTAGTATTTCTGCACAGATGCAGTTAGTATTACATGCTGTGCAAAATCCCAGCTGTAAACTGAAAACAGGGCTTTCATTTATTTTCTATTGTTTTTAAGTAGATTTTTCTGAAAATAGGTTTAAAAAGCAAATGAAAAACGGAAAACAGAAACAATGCATCGGTTAGGTCCACAATTAGTGATGGAAGATAGAAAGGACTAGAAACAAAAAGGAACAATATGACGATATTTAAGTAAAAAGTATGTTCAATATGGGGAAAATTCACATTTGTAAGCTTCTTAAAATACATGTTCTTCAAAAGAAATGTCCTTCAAAAGAAATACTCAGTAGCCACAAATGTCCTCCAAAGTTCTATTGAAGAAAATAAGTTATTGGAGAAAATTCTTATGCTCCATTTTATTCCAAGGAATATAAAAATCTGAAAGTGAGGTAGAGAATTTACAGTAGCTCACTTATATATCAAATTGTATTTAATTAAAGCCACGGGCAATTCTGTTTTAATACGAAGTTCTAATACAGGTATGTTTAACATAAATTGTTTGCTACAATTTAAGACTTCTTATGATACATTTTTGTCTAGAATGTTCTTTGATTCCAGATTCTTATAGCTTCTAAGTAGAGAAGCAGATTTACAATTCTTCAAGCTAAAAGCCCACTTGAATATTTGGAAAGATTCAGCATTGAGGTGTATGTGTATACATAATAGGTAAAAACAGCAATATGTTTGATTGTGCATGTTAACTTTCTAAAATAATGTGTATAAAAACTATAGAATTCAGCATCATTTTTATGATAAAATCATTTTTAAATATCTGTATGTAGGTAACTAGTTTAGCACTGGTTACAGTCTAACTGTCTCTACCTCTCTCTGTTAGTTGAAGTCACCTAGGTAAGTGTCCAGAGTAATTTTTACTAGTGGCAAATACTCTGGATTGCAGAGTGTTAAGACACTTTATTCAGCTTGAAGTATTCCATCAGTATGTAATAATGCAACTTTGATGAAAAGAATAAGATTTCCAAAAAGTTCATATCCCTTTCAGTTCAGCCTCTTAACTTTACCATAATAGTAAATAACTTCAGGCAAAATTCCAACAAACAAGGTGTGACCTTTGCTGTGTAGTCTCATCAGTCTCATAAGTAATTCTCTTTAAAATAGATATAGATATTTTGTATCATGTGATATATCTTACAAGGCAATTTATTCCTTAAGAGATCTTAGTTATATTTATATTGCCCACATTTCCCAGAGGAAGAATCTTACATATCCTTGCCAATGTTCAGCATCCTTACATCAAATAATGGACAAGTATTTCAAGTATATAAAATATGTATAGAAAATTTCATTCAAAAGAAAAATTTCAACTAATTTTAGTTATACCTCAGCCACAAAGATGGAAAAAATATTCTAAGTAACAAAAGGCATGCTGTATATCACTGAATTGCATTACGTTTACAGAAAGTTTTATGAGGTAATGATTTCTCTTCTGATTATCTATAGTTGTGTAGGCAACGACCTCAAGAGTTAGTGGCACAAACCAAAAACAGTTAATTACTTTGATTGCTGATCTGCAATTCCAGAGGGCTTGAGTGAGATAGCTCCTCTCTGCTCCATAGAGAGAGTATCAACTGGTATGGCTAGACGTAGGCTGGAGAATCCACTTCCAGGATGGCTCACTTTTATGAGCGCAGTGTAAGCCAGAGTTGCCAGCCCAGGATCCCAGCTTCACTCCTAATGAGCACCTTCTCAAAGCTGCCTGGGGCTCATCTCAGAACCTGGCTGGGTTTTAGGAGAGATTATTCCAAAAGACAGAAAGTGAGAATTGCCACTTTGCTAAGACCTGAACCTAGAAACTGTCACAGCATTATCTCTGACATACACTGTCCGTCAAAGCAGTTAAAAAAACCTCCCATATTCAAGAAAGGACATCAACTCAACTCCACCTCTTGGTGTGAAGTGTCAAAGAATTTGTGACTAGCTATACTTTTCCACAGCTAATAAAAAAGCTAAAAATGACAAATACAGATAGAAAAAACAGTGAGTTAGATTTGAAATGTTCATTCATTATAGATCTTTATCTGGTAAACTATCTTTCTAATTTGTGCACTCCAATTTTATGTGAGTATATAATTTTTCAAGCATCTCCAAAATACACATGCATCTTTGTAAATAATTGATTTTAACTAGTAGAAAATAATTTAATTCAAAATAATTAATATAATAATTACTATTCACCTACTCAAGTATAGCTAAATTATTCAGCATTTAAATAGCTACTGGTTTATGGTACCTAACATTCAAGTAATTATAAATATGTTAATTATTATTTACTAATATTAGAACCTGTAACTATTATAATTGTCATTACTTTTAATTAACTTACTTCATCTTAGACTGTCACAAACTTAATTTGTCATTTTAGTTTAATAAAATAAAAAAAATTCAATTTAAAATACAATTATTATTTAGCCCTTATGTAGCAAGACGAAAAGTTAACCATACATTGCTTCTAGAATTTAAAGTTTATGGTTCTTTTAGTTGTTTATAAAAATAAGTGTAATAACTTGGCAGATTAATGTCTGACTGTCAAAAATACTGTGGTCAGTTGGTCAGCCATGATTAAAGCCACTTTGGGTCCAAATGGGCCAAAAGGAAATATCGTTGAAGTATGAAACTTTTGCAGCCAACACTTACTTTTTGGAAGGGATAGATCTCTGTTAGCTGAATCGTATAAATGTCACAATGTCCATTGGTTTCTTTGTGGTTGTTGTTTGTGTTCCTGGCCTGTTCAGTGTTTGTATTCTACATGGGATACAATCACCAACAAACTTTATCTCTTTCCCACTCATGAAGCTACTAAAGAGATACCAGGGAACTGTTTCCACTCACACACATCCTTATCTGGCGTGTCCTTTGTGTCCCTTATTTGCTGGGACAGTGGTAAACTGCAATGATAGCAATTTCAGCCGAGTTTGAGTTGTCATTCTTGCTAGTCTTTGAACCCTGATTAGGCTTTGCAGTTCACCTCACAAACTGACAGTGCTATCAAAGGCAAGTATTCCATATTTGGAACACCAGTGAAAAACCAGGATGTTACAAGAAAAAAGTTTTTTTTTTTTTTTTTTTTTTTTTGACAGAGTCTTGCTCTGTCATCAGGCTGGAGTGTAGTGGCATGATCTCGGCTCACTGCAACCTCTGCCTCCTGGGTTCAAGCAATCCTGCATCAGCCTCTCAAGCAGCTGTGACTACAGGCGCCCACCACCACACGCAGTTAATTTTTTGTATTTTTAGTAGAGACTAGGTTTCACCATGTGGGACAGGATGGTGTTGATCCCTTTACCTCATGATCCACCCACCTCGGCCTCCTAAAGTGCTGGGATTACAGGCATGAGCCACTGTGCCCGGCCTAGAAACAAGATCTCTTAAGAGGTCATATATTCATAATAAAAAGGGCAAATATCATTCCCTCTAATGTCAACACTATCTCTGAAATATATCTTCTTTAATACATAGAAAAATAATACACTTATTTGAATGATAGACTTGACTTCTTAAAGTGGAAGAGATATTCAGTACTGGAAACTATTAAGCTCACATCTTACAAATGAGGAAAATGCTAAGAAGTTTAGGAATCTTCTTGGGTCATGAGGTTCACTGGGAGCAGAATAAGAATTGGGACCTACGTTTCTGGGTCTTCGGTATAGAGCATTCTTTATGGTTATCACAAGTTAGTATTTTCTACTAAAATATGTTCTCAGTATAAATAGTGTGAAAAAGCATTTTAAATATTTGTTGTATTAACAATTGCATAAAAAATCTCTTTTATTGATTACCAATATTATCCCCCCGAAAGTAGTACACATTAGTTTAAAAAGCGTGGAGCAAATATTTGGGTTATAAAATAGACATAAAATAGACATATAAAGTAATAGACATAAAATAGACATATAAAATAAAATAAAATATTTGGGTTATATAAAATATAAAATATTTGGGTTATAAAATAGGCTCTGGTTTTGTCATGAAAACATACAGCTTCTGAATATAATATGTAAAATATATATCATACTCAATAGGTAATATATATATTTATTACATAAATATAGAGAGACTGCTATGTCCCTGCTATGAAAGCACACAAATGTTGATTATAATATGGAATATCTCTTAGTCTGTTTGTGCCGTAGTAACAAAATACCTGTGACTGGGTAATTTATAAAGAGCAGAAATTTATTTCTCACATTTCTGAAGGCTGAGAAGTTTAAGATCAAGGCACCAACATTTGGTGAAGGCCTTCTTGTTGCATCCTCATGTAGTAGAAAGCAGAAGCACAAAGAAGCAGATCAATGCTACATTCTTACATGGCAGAAGAGAAGAGGGTGAACCATGAACTTACTCCTGCAAGGCATTTTTATAAGGGTCGTAAACTATGAGTGAGGAAAGAGCCTCCCAGAGGTCCCATCTTCCAATACCATCACTTTGGTGATTAGGTTTCAAGATGAGTTTCAGAGAGGACACCACATTCAAACCAAAGCAGATATTTGTGTGTGTATATATGTGTATGTGTGTGCATGTCTGTCTATTGTGAGTATATATATGTATAGGTGTATATATATATATACTCACAATAGACAGACATGCACACACATACACATATATACACACACATATATTTATAGGTATACATACACACACGCGCACACACACACACACACACACACACATATATATATATATATATATATATATATATATGTAACAATAGACAGAGAGAGAGAGATTGAGTCAAGCTTAAAATTAAGAAATGGGCCAGGTGCAGTGGCTCACGCCTGTAATCCCAGCACTTTGGGAGGCCAAGGTGGGTGCATCACCTGAGGTCAGGAGTTCCAGACCAGCCTGACCAATATGTTGAAACCCTGTCTCTCCTAAATATAAAAAGTTAGCTGGGTATGGTGGCACATGCCTGTAATCCCAGCTACTGGGGCAGGGGTATCACTTGAACCCGGGAGGCGGAGATTGCAATGAGCGGAGATTGCTCCATTGCAGTCCAGCCTGGTCAACAAGAGCAAAACTCTGTCTCAAAATAATAATAATAATAATAATGATAATAATTAAGAAATGGAAATGTTCAGCGAATACACAAATGAGGTAGAAGATGTGTGGCATATGTGTTAGGTGTCCTAATTTGCCTGGAATGCTCCAGTACATGCCTATTGTACTGGCTTAATTAAAAGCACCCTTTATACTCTGAGATGTTTTCTGGGTTGGGTAAAATGTTATCTGGTCACTGTAGATATGAGGCTGTGGAAATCAAATGTGCTGGGCAATGCCCATGAATTGATGGTGGAGACAAGGCCACAGATCATGACAAAACCGAAAGAAATAATCCTATCCATGAATGGGAAAGGCACTGCCAGTGTGGAAGTTCTTCCCAGGAAGCAGACTGATGGGAGAGATTGAGTTGAGAGAGTGCCAACTATAACTAAACAGAAGCCTAATCCTGAAGCCCATGGTTTCTGGGTGATAAAACATCTATCTGAAAACCTAACGTAAAAATTACTCAGACTCAAAGTATTTCTATAGGGACTTCTATCAGTCTTGGTTCCACCAGGAAAACAAAGTCAATTTAATAAAATGATTGGTTTAATAAATGCATTGGGTATATGTGTTTGTAGGGAGAGCTGGGGAACCTACAGTCAGAGAAACTGTCATCAAATGCAAGATACTTGTAGGCGGGAGAAAAGCAAATGACAAAGTATTCATGTTAAGCACTAAATTAGGTGGTTTTCAAAAAGTTGACTGGCTAGTTAATAACTCTTAACTGTCTCCTCAGCCGAGCAAAATGAGTGCCTCTCACACGCTTATTTAAAATCTGATGCGATGCTTCAATCTGCCCATGAGACTGGAAGAAAATACCTTCTAAATATTGCAGGAGTTTTTCTTAATGGTAAACTATAATCTAGAAGACTGTAGGAAAAAAGATTCTCGAAAATGAAGTTTCCTGCTTCTCCTTGAGAGTGCAGAGGACACCTCAAAACAGTGGTGAGGTTGATGTCAAGTTGATATTAGACTACCCAACACAGTCTCTAGCAGAGATGAATCACACTCATTCCCCACAGGTACTTCTACAACCCAGCGCCGCGTGAGATTTATTCTAAAGACAATGCCTTTGAAGAATTGTTCACACAGAAAATTACAAAGCACAGAAATACTTCATTTCCTCTGAAAGTGACTTAGCAGAAAAAAGGGAAAATTCACACCCACAAATCCACACGTATATAAGCCAGAAATTTATTTTACAAAAAAAAATAGCTAAAGTATTCATAGAGAGAAAGGAGAACTAGATAATGCACCTAGAACATTTAAACAATGCATAAATTCCAGAAAAGATTAATATTGCCCTTTAAATTGAAAAGGGATCAATTACAGACCAAATTAGTTAAGTTGTTAATTACTTAATTATTTGGCGAACAGATCTGAAGACATTACTAAGATTCTATCACAGTGAATTTAAGATGAGGATTGTGCTAGCCAGACAGAATAAAAGTCTAGATATATGTCTAAAGGGACATCAGAGGATGAGAAAAAAAAAATGAGAGGCTATCTTTAAATAGAAAATAAATTTTCTCCCAAAATACAGAAAAATGTGTTCTCAAACTGCAAAATCACAATGAGTTTTTAGTAGGAAAGTAAAGCAATCTCCACTTTCAGAACATCGTGGGTGAAGAAATAGTACTTCCATTGACTTCTATGTGTATAGATGGAATTGTGGTACTTCCATTGACTTCTATGTGTATACATGGAATTGTGGTAATATTTCAACAATCTAGATGCATAGTAACATCTAAAGTCCTTTCCAACTATACCAGCTATCAATTAGATCTGATTAAGATGAGCCTTAGGTACATACCTGAAAATTAGGAATAACCTTTGATTCTAACTGCATCAGAGGGATGTGTTCAATACAAAAGCAGGCATAATATTTTGTAGTTAAGTAAGAAACTTTAGAGAAATATGCAAATATGAGCTGCTTGCTATCTCCATCACTGATCTGAACTCTTAAGGTGTCATCATGTATCTTTCACTTAATTATTGTTTCAAAGTTTATTGAAAATGTTTATTAATATGAAAAATAACATCAGAAAATAAAACATTGGAATGTGATGATATTTAGTGGAAAAGTTGTAAGACAGTGGATAGATGAAAAATTTAAAAAATTCTCATTTCCATTAAAGCATCCTAACTATATCCAAATGATGTCATTGCAGGAATTAAATTGCTACAATGAGCATACAAATTCAAGGTCAAAAACTGCTTTCAAATACAAGAATTACTAATGATGAAGACTAATGATTTTCAGTTGTTCTGACCTCCTTAGAATTAGATCTAAACAGACAAATCTTCCAGCTTCGGAGACACCGTATTAAACTGTCACATTTCATGGCTGAACTGAGCTATATAGGGGGAAATATTTGGAATAGTAACTGCATTAATGTAAACATTTACAAAAGGGTTTTTTTTTTTTTATTTAAGAAAGAAGATTTGGAAAATCAAGATTAAACACAAAGTCTTCTTGATAATGGTTTTATAAGTCACTGTCAATCTTAGGAAACTGGCATTTATCAGTCAATCAATCAATAAAGTAAGGAGTAGCAAACTTCAAATTTTAAAAATGGAAGAAGGAAAGATAGAAATTGTTTTTGAGTTTGTTGTTTTGTTTATAATTTTTATATTACAAAGTGAAAACATATTTTATAAAATATAGCATATATTATTTATAGAAAATGTTTCAAAAAATCAATGTCTATAATACAGTGATTTCTCAAAAAACAGATTAAGATCGAATTATTTCATTCAAGTATAGAATGAATTTTCATAATGAAAACAGCTGTCTGTATGAGTACTTTTATGATACAAAGTCATCAGTAGCTTTCTCCCCAAAGAGGTCAAAATAAATTGGCATCACCTGAATCAAGGTTATGACTTCCTTGAGGCTTATCTTCTGACAGATTCATTTTCTATAATCTTTTTTTTTCTATTAGCAACTACTGTCTGGGAAATTTCTGCTTCATTGTATTCCCCTGTCTATAAATCAAAAAATGATTTAATAAATATTTGCACTTTTTTAAACAGTCTGTATTCAATTAAAATTGATTCGTGATTAAATATAAATTATAGCTTTTAAATTTCTGGTTTACAGGTGGCAGTCTAGTAAGATTTAACGATACTGTCTGACTGGAGCTGGAAAGCAGTGAGTATGGCTGCTATCGGAGAGGAGAGAGAAAATCAATCTCTGTGGGCTGCTATTATCCAGAAGAAATGGAGAGCTCCCAATGACCAGGCATTCCACCGAGCAACAGGGCTTACTTGCCTCTGCTCTCATTGAAAACCACACAGAGCATGCAACACTTTGCTCACTCCAAAACTTTATGACTTTCTTCAATTTCAAGCAATGTTGAATGCTGACTCAATAAGATACAACCAAAACAACTTGTTGATGAGACAAAGCTGAGTTTATTTTTTACCATGGTAAAAGTGAACGCTACCTCAGCAGAGGGGCAAGAAATATATTTTTTGAGATTTTGAAGTCTGGTGCAAGTTTTTCAATGTGGAACTTGGTTAAGATGGGGCTAGCGTCATAATGTAGTTGCTTAGAATTGTGAACGCAGGGAGGAGAGAATTTTGAGAAAAGTAATTCAAAGGGTCTTGACATATACCATTCAGTAAGTTGCTGGAATGAAAAATAAAGTCATTTGCAATTGTAATCTTCTTGGGCAAGAATTTGCTGTAATACTAAAGTTAAGTTGATGAAGTCAGTGGAGGAGGAAAAACATGCTAATGTAGACAGTAAGAGCTGTGAATGTAGATAGTCTCAGCTCTCAGCAGGGAGTCCCAACATAACAATATCAAGACTGACAAAGCAAGACTGAAGAAAGCACACACCATAACAAAGAAACAGCAGGCTCAATGAAGAGAAACATTTAGACATAAAGAAACTGTTATAAGATCAGATTTTAAAATAAGTATGGCTTTAAACATACATACACATACAAACACAGTAACACCATAAAATAAAAATTGAATTTTTTTAAAATGAAAAAAGTCTCAATACACAGGCTAAAGAGTACAATGGGAACTGTTGAAAAGCAAACTAATGAGCAGGTGTGTTTAATTGAGCTTTACTCTCCCAAGGGAAAGGGAACTGGAAAGCATGAAGGAAGAGGTAAGAGACTTGGGGAGATCATGTAACCCAACACCTAAATTGAAGGAATGCTAGAAAAAAAATACAAAGAAAACTGAAGAGTTAATGACATATAAATTAGTTATGTCTGAGCATGTCCCAAGACAGAGTTAATCATGCATTTGTATCCTAACCAAGTATTTGTTTTAATATAGAAAGAAAAAAATATTTGTGATTCACAGAGTATTACTCTGCTACTGAGAAAGCCAGAAAAAAAATGTAGCTGCAGAAGATCCCCTGAAATCACACCATTTGACAGTCCTAGAAAGTGCCTCTTACTTATGCAACGTGCAGTACTTTGGGTCAGGCAGGGTTGGTCCACCCGTGGAACTGATAGATGCAGGAGGCAGATAAGAGGGGAGTCCCCTAGAGCATCTCCAACTGGCCTGAGCACTGGGAGAATGGGGTGGAGCCACTGGAAGTTCTCTCAGCTTGTAGAGGGGAGGAGCTTGGCCTCTTTAGTTCCTGTGGGTGGCCTGGAATCAATCTGTGAGGTGGGGGGCCTGTTAGCAGGACTCCCTCTTGCTTTGCTGGAAGTTTTTTTCTTGTTTTCCTCTTTGCCCAATAAATTCCATTCCCCTCACACTTTGATGTGTCTGTGTGCTTAACTTTTCCTATTTTTTTCATTCTATATTAAAAACAAATTATTTAGTTAGTATATAAATACATGAGTAGCTCTGTCTTAGGACATGCTCAGATATGACTAATTTGTATGTCATTGACTCCTCAGTTTTCTTTGTATTTTTTTTCTAGCACTCTTGCAATTTGGATGTTGAGTTACATGATCTCCTCAAGTCTCTTAACCTCTTCCTCCAAGCTTTCCAGTCCCCTTTCCCTTTGAGAGTAAAGGGGACAAGAACCCCATTTAAGCTGAACTAAGGATCAAAGTTCTACAATAGAATAAATAGTTCTTTCTTGGTAAACATTTTTTTGAGGTCACAAATGCTGGGAACTTGATGAAAGCTTCTGAGGGACCAGAAATACTTGTGATGGAAAAGCCTGTATCTTGGCATGTACAACTTCTTCTATTTCCTGGAATTCTCTTTGCTATGAGTAGCACAAAGTAGACCAATGGCACATCATTTGCCTCCAAACTTTTCTTAGCTTGACTGGACTTCAATCTGGCAGCATTTCTAGCTTCTAGCAAGCAGTCTCTCCTGCCCTTCCCAAACTATAGCTCCAGTCCTTTTTAGTCTCCTCCTTCCCACCTACCCCCCAAAATCTACAAATTTTCTATTTTACGAGTCATTTGGTGGTTTAGTTAATAACATTTTCCTACCAAAATCCATGTTTTCTTTTACCACAAAATATATTGTTATTTACCTTTTATTTCCACATCTGAATGTAAAATTATTTGAACAAGATACTATCAAAATGAATCCATTTTATTTAAAAAGGTATTCATGTTTCTTCAAAGTGGTTATTCAGAAAAATAAGTGCCACCTGTCAACTGCTCATCAAAATTGACACAAGATAGTCATAATGCTATTGTGGCCCAGGAACCACAATTTTATCTTTGAGCAGCTAAGAAAAAAAAAAATCTTTCAGAAATGACCTTCTATTACTAGCTTTATTCTCTCTTTAGGCTCATAAGGACCGTTAACTATATTAAAAGAGCAAAGAGAAGCATCCTACCTTTCTCTGATACCCACCATTACAGCCAGGCTTCGGGGATACCTGCTGCTTTTATTTATTATGCTTTTCAGTACTAATATTAAAGTGTCTTTATAAACTTTATCATAGCGGTTACACACTAATGGGAATGGAGGTGCTGTATTTTCATTTTTTTCTTTATAATTGTCAAATAAAAAAATAAATCTGGACTAAGTAAGGAGAGACTAATTGGAAGGATTATTGCAAGAGAGGAAAGGACTATTGCAATATGGGAGGAGAATTATTCAATGGAAAGAACACTGATCATTAGATCTGCAAGCATCTTAAGGGCTAGGCAAAATGCATTTTGCTTTTGTAGAGAGAAATGAACAAGGTAAGAAAGAAATGACTGTCATCAAAGAAGAGATCAGAGACTATTTTACCTTGAGACCAGGCTATTCTCAGGAAAAGCTGTTAAGGAGGAATTGCATGCTGGGCAACAAAGCCCTGGGAAAGAAGAGAAACTTAACCAAATTTATTGTTAGTGTTGTTGTGTTGTGTTTTAACCGTCATTTTGTGTTGATTGATCAGCAGGGACAAGGAGTATAGCTAATAATTTATGAAGCAAAGAATGATTATTTGGAGGGTCAGTATGTTTTTGCAATAGGTAGCAATGGGGACATCCATGAATCTATAATCTGAGTGATTTGGGAAGGATGATTTATTGCAGTAGACCTTTTCAGGGAACATAAAAGGTCAGGGGAATTCCTTAACCTTCAATGTTTACTAGGATCACAGGGTTCAGGTAAAATTCAACATTGTCATAAAGAGCATTGTAGATAGTCATCAGAGATACTGAAAATTTTGTCTTGAAATTTTAAAGCAAAATTTCTACTGTCACCCAATGAAGTTAGAAGTGGAACATTTAGAGGTTCATTTTTGAGCAGAGGCTGGATCTGGTTGTTGCATTTATTGTTTCTCCTATGTGGCATAAGCATACATTAAAAAAAAAAGAATGTTGTCTCTTTGTATGTAGACACTTTAAAACTGGAAGACTTCTGTCCGTACAATTAGTAATGTTTTTACAGAGTACCTACAATTTGAGTTTTATCAACATAGAATGGAGTATTCATATTTATTTTGTTTTAGAAAATAGCTAGAATAAGTGTCCTGAGCTTCTACTTTCTCAAAGTATAAAAAAGAGAAGATAATTCCTCCGAAGTTATATATAGACTATAATTCAAAAACAATTATATAATATAGACTATAACTATTCTGTAATAAAAGTTCCAAAGTAATGCACATCAGATTTTGAGTGCGGCCTGACTTCAGATGCTGATTCTGCAGTTTATTGGAGTCATTTTGTCACTTTGGCAAGTTATTAACTGCTATGTGCCTCATTTTCTTCATCTGTCAATTGATTATATCAATGTTTACTAACTTAAATAAGAATAGGTGGTAGAGGCTAGAGGTGAGACTGGGCTTTCTCTGGATCTGTGATATGGGAAAGGTTAGATGAAATTCAATGTCTCTTCATGAAAGAAACTCTCAACAAATTAGATACAGAAGAAATATACCTCAACACAATAAAGCCCTTATTTTGCAAACCCATTCCTAACATCACCCTTAATGGGGATAAGTTAAAAGCTTTTCCTCTTTGCATTCTTGTCTGAAAGAAGACAAGGATGCCCATTTTCACCACTTTTGCTTAACATAGCATTGAAAGTCCTAGCCAGAGCAATTAGGCAAGAAAAATAAATAAAAAGCATCCAGACTGAAAACAAGGAAGTCAACTTGTTTCTACTTGCAGACATCATGATCTTATATAAGAAAACCCTAAAGATCCCACCGAAAAACTGCCAGAACTAATAAATTTAGTAAAGTTGCAGGATACAAAATCAACATGCAAAAATCAGTAGCATTTCTGTACATCAGTTGTGAACTATCTGAAAAAGAAATCAAAAAGGCAATTCCATTCACAATAGCTACCAAAATAATCTTAAAATACTTAGAAATAAATTAATCAAGGCAGTTAAAGATCTCTATGATGAAAACTATGAAACAATGATGAAAGAAATTAAAGAGGAAAAATTCTCAAAATTGCTAATTTTTAGGAAAATGCAAATAAAACACAATGAGATAATGTCTCATCCCTGTTAGAAAAGCTATTATCAAAAAGACAAAAAATAACATATCCTGGCAAGCTTGTGGAGAAAGAGGGACTCTAAAACACTGAGGTGGGAATGTAAATTAGTATAGTCACTATGGAAGACAGTATGGAGGTTCCCAAAAAAATTAAAAATAGAAATACCATATGATCCAGCAATCCAACTGCCAGGTATATTTCAAAAGGAAAGAAAATCAGTATGTTGAAGTTATATCTGCACTCCCATGTTTATTGTAGCACCATTCACAATAACCCAGCAATGCAATCAGTACAAATGTCCATCAACAGATGAATGGAAGAACAAAACGTGGTGTAACTTCACAACAGTATTCTATTCAGCCATAAGAAAGAATGAAATCCTGTCATTTGCAGCCAACATGGATTAGCCTGTAGGACATACTTAAAGTGAAAAAAGCCAGGCACAGAAAGACAAATACTACATGATTGCACTCATGTGGAATCCAAAAAAGCAGATCTTACAGAAGTAGAGAGTAGAATCATGATTACTAGAGGTGAGGAAGGGTAGCAGGGAGGAGAGATAGGAAAAGTCAATCAAGAGGGACAAAGTTGCAGTTAAGAGGAATGAAGTATGGCATTCAATTTCGCACAGGGTGACTATAGTTAATAATGATAATAAATTGTATATTTAAAATAGCTAGAAGAGAGGATTTGGAATGTCCTCACCATCGAGAAATGATAAATTTCTAAGATAATGGATATGCTAATTATGCTAATTTTATTACTGTACATTATATACATGTATCAAAACATGCCACTGTATACCATAAATGTACAATTTTTTTTCTTTTTGAGACAAAGTCTCATTCTGTCGCCCAGGCTGGAGTGCAATGGCATGATCTCGGCTCACTGCAACCTCCGCCTCCCCAGTTCAAACCATTCTCCTCCCTCAGCCTCCTGAGTAGTTGGGATTATAGGTGCCCACCACCACGTCTGGCTAATTTTTGTTTTTTTTTTTTAGTAGAAATGCAGTTTTGCCATGTTGGTCAGGCTGGTCTCGAACTCCTGACCTCAGGTGATCCGCCCGCCTCAGCCTCCCAAAGTGCCGGGATTTCAGGAGTGAGCCACTGTGCCCATCCCCATAAATGTACAATTATTATGTGTCAATTAATTTTAAAAATTGAGTATAGGTATGTGAAATGCATTTCCTGAATGTGGATTAAAGTTTCAGTAAAACCAAATAGCAAAAAATAAGGAAGGCAAAAACACTTTAATTTGACAAATTGTCTTATGAATGAATTCTGGTAATATAAATAATCAATACATGATATTTCTATGTATGAACTGACTGACTTTATCTGGCAAAAGTGCTACGATTTTGAATTTATTCACTTTCTGAACTCTCTCCTTGGTCTGCCCCATATACCATATAAAACACTCTTACCCTTAATAATTTTTTTCATAGAACAAAAATCCAAAACCATTCTATGCTTATTTTTTTAAACCTTATAGAAATATTTCCTCTAACAGTACTAAAATACGTGATAGATGAAGTTTCAAAAGCAAATCATTTTCATGTTGCACCCCTACAGTTTCCATAATAATAACTGGGTCATTATTCCTCTGAGAACTGAAAATGAATGTTCATAAATAATTGAGTTTTTAAAAGCCATAATAACAAGAACTTTTAAATGTCACATTTACTTACCAAGTTCACCTTTTGTTCTGCCATGTAATTTTAATATATCTTTATAGGTATGTACATGATTCCATTCTGTAGCATTGTCTCTAAAGAAGAGTAGAATTTCCATAACTCAGCCAGCAAGACAAATCTAGAGGAATCTTTGAGATTTTTAATTGTGTAAGAAGGCATGGTGATTCGATGCTGGGGAGTTTTTAATCTTTATGAACATCCTGGATAATAAGATTACACTGCTTAATAAGAGTGTCAGAAAGCAGTGGGGTGAACCTATAATCATTTAAGAGCAATTAGCAAGAAAATTTTTGTGGCTTATTTCTTCCTTTTATGTCTGTTTTCGTCAGGGAGATTTCATTACTACAGTATAGCACATCTTTTTGGCACCAATGATACGAGTCTGCTAAAAAGTAAATTGGGCCATAACACACAGAGAAAATGGGGCTATTCCAGAGCTCCATGCAATTATCTGAGGGCCCTAAGGAGAACAAATTGGAGCATCTGCTGCTAAGGGAAGAATCAGCAGCTGATGCCTACCTACATGCAGTGAAAAATCAACCAAATAATATGAGCAAACATTTTCATAGAGCATCCACTCTGTAACCTCAGCTCACCTTGCGTTTAACCTGGACAAAAGCTATAGAGTCCAAAAAACCCAAATCTCTGTTAAAATTGTGTAAGACAAAGTAATAAATTTGTGACCTAGAGCCCTTAATATTGTTTATTTTAGCAACTCTGCTATTTTTTTCTGCCTTGTCTTCCAAAAAAAGAGAACAACAAAATAAAATAAAATAGTAAAAGAAAATGCACTAGAATTTATTTCCCCAAAGTCATTTTCTCTATTTAATGCCTATGTAGGCAACAGACACCTCCTCATCAGTTGTCATTTAAACACATATTTATTGGATGTTTATTTACAACATACTTTGTAGATAGGGAAAAATGAAATAACGAAAACCAAATCATTACATTTTAAGCTTAATTTTTTTTGGTATAAATTGAAGGAATACAAGTGCACTTTTACTACATGGATATCTGATCCACAGCATTACTGAATTATTGTTGTAGTTCCTAACACCAATTTCAAATGCTTAAAACATGTACATACACACACAGTTGATTTTTTTTTCCTCTTGAATGCATAAGACAGAATTTCTACGTTAAACAATAGAATTCCAACTATTGTCATTTTTCAGATGAGTAATGCCAAGGTTCAAAGAGGTTAAGTGAATTTTCAGAGTTGCAACACTAACACTACAAAAGTCTCAGGTCTAGAATACAGAGACTCTGGTTCTAGAGGCATTTCATTAATATTCTGTGCTTCAGGGATTAAAAATGCCAATTTCAACAGGGGCCTAGCAAATAACATAAGTAGAAGGCTGTGCTGAGTTGACCGAGTGGTGAGCTAAAGGGTATTGCCCTTCAAAAGGGACTGCTACTCAGCTCAAGCCAACTGGTTCCATCAGGTAACCACCTCAGCATTTCCAATACTTCTGATATTTTTTCAAGGGAAGCTAAAAGTTCTCATTTTAATGTGGATTCTCTCCATTATAAATGCAGACAGCTAATTTCATATTGTGAAAACACTACTTCAAACACAACAATCTGCAAGGTGAAATTTTGCTGTAGTCAAACACTTTGCCTGAATATGTGGGCACTTTAAATCAGAAACAGCCTGAATTCTCAGCCCCTAAGAGAATGCAAAGTATCTCAACAAGGATAAAGATCAGAAATCTAAACTGTGTGTTTTCTTTTTCCACAGACAGAGTGCCCAGAAACTTAAATCATGGTTTCAGTTTAGTATAAGCAATAAAATCCACACTAAGAAATGTTTTCTCCAATCATCCTTATTGTCCTTTTGATGATGAAGAGGATGCTATTAATAGTCTATTTTTTAAATGAAGGTCAAGAGGTAAGTGGGTAAATTCTGCATCTACACTAAGGGTACTAGTGGGACTACATCAATGCTTATTAAGCATTGGGGTGAGGATGTTACTACAAAGAGTGGCTTAGGGCTATGTGTGGTGGTCTTTAGTTTCCCAGCGTTTTTCTCTTTGCAGTGAAACAACTCCAAAATTAAACATGTATATGCAAACTATTTTATGATAGGGATATTTTTGAAATATATTTTAGATACTAGATTAAATTTTAGAATGATTTTAGAAGATATTAGAAATTAATAAGATTAGATATGTTAAAAATACTGTGAAAAGTACCATTTTATGGTTATATTCAATGTAAGTGAAAAATAGTTTGCTTGAGTCAAGACAGAAGCAAAGAAAAGAATTTGTGGAGACAATGCGAATCATATTTAGGATGAAAACTGCACTGGGGGCAATGCACGGTGACTCACACCTGTAATCCCAGCACTTTGGGAGGCCAAGGTGGGTGAATCACAGAGTCAAGAGATAGAGACCATCCTGGCCAACATGGTGAAACCCTCTCTACTAAAAAGACAAAAATTAGCTGGGCGTGGTGCTGCACAGCTACTCAGGAGACTGAGGCAGGAGAATCACTTGAACCCAGGAGGCAGAGGTTGCAGTGAGCCGAGATAGAGCCACTTCATTCCAGCCAGGCAACAGAGGGAGATTCCATCTCAAAAAAAAAAAGAAAAGAAAAAAAAACAAAATTGCATTGGGATAGCTGATTCAGATATAATTATTATATTCCTTCTTTAATGACTATTTTTAAATAATTCAATAACTAAATAAAGTAGATAAAACATGAACCAGAGATTGAAAATGTTCTCCGAAACCAAATTAGGATTAATTCACTTTTGTGCAACTGTAGGAAAAAATATAAATCTCACAGTAGCATAAAGCTGGTGGGCTTATTATAGAAACAATTTCAGTCCATACCACTGTCCTCCACTTCTATCTAGACACTGTCCCTAATTTCCTTCCTTCGTGAGACTCTGTTGCCAGTAGGGAGACTAGGATAGTGGAAATACATCCATAGTCACATACTGTTTGCATTTTTAGTTTCCAAGAACACATTTCTTCAAATACAAGGAATAAAATATATTTTCCACTTGGAACGGCCAGTTAAAACTTACTGTGCTTTTCCCCTACACTAAATCATATAAGTTTAATCCTACCACAAGCACACACCTCTCCTCCAAAATAGAGTTGCTAAGACCCAACTCACCTGTAAAAAATGCCTCTACTTATGAAAGAAAAGATAATCGTCACAGGAATACACAGAGCTCAACCTTTGAGCAAGGTATCACTGTATCAGAAATCCAACTACAACATACATTAGCCCTGTGATCTTGGATAATTCACTGCACCTCTCTGCTTCACTGCAAAATATCAGTGACGACATTGCCCTGCAGAGTTGTTGTGGGTGTAGTAGAATTCTGAGGCTGGATTGTGTTTCTCCTAGGGACTTAATGTACCTGGCTACATTTAGGTCTAAAGCTCTTTAAAATGGCTGAATGGATTAAAAAAATACCATTATCAGTCAAAATATCCTACTGCAAATTATAGATTAAATGTACTACAGCTAACTGAAGTAGAAAATAAAATCATTGGAAAGATAATAGAAAGGTCACAGAATGGATGGAAATCTGAGAGAAGCCTAGAAATAAAAGCTAATCAGGAGAGTGGTTCAGTAGTAAGAAGCAAATCCAAGGACACAACCCAGAAATAATTGGTTGAGAGGTCATGTCAGTGATATTGCTGTAGAACACCTGATATTGCCATTACTGACCTCATGGTGCCACCATCTCTGATGTGCACACTCAATTTATTGAGACTTGGTCAGATGCCCACATGAGATTAACTGGGGTCTTGTAATTCTGCAGTAAGAGAGCAAGACCATGCTCTCCCGAAGACTTACACAATAGAAATACTACTAAAGTAGGAAGTGTCAAGGCAGTGCAAAAATAGCAAAATTTACAACGATGTTGTAAAATATTATAATATCTTTGTTTATAAATATATTTATATACCAAAATATATACTAACATAGCAACTGAATCAGTTGGACTATAAGACTGTAAATGAGTTTACCTGTTTTCAGTTTGTTTGTATCTTTGTATCTTAATAAAAATAAATAATTGGATTAAATGAATTATAAAAGAAAAGATGAGAATTTATTGTTTTAGATCATTCACTCATTCTTTTATTCATTGATTTATTTAGTAGGTGTTTATTGAATACTGTGGTTTAAAAGCAATGTCAAAAACTGGATGGTATATTTCAATAAGCAAAGTGACTAACTCTTTCCCTTTATGAACTACACAGTTAATTAGAAGATAATCTTTTATACAAGTTCATAAAGAAATACACACTTTGATAGGAAGAAAGACCATAATTTAATCTGTGACATAAAAGATGAGACCTGAATAATACAATATGATTTAGTTTGTATCTTTGTCCCCACACAAATCTCATGTTGGATTGTAATCCCCAGTGCTAGAGGTGGACCTGGTGGGGGGTGTTTGAATCATGAAGCAGATCCCTCGTGGCTTGGTGGTGTCTTCATAATAGCGTCTTCTCACAAGATCTGGTAATTGAAAACTGTGTGGCACCTCGCCGCTTCTACTATGTCTCTCTCTTATTCCTGCTTTCACCATGTGATGTGTCTGCTCTTGCTTTGCCTTCTGCTATGATTGAAAACTCCCTGAGGCTTCACCAGAGGCTGAGCAGATTCTAGAACTATGCTTCCTATAAAGCCTGCAGAATCATGAGCCAATTAAATCTCTTTTTTAAAATAAATTATCCAGTCTCTGATATTTCTTTAAAGCAATGCAAGAATGGCCTAATACAGAGAATTGGTACCAAGCAGGGGAACATTGCTATAAAGATAACTGAAAATGTGGAAGCAGCTTTGCAGCTGGGTAATGGGCAGAGGTTGGAAGGATTTGGAGGGCTCAGGAGAAGAAAAATAAATGAGGGAAAGTTTGGAACTTCCAAGAAACTGGTTAAATTGTTGTGAACAAAATTCTAATACTGATAGACAGTGATGTCCAGGCTGCCAAGGTCTCAGATGGAAATGAAAAAATTATTGGGAACTGGAGCAAAGGTCACATATGTTAAGCCTTAGCAAAGAGATTAGTTGAACTGTGTTAATCCACTAGGGATCTGTGAAGTTAGAACTTCAGAGTGATCACTTATGGTGCCTGGTGGAAGCAATTTCTAAGTAGCAAAGCATTCGAGAAGTTTCCTGGCTGCTTCTAAGATCCTAACTCAGAAATAGGAGCAAAGACATGACTTAAAGTTTGAAGAATTTGTAGCCTGACCTTAGGGCAAAGGAAGAATAAACTTTTGTGGTGGGGTGGGGTGGGGGAGAGGAATTCAAGCAGACTATGGAATTACCACTTGCTAGAGCTATTTGCATAATTAAAAGGGAGCCAAGTGCTAATATCCAAGATAATGGGGAAAAATAACTTGAAAGCATTTCACAGACCTTCACAGGAGCCCCTCCTTATCACAGGCCCAGAGGCCTAGAAGTACAGAATGGTTTTGTAGGCCAGGGCCAGGACCCTGCTATCCTGCATAGCCTCAGTACAATTCTCCCCACACCTTGGCTACTCCAGCTCTAGCCATGGTTCAAAGGGGCCCAGGTACAGCTCTGGCTGCAGCTCTAGAGGGAGCAAGCTGTAAGCCATGGTGGCTTCCACATCTTGTTAAGCCTGTAAGTGTGCAGAATGCAAGAGTGAAGAATATTTGGCAGCCTCCATCTAGATTTCAGAGGATTTATGAGAAAGTCTGGGTGCCAAGGAAGAAGCCTGCTGCAGGATCAGAGCAAGCTCTTACAAAGAACCTCTACCAGGGTAGTGCCAAGGGGAAATGTAGGGTTGGAGCACTCAAGTAGTCCTCAATGGAGAACTGCCTAGTGGAGCTGTGAGAAGAGGACCTCCAATGCCTGGAAAAGCCACAGGCACTCAATGACCTGTGGAAAGCAGTGACAGTGGCTGCACCCTTTAAAGCCATGGGAGTAAAGCACTTTGCAAGCCACATGGGCAGAACTGCCCAAGGCCCTGGGGGCTCACCCCTTGCACCATGTGCCTTGGATATAGGATATGGAGTCGAAGGAAATTATTTTGGAGCTTTGAGATTTAATGACAGCCCTGCTGGGTTTTGCATTTGAATGGGGCCTGTAGCCCCTTTCTTTTGGCCAATTTCTCCCTTTTGGAATGTGAATGTTTACCTAATGCCTATAGTTTTATTGTGTCTTAGAAGTAAATAACTCATTTTGATTCTACGGACACTTAGGTGAAAGGAACTCATCTCCAGAAGAGAGACCTTGGACTTGGACTTGGGTATTGGGACTTTTGAGTTAATACTAGAATGAGTTAAGACTCTGGGGGACTGATGGGAAGGCATTATTGTGTTTTGCAATCTGAGAAGGACATGAGATTTGGGATGGGCCGGGGCAGAATGATATAGTTTGGACATTTGTCCATGTCCAAGTCTCATGTTGAATTGTAATCTCCAATATTGGAGGTAGAACCTGGTGGGAGGTGTTTGGATCATGGAGGCAGATTGTTCATGGTTTGGTGCTGTCTTTGTGATAATGAGTTCTTGAGAGATCTGATCATTTAAAAGTGTGAGGCAGCCCCCACCCCCACTTTCCCTCATTCCAGCTTTTGCCATGTGACATATCTGATCCCCACTCATCTTCCACCATGATTGAAAGCTCCCTGAAGCTTCATCAGAAGCTGAGCAACTACTAGCACCACGCTTTTTGTAAAGCCTGCAGAACCATGAGCCAATTAATCTTTTATTTATAAATTATCCGGTATCAGGTATTTCTTTATAGCAAAGCAAGAACAGCCTAAAACACAATAGTTAGCTAAGAAAATTAGAGGTAGACCAGTCTAGGTCAGGAAGACACACTCTTGTCTGTAAAGGGCCACATTGTAAATATTTTCAGCCCTGCAGGGCATATGTTCTTTGTTGCAACAACCCTAGTCTACTGTTGCTGGAGAAATGCAGCCACAGAGAAAACAGACAGCAGGCCAGATTTGGCCCATGGGCAGTAGTTAGCTGACCCCAAGCTAGGCAAAGAGCAATTTAGGTATGTCTGAAAACCTTGATGCACAAAATCTGCATGTGTGGTTTATGAAAACATACCACGTTCATTCAGCACTGTGCCTGAAACTGAAAATATATTTAAATTTATTATCTCATTCAATCCTTACAACAATTTGATTGAGTGGGTAATATTATTATTTCCATTTTACACACAGGAAAATAGAGCCACAGAAATATTAAGAAAATTGCCACCAGTTACATATTTGTAGATGACAGTGATGGGACTCAGGCAGTTTGACTCCAGGGACCACACTTGTAAGAGATGTTCCAAAGAAAATAAAGCTGTAATTCTAGTTGAAATACTAAATTCTCTATTAATTTTGAATAATTGAGATTATTACACTACTTCTTTCTACCCAGAAACACATTTCCTTGCAGTTGTTTGTGTCTTATTTTATATGTTTCCATATTACTTTATAGATTTCTTCGTATGGGACTTAAAATTTTTATTTTTTATTTTAGTGTTTTAAAATTCTGTTACAGTTTTTATCACTAATATAAAGCAACTATTTATTTGCACTTTCAATTTAAATGTTTACTGCAAAATAAGTTTAATTGTTGATTTCAATAAAATGTTTATATTTTTCCAATATTTAGGATATTATTTGCTATTCTATTTTGTCACTTTAGCTTTCTTTTAAACATTTTAATTTGCTTAGTTTTTGAGAATGTGTGCTGTAGTTTATCATTTTTGTAGCAATTATTACTAGAATCATACCTTCTTAACTCCTTTAAAACTTAGATTAAATAAATAATGTTGATTTGCTAACTATAAAATAGCATTGCCTTTCTATAATAAATCTTTTTCGTCATAGTGCACCATTATTTCAATACATCATTGTTGTTATAAACATGATTTTATTTGGGATACATTGCTTCTTCTCTTTCTCTTTTCTCTAGCTCATATTTATCCTAGTTTCAAAATACATACTTTATTTGTTATTTTTCTTTGATCATTAAGAAAAATTATTGATTTTTAAAAATTTTATTAAAGGTTCCCATTTTTCCTTACCTTGCTCTCTTCATCCAATTCAGACTTTTTTATATGAAAAAAAATTAAAAGAAATGAAAGAACCAGATTACCTGAAAAATAATTTTCCCAACCTAACTCCCCTATTTCCTCTTTACAATAAGACCTCCTCTCCAAAATTAAAGCACACGTTTTGCCTTACTCCTGCTTCTGCTTTCCATCCTATTCTAATTCCCTCATGAGAACATGAAAATTTGGTAAAAGCTTTGCTAACTCTTCATCTCCAACCCAAGTCCTGTTTTCTAGGTTTGGTTGAAATCATTAAATGCTTTTACTGTTATTACAATGACCCCTAAGTATATCCTTTTAGTTTCAAGGCTCTGTATATTTAACCCTTATATTTATATTCTTTTTATATACTTCCACGTTCTCACTATTTCCTCTTCATCTTTTCTTATTTTGAGTTTGTGTTCTTGCACATTTTGGGTATAGCATAATCATTTCTCATGTGTTTTTCTGACATGCGCAATGGATGTTATGCTTCCTCAATCTTGGCTTATCCTCACATACCATACCTTAACTCATGAGTTAGCTCTGATGGTTAACTATTTTGATGGCCATTCAAATCTTGATTGTATCCTTTTTTCTCAGTACTCTTTAGAAATAATTTCTATTGTTTTTATTGACATTTAATGAAGTAAATGTCAGTTCTGTTCACTGAGTCTTTTTTTTCTTTCCCTTTTTGATGTTTTTTCTTTTTATGCAAGTTACTATTTAATTTCAGAGAGTCATTAGATGTTGTAATTGAGTAACTATCCCCTTTTTATTCATGTTAATACCCATCTTCTCTAACAACTTCATTTTTTGTGTACATTATTTGTTTATACAGATTGATCTTTCTCTCTGATACAAGGTCCTCTGAGATAGTTAACTTATTTTGTTTTATAGTAGCTTATGTTTTTCAAGCCCCTATGCTATATTTCATGCCTAATTGCTGGATTGCCTTCAAAGGTGGCACAGTTAGGTGGTGACTATGGTTTCTTCTACATGGGCTGTGGTGGACAGGAAACCAAGGAATTTAGCTCCTTGAAGAGGAATGTATAACAAGGCCCTGGTACCCCACATTCCTAGTTCAAGATCTTCTTCTGCAGGTAGAACTTGGCCTACTCTTCAGCAACCTCTTCCACTGTTATATAATAGAAATGATGCAACTTGGTGACATCATTGTAGACTTCCTTACCTCCAAATCTGAAGTCAACACATCTGTTATGTTCAAACTCTGCTCGACATATGCATCTCTAGGTTTTGCCCTGGGGTCCTCATTGCCACTATCTAGGTCTTCATCTGGCCCTTAGATACTAAAGTCTCATATATTTTTCCTTCAAAGGGTTCTTAGTAGAGTCCAAAGATTCCACTGTAGTCAGATGACTACATGTCCCAGCATCTATATTTAGAAGAAAAAGATAACTTAGAGATAGGAAAGAAGAGCAATAGATTTGAATTTAGCTGTTTCTATGTCCAGATTTCTCCTTCTTAGAAAGACTGATGTGAACATCTAAAATAAAATTACAGTAATTTAAATGTTGATAATACTGCTATTTAAGTGTGCCCCTAGTCCTTTAAGATATTCAATTCCAACAAAGTCTGAGATGCAGAAGTAATAATACATATAATGATCAATATCTAATATTATATGATGGCTAAGATTATTGAGCACTTATATAATGATAATTAATTTACATTTATAATTTATATTAATATTTACAAAACCTCTATGTTGTTGGTTCTACTACTTTCTTCATTTTACAGACAAAAAAAGAGAAACATAACTGGTAAAGAACTAAGTAAGTTACACAATGAGTAAGTGGATTAGTAGATTAGTAGAGACTTCAACTAATGCCTGAAGTTTTTCTGCTTGGTGGTCCCCCAGCACAGCACGACCCAAACTAATTAATATACTCTAAGTAACATAATTCAAAGAGAATGAGCAAGAAAGCCTCTTCCCTAAAATATTTCAGCTTTTATACTTATTATTTCTACTTTCTGTTTTTTCCTTACTTTGAAATTTCCTTAAAAATATTTGAGCAAATTAATGATGAACTACGTATCAAAGGCAATATTATTCTTTAATTAACAAAACTCCTTAGACTTTATTAACATATGTTACTAGTTATGACAGGTTGCATAAAGAAAACTTTAATTCCAAAATGCTGATCTATCTTTCATGTCTTCAGAAATTCTGTTTGCTTACAATTGCAATGGATATAACATGACCTAGTTTTTGAAAAAAATTTTTTAGTCCTTAATAATAAAGGGTGATATAATAAATCTATGACAATTAAAGCAGGTACAATGTTATAGTATTTTACCAAATAATTAAACAAGAGTTTTGCTCCTCTTATGTTCTTTGATTGAACATCGTTTGTATTTTATAGGAAGACTTTCACATATTTGATCTAGTCTATGTGTAGAAGACACCTGGGAGATAGAAATTTTGGCTATGTGATAGAAACTATGGTATTTAAACTTAATGGTGCACTTAGAAGCAACAAGGAAAAACTTCTTAGAAGGTTCTGTTTTTCTAGGAGAAATATGAAACTAAATATGCCACTTATTTTTGGGTATTCTAATGTGTTCTAATAATATCTCCAAATGGGAGGTAATTTCTATATTCCTGTGAGCTCTCCATTTTATCTATTTCTTTTGGAAAAGAGTAAATACTCCACACCTATAATGCCAAGTAGTTCTTAATTTACATTTTATTTATTATCTTTCTTATGGTTAGAGTCTATGTTTATAGGAATATTTTATTTTCGTGGCTCATTTCTGTCATTAAAACAGATAATGTAACTACAAAAAGGAATATGATTGAAAGAGAATTGTTTCTTTAAGGTTATTTCACAAAGATATTTTGAGACTTTTTTATTGTTTTTCTTAGATGGAAGGAAGTAGTGAAGAAGATTCTGTGGGGTTTCTGCTAATAAAATGATATAGTAGTCATTAGTTGTTTTATGGTCATTTAATTGAAATCAAGTGTGCTACAGATTTATACTTTGAAGTATATGAAAATAAAAATGTGAGGTTAAATATTAATAGTCACTCCAACATCTGAAAGACACTGATAATTTGAATTAGTTTGTGAATATATAAAAGACACTTGTTTTTAGAAGTAGTTTAGGTGCGGAATTACAGAACTTGTTAAATAGAATGACAGATGAGAGAGCAGCAGCGTCAACTTTAAGCTTTTTGGTTTAGATATCTGAGTCACTACTACCTCCCCTTAGAAAGATAGGGAGAGTCAAATGATAAATAGACTCTGGATGAGAGAAAATAGGCTTAGTTGTGGATTTTATCAGTGAGTGTGACTTCTGGGTGTTCATATAGGAATATCAGATAAAAACTTATAAAGGAACGTGGAACTCAGGAAGAATTATTTTTTTCAAAGAGACCATGATCAACATCCAGAAATCAGATAAGATAAAAACTAGAAATAAGTAACTGGTTTCAATGAGTCACATGTGGAGTTAGAGAGAAGAGTTCATAATGCTCTTAGCTGAAGTTCGGTAGAGAAGGAAAGAAAAAAGCAAAACCTAATTTTAAAGGTACAAGAAATAAAGATAGGAAAGATGAAATAATATCTCCTTGAGGGGAAGAAAAGAAATATGGTTTAAGATTTCAACAGAAAAACTAAGAAGTTACAGCAAACAAACAAAACAAAAACCAGATAAATGAGAAAAAGGAGATCTTAGTGGTGAACTTTGATTTAAAATGGGAAGGCGCTGTTAATTTCCAATTTTTAGCCTAGTAGTAATTGTTTATGAGCAATGAGAGGCAAGTCAGTAGTATACATTAGGAAGGTGGTAATAGTTTTTTGTTTTTTTTTGTTTTTTTTTTTTTTTGAGACGGAGTCTCGCTCTGTCGCCCAGGCTGGAGTGCAGTTAAAATTTACATTGGAAAAGAAAAGAAAGGATATTAGAAATGAATAGTATTCAGAGCTCATCTGAATAAGCAATCATTAATTTCCAATAGATTCAATGCTGTCCTGTAGGTTTATCCAGTACGCTTCCAACTAAGAGGAGCTGTTTTATTGATCCAAAGCCATTATATTGATCCAGAGTCAACAAAAGCAAACCGGTGGAACTTGCATAGGCATGACAATTAAGCTTGATGTCAAGAGAATGACTGTCATGAAAACTCCAGTAGGTAACACATTCTTAAAGAACAGGGAGGATGTTAAAGTAAAGGAGGTTACAACGAGTTTGAGAAGGTTCCTCTTAGGAATAAACAAAGTGTATTCCACACATAAAGGAGGCCAGACAGTATATATATGTCTTTCTGGGTCTAGTGGTTGCCGGGGACTGGAGTGAGGTAGTAATGAAGAAATGTTGGTCAAACGGAAAAAATTTCCAGTTACAATATTAATAAAATCTGTGGATATAATATATAGCATAGTGACTATAGTTAAAAATAATACTGTTTACTTGAAATTTGCCACAATAGTAAATCTTAAGGGTCCTCAATACACAGACATACATAAAAGAGGGTAACTATGTGTGGTGATGGTTGTGTTTATTAATTTAATTGTAATGTTAAACAATGTATACATATATCAAATCATCATGTATGAATCATGTATGTATAATTTTCATTTACCAATTACACCTCAATAATGCTGGAAACAAAAAATAAAAGAAAGAGAAAGGCAGAAATAAAAAATGATTAAATTAGAGGAAAAGATGGAATATTTGGAACAGTTAAAGTTCTGGTAAAGTATATGCAGAAAATTACCTAAAGATATGAATGATAGGAAGTTGAAACTATTAATGGTCATTGTTATGTTCAGCACTGTGTTATGAAAAATTCCAAACGTACAGCAAAGTTGAAAGAATCTTCCCATGATATCTATACCAGCTATACAGGAATTTTCAGTTAACATTTTATTATAGTGCTTATCACATATGTCTTTATCCATCTTGCTATTCATTTACTAATTTGTCTCAGTGTTTCAAGAATCTCAAAGGATATTTCAGGCAGCATACTCCTTTTCTGTAAAAACGTTAGGTACATATACTGAATTTCTCATAATATTTTGTAAACTTATTCTAGATTTCTTTTATGTATCAGTAACTTTGTTTTATTACTGACATTTTTAAAAGATGCAA
The DNA here is from genome assembly GCF_000001405.40 of Homo sapiens. Taxonomy (NCBI): domain Eukaryota; kingdom Metazoa; phylum Chordata; class Mammalia; order Primates; family Hominidae; genus Homo; species Homo sapiens. Next base: position 20,680,906 of record NC_000021.9, read on the forward strand.
AAAAGGCCTTTGATAAAATTCAACTGCCATCCCTGAGTGAAAAAAATCTTAGAAAAATAGGATTAGAAACAATATTTGTGTGTGTGTGATAAAAGATACCAACAAAAATCATACAGCAAATATTATATTACAGTGAAATATTGGAGGCATGCCTCTTGAGATTGATAAAAAGAAAAGTTCGCTTGTTACCATCACTTCAGTTCAAGGTTGTACTAGATGTCCTTGCCAGTGGAATAAGAACAAACAAAGAAATAAACATATAAGGATTGAATGGCAAGAAATAAGACTTACTGCTTTGCCGGATTGCAAAATTGCATAGAAATTCCTAAACAATCAATAGATAAGCAATTGAAATTGATAAAATGATTTAGCAAAATCTTTGGCTTCATGGTCAATTTGTAAGTATTAATTTTGTTTCTATATTACCAACAACAAAAAATCAGAAAATAAAATAAAATTACTATTTGAATAACATCAACAACTTGTAAAAGACAGAAATAATTCTAAATGATAGGCAAAAACTTGCCACAGAACATATTTAAAAATTGAAAGTAATAAAAATCTCAAATAATTATATGTATTTTAATGGATTGATATACTTAGTATTTTAAGTTATTGTTTCTACCAAAATCTATACATGAATTCAACATCATAATAGATAAAATCCCAGGAGTGTCTAAGAGTGTGTGTGTGTGTGTGTCTGCGTGTGTATGTGTGTGTGTGTGTAAAATTGATTCTAATATTGATTTTTGTTTTTTTTTTTTTGAGACAGAGTTTCCCTCTTTGTTGCCCAGGCTGGAGTGCAGTGGTGCGATATTGGCTCACTGCAACCTCTGCCTCCCAGGTTCAAGTGATTCTCCTCCAGAGTAGCTGGGATTACAGGCACCCGCCACCACGGCTGACTAATTTTTGTATTTTTAGTAGAGATGGGGTTTCACCATGTTGGCCAGCCTGGTCTCGAACTCCTGACTTCAGGTGATCCACCCACCTCGGCCTTCCAAAGTGCTGGGATTACAGGCGTAAGCCACTGTGCCTGGATGGTTCTAACATTGATTTTTAAACACAAAGAGCAACCAAAGTTGAATGACTTGCACTGTAAGATGACATAATTTAGTATAAATTTATACTAATTAAAATAGCATGGTTAATTAAGACAATGTCATTTCTGAACAAAGATTAAAAATAATTGAATGAGACAGAATTGTCCAAAAGCAGATCTACACTCAAATAAGACTCTTTAATGATGACAAAAAAGGCACTACAGACTAATAGATAATTATGAATTTTAGCCCTGTCTCACATCAGACATTAAACCTCATTCAAGGTGGAGGGTGGAGGTAGAAAGTCTCACACAAGATAAAATCATAAAGCTTCCAGCAGATAGTTCAGGAGAAAAATGTCCTGAATTTGGAATAAGGTGACATTTCTTGAATAGGACAGTAAGTTCAAAATATGAAGAAATTATACAACGTTTAAGTTAGAAAATTTTATTCATTAATAGTGATTATTAGCAGGTGAAATGCAGGATATAGAGAGATAGGACACATTTCTCACCTATTTAACACTCAAAAATCTAGTTCCAGTTTATATAGAGCTATTCTCTAAGTAATAAGGAAAAAAATGATAAATCAATCTTAAAAGGGGATAAAAAGCCTTAAATAGATATTTTACCAAAGAGGGGATCTACATATGCCATAAATATACAAACAAGTTCAAAATCTAATTAGTATCCAGAGGAAATCAAATTCAAAGTTCAATGAGATAGCACTATGCATCTACCAGAATAACTGAAAAGGTGGAAAACCCCATAATATGGAGTGTTTGAGGTAGCACAGCAACTGAAATTTACACCTGCCTTTGGGTACAACAACTTGAGTAACCTCACTGGCATTAATTACAAACCTGAATATAGGCACATCATATGATCCAGTAATTTCATTCCTGCCCAGCAGAAACGTGCACAAAATCATGAACTTAAACACTAGCAACAGCATTACTAATGATAGTCAAATTAATTTTCTTAATAGTAAAACAGATAAGCAATGGTATTATATATAATGTCATACAATGGATTACTATATAATTAATTTTCTTCAATAGTAAAACATATAAGCAATGATATTATATATAGTATCATACAGTGGATTACTTTACTGCAATAAAAATGAACAAACTATAGGTACACGATGTCTTGCTTGAATCTCATAAACATTGCTATGGTTTGAATGCTTTTTTCCCCACTAAAATTTATGTTGAAACTTAATCCCCAATGCAATGGTATTAAGAGAGGTGGCCTTCAGGAGGTAATTGAGTCATAAGAGGTCTGTCTTCATTAATGACATTAGGTGCATTATAAAAGGGCTTGAAGGAAGGAGTTTACACCTTTTTGTTCCTGTTGTCCCTTTCACTATATAAGGCACAGGATTCCTCCCATCCAGGATAGCAACAAAGTGTCATCTTGAGTGCAGAGAGACTGGACCATCATCAATTGGTGACTGGATCTTGGACTTCCCAGTCTCCAGACCTCTGAGAAAACAAATTTCTGTTCTTTATAAATTACCCAGTCTCAGGCACTTTGTTAAAGCAGTATGAACAAACCAAAACGAATACAACGGGTAAAAAGAGCAAAAAAAAAAAAAAAAAAAGAAAAGAAACTTAATATACAATCCCATTTATATAGAATTCAAAAGCTTCCAAATTAATCTATGATCATAAACTCAACTAATTGGGTTCTGGTGTTTTGGGTCTGGATGGTAGTTTAATGGACATGTTTATTTTTGATACAATTTATTAAGCTGGCCAATTTTCATGTATGCATTTATTTTTATATGTATGTATGTGTATTTGAAAAGTCATTTTATCAGTTGATATAGTTTGGATATTTGTCCCCTGAAAATCTCTTGTTGAAATGTGAGCCCCCATGGCCGGGCGCGGTGGTTCACACCTGTAATCCCAGCACTTTGAGAGGCCCAGGCGGGCAGATCACAAGGTCAGGAGATGGAGACAAACCTGGCTAACATGGTGAAACCCTGTCTCTACTAAAAATACAAGAAAATTAGCCGGGAGTGGTGGCGGGCACCTGTAGTCCCAGCTACTCAGGAGGCTGAGGCAGGAGAATGGCGTGAACCCAGGAGGCGGAGCTTGCAGTGGGCCAAGATCGTGCCACTGCACTCCAGCCTGGGCGACAGAGCAAAACTCCGTATCAAAAAATAAAAAATAAAAAAAAAAGAAATGTGAGCCCCCAGTGTTGGAGTGGGTCCTAGTGGGAGGTGTTTGCGTCACAGGGGCCGATCCTTCGTGAATGGCTGGACGTCCTCCCTGTAGTTATGAGTGACTTCTCACACTACTATTAGTTCCCTGAACAGTCAGTTTTTCCTCTCCACAATCTCCACACTCTTGCTCCCTCTGTTGCCATGTGACATGCCAGTTCCCCTTGACTTCTGCCATGAGTAAAATCTTCTTGAGTGCTCCACCAGAAGCCAAGCAGGTGCCAGCAGCATGTTTCTTGTATAGCCTGCAGAACTGAGAGCCAGATAAACCTCTTTGCTTCACAGATTACTCAGTCCCAGATATTCTTTATAGCCATGCAAAACAGACAAACACATCAGTATTCAAAACATTCACTAGCTACCTTGCTTATAATTCTATCATAATTATGTATTTTATAGTTTCATTTTCCTTGATCTTTATACTTTCTTTTCTCACCAAAAGTGGTATTAAATTTTCATTAAATTTAAAAACAGTTTAAAATTATAATATTAAAAACTTATATGTTAAGAAAGACACATTTTTCAAATTTTCAATTTTTTTTTCTCCAATGCATGAGTAAAACATTCAGCTTACATATGGGGGCATCTCTCCGAGAACTTAGAATTTCAGAGTATCAGGTAGTAAAATGTTGAAAAGTTTTGAACATAATCTGCTAATTTAACTGATAAGGGAACGGTAGCCAAAATATCAAAGTGAGTGAAACACAGTTATATAATTAATACATGGCAAGACTCAAATTTGCTTTTCTGACCATAAGTTCAATATTCTGTTCTTTGGTATTGTTTAATGCTTCCTAGAAACTTTCTTCAGATAGAAGGTATTTCTTTGATCTCCCATTTCTAAACTTGCTGCTTGTTGTACCTTAAGATGTGATCTTCACTGGTTATAAAATTTCAGAAAGAAAAGTGCTTTGTCACTGAGGGTAAGCTTAAATGTAAGACTTGCATCTTTTCTCCATGTTTTCCAACAGGGATATACCAAGTCCAGAGGAGAATAATCAGTAAAAATGATTTTCTGTACAAATACAAAATGTAAGATTATATCAGAATATCAAATAACAAAAATAAAATTACTAACCATGTTTTCCGTGGAGACTGTAGAAGGAAATAATGCATTTTCTGATCATTGTATCTAAATTTATAATACGGTGATATTGTTTTTTGTGCTACTGATATATGTTTTAAACATATAAATCAGACAATATTAAGAACATTCTAAAACTATTTACTAAGGCATCACTATGGTGAATATTTTTGTAAAGTAAAAACTCTTGTAACAGGAATAATCTTTCCTTAGTTCATCTGCTCGCATGTCTAGTTTTCTGAAATTTAATTTTACAAAACTGAAGAACAGTGGAAAAAAGATCTGAACAGATATCTCACCAAATAAGAAATCCAGATGGCAAATAAGCATATGAAAACATGATGAACATCATATGTCACTGGAATTTGCAAAGTAAAACAACCATGAGATAAAATGACACATCCATTAGAATGGTTGAAATTCAAAACACTGACAACACAAACTATTGCCAAGGAGAGGATGTAACTGAACTCCCATTCATTTATGGTCAGAATGAAAAAGTGTACAACCACATTGAAAGACAGTTGGGCAGTTTCTTAGAAAGCTAAGCACCATCTTCTTGGTAAATATCCAGCAATAAAACTCCTAAGAATTTATCCAAATGTGTTAAACACTTATGTCCACTCAAAAATCTACACATGGATGATCATAGCAGCTTTATTCTTAATTGCAAAAAAGTGAAAGCAACAAAGATGTTCTTAAATAGCTGAATGGATAAACAAACTGTGGTACATCTATACAATAGAATATTATTCAGTGATAAAAAAAGAAGTGAGCTGGCCAGGTGCAGTGGTTTATGTCTGTAACCCCAGCACTTTGGGAGGCCAAGGGGGATGGATCATCAGAGGTCAGGAGTTCAAGACCAGCCTGGCCAACATAGTGAAACCCTGTCTCTACTAAAAATACAAAAATATTAGCCAGGTGTGATAGCAGGCACCTGTAATCCCAACTACTTGGGAGGCCGAGGCCGGAGAATTGCTTGAACCCAGGAGGTGGTGGTTGCAGTGAACCAAGACTGTGCTACTGCACTCTAGCCTGGGTGACAGAGTGAGGCTCCATCTCAAAAAAGATAAAATAAAATAAAAAAGAGCTCTCAAGCCAGAAAAAGAGCTGGAAAAAAATGAGTATTGTTAAGTGAAAGAAGCCAGTTTGAAAAGTCTACATAATGTATGATTCCAAGTATATGACATTCTGGAAAAGGCAAAACTGCATAGACAGTAAAGAAATCAGTAGATTTTTTGCACAGTGACACTTTTCTATATGAAATATATATATATATATATATATATATATATATATATATATATATATATATATGACATTATGCACTTGGCAAAACCCATAGAATGGTATAGCACAAAGAGTAAACCCTAATGTAAACTATGGGTGTTAGTTAACACTAATGTAATGCTATGTATTAAACTGTATCTTCTGTCATTCATATGTTAAGGCCCTAACACCAAATGTGATGTTATTTGAAGATAGGGTTTTTAGGTAGGCTTTTAGGAGGTTATTAAGGTTAAATGAGGCCAGAAGGGTAGGGTCCTAAGCCTGTTGGATTGGTGACCTTATAAGAAGAAGTTCTCTTTCTGTTCCTCTCTCTCATTCTCTCTACACACACACACACACACACACACACACACACACACACACAGAGGCATACACCTTATGATAACTCTCCCCCTCCCCACAGACACACACACACACACACACACACACACACACAGGCATATGCCTTAGAATAAGATTCTCTGTCTCTCTGTCTCTGTCTCTGTCTCTCTCTCTCTCTCTCTTTCTTTCTTTCCATGAGCATACCTCAAGACATGAGAACACACAGTGAAAAGACCACCATCTTCAAGCCAGGAAGACACCCACTACCAAAATCAAGTCATATTGGCACCCTGATTTTTGAAACTTCCAGTCTTCAAAACTGAGAGAAGATAAATTTCTGTTTAAGCCACCCAGTTTATGGCAGTCTGAGCTAAGACAGGCATCCATATTGGTTCATCAATCGTAATAAGTGTAGATCAATGACAGCTATTAATAACAGATGAAACTACAGACCTGGGGAGAGAGAGCATATGGCAGTCTTCTGTACTCTCTTCAATTTTTCTGGAAACCTAAAATGTCTAAGAAATGCAGTCCATTAACTTCAAAAATAAAATAAACAAAGAAACCCCCCACAAACACAAACATTTTTCCATGCCTCCATCAATCAGTCCTTTAGCTGCCAAGTTACTTGACAGAGGCAGAAAATTCTTTCAAAGCAAATGTTGAACTAGTTAAGAAGCCACAGATTTAAGCCTTTTTTCCACCAATTAGATTAGTATGACTTTGGGATATTCATCAAATCTCTTCAGCCTTCAATTTCTTAAACTATAAGTTATGATGTAATGAATTTATTTAAAAAAATACTTATCTTTTTGATCTCACTGTATTTTTACTTTTTGCATTTTTATATGATTAAAGGAATATTTTTAGCTTGGGAGCTACAAGATTAGTTTACCAAAACATAAATAGTAAATTCATCTTTTCAAAGTGATGCAAAATCAGTGCCCTTGTTATTAGGGCTAATTGTTTTGGAATTTGTGATTGTGCGTGTGTGTGTGTGTCTGTGTGTGAGAGAGAGAGAGAGGAGAGAGAGACGGAGAATTTTCAAATTTGAGTTGTGACTAAAAAGTTCATAGTTTTAATAATATGGGGTTTTGACAAATTTTAAAATGTGATGAAATGTGAGTTATCAAAACTGTAATTACTGAAATGAAATAAAGGCATATTATCTGTTACTAGAAAACTATTTGGTGGTATGAACAGTTATGCTTCTTCTCACTTCTTACTATGAATTCAATGAAATTATTTGCTTTTAAATCATTTTTTATAAAAATAACGGTTGAGATTTAAGATGAAAAGATATAATAACTATGGGAGAGACTTAAACATTTGTAGTTTGCATCAACATAGACAGATATTATGCATACTACAAGCGAAGTATTTCTCCTCTTTTCATCCATTTTAGTGGTTGTTTAGCATTACATTTATTAACTTCTGACTTGATCAACCTAAAATAATCTGAAAAGACACAAAGTAGTCGTAAAAATATTTTGAGACCCAAATTATATGTGATTTCCACTAGGAATAGCCTATTCCAGCCTTCGAGAATCACTATAGATCATTGTGTTCAGACTTCCTCTTGAGTAAATTTGAGGCTACTACCTCTGTAATTGAAAAATTTTAAGCACGTATTTTAATTACCATTCTGTCATTAGGTACATGTGGTACTATTCCAGATTCAATCATTACATGACTTGCTACTCATGCTGTTGTTGAGCTTATGAAGAGATTAATGTAATAACTTGTCTGTGCTTTCTCTGAATTAATTTAGAATGTGCCTCATTCTCTTCCTTCTGTTTGATTGAAAATTAGCAAGAAACAGTCTAATGCAGTGTTTATAAAAGAGTAGATTTGGGACTGCTTGCTCTAGATTATTAAAATGCTTCAGGTTCAGCTGGTTTCAGATGGAGGAGCTGGGAGTCTTCAAAAACCCCTCAGTGTTTGTTATGCATAGTAAAATTTGGAAATTCTAATTTATAGAAAGAAAAAATTTATGTCGATTTTTCTCTTTCCAGATTACCCTTTGAAAAAAGTAGCATATTCAATAATCTGGCATCTGTTTATTCAAGACATATTTAATGAATATTTTCCATATTTCAGAAATCGCTGCATAAACGTAAAGAAAAATTGCCAGGCACAGTGGCTCACACCTGTAATCCCAACACTTTGAGAGGTTGAGAGAGGAGGATAACTTGAGTCCAGGTGTTTAAGACAAGCCTGGGCAACATGGTAAGATCCCATCTCCACAAAAAAAACTTAAAATTAGCTGGGCATGGTGGCACCGACCTGTTGTCCCAGCTACTTGGGAGGCTGAGGCAGAAGGATCACTGGAGCCCAGAAGGTTGAGGCTGTGGTAAGCTAAAATTGTGCCACTGTACTCCAAACTGGGCGACAGATAAGAACCTGTAACCTAGTAAATAAATAAGTAAATGAAAAGAATAATTGAATCAGAACACTACCTATGGAAAATTCACAGACCAATACATTCTATAAGTAAACACCAACAGAATGGCTAACTTTCTTCGGCAAACAACAAAAAAGACATTTTTCTAATGCAAGATTAGAATGTAATCCTTGGAAAGGATTTTTATTCAAATATTACCCTTCTTAGAATTTTGTCATATTTGAATCAAAATCCTCTCCAAGGATTACAACATCAGAAATTATTTTAGAATGTTTCAGATACTGTGTATAGCATACGTTATCTGTCATTCAATCCATAAGATATCAAAATGAAGTAAATAACATTAGTTTTGCTTTCATTTTATAGGTGAGAGTGTGGAGAGGTTAAATGCTCCATTCAATGCTGTACAGCTTGTAAGTTTACTGCCATAATTTGAACCAAGACCGGTTGCTGCTGTCTTTGAGCTATTCTGTCTCCCCTCTAAAAAGGCAGAAAACCTCCTGTAAAAAAAGGGAAGACTGTTCTAAAATTTCTAAATTGCATTTAACTACACAGAATCTTTAGGCTCTTCTAGGAATTACGACAAAATGCCAAAGAAAAGCTGGAAATTGTAAATAAACCATGCTGAGCTTAGGGACAGGTCGTGAGATAAGTAATAAATTCTTATTTAAAGTCTAATTTTGACACACACTTACCTTATACTCTTCGTATCATCCCCTGCAATCCACCTCACCATTACAAGAGAATGGACTGTCTCTTGCGGAGTCATAATATGAAACTTCCCTATGCTATGGAGCCTCCCAAAGGTCTATTCAGGAAAGGTTGTTATGCTTTTGAAAGCAAGCAAACACATCTTAAGGGAGTATAGAAAGTTTGGTGTTAATGAATTTAGTCACTATTTAAAAATATACATTTTTTTCTTAATCAATTATTTTGGCCAGGCATGGTAAGAAGCATAGCTAAACAGCATTTTGAGCAAAGCAAACAGGGGACCTACCCTGAAGGAGCTTAAATATAGTTAAAGGAGAAAGATAATAAACAAAATAGAGAAAAATAATTGTATTTAGTCTGTTCTTGCACTGCAAATAAAGGCATGCCCCAGACTAGGTAATTCATAAAGGAAAGAGGTTTAATTGACTCACAGTTCCACGCAGCTGGAGAGGCCTCACAATCATGGCAGAAGAGCAAGGGACATCTTACATTGTGGGAGAAGGGAGAAGGATGAGGGCCCAGTGAAGGGTGAAGCCCTTTATAAAACCATCAGATTTCGTGAGAACTAACTCACTATCACAAGAACAAGATGAGGGAAACCGCCTCCATGATTCAATTATGTCTACTTGGTCCTTCCCACCACACTGGGAATTATGGGAACTACAATTCAAGGCGAGATTTGGTTGGGAACACAGAGCCAAACTGTATCAATAATACAAATAAAAACTGAAATAACAAACCAGATGATCCAATAGAGGAACGTGGTCAGGAAAAACAAGCCTGGCAGACAGATATAAGCTGAAGCCTGAAGGTAAGAAGAAACCACACAGGCAGGAAGGAAAACAAATAACAGACCATGTCAGGAAGAAAACAAACTAAACAAAGTTGATGAGGGTTGGAAAGATCTTGGGCTTTCTAACAATTGGTAGGTGGCAGATTTGCTGTCTTGTAGCATGATCAGGAAATAATGATGTAGAATGTAGTTGACATGAATGAATGGAAAACATTCTTCATTGGAACCTATGATGGTTAATTTTATGAGTTAACGTGACAAGTACATAGTACCCAGATATTTGGTTAAGCATTATTCTCAATATTTCTGTGAAGGTATTTTTGAAATAAAATTAATATTTAAAGCAGTAGACTTTTTAAGTAAAGTACATTCTCCTTCATAATGTAGGTCGGCCATATTCAATTAGTTGAAAGCCTTAACAGAAAAAGACTGAACTCTGCAGAATAACAGGGAATTCTGTCAGCAAATTGCCTTCAGACTTAAACTGCAACTCTCTCTTGGGTCTGTAGCCTGCAGGCCTAATTTGCAAATTTTGAACTTGCCAGCCTCCACAATCATGTGAGCTAAATTCCTAAAATAAATTTCTCTATCTATTTATCTATCTACATCCTGATGTTTCCGTGTCTCTGAAGAACCCTGACAAATACAAAATCTCTAAAGATAACCTGAAATTTGAATAATAGCAAAGTGCACGTAGATCCTTCCACTGGAAAGAGGTGAGATGGCTCTGGGACATAGTACAGGATCTGGGAGGCATGTTGACCAAGACTCACAGAAGATGGGACTGATTTTTTTGGACTTTGAGTTATGAAAATGGCTACATTTTTTGAAACTTACTATTTATTTACAATTCTATGATTCATTTCTTTTATGCCTCAATGATATGGTTTAGCTTTTTGTCCCCATCCAAATCTCATCCCCAAATTTAATCCCCACCTGTCGAGGGAGAGACCTGGTGGGAGGGGATTGGATAATAGAATCAGGCTTCCCCCTTGCTGTTCTCATGACAGTGAGGGAATTCTCACAAGATTTGATGGTTTAGAAGTGTGGCACTTTCGCCCGCACTCCTGTTGCTGCCATGTAAGACATGCCTTGCTTCCCCTTCACCTTCTGCCGTGATTGTAAGTTTTCTGAGGCTTCCTCAGCCATGTGGAACTGTAAGTCAATTTTATTAAACCTCTTTTTTAAATAAATTACCTAGTCTTGGACAGTACTTCATAGCAGTGTGAGAACTGACTAATACACTAAATTTTAATACATTATTATTTAAAGTCTAATTTTGACACATACATCCACATAAAACAGAAAAAAAAGTCTAATTTCTTTTATCACTTAAGACATTAAGAAAAATTTATGTGCTATGTTTACAAAGATAGTACTTGGAAGGAGAAGAGCAGCCCAAAGAGTGTTGATTGTAGCACCGTCCAATAGATAGAGCTGAAAACAGCTGTCTGGATCATAAAGCAAGAGAATAAAAAGTAGGACTGAGATAGCAGATTTTTTTATATATGTGAACATTACCTGAGGATTCCAGAAGTACCTGGAGGTGAAGGAATTTCACAAATACTAAGCTACCAGTAGAAAAACTGAATGGTCTCTCAAGCCATCGTACTTTGTCATTAGAAAGAAATAAGAGTTCTGGTATCTGATCTAGCAAAGGAGACTAGAAGCTTTCATTTAGTCCTAACAATGAGGGAAAAGCTGTACAAACTAGATCACACTCACAATTTTTAAATACATCACAGAAGTGAGGTCACAGGAAATGACAATTTTCCTGAACAGAAATCCAAAATCAGAAACCTCCACGAGAACCAGTGCTGAAACCAGAACTGTAATTAAGGAATTGCTGGAAGCTCCATTTGGACAAATAAAAACTCCATAGGGATGCAGTCGTAGGAGGACCCCATGCTTCTGTGAGTTTACCTCTAGGAGCTCCACCACAGTCTCAGAGACAGTGCTGGAGAGAAATTCCCTTGTGCTTCCAGGAAGAAGAGGAGAAAAGTAACCATTTTGAAATACACTAGAGCATTCTATTCTTCTTACCAAATCCTGCCCTCGAGAGAATCCGTTTTACCAGAGCCTGTGGGGGACCTTTGACACAAAAGAAACACACTGTTACTATCAGACTCATCTGCATGAACTTCCAGCAATGATTATAAGCAAGCTTGGGGGCAATATGAGACGAGAAAATTATCCCCCAGCTGTGAGAATGGCACAAATCTTCACCCGCTGTTCAGACATATTTTTATGCAGAGCAAGAGACTTAATCCACTAGAAGAGGTGCACCAAATCCCCTTGTCCTCCAGGCATAGTTAAAGAGTAAAAAGGTAGAGAAAAAACGGCCTATCACTGGGAGAGAGAAAAGAAAAACTGTTGAAGTCAAGATTCTAAACTGTTGCTAATAGAAATGACTAACCACTGGAGGAAGGGAAGAGAATTCTGTGCCATGTAAGCTCTAACATAGACACAAGGCAACATCTGGATGACCTGGGTAGAAAAAGAGATGAATGCTGAGAAAATTTAACCCCAGGTGCACAGGACTTACCTAAGACTGCGGTCAAAGACAATTGAGATATCTCTATATTCCCCACTATCAGCCTAGCAAGCACTGAGTAATAATAAGCAAAAAATAAAGTATTACTATGTGACAGGGCAAGACAATGGATATAAACTTCCTCTGAGGAGAAAACTTACAAGGACACCTTAAACCAGAGGGATGGGAGGGGGGAAGTATGAATAATTTAAAATTATATGCTCTGAAGACATCATCTTAATCACAGAGCATCACTGGAGAACTTTGAAGCCAGTAGAATGTTAAAGATAACCATGTTAAAATCAAAGCAAAAAAAAAAAACAATAATTTTTAAAAACTCAACTTGAGATAAAATTGTTTCCAATCTCTTCTACCATGTGTGCAAGTACATGTGTGTGCATATGCACACATACCCTTCCCCCCACACACATATATACACACACACACAAATGGCCTGACAGAAGAGTTATTTCCATATTCGTTCAAATAAATACTATTTACTTCAGTCTCTACCTCATATATCCAAAATGTCCAATATTTCATTAAAAATTTTGAGATGCAGAAAAAAAGAATAAAAAATGCTACATATTTGGAAAAATTAGAGCAATCAACAGAATGGATTCTGAATGTACCAAGATGTTGGAACCTTTAGAGAGGCATTTAAAATAACTATGATTAATATATAAAAGACTTAGTGTAAAAGGTTGACAACATGTAGGAAGGCACAGCTATTTTGGCAGAGAGGGAAGCTATAAGAAAGAATTGAATGGAAATAGTATAATTAACATTCATAATATCAACAGTAAATAATTTCCTTGACCATCTCAAAAGTAGACTTGATAGGCCAGGCACAGTGGCCCACGCCTGTAATCCCAGCACTTTGGGAGGCCGAGGCGGGCAGATCACAAGGTCAGGAGATTGAGACCATCCTGGCTAACACAGTGAAACTCCGTCTCTACTAAAAATACAAAAAATTAGCCAGGCGTGGTGGCGGGCGCCTGTAGTCCCAGCTACTGGGGAGGCTGAGGCCGGAGAATGGCGTGAACCCGGGAGGTGGAGCTTGCAGTGAGCCGAGATTGTGCCACTGCACTCCAGCCTGGGCAACAAAGCGAGACTCTGTCTCAAAAAAAAAAAAAAAAAAAAGAAAGAAAGAAAAGAAAAAAAAGTAGACTTGATATATATATGTGTGTGTGTGTGTGTGTGTGTGTGTGTATATATATATAGGCTGAAATTATGCAAACTAAAACACACGAGAAAAATATTGGGGAAAAAAATTTTTAAACTGTGGGACAGTAGTAAACAGTCTAACACCATGTAATTTGGAGCCAAAAGCAGAAAAGAGTAATTAATAAGACACTTGGACAGAAACTCAGTAAGGATACAAAGATCTGACAACAGTAAAAAAAAGAAGAAAATAGAATTAAGAACAGATAGGACTCATAGAAACAAACCGCAACAAAGAGACTTAAATACTGTAACATCAATAATAACATTAAATATAGGGCCTGGTGCAGTGGCTCACTCATGCCTGTAAACCCAGAAATTTGGGAGGCTGAGGCAGGTAGATCACTTGTGGCCAGAAGTTTGAGACCAGCTTGGGCAACATAGTAAGCCCCTGACCCTAAAAGAAAAATTTAAAAAGTAGCTGGGCATTGTAACATGGACCTGTTGTCTTAGCTTCTTGGGAGGCTGAGGTGAGAGGATTGTTTGAGAAGTTTGAGGCTGTGGTGAGTTATGATTGTGCCACCGTACTCTGGCTTGGGCAACAGAGTGAGACCCTGTCTCAAAAAAATAATAAATAAATAAAAATGTTTTACCATCCCAATTAAAATCAGAGTTTGCCAGATTGAATAAAATAGTATATCCCAAATAATTAATTAATTAATTAAAATGGTTTACCATCCCAACTAAAATCAGAGTTTGCTGCATATAAAAGAATTCACTTTGGAGTAGAATGGTTGACATCAGATAAAATGGAGGAATAAGAAATTTACAACTTTACTCCTTTATATAAGTAACGGAAACACTGGCCAAATGATTGGAATCATCTTTTTTTCTTTTTTTGAAATCTGGATACTAACCAAAGGCTTGCCGTAAGCTAGGGAGTGCTTATTCAAGGAAAACAGCTGAATGTCAGTAAACACGGTGAGCTGTGCAGTGTTTTAACTTAACCTACTTTTGTCCTCTGTTCCCTAGTTCGGCAGTAGCTGTGAAAATAAGAGCTCACATTTCCAATACTAGAGGGAGCAGACAGATCTCATTTGCAAATGTTTGTAAACATTTTTTTGACCAGTTTAGTCACCCCTTGGAAGGCCAACTCAAATTCTTAACAATATTTCGCCTTGCTTAGAACCAGGTCAGTGCTAAAGCTGCTTCCAAGGGTATTTGTCAAACACATTTACAGAGTAATGTTTTAGTCACTGCTTCCAGAAATAACGGATAACAATTGAGACAACTAAAGGACTAACGAGATATTCCCAACACACAGAGAGAACTCCTCAGCAAAGACTAGAAGAGTTTTTGATTCCAAGTGTTTAAGGAAATCCTGTCCAAACATTAGCTGATCACTAAGCTAATGGAACAGAGACTTCAGTGACCAGAACAACAAAGAATACAGACTTTACAGAATTAGTTCAGAAGAGTCAATAAACAAATAAGCAAAAACAGCTATATGGACCAACAACAATAGTGAAGCAACAAGCATGTGTCTCATTCCCAGAGCGGCCACAATATAATATTTTAAATTTTCAGTTTTCAAGAGAAAAGAAGTGTGCAAAATAACAAGAAAATATGTCCCATATACAGATGAGTAAAAGCCATCAATAAAAACTATATTTGAGGAAGCCCAGATATAGGAATTTCCAGAAAAATACTTTAAAACAGCTATTTTAAATATGTCCAAAAAGCTAAAGAAAGTCATCTCTAAAGGAATAAATGTATGTGAATCATATCTCACCAAATAGGGAATAACAATAAAGATATAGAAATAGTTTAAGTGAACTAAATATAAAGGTTAAACCTTTGAAGTACAATAACTGAAATTAAAAATTCAATAAGGGGTTCAATGGTAGATTTGAGCAGGCGGAAGAAAGAATCAGCAAACTGAAGATAGGACAAACAAGATTATTCAGTCTGAGAGAGAAAATGTAATGAAGAAAATGAACAGAGCCTCAGAGAGTTTGATGGGATACCATTAAGCATATCAACATGCACATAAAGAGAATCCCAGAAGGAAAGGAGAGAGAAAGAAGAAAAAACTATTTACAGAAATTACCCAAACTTTCCATATTTGATGGAAAATATTAACATTGCCTGCACATCTGGCAAACCTAAACCAGCAGTACACAGAAAGAATTTTACACTATTACCAAATGGGACTTATCACAGAAATGCATACTTGTTTCACCATAGAAAATTCATCAATTTTAAATACATGTTAATAGAATAAAGGAAAAATATTTCAATAGATGCAAAAAAATTTGACAAGATTCAATATGTATTCATATCAAATACACTCAACAAACTAAGATTAGAAGGTAACTTCCTCAATCTGATACAGGGCATCTGCAAAAAAACCTCACAGATAACATTATAGGTAATGGTGAAATATGGAAAGCTTTTCAGCTAAGATCAAGAACAAGACAGATGTCTGCTGTTGCCCCTTCTATTCAGTATTGTACTACCTGTTCTAGCCAAGTCCAGATTAGAAAGGAAGAAGCAAAAGTATTTGTAGATGACATGACCATAAGGAATACACACACACACACACACACGCACACACATACACACCCCTCACATAAAACTATTAATATTAAAGCTAATAAATGATTTCAGCAAATTTGCAAGATTCAAGATCAACATCCAGAATTAGTTGCATTCCCCTATGATGAGCACTGAACAATGTGAAAATAAAATTAAGAAAAGAAGTCCATTTATAATAGCATCAAAGGGAATAAAATCCTTAAGAATAAATTAACCAAAAAAATAAGACTTATATACCGAGAGCTATGAAACATTATTTAAATAAATTAAAGATCTAAATAAATGAAAAGATGTTCCAGATTTATGGTTTGGAAAATGATATTGTTAAAGGCACTGTATTTCCCAAGTTGATCTAGAGATTTAATACAATCCCTAACAAAGTTCTAACTTCTTTTTCTTTTGCAGATATGATATGGATGAGCTAATTCTAAAATTAATTTGAAAATCCAGCAAACCCTGAATAGCCAAAATAATATTGGGAAAAAAGAGCAAATTTGGAAGAGTCCTACATTTCAATTTTAAAACTTACTATAAAGCTACAGCAGTTAAGGCAGTATGATACTGACATAAGGAATAGAATAGAGAACCTAGAAATAAATTCTCCCATCTGTGGTCAATTGATTTTCAATAAAGTTTCCAAGACCATTCAATGTGGAAGGAATAGTCTTATGACTGGATCAATTACACACATATATGCAAATTAAACCCATTTTTTAAAAGATACCTGATACGCTTTGGCTATTTCCCGACCCAAATCTCTTCTTGAATTGTTGCTCCCACAATTCCCACAAGTTATGGGAGAAACCCTGTGAGAGATAATTGAATCATGGAGGTGGTTTTCCTCATACTGTTCTCATGGTAGTGAATAAGTCTCATGAGATCTGATGGTTTTATAAGAAGTTTCCCCTTTTGCTTGGCCCTCAGTCTTACTGCCACCAAGTAAGACATGGCTTTTGCCTTCCACCATGATCATGAGAACTCCCCAGCCACATGGAACTGTGAGTTCATTAAACCTCTTTTACTTTATGAAGATCCCAGTGTCAGATATGTCTTTCTCAGCAGCATGAAAACAAACTAATACAATAAATTGGTACCAGATAATGGGGTGCTGCTTGTAAAGATACCTGAAAATGTGGAAGTGACTTTGGAACTGGGTAACAGGAAGAGGCTGGAACAGTTTTAAGGGCTCAGAAGAAGACTGGAAAATGTGGGAAACTTTGGAACTTCCTAGAGACTTGGAGGGCTCAGAAGACAAAAAGATCTGGAAAAGTTAGGAACTTCCCAGAGACTTGTTGAATGGCTTTTACCAAAATGCTGATTGTGATATGGACAATAAGGTCCAGGCTGAGGTGGTCTCAGATGGAGATGAGAAACTTATTGGGAACTAGAGTAAAGGTCACTCTTGCTATGCAAAGAGACTGGCAGCATTTTGCCCCTGCCCTAGAGATCTGTGGAACTTTGAAACTGAGCGTGATGATTTAGTGTATCTGGTGGAAGAAATTTCTAAGTGTCAAAGCATTTGAGAGGAAGCAGAGCATAAAAGTTTGGAAAACTTGCAGCCTAAAAATGTGATAAAAAAGAAAACCCCATTTTCTGGGGGGAAATTCAAGCCAGCTACAGAAATTTGCATGAGCAACAAGGAGCCAAATGTTAATCACCAAGACAATGGGGAAAATGTCTCCAGGGCATGGCAGAGACCTTTACAGCAGCCCCTCCCATCACAGGCCAGAGGCCTAGTAGAAAATATGGTTGTGTGGGCTGGGCCCCGGGCCCTCCTGCTATATGCAGCCTAGGCATTTTTGCCCTGCATCCCACCTGCTGCAACCTTGGCTAACAGGGGTAAAGGTACAGCTCAGGCTGTGGCTGCAGAGGGTGCAAGCCTTAAGCCTTGACAGCTTCCATGTGGTGTTGAGCCTCTGAATGAGTAGAAGTCAAGAATTGAGGTTTGGGAAACTCTGCCTAGATTTCAGAGGATGAAATCTCTGAATGGAAATGGCTGGATATCCAGGGTGAAGTTTGCTGCAGGGTCAAGGCCCTCATGGAGTACCTCTGCTAGGGCAATGCAGAAGGGAAATGCGGGATTGGAGCCCCCACACAGAGTCCCTACTGGGGCACGACCCAGTGGAGCTGTGAGAAGAGAGCCACTTTTCTCCAGACACCAGAATGGCAGATCCACTGACAGCTTGCACCATGCACCTGGAAAAGCCGCAGACACCCAATGCCAGCCTGTGAAAGCATCCAGGAGGGGGCTGTCGCCTGCATAGCCACAGGGGCGGAGCTACCCAAGGCCACGGGACCCCAGTTCTTGCATCAGTGTGACCTGGATATGAGGCATGGAATCAAAGGTGATCATTTTGGAGCTTTAAGATTTGACTGCTCTGCTGGATTTCTGACTTGCATGGGGCCTGTAGCCCCTTCATTTTGGTCAGTTTCTCACATTTGAAACAACCGTATTTACTCAATGCCTGTACCCCCATTGTATCTAGGAAGTAACAAACTTGCTTTTGATTTTACAGGCTCATAGGCAGAAGGGACTTGCCTGGTCTCAGATGAGACTTTGCACTGCGGACTTTTGAGTTAATGCTGAAATGCGTTAAAACTTTGGGGGATTGTTGAGAAGGCATGATTGGTTTTGAAATGTGAGGATGTGAGATTTGGGAGAGAGGGACCAGCAATGGAATGATATGGTTTGGCTGTGTCCCCACCTAAATCTCATCTTGAATTATAGTTTTCATAATCCCCACATGTTGTGGGAGGGACCTGGTGAGAGATGATTGAATCATGGTGGCAGCTTCCCCCTTACTGTTCTCCTGGTAGTGACTAAGTCTCATGAGATCTGATGGTTTGATAAGGGATTTCTCCTTTTGCTTGGCTCTCATTCTTCCTGCCACCATGTAAAACGTGCCTTTCACCTTCTGCCATTATTGTGAGACCTCTCCTGCCAAGTGAAACTGTGAGTCCATTAAACCTTTTTTTCTCTATAAATTACCCAGTTTTGAGTATGTCTTTATCAGCAGTGTGAAAATGAACTAATACAATACCCAAAACGGAAAACATCTCAACCCATAGCTTGCACCATATAAAAACTTAACTCAAAATGAATGACCTAAATATACAAGCTAAAACTATAAACTCTTAGAATAAAACATAGGATATAATAAAAATACAAAAATAGCAATAATGAAACCTTTGTGACTTAGTTTAGACCATGATTTCTTAGAATTAATACAAATTCATGAATCAGAGAAAAAAATTGATTAATTTGAGTTCGTCAAAATTAAAATTTTCTGCTCTTCGAAAAATAGTTAAAAAATACAAGTTACACACTTCGTATACAGAATATGTAATGCATTTTTAAAATTCAACAATAACAATCCAATGTTTAAACATGGAGAAACATTTTGAGCAGATATTCCAATAAAGAAACTATCCTAATGGCAATAAGTACACAATAAAATGCACAATGCAATTAGTGATATGTAAATTAAAATCACTATAGGAAATCCCTTCACAACTCTTAGAATTAATTGGGGAAAAAAACCTGGCAATACCACATGATGGCACGGATGTTGAGGGTAACTGGAATGCTCATACATTACTGGTAGGAATGCAAAATGGCACAGCCAGCTTGAAAAAACAGTTTGGCAGTTTCTTATAATGTAAAAACATGTGTGTATATATATATATATATATATTCACTATAAAACCCAGTAATCACATTCCTAAGCACTTACCCAAAAGAAAGAACCAAAAACATATATCCACACAATAACCTGTATTTGAATATTCATAGCAGTAATATTTATGATCACCCAACACTGGAAACAGCTTCCTAGGTTCATCAAATTTTTAATGAGTAAGCAAAATGTTATACAGGAATATACAATGGAAGCCTACTCACCAATAAAAAGGAACAAATCATTGATAAACACAAGATGAATGAATCTGTGATATTATACTGTGTGAATAAAAATCTCTCAAAATGTTACCTGATGTATGATTCGCATTAATGTATGAAACATTGTGTGAAATATAAAATTCTAGGAAAAGGTGAAAGTTTGGATGTGATCCAGGGGCTAGGGTTGGGGAAAATGATTCATTACACAGAGACACATATAAACTTTTTGAAGTGATGGAAATCCCCTATATATTGTCTGCATTGGTGATGACACAACTATATGCATGTTTTTTTCAAATTGAATAGAACAGTATGCCTAAACTAGGTGACTCATATTGTATGTAAATCATGCTTCAGCAAACCTGACTAAAAATAAGTACCACTAAATAATTATTTTCACCACCACCACCACCACCACCACCGAAACCACAGTAGGTCCTGTGTTACAGGTAGATAGACATGAGCGTGGCACGGGAGGGCTCTCCCCACCCACTGGAAACGTCGGGTGATGGTTCAGCAATTATTGCATTGCCTCTCTAAAAGTAATGCATTGGCAGCCAGCACCAAGGAGAGGCCATTTCCTGATGGTCCATACTTGTTAACATTAAAGTGTTAATTAAAGGTAGACACCACCCCCCACCCCCCCCACCCCCCCCGAACACACACACACACACACGCCTCCCTGGAGTACCAACTTCCCTGGCACTCACATTAAGAGACAAAAATGGTGATGTATGATCTTCCGGGTACACTCCACCAGAAAAAGGAAGACAGCCTTAGAATGGCACTCGTGTAACTCCCTAAACACACTGTGGGTGCTTACTTCCCAAGGGTAAGGAGGGCTCTGTGCATGCGGGCAGCCCACCCTAAGCTAAGGGAAGAATCATGGAAAAGAGGAAAACCTCTCCTAAGATCGTGGTTAAACAGGGCACTTGACCTTCTCTCTCTTCTTTTTTAATCTCTTGCTCTTTTTTTTTTTTTTTGAGACGGAGTCTCGCTCTTTCGCTCAGGCTGGAATGCAGTAACCAATCTTGACTCACTGCAAGCTCCGCCTCCCGGGTTCACGCCATTCTCCCGCCTCAGCCTCCCGAGTACCTGGGACTACAGGTGCCCGCTACCACGCCCAGCTAATTTTTTGTTGTTGTTGTATTTTTAGTAGAGACGGGGTTTCAACCGTGTTAGCCAGGATGGTCTCGATCTCCTGACCTCGTGATCTGCCCGCCTCGGCCTCCCAAAGTGCTGGGATTACAGGCATGAGCCACACCACGCCCGGCTCCCTTTTTTATCTCTTGGACGTTGGTGCCCACTCGGATCTCTTCCAAGCAAACTTTCCTTTCTTTCCTGTTCTAAAGTCTTTTTAATAAACTTCCATTCTTGCTCTGAAACTTGCCTCAGTCTCTTTTTCTGCTTTATGCCCCTCAGGGGAATTCTTTCTTCCGAGGAAGCAAGGGCTAAAGTTGCTGCAGACCCTCACGGACACACCGCAGGTCACTTGGGGTAACTCAGATTCCTGCCAACAGTAACAGTTCTTTTGTATTCACCTGTTGTCAAAGTAAGACGTGCTTATTCAAATCTTCACGTTTTTGAGGTTTATGCTCAGGTCAAATAATTTTTTCGAGCTTCTCACCCATGTATCCAACTGCCTACATGTTATTTTACTTTATGTGTCCTATAAGTAATTCAAATTTATGATATTCAAAACAGAAATCATTCTCTCTGCCACCCCTTCCTGAAATGTTTCCCACCCTTTCTTTCTCATCTCATATCACAGAATCAGTTATTCAAACTGGGATTCTGGATACTAGGATTGTTTCCTTTTTCTCCCTTTCTCTGTATTTAATCAGATCCAATCTGTACCTAATACATAGTAGACACTCAAAATATGTTTCTGAATGAATAAATAAAGAATTCTGTTCCTGGGAATAGAACAAATGTTTGAATGGTACTAAAGACAGCCTGTGCTTTCAGAAAAGCATCATGAAACATTAGCTCTGCGTTTAGGAGCAAAACCGTGCAATTAAGATCAGAGCGTGGGGGAAGGGAGTCAAAGTTACTCTGCTGCTGAGATGCACGAGTTAAATACTATTAGAGAAATAAGAATAAATTGATTGAGGCAAAAGTGTCATAAACTCTTCCGTGTTTATCTCCTTAGGTTTTATGCTCTGCATCCTAGGTCTCATTTATAATTCTTATATCTGTCTCTACTTATGAATTCATAACTGCTTTGTTCTCTCAAAGGCACTCCATTTCTCTACATTTTATGCCTGGCTTTGCTAAATCAATTAAGTTCAATTGAATTTAGCTAAATAAGTCACAAAACTAAACCCACAAGACCACATTAACAAAGACATACTGCTGCATTCACTCTCAATGAATATTTAGTAGTATCCATATTTCCTCAATCTGAAAGCTGACCTGATTTATTATCTAAGTCCGTAAATAGAATAAAATTGATTAGTCTTAAAATAATAGCCACTATTATCTAAAGGGAAGAAAAATGTAGTAAACCGAAGAGTGGTATTCATGAGTCTGTCCCGGTCACTTGAAAATAAAATTTCAATAGGTGTCCAAGCAGGATGTGACAAGCCTTCCCTGCCTTCCCTCCCCTGTCCCTGTTTCAGCAGAGATCAGTCTGCACTTTGAAGCTGCAAATGGCATGTGAGTTGTTTTCACAAACCCATGATGGATAATGGCTAATGGGTAGTACTGTGGTAACAAAGCACTAAGTTTTGAACAAAATAGCTGTGGGACTTGAGGATATTTTAGTGCTTCTTTTGCTTCACAAACGCACCAAGTTTCCTAGAAGAACTGGCCAATAAAACTGCCAGAACAGGGAAGGTCAAAGCACAAAAGAACTAATAGGATCTCAAGGGAAGAGTGGTACAGCTGGTGGTTATTACCACTCATGCCTAGACCAGGAGGTCTGTTAAAAAAACAGAACTCTTTGCAGCAGGCAGAATAAATAAACTTACTCTACTCCATGTTGATGCTTCTTTCAGATGATCAAGATGGCATTTTCCATTTTTTAAATTAATGTATTTTTATTGATACATATTAGATGTGTATATTTTCAGGGTACGTGTCATAATTTCATAATTCATATAACCAAATTGGGGTAGTCGTGATGTCCATCACCTTAAACATTTATCTTTCCTTTCCACTAGGAACATTCAAATTATTCTTTTCTAGCTATTTTGAAATGCACAATTGGTTAATGTTCGCTATAGTCACTACTGATCTATGGGACACCAGGTCTTATTTCTTTTAAGTGTATATTTGTACTCCTTAAGGCTGCACCATTTTCTTCCTTTAGACTGAATTAAAATAGCCATCCTTTCAAACTTTTCTAAACGTTCCCTCAGGGGAGGGCATCTGTAATTTGGGTCATTAATGGCTAAAAAATCCAAATTAATAAACATTAGACAATGCAGCGGACAATTTAAACTAATTTAAATTATCAGATTATTATTTTATTACAGGCTATGGTCTATATTCATAGATTTCCATGGACAGTTAATAATAATATATTTTAGGGACCTCTTTCTATAGGTTAGATTTTGCATGGATTAATTAATCTTTTCCTTTGGCTATGTATTATTACTTTTTCTTATTAAAAAAAAATAAGATACTACTAGCTACTGTGTCTCACACCTGTAGTCCCAGTGCTTTAGGAGGCCAAGATGGGAGCATCACTTGAGGCCAGGTGTTCAAGACCAGCCTAGGCAATATAGCAAGAAACCTGTCTCTATAGAAAACATAAGTAAATAAGATACTAAGAAAGATCTCTAAGAGAGAAAGAATAAAATCTGCCAATTAAAGTGATATAATTTCTTATTACTTAAAGCTTTTTCTAAAAAAACTACACCGATTTTATTAATCAGCCATCATCATTGTACACATATAAAATAGAAATATAATTCAAATTAATTAAAGTATTACTAAAATGCATTACTATTCAAAATCTAATTGTTAATTACTTTTCTGTCCAGGTCTGTCACGTGAGTTGACACTATCGTCTTCTCTGCCAATAAGAGTTTTAGATGTAGCATTTATGAAAATGCATTATGATATAACCAAAAGCCAGTAATGGTGAGCTCTTAAGATAACTTCATCAAAATCCCACTTTGGGATTATTGCTCAACTGCTTGATTCATAACCGCTCCCCCCACCCATGCCTTCCACTGTAAATTCTGAAAATAAAAAGAAAATTCCAGTGTCGTCATTTAGATTTTCTTTAATGCCTCTGCCATCCACATCACAAACTTTGAAACTGGATATTTATTATTTTTAAAAAATTTATAGGCAGTGACAACTATGCCATTATTACTCTCCAGCTGACATCAATTTGAAGACAGTATCAATTAAAACATGCATCCAAGCTGGGCGAGGTGGCTCATGCCTGTAATCCCAGCACTTTGGGAGGCCAAGGTGGGTGGATCACCTGGGGTTGGGAGTTTGAGACCAACCAAACCAACATGGAGAAACCCCGTCTCTATTAAAAATACAAAGTTAGCTGGGCATGGTGGTGTGTGCCTGTAATCCATGCTGCTTGGGAGGCTGAGGCAGGAGAATCGCTTGAACCCAGGAGGAGGAAGTTGCAGTCAGCCGAGATTGTGCCATTACACTCCAGCCTGGGTAACAAGAGCAAAACTCCAACTCAAAAAAAAAAAGTTCTATCCTTATATCAGATGTTATGGTTAGTGTACACATACTTTAATGCCTAGAGATATGTAGTTAGTGAAATGCTCAAGTCAGAGTTCAAAAAGAGGCCATCAAGCCCAAGCCCAAGATTAGAGCTATCTTTACACTTGCATATTCAATATTCTGGATGGGGGGAGGGGAATGGGAATTTTAAATAGAATTGGCCTCCAACTCCTTTCCCAGAATAATTTCTTCTACACTTCTTAAATGCTATCCTACCTGTCAGGTACAGAGCACCAGAGTATTCCAGCCATGTGAGATTTCCTGTTTTCAACTCACAAGTTCTTTCTTGCTTCAGGTACAATTGCCTTAGACAGGGTATTGCTTGCTGTAATAACAAATAGATCTTTAAAATAAAATAGCTTCCAAAAGAGTTTCATAGAATGATCTTGGGTGGAATTCTATAAAAGTCTTCAGGAGTCACAGATGATGAAACAAATCTGCAACCGATGGTTTCCAAGGCTGTTTTTATCTTATAAATCAGAACAATGGGTGATTCCTAGTCACAACATTTATGGAATTAATTATTAGGCTGGTGCAAAAGTAACTGTGCTTGTTGTCATTAAAAGCAATGGCAAAAACTTTGTTCACTTATCCTGAGTAAAATACAAAAATGTTATTCTTGGTGAATCAACTCTCTATAGAAGTAAAAAATAGCCCCTCATCTCCACTATAATTAGCATGTTGAAAGCGTTTGCCTTTCAATGAATAATTCCTGCTGATCCAGTTAAACCAAAGTAAAATTAGGAATCAATTGCTACTTTCCTTTTTATTCAAGAACATGTCCTCTTAGAAGACAGAAAGGGTTATTTCATTTTTAGTAGATCGGTGAAGATGAAAATGATGGCAATATATGAATGTGTACCTAATTGAAATGATTTAATGAAAAAAGAAAGATTTCTAAAGATGTGAAAGACATCTTCATTCTCATGTTTATTGCAACATTATTCACAATAGCAAAGACATGGGAGCAACCTAAATGTCCATCGACAAATAAATGAATAAAGGAATGTTATATATATGTGCAATGGAATATTATTCAGCCTTTAAAACGAAGGAAAGTTTGGGAGGCCAAGGTGGGCGAATTGCCTGAGGTCAGGAGTTAGAGACCAGCCTGGCCAACACGGCGAAACCTCATCTCTACTAAAAATACAAAAAAAAATTGGCTGGACCTGGCGGTGTGTGCCTGTAGTCCCAGCTACTTGGGAGGCTGAGGCAGGAGAATTGCTTGAACCCAGGAGGCAGAGGTTGCATGGAACTGAGATCCCACCATTGCACTCCAGCCTGGGCGACAGAGCCAGACTCCGTCTCAAAAAAGAAAAAAAAATAAAGGAAATTCCGTCAGCTGAGACAACATGGATGAACCTAAAGGACAGGATGCTAAATTAAATAAGCCTTACACAGAATAACAAATACTATATGATACCAATTATAAGAGGAATGTAAAATAGTAGAGTGTCAGTTTCCAGGGACAGGGGAAGGGGGAAATGGGGAAGCATCAATTAAGCAGCATACTGTTTCAGTTATACAAGATGAGTAAGTCCTAAATCTACTGTACATTATAGTGCCCATAGTTAATAGTACTACACTGTATAACTAAAAATTTGCTAAGGTGATAGGCTTTTTAAAAGTGTTCCTATCACACATACACAAATAATAAAGAGTGTAGTAGGAAAAAAATGACATCAAAGAGTATGCCATTCAAGGATATCATAGATCATATAAAAGATATCATATATCATACAAGATCATGTAGATGACAGATGGAAAGATGGGGATTCCTAATGTAGTGATCTCACCCCAAATCAATGAACACTTCTAAAGTTTCTACATAAAAACAGGTTTTCAGGGGATACTCAGGGTTGTATACAATTATGTTCTTCAGGGTCTGACAACAGATAAAAATGCTATCTAATAATAATAAAAACAACAGAAATCTATGCATTTTAGAGTACATCCACATATAACATCTCACCCTGGATTCACACCACAATTTTTTTTTTATGTTAGGACAAGTGTTATTTTTATGATTTTACAAATAAGGCAGCTCTGGCTCAGGTCAAACCATGACTGACAAGTTCAAGAATTCAACTCCAAGGTTTTCCCCGACATCATTTCTATCATTACTTCTTAGAGGAGTAAGTCATGGGTGAAGTCATTCATTTGCTTCTGGGAGCCAGCTGTGAAAAAACTGCATGCATCACGAATCGTCTAATTCCTGAAGCCAATAATACCTGAAGTCATTTTATATAGTTTACTCACCCAGATGTTACCTGCAGTATATGCACCTTGTTTCATGATGGTCCCTGGTAAAGTAATCTGCAGTATACAGCCATGGTCCCCCAAAACTTGGAATTAGGCCTTGCTTCTTTTCCTGGCTTTAATGGCCTTTTGACTATTTTTCTCCTGCATTGTTTCACATTTACTTCAGTTCTACTCTGTATTCCAAACAAAAAATGTTCTCCCTAATCCCTCTGTTTCTTTGTTGGAAATTTAATGCTTCTATGTTTTCAAGACACAGAGGTAGCATAAAAGCTTAAAACCTCATATTGGTCCATACCTCTTTAGGAAAGTATCATGCCTCTATAAAATTGCCCTATTCTGATCCTTCTGACTATTCTTCAAATGAAAGAGTCTGCCATATCATGAACTTTTTCATTGAAAAACTTGGCTTGGTTTAAATGCCCCCTTTCAGTAATTTTGTGGTAAAATGAATTGAATTGTCCAAAAATGACCACAGGAGCTCACTCTAGATTTCTTGGACAAACAGCCAATTAAGATAGTTGGGAATAACACTCCAGTCTCACCCTATTCTCTCATCAGAAGGAACTACACCCAAATCTCAGCTTCCCACGTAAGAAGTCGCTGCCTTTTCTTAACAAGGGAAATTATAACATCTCATGGGCCCCAAGCCCTCGAGGAGTGTGTGGCTGGTATTCCCAAACAACGCCTATCAATGGCTGGCATCAAAATTCCAGACTGCCTGAGACCAGGTCCCCTTTGTTTTCCCCATGTACAAGATAACTTTCTCACATTTGCTTCATAAAATGAAAATTAAAGGGAAGGCGATGTCTCTCCCCTAGAACATAAAATACCCTGTGGGCCCATGAGCATCCCAGGCCCTGACAAGCCTCTCTGTCGAGGGACCAGGAAAATCTGGGGTTTCTCTTTCTTTGCTGACCTGGCCTTGCAAATAGGACTTCACGGAATTCATCCAGAATCCTACCCACATGAGAAAGTTGACAGACCCAGAAGAAACCTATTTTGCACAACACAATGGTTTGCAAGCTCTTACTTCTGATAGCTAAATGATCGTGCAACACAGCCAGGCACAGAGTGAGTGATGCAGAAGCAGTACGCACTAAATGTTATGGCTTTCACCTTCTAACCAGTATATGGTTACCAAAATAAAAATAAAACTAGCAAATCTCACCATTTATCCCTAAGCTACCAATTCCTTTTATTTGCCTAGCTTCCCTAGAATAGTGGCTTAATTAGAAATAATTACCTTTACTTAAGCAGATCATACAGATGTTTTTGAATACTTCCTTCTTCAAATCCTATAGTACTCTGTACTTTTTTTTTTTTTTTTTTTTTTTGGAGATGGAATCTCGCTCTGTTGCCCAGGCTGGAGTGCAGTGGCTCTATCTCGACTCACTGCAAGCTCCGCCTCCCGGGTTCATGCCATTCTCCTGCCTCAGCCTCCCCAGTAGCTGGGACTACAGGTGCCCGCCACCACACCCGGCTAATTTTTTTTTTTTTTTTGCATTTTTAGTAGAGACGGGGTTTCACTGTGTTAGCCAGGATGGTCTCGATCTCCTGACCTCGTGATCTGCCCGCCTCGGCCTCCCAAAGTGCTGGGATTACAGGCGTGAGCCACTTATTGGGACATTTAAAACACTCATTAGGAAACATTTCATGTAAGTGCTATTTATAAAAAATTTATGCCATTATTTCTATCCAAAGTAGATGCTTCCTATCACTAGAGAATACATATTTCAACCTGTCATAATTATTACTATTACTATAATAACAATTTAATTTTGTAAATTTATACATTTTAGTGCTTAGATGCTTTTTGTTATATTTTCTATGTTATATCCTGATTTCTGAAAAAGAATATTACCCAAAATACTAAAAATAGAGAGCTAGAACTGAATTTACACTTTTATAACACATTAATGATACTGGATTTTTGTACTCTTAAATTCATAATAAATTTTTATTACTACTTCATTTTTAATATGTAATTGATTTTTATATGCATTTTGAAATTGTCTAACTACAAAAACAGGAAAATATAACAGTGGTTATCTCTTAGTAGTGGAATAATAGGTGACTGTTTTATTGATAGCCTGTAGTTTTAAATTATTTTAAATAACTATTTATCATTTAAGAACATTAAAAAATGATTTAAAAATCCAAAGCTGGCATCTGGACAGTTTTGAAAAAGATGAAGGCTTTTTCACCAGTCATTATCAAACAATTTATACGAAAATAATGTCTTGACTCAGGGGCTCTGGGAGGAAAGTAACACAGAATATTTAAAAAGTAGGACACACCAGATAACTTAACTTTTTTTTCTTTTTTCCTTAAATCTTAACCGAGAGGAGTCAATCACTTTAACTCCCAGGGTTTTAATTTTCTTATTTAGGTACTCACCAAGTACATTCACTACTTTATCACTTTTTAATATCTGAATAATAAAATTGCGATGTTCTTTTTACTTGAAAGACCTACTCTCTTATTACCCATGATTGCATCTAGGTCTTTGCAAAGTAGCACGTATATAACTATAACTCATTGTTTCCTATGTACCAGGAAATAGTGTTTCTACTTGTCAAAAGTACCAAGAAGTTTTGCTTTAATTAACCTAATTTTAAGGCTAATTAAGATAGGTGTCATTACAAGAATTTGCCCAAGGTCACCTACAAGTAAGCAAAAGAATTAAAATTCAGATCTCTCGTTCTTTCTCCAGGGTCACCACCTGCCAGCTCCAGAGAGTATCCTTCACCCAGTAGCCTAAAGGACAGGGCACCCCCATTCCATCAAACATGACTGCCCTCTGCTCTGACTATAGAATTGCTGTAAATCCCCTCTCAATATGCCAGGTTGCCTCCTAATTGCAGACAGGCAAATGTGGTAAATGGTCTTGCCTTAGAGCATACTGCTAAGTGCCCAAGTGAGCATAGACTTATCTGCTCCTCCTGTGAATTCATCAATAAACAGACAGCAGCATTATTGTTGCTATGAGAGAGGAAGCTACTGATTTAAGGTTGAATTTGCCATTACTCTCTTTCTGACTGACTCAGAAAAATAATATAAAAATAAGAAAGCTGTTTTGTTTGTGAATTCATTTTTGCACAATTTTCTTTTAGGAAAGCCACAATCAATAAAAGTTCTAACATTCGTATTTCCAGCTACTAACAGGTAGTAAGGTTGCTTAATCTCTGCTGACTGTGCTGTGTGAGAGGCTACGTTCCCTGAGTTCAAACTATCCTGGCAATTTAGCATAATGCTGAGGCTACAGGTCTAGACCCCAGGGAAATTTGCTTTTACTTTGATAAACTGAGATTTCTCAATACTCCTGTAACAGCTGAGTTACTTCCCTCGTTCTAGAGAGAAAGCGCCCTTCTTTAATTTCTTCAGGGGATTTTCCCATTGGGTTAAATGAGAGCCTACTATCTCCTTCAGATAACACCATGTAACTGGCAGTGGGGGAAGTGGGGCCAGAGAAGAAAAGTAAATGGCATTTTTGGCATCAAATAGAGCCTCCAGTAAAAATACTAACCACTTTTTGCTGAAGTGTTTACAGAAAAAGACCATTGTTTCAGGAAATTACTTGTGTTGAAAAATGAAAAAAATCTGTATATAGCAGCTTAATACTGCTCTTACTGTTTACTGAACTAATGTATTTTTGTCCCAGAATTTTACTTCTAAAGAATATACTCTAAATATTGCCATCTTTTCTATTCTGACTGCATTGTACATAATGAAATCACATTGGACTAAGAATTAGTAACATTAACAAATTCTAAGATGTTTCAGTACCTCTTATTGATCCTTTTTATATTAAAAGTGATTTTTTTTCATTACAGGGGATTGTAGAAATTATATAAACAGTCATATCAGTAAAATGAGTTTAAAATATTATTTGAAAAAACTACAACTTTCCTCACAACTGGTTACCTCCACTGAAGAGAATTTATTCATATTTTCTGTGGCAATGTGTTCTCTAGGCTCCCAACAGGATAAAGAATCTAGAACAAAAATATTTTTTAAAGTGGCAGAAAGATATACCCACTTTGAGCATTCATCACAATGTTACATTCCATGGGAAAAAAACAAAAGGGATTATACTAAATTTTAACGCACCTGATACCAAGCAACTTCAACCATGCTAAACAAATGTAGGTAGGGGATGGGGCTGTCTGGTATTGGCAAAGACAAGTGAGCAAAGTATCTCACTTTACAGAAACCATTATTAACCGGTATTGGTGTCTTCCTAACTTAGATGACTCTTTCTCTAATGTGTGTTTGTCACATGACTTTCCTTACCCAGTGGGTTATCCTAAACTTCAGTACAATGCACTGTCCAGCTCATCTCAATATTTCCAACAACAAAAGTTAAAAATGTAAGACCGTGATTTTTTCTGTTGTTCTCTATTTCACAAGTAGTCTACTTGGAAAGGGTCAAAACATATCTGGATGAGTTTCCTTCTAATCCGTCCACTTAGCTCAATAAAGTGCTCTGCATTTTTGCCAGATCGAACCTTGGAAACAAAAATGGCTCTTACCAAAGTCTAAAATGGAGATTTTAACTAACATCAAGGGTTGCTCCAAGCAGACTCTCATATTTAGATGTATCCAGGAGGCCGGGTGTGGTGGCTCACACCTGTAATCCCAGCAATTCCAGCACTTTGGGAGGCCGAGGCAGGTGAATCATCTGAGGTCAGGAGTTCAAGACCAACCTGATCAACATGGTGAAACCCCGTCTCTACTAAAAACACAAAAATTAGCTGGGCTTGGTGGTGGGAGGCCTGTAATCCAAACTACTCAGGAGACTGAAGCAGGAGATTTGCTTGAACTCTGGAAACGGAGGTTGTAGTGAGCCAAGATCACGCCATTGCACCCCAGCCTGGGCAACAAGAACAAGACTCTGTCTCAATAAAAAAAATGATGAAATAGATGTATCCAGGAAAAATTCAGGCCTTTTTTGTGCTCCCCAAATCCCAATAGTTTAAGTTGACTTCTGAAATCTCTTACACTGCTCTACTCTTGTCCCATAGCCCTATTAAACTATTGCTAAAGAAAAAAAAATCAATGACATCTAAAGCATGGTTAGACTAACTTTTTTCAAGACCATCACAATAGATACAGGGACTATGGCAATGGGGTCTTGCAGTGGGGAGTGAGATTGGGCTTCACTCCAAATATAGGAAGGGAAAATAAAAATTTATGGACAAGGAGAAGGGTGGGGTCAGTGGATGGAAAATTACTAAGAAATGTCAGGGTTAAGGGGATTCTGTTTCAGCTGACCTAACAGGATTCTTGCTGAAGACAGGCCCAACATGATTAGACATCACCTCAGGGAAGGTGGAAGATGAGGAGCCCAACTAGATATCGAGCGTGATTTGATATTAAGTGTGCAGGGATCTTGCTAAACTGACTTAGCAGGATTCTTGCTAAAAGTGAATTTTAGAAGAAAGCAAACTTAGGTGAATACTCAGAGCTTGACTAAAGTTTGGTAAAGGAAGAACTTATGTCACTGTACAAGTCAGTGAGTATCCAGCTTCTTCCTACCTGGTAGGCACTTCTAAATTTCACTATAAACATGTGCGACTTGAAGTTACAGAAAAGATAGAGGTGCAGCAATAGCTACCACTGTTTTCAAAGAAATAGTACCCTCTGTCCCAAACCTCATTTTTGGTTGTATATACTGGCTAAAAGTGGTTGGTGGATGAGAGTCAGAGAACCTGCTTTTAGCCACTGTTCAGCAAGTCCTGCTATTGATGCTTAAAGAAACTCTCTTGAGAATGTCATTGATTGTCCCTAGCTTTGGAACTTCAGCCAATATTCTGAGTTATTATGAAAAATTTGTCATTTTTTTTTACTTGGGAGAAAGACTGAAGCTATTCAAAAATGAACTGGTTCTTAAAAATATATTAGGAAGTTTGAAAACGCACCTAAGCAGAAGGCTTTACGCCTCACATTTCAGAGCGAAAAAAATCAGAGTGTTTAGGCACAATCTCTTCCCTCAAAGACAAGACAGTTTAAAACTAACAGGAGTGCTAATAGCAGGAATGAAGGAGACACAGAAAGTCAAAAGAAGCAAAGCAATCTTTTCATTGATCTATGTATAAAATCGTGATTGAATCCCTAAAGTAAGAAACATGATTGACATGGGTATAGAGCTTACTGGTAAAATGCAATTCATACCCTTCATATATATATATATATATATATACACCCTTCATATATATATATATACCTTCATATATATATATATACCCTTCATATATATATATCATCATATATATATACCTTCATATATATATATCTTCATATATACATATACATTCATATATATATGTATGTACACACACACATATATATATGAAGGGTATGAATATATATATATATGAAGGGTATGAATGTGTGTGTGTGCATATATATATATATATATATATGCACACACACACAATATTTTTGCATCAGATTCCACCTCAGAGACAAGAGTCTACAATTGTTCACATCTGTAAAAAAGCTGCAAATTCAGTCATAAGGCAAAATTGAAAAAGTAAAACCCGCTTAATAGTGAAGTGAGGTTGGGGGTAGAGAAGAAAGAGAAGTCAGTTGAAACTGAGATATAAGAACATGTGTATAAAGTCAGAACTAAGAACACAGGGAGAAAAAAACAAAAGTTAGAATTTTCTTAACTGATGAGACAGTTATCATATCTCGAAGATAATTTAACACAACGGTTCTTTAGATTTGGATTTTTCACTTTGGTAACATTAAGCACTATTCACTGCCTGCCAAAGAAAGAAAAGCAAGTTGACTATTCCTTCAGAAAAAAAAGTGTCTACTAAAAAGAATGAAAATAATACTAAAATGCATACTGTGCCCAGATAAATAAGAAGACTTATCAAAGGAGTATTTTGAAGAAAGTTATTTTGGGTCCTGGGATTTATTTTAAAAATCTAAGCCTTTCAACAAACTGCTTTCCTAAAATTCAGATTTTTTTTTAATGTGATACAGGTTAGAAATTTTAGAAAATCTTTCTCTCTCTCTCTCTCCATCCACATTTGTTCCAAAATGTTGTCCATATTTATCTCTACATCTGGGTCTCTGGAAATTCTGAACTCTATGTTACCGGAATGAGGTATTTAGAACAGCTGAAAAGATAAAAATTAACACATTTTATATAATAACATGAAAGGATAGTCCCTTCATTCATGAATTCATGTATTGAGAGTCGATTGTAAGCTGGATATATGTGAGATACTGAGAATTCAGTGGTAAATAAAACCAGACTTTTTTCCATCCCCATGGAAACCAGGATTTAGTAAATAAAACAATATTCAGATAATCACACAGAAAAAAATACAAAATTACAAACTATAGTATCACTAGAAAAGAGAGATGAATTATGCCAGTAGAGTCTTAATAGTAGGATTTGACTTGGTCATAGGCGTCATGGAAGACATCACAGAAGAAGCAACTGAGCTAAGAAATAAAGAAAGAATAAATATGAACTAGAGGGAAAGCTGTTCTAGTGTAAGATGTGCTGGGGTAAAGGTCCTGTCTCAGAAGACACATAGAGTGTTTGAGGAACTGAACGCCAACAGGAAGGTGGGAAATATTTGACTGAGGTTGATGACATCATTAGATGCTTGTTTCAAAATGAACAATCTGTTTTGTGATGTGTGGACAATTGATTTTATTGGGATAATACTAGATGGAAAGTTATTGTTTAGGAAGGTATTGCAATATACCAGGTGAAGAAGATGTTAATAGCAGAGAAAGAAAGATAACTGGAGATACAATTCTGATGTAAAATTGACAGAACTTAATAAAGAGTTTACTATTGAGAAATCTGAGAAAGGAAAATGTCAAAGAAATCATCTAGCATTCCAGCTTGTTTTTTTAAAAAAATTGACAATGTTACATTAAAGTAAGTTCATATTGTGAATAAAAGGGACAATCATAATTTCAATTGAAAACATGTTGAATTTGAGCTACTTTTGCTCAAACCAAGCAAGGATTTCATACATAATTGACCTGCAGATTACAAAATGAGAGTAGAGATCAGGTGCGGTGATTCTTTTTAAAAAAGGGTCTCATGGATATAGGCAAGAGTTTAATTTCTCAGTATTAATACTATAACTTAATCAATAAAAACTATGGAAGATTTAGATTTTTGAGAAGGACTACGAAAAACATTTTTTGTTTACGCTCTATTTCCCTAAACAGAAACAGAATCTACTTTCTACCACAATCCCCCCGGTTCAATGGCAAAAAAATGTGATAGAGCCAAATGAAATGGAATGGAATGGACTGAGAGAAATAAAGAAAGAAGCAATTCCTATTGCAAAAACTGAGTAGAAAGGTTTGAGATAATGAAGAAAAAGGAAAGAGATCATAGATAAGGGACTTCTTTATATCTATATTGGGTTGCATGTAGATATGGATGGATAGGATTTTAAAAATAGAATGATTTCTGTACTTTAAGTCAGAGCAAGAAAGGAGGATAGTTTGATCATCCAATGAGATCTATAGACTATACTTTGCTTTCTTCTAAACTTTAAGGATCAATCTTTAGGGCAAGAATCTATAGGAAAATTGATCTGATATGTGGTATGTAAATTTAAACTTGAACTCAAGCATACTATAGATCTGAGTTTGATTCAAAGCTCATTATAGAATTAAGTCAGTTAGCAGGCCAGGACATCAACAAAACTGTTACTTATATAATGTCAAAGCAGAAAAGGCCAAAGTAATACTGGTCCCCGGAGTAACTGTCTTTGGAGACAGATATCAATGGAGGCAGTGATTGCAACTATAGAGCTTTGTTGATTGGTGGCCATATTCCGAAGATATCATTGAACAAAAGTGAATCTTTTGCTTTGGCATGTGATTTTATCAAATAAAGCCCTTGGAGGAGACACCCAGGCAAGGCAGCTAATAGACAATGGTTCACATGCATGTATTTGTCCAGAACATAACTATTAAAAAGAATACAGTTGCCTCTGCAGAAGGAAGGAAGATTCTGAGCAATATTGGGAAGTTGGGGGAAGGGCCTCAGAGCAACAGATATGGCACAGGAAGTGCCAGGTTTCTGGACTGATATCCTGGAACAAAAGATTGATCAAGTGAAGCAGCTTCACATGGGTCTCCAATATTGACTCCCAGTTTAGTTGTGATTCACTAGGGGAACCCACAGGGCTCAGCATGTAGTCACACTCATGGCAATAATTTATTACAGCAAAAGAATGAAGCAAAATTAGCAAAGGGAAGATGTGCACAGAGCCTATTATTGGCCAAATATTTGTACTTCCCCAAAATTTGTGTTTTAAAGTTGTAACCCTCAATGGGATGGTATTTGGAAATGGGTCTTCTGAGAGGTAATCAGGATTTGATGAGGTTGTGAGGATGGGGCCCTGGTCTGATGGGATTAGTGCCCTTAAAATAAGAAATACCAAAGGGTGCTTTCTTGCTCTCTCTCTCTCTTTCTCTCTCTCTCTTTCTCTCTCTCGCTCTCACTCTTTCTCCTTCTATCTCTGCCACATGAGGATATATCGATAAGGTGGCCATCTTCAAGCCAGAAAGAGGGCCCTCACTAGAACCTGACTATGCTAGCACCCTAATCTCAGACTTCCAATCTCTAATACTGTGAGAAAATAAATTTCTGTTGTTTAAGTCACCCATTTTATGATATTCTCTTATGGTAGCCCAAGCTGACTAATACAAGGATTTTCCAGAGTAAGCCAGGTGCAAGCTTCCAAGAGTCCTCCCTTAATTGAGTCACACAGTATGTGCTTAATTCCTCCAGCAATAAGCTATGACAACACATGTAAAACATTGTCTACCAGAAAAAACTCATTAGAGACTCAGTGCCCAGGGTTTTAATTGAGGGATGCTCATGGAAGCACCCTCTACCCAGTATGTTCCAAAATTTCAGACTCCTAGTAGGAAAGCAGGTGTTCAGCTGTTGTTTGTACAAACAGATTAGGCAGAGTAAGCCATTCTTATTAGTTCTGCGAATGGTGGAAAGCCTCCCTAAATCCCATATGCCAGCTAAGGGCCTCTCTTTCTAGCAGGCATTTCCAAAGATAGCAGTTTCAAGCCTGTTATGTTAACTCTTTTCTCCATATAGCCCAATCTAGACCCTGCCAGGTACAGAAATCCAAGGAATTTTTAAGGGAAGCAAAGTGAGTGTTGAAAGATGAAGCATTTGAATGGTGCATTGAAGATAAAGAAGAAAAAAAATGACAGCATAAAATCTATAAAAGCTTGAGAAACACAGCTTTTTGTAAGCTTCAGTGGCCTTGCTTTGAGGTGGTACCTGGGGTGAAAGCCAAGACTGCAGTGTTACCTGTACTTGACTGGTTACTGGCATTAGATGAAGAGTTCGACAGCATAGAAATTGCCAAGGAAACATACGTGTATTGTGAGGCCATCTGGCATAAGAAGTTGAAAAGAATTTCAGCTTTGTAATAATATGAAAATATTGTTTGCAAAAGGCAGTGAAAAGGAAGTCTGGGAAATATGGCTCAGAAAGTCAAGCAATGATCACAAATATGTAGGTGGAGCTTACTTCATTTAAAACTTGATTGTTTTCGCCTCATCCCCAGGCTTTCAAGGAACCTGAGAGCTTCTCTCCAAGATCTCCTTTATTGTTACAATTAATTGGGGTGAAATATTGCAGGAGAAAGCCATAACACACAAACACATCCCAGTCTTGGGATGACAGTATTTTCACTAACTAATAGATACTTTAAGAAAGTACAGGCCGGGCACAGTGGCTCATGCCTGTAATCCCAGCACTTTGGGAGACCGAGGTGGGTGGATCATGAGGTCAGGAGATCGAGACCATCTTGGCTAACATGGTAAAACCCCGTCTCCAAGGAAAAAATACAAAAAAATTAGCCAGGCGTGGTGGCAGGTGCCTGTAGTCCCAGCTACTTGGGAGGCTGAGGCAGGAGAATGGCGTGAACCCGGGAGGCAGAGCTTGCAGTGAGCCGAGATAGTGACACTGCACTCCAGCCTGGGCAAGAAAGCAAGACTTCGTCTTAAAAAAAAAAAGGACAGTACTTCAGTACTTTATACTGGAGACAGGGAACCACAGCCTCAGGGATACTTTATGATGGAGACTGTGGATGGAGACTGAGGACATTGGAGAAATTGTCTAGCATGGGATTCTCTGAATTCAGGCACATTCCAAACAAGGAAAATGATGCTGAATTTGTTATTTTTAGAATTATTCAAATTGATGGAAGACAAAAATTCAAAGGCTATCCCCGGTAATGTTCAAGGATATGCCTAAACAAGTTATGTAACAGAAATTTAAAAAGCAGAGAATTTTCAATACAGAACAGAGCAGTGAAGTTTTCAAGTGCATTTTCTTCTGTAATCATTCAAAACCGTAAACAATTGGAAGCATCAGTTTCATACTTCATCTCTTCCAATTCAGGAGAGAGAGTGCCCTAATACCCACGCAGAAGTATATAACAAATTTAGGAACTATTTTTCAATTGGTTTATGTTAAGTGTCAGCTTTGGCAGCATAACAATGACTTATATCTATGTGTAAATTCATATGAATAGAGAAATCACGTATACATATTTGTGTATACACATGCACACATATATATATATATATATTTTAAAAATTATTAATACATTGGGTCAGAGAATGAAAAGTTTTGATACAGAAACTGATAGTAATAAGTAGATATAAACTACCAGGCTGCTACTGTGCTGAAAGGTCAATTTTTATGTCATTATGGACTCATTCATTTATATATTAAAAAAATGAAGCCAAAAAGCATAACTAGAACCAGAGTCACGGTTGGAGCTTTCAATTGTTTTCAATTGCTTGTTCAACTGCATATAATCAGTCAACTAGGCAGTTGGCTTGTAGGGAATCTCCTAGGCTTTAGGACACTTATGATAACAGCTATGGTCTGATTGGCACTTGCCCTACCCTACAAAGATGCACTTGAAAGTCAAACTTTGAGATAATGGAGGTGGAAGCAACCGGCACTACTCAGTATAAATGTGTGTTTCATACAACCACTACTTCAGGAATGGTGAATCCCTTCTATAACCTGCTATTGAAGGTATAATGATCAAGAGTATGAGGCACAGTCAATGTGCCTAAGTCGAACAAAAGAAAGAACAATTGAATTATGTGAATGGAGGAAGTAGAATTTCAGAGAAGCACAGGAACATCTTCTCACAAATACAGACACAAATATATATATATATATATATAAATACACACACACACACACACACACACCCCTACACATACATATAGCCCAAAACATCAACAAATAAAAATACACAAGTATTTATACCATTAGTCAAATTTGCATTGGAACTGGTTTACAAAACTAAATTGAAGTAGAAAAATATATTACATGCTCAGAGAAAAATTGAGAAGTACCTGGGATTTATCTTTGGTTCTTTGTGGATTTTACATATAATGCTTGAATAAAAACTCTTCTTTCTTTTTCTCCCTAACATAATGTAGAAAAGGGATAAAAATGAAAATGATAGTTTTCTAAAAATACATTCTTTAGAATCATAATGTCTTTGGGCTAGTTAATAGGCATTATGCAAGCATACAAAAATTGCTATGTTTAAATATGTGAAAAACGTTAGATCAAACAATTACACAGATTTTCTTGGTGCAGACATGGAAAGAGCTATAATATAACATTGTATATACAATCAGCAAAGAATAATGAAGTTTTATTTTCCAAAATGAAATCTGATGTAGGGAACACTAATAAGCTACAAAAGACATTTGGAAAAATGTTAATCTCAGAAGGTTTTCTCAGGTCTTTTCATACACAGAATGTTATTTTTAGGGCACGTGGTATAAAAATATGTGTTTAGTCATTGTGGTCAACTTCTGACACAGAGTTCCAAAAGCCCTTGGAATTCCGTGAGTGATAGGAAGGTCTTTTGTTATTCATAAAGAACCCTTTTAGACACACCTGAGTTTCTACTTGAGTTTATACCTTGTTGAGGTCCCTAGATAGCTTCAGGATGAGGACTGGTCACCAGAAAAGACCAATCACATGATTAGAGAACTGGAAATTTCAGCCCTACCCCCTGACTTCTGGAGAGAAGGAGGGGGCTGGAGACTGGGTTATAAAAACTCCTGAACAACAAGATGTGGGGAGCCTCCAGGCTGGTGAACACATTTATGTGCTGAGAAGGTAGAGAGTACGGAAAGGGTATGGCAACTGTGCCACCGTCTGCCTCCTATACATTGTTTTATGTCTTCCATTTGTCTGTTTCTGAATTAATCCTTTATAAAAACCTGATAATTTCAAGGAGAGCACTTTCCTGAGTTCTGTGAATCATTCTAGAAAATTGTGGGACCTGTGGAGTAGGTCCTACGGCTGACTTCTCAATTTTTCTCTGAGCACGTAGGAAGCCCTGAACTTGTGATTGGCTGGACTGGACGAAACCATGAGGAGGCTGAGAAGCCCATTTGCAGCTGCCAGCTGAAGTGGGGGTGGCTTCGAGAGACTGAGTCCTTGACCTGTGAGTCTGCACTAGGTCCAGGACTTAGAGTCAAACTCGAGTTGCTAGACACTCAGTTGATGTTGAATAATTAGAGCATTGGTTGTTGGTGTGGGAAAATGCCATACATTTTGTGTCATAGAAAAAAAGTACCGCCCAGGCGGAGGGAAGCAAAATAGAAGCTGATGCTGCCCAAGGTGATCACTCCCAGCCACCAGTTCTCAGCCAGTCCTCACTGCCTTTAGAACTGGGAATGGTGACTCTTAACCCTGGCAGCACGGAAGCACCATTTCTCCAGGCCCCATTTCAGAAAATGTTACTTTTAATTCTAAATGTGATTGTCCCATAGTATATATAAAGGCCACATTTTATAGTGTACAACTTGATCAATTTTCACAAGCTAACTCATACAATCTAGGAAACAGCTTTTCCTTGATTTGTAAGTTTTCTTTATTTGTTCTGGCTATGAGATTTCTACTGGATATATGAAATGTGAAAATCGTTTTGCACTTTGTAGTTTCAATTTTCACTCTCTTCATGTTTTTGATGAATCAATGTTCTTAATTTTAATATAGTTTAATTTGACACTTTACAAGTTTTGGACCCTGCTTCAGAAATTATTGCCTATTCAGAGGTCAAGGTTATCCCATATTTCCCTCTCAAACCATCATCCCTCAAACCATGGTAATTTTATTGTTAAAAGCATACATGCTATTTTTTCTTTTAAATATTAAGATCTGCACTCCATTTAGATTTTATTTTTGTCTATGGTATGGGGTTGGTGTCAAGATACTATTGCCTGCTCCAAGATTAAAACAAATTTTTCTTCTTGAATCTTTATTATTATTACATTTAGATCTGCAATTCATCTAAATTTTTTTGTGTGTACAGTGTGAAGTAGGGGTAAAGATA
Organism: Homo sapiens; assembly: GCF_000001405.40. NCBI lineage: Eukaryota > Metazoa > Chordata > Mammalia > Primates > Hominidae > Homo > Homo sapiens. The sequence continues at coordinate 20,722,348 of NC_000021.9, forward strand.
CTACCTTTTCATATATCAATGTCTAATTTACATATATTGACAACACAATTATTTTCTGACTTCATCGAAGTGCCACTATTATCATAAATTAGATGACATTACATGTCTTGAGGTACCTTTAGAATCTATATTCTGTTCTATTTTTTTCTATCCTTTGTCGGAATCATAACGTCTTAGTACAGCTTTATAATTTTATAGTAGAATCACAGTTGTTACTACAGTTTCCCTGGGTTTGTACTTCTATTGGAGATTACTTTGTCTTTTCGTGGCACGTTGTATAAATATATGGATTCATAATGTGTCAATGTCTGAGAAAAAAAGTCTATAAGTATCTTGATGGTTTTGCAAATTTATAGATAAATTTGAGCAGAACTGACATCTTTACAACATTCAGTCTCCAGAATATACATGGTATTTGCTTTGGTCATCATTAACTTATTTCAATTATATTTTATAGATTTTAATGTGATCTTACAAACCTTTGTTTTATTTTTAGATATTTAATTATTTTATTGCTTTGTAAATAGTATTACAGAACTTGTTTACCCTTTATTCTTATCTTAAATTTCCAACTGTATTGTTTTATTTGTGGTAGAAATACAATCGCTCTTTTTTAATATTGACTTGGACCCTGTGATGATTGTAAATTTGCTAATTTAGTGAAATCATTTATAGAATAATTTTAGAGTTTTTTTGTTGCCATGTTATAGTCAAGAAATTAACAGTTTTATTTATTTCTTTCCAATCCTTATGTCCTTATATATCCCCCTCCTTTTTTTACTTATTTATTTTTGCCTTATTGCAATGGTTAGTTTCTCCACCACAATATGACAATGGAAATAGTGAATATGCTCATTTTCTTCCCCCTCTACAGGGAAAATATTTTCTATTTTTTTCTTTTAAATCACTGAATGTATACTCACTCTAGGTTTTCTGTAGCTATCTCTTGCCATTTTAAAAAGTTTACTTTTTCTCCTAATTTGCTAAAAGATTTTTCATGAAAGCGTGTTAAATTTTAGTCTAATGCTTTCTTTTGGCTTCTATGATATATTATTTTTTCTCGAATGTTCTTGACAGGATTTAGAATCATGGTTTTGTTAGCCACCAAAAAATAGTTAGGAAAGGTTACCTTCATTATTCTATGTTTTGTACAAGATTGCGGTTGTAGCTTTCTTAAATGTTTGGAAAAATTCACTAGTCTTCACCATCTGCTTCTGGAGTTTTCCTGTGGAAACTTATCTAAAATAACAAATTTAATTTCTTTGACATATGCCTTACTACTGAGATTGTATATGTCATCTCTTAACTTTGGTAAGTTTTACTTATGGAGTAAGGTGCTCATTTTAACCATATTATCAAATTTCTTTGCTTAAAGTTGTTTGTAGTGTTCTTTTTTATTTATATGTATAGAGCTTGTGTTTATGTGCCCGTTTTTATTTTTGTAATTCTGTTCTCTTTCATCCTGATCAATATTAGATATTTATAAAATTGATTAATCTTTAAAGTTTCAATCATTGCTTTGGTTACATTCTCTATTCTGCATTCTTTCTTTCTTTCTCTCTTTTATTTTTTTGAGATGAAGTCTCACTCTTGTCCCCCGGGCTGGAATGCAATGGCATGATCTCAGCTCACTGCAACCTCTGTCTCCTGGGTTCAAGCGATTCTCCTGCCTCAGGCTCCTGAGTAGCTGGGATTACAGGCACCTGACACCACGCCCAGCTTACTTTTGTATTTTTTGTCGAGATGGGGGCTTCACTGTGTTGTCCAGGCTGGTCTCGAACTCCTGACCTCAGGTGATCTGCCCGCCTCAGCCTCCCAAAGTGCTGGGATTACAGGCATGAGCCACCATGCCCGGCCTATTTATTTCATTCATTGCTGTTCTTTATTATTTATTTTTCCTTTACGTAGTTTTGATTCTTTAGATGAAAAATTAAATTGTTGATTTTTACCCTTTGTTCTTTCTCATATATGCAAACTGGCTATCATTTTTTTCTTTAAACAATGCTCTAGCTGCATCTCACAATTTTTTATCTTAAAATTTAGTGGAATAATTTTATAATTTTATACTGATTTATTCTTTTATCCTTGAATTGTTTACAAGTATATTCTTTAATTTCCAGGAAGTAGAACTGTTTTTAGTTATAATTTTGTTGGGATTATAATTAATCCCATAATTAGAGGACATATTTTAAATTATTTTGGTATCTTAAATTTTGGTGAGGCTTTGTTATAGCTTATTGCATAGTTGATTCTTATTAATCTCATAATTAAATAACATATTTTAAATCATTTCAGTATTTTAAATTTTTGTGAGGCTTTTTTATAGCTTATTGCATGGTTGATTCTAGTTAAGCTCAGATGTACTCCTAAAAAAAAAGATAAATTCTGTTTTTCTTAGGTGCAGTGTTCTATGTTCTAAATCTATCAATTAGTTCAAGTGTATTAATTGTGATGTTCAGATCCATTTTTCTTTTGTCTTATTTTTGTATGACTTTCTATCAACTATGTAAATACTCCAAAGTCAAAAATCCTTCCAGGTGGGCTTCAAGCAAGTGAATGTTTCAATATTGCCTCAGGTGCTTCTAATTTTCAGCCAGCTTTGAGAAGCTTCAGTTGAGAGATTAATGTCTTGGTCATTGATGTAATCCTTAAATAGATGACAGTAATCCATTTAATGCACAAGTTTATACTAAACACACATCTCAGGATGTTCTGCAGAATAATCCATTGGCGTCTTATTTTTTCAGTAAGACAGTTTTCCTGTAAATTTAATAATGCAAAGGCATACTTCCTTCATAGAAAAACATTATTTTCTCTCTAACATTACAACATTTCCTAAATGGTTAAAATAGTAAGGGAGCCTAATTCCATAAAATTTATCTTGAAAATTTCAACTGTTGGAAAAAAGATTCAAATACAGTATTCTTCTGTTGCTAATTATTCAATAAATCACAAAAGGAATTCTTTATTGTGATTTATTTTTCTCACTAAATATTCTCAGCTTATGTTTAGTAGTAGCAACTCATCAAAAAAAATTTTTAAAAGGGAGAGTAAAAGAAGCAAAATGAAATCCCCAAATCAGGCAGGTGTAACTGGTAGCCTAACAGCAAAATTTGGCCCTCAGACATTTTTTGTTTGGCCTATAGAATTTTTTAAAACTTTGCCAATATTTTTAAACTGAGAGATGTTATATAAAAATGAAGATTCAAATTTTTTAAGATGTTAGAAACTTGATGGGACCACTACCATAATTTTATCAGCACCCCACTGCCTCCCATGTTGGAGGAAGCATCTGCATCCTAGTAGTTTTATCCACATAAGGATCTTGGTTGGCAGTGTGGGTAGATTATTTGCAAGCCCAGCTATAAATAAGTTCTATAATTTTAAGCATCCTAATTATCACCATTCATTCCACACTTTGTCAAGTGGAGTGTGTTTGGGGTGCTGATTGGGTGGAAGATATTATAGATCAATCTATAGTAGAGATTGTCAGAGAAAACTGCAAATAATATATGGAGAAATATGCATCAAACTTGTAAAATCATATGATTGGAGATATTTCTAACAAAGTTGTTAGTGGAATTTTAATTAGATAGATGTTAAATCTGAGGGTTTTTAATTAAAAAAACACAGATATTAACACAATCCTGGTAGGCGGAGACATGGTGTTAGAAATAGGAGTAACAATGCAAAATAGACCTAGAAGAAAAAACTGGGACCTAGTTGTTGCCCTCTAAGAAATCTCCCTCCCTTCCCCAAGCTCCACGCCATTGAAGCAGAGCAGAAATAAAGAATTTCCCACAATAACCAACATACGTACATATTATATGGGTTTCTTGAAGTAGCCAGGAAGTTCACTATTTAAAATCCAGGGTCAATGTCATGTAGCATTTACTGTTAATAGAACTTAATGAACGTGTTTGGAATGATGACTATTGTAAAAGCATGCCATTTCATGGAATCAGAAAATTAGTTCAGAGAGAACTTGTAGGGAAGCTGACTTGATTATAAGCTTCTGAGTTATGTGGAATCTGTTTATAACATCATTCTGGCTAAAAATATTGCTAGTCCCAATATCTAAGATAGAAATACATCTTCAGGGAGGAAGGGGTTAAACTGCCCCACAGCTGTGGCAAAATAAATAGTTATTCGCATTATTTTCCAAGATGAGAGAAAGAATTTATTTTGGATTCTATTACTTCTTTAGATCCAGAGAAACACAGAGGACAACAGAATTTGGATATACTTTAGAACTAAAAGAAAATCCATAACCTGATTCCTCTGAGTCTGTGTAGATTCTAGAATGTATGTTAACTGAAAAAAAAAAAAAAAACAGAAAGCAATATTGTGAATACCAACAACTCTCTCTTTCATTAAGAAAAATGGATGAGATCAAGTCAGGGTTTAAGTGTAAGACAGAGAAAGAAACCTAATTAAAACGAGTGTAAAAGCATTCTAGATAATTCGACAAAAATGTTGAAACACGGAAGAGGGTTTCTCTTTATGAACCTTACAGATAAAGAATAATTTCTTTCCTAACTCATTGCAATTAACTTTAGCTGACAGGAAGGGAAAAAATAAAAAAAATATGTAGTACAAAAACATTTGAAAAAATACTACAGTTAATCTTTGGATAACAGCACCAATGTAGCTTTAAAATTTGTTATAATACAGACTTTTTCCACCTTCATTTTATATAATTTACTAACATATATAGATAAGAAAAGTCTTTATAATCCTCCAGCACTGTGTTTACTCACCCAGATAGTTCCAGGATTAACTATTGGAGGCCTCCACAGATGTCTATATCTTATTCTTTACCTTCCTTGAAACTGGAAACCATTCCCTGTGAAGAAATATTACGAAAAGTTACACAGATGGCCTTGAAACTTAAATATATAATTGGAATTTCTCTTTTCCTCACCAAGGAAAAGAAACAGTTCTGGTTGGAGGTGGGAATAGCTAGTTATCCATGACCCAATTTATAGCTCTATTTCTAGCCCATTAAATTCTATATAGGCAAAAGTTTAAAACTAGTCCAAGAAGGCAAATGACATACTTTTAAGCACTTAAGAGAAATTACCAAGTTGTCTACTTTCTCAGTGTAGGACTATTATTTTTTGGGTTGTCTTTTTGTAAAAATTTTTAGTGTTGAACAAATAATAAAAGCAATTATACAATGAGTGAGCATTCCCTTAATCTATTCCTAAGAAAAATAATTTCTTGTGGTACAGCTTCATTTTCATATGAAAAAATTTTACTGATTTTTATAGGCCTTTTATAAATGAACATTTTGGAGAGAAAATGTGGAGCCCGGGGAAGCATGTCTCCAATAATGCAAACAGTCTTTATTATAATAACTTCCTGGATTTTCTCATAGCTTAGACCCCTTTTTGTTTTTAATTGACGTTCTATTTATATTATGCTAACATAATTACTCTTTGATATGATGAAAATTTGATGGCTGTTCTCTTTATCAAGATGTCAGGATTTTTTGGTATATAACACTTTGTCATACATACTTTAAAAAATGGATACATGCCCACAGTCAACATGTAAGTCATTTTATTAGGAATACATTTGTTCATTAAGCCAATATTTATTGAGATCTTTTAATGAATCATAAACAACTCCAAAGAATTGCATGATCTAGAAAAGTAACCAGACAAGAAATATAAAATGAAATATACACATGGTATAGTACAGAAGAGATATTATTTGTTCAACTGGGCATGCCTCCCAAAGGGCATGTCTATGCTGAAATTTTAGAGTTGAGTGGTAATTAACACAGGAAAGATTTGGAGAGGCTGTTTGTGGTGATGAAGGCACAGAGGTGCAGGAGGATGGAATAGCTGTATGAATAACAAGTAGTCTGCTATGTTTGGCTGGCACAAGGGTCTGAGTGGTGGATTGGTAAGATCTGAGTTAACTAGGTCATCCGAGACCAGCTCTCTAAAGACCAGGTGAAAAGTTTACAAGGAAGCTGTTGAAGAATTTTAAACAGAGAGTAACCATGTAAGATTGTATTTAAAAACTAATCCAACAGCTGTCTTGAGAATTAAGATTGGAGGAGTTTGAGACAGTAGGCAGAGAAAAATAAGGCAGTGAAAAGGAGAGAAAGAGGGAGTGAGGTTTATTACAGGGATGACAAGCACAATGGAAAGGATTTGGGTAGGGAGAAGAGAGAAAACTATACAAAATATTTATTGGGCAACAGACTGGGCTTAGTGGTGACTTCCTCTGAGGCAGAATATAAAAGAGGAAGAATAGGGTCTGGAGGGAAGACAGAGATGGGTTTTGGGGATACTAATGGATGTTTCAGTATGACCCCTAAGTGGATAATTAATCAGTTGTGATATTAAAAATATTTAATAACTAATGCAACAAAGGCAATGCTTAATACCGTGGATGTTGGCAAATTCCCTACCGTAAAATGCTGGAGGCTTCCTGACTTACCAAGCAGCAGGGAGGGAGAAAGAAACTTAACTGCTGTAAGGTTGGAAGGTCCATCACACCAGAGCTGGAGAACTGCCAGTCCAGACGGAAGGTACTTAAAGGGTGTGACAGCAGCTTTAAATGGCTTGTTAGTGCAGTTGACACCTTCGCAGCCATACCAGTACACCGGGATGAATACCAGCCTTGTACATGTGCATCTGCGTATCAGGAGAGCAACCTGTATTAGACATTGAGTTTTGGGAGCCTTTTCCCTTTGTGCCAGTTCCCAGAGTTCTTTGTAAGAAGACACTTCCTACTATTTCCATTTTATTATTCAATAATGGATGCTTTTACTCCATTTCTTACAGGTTTATTCCTAAAGAACAGGAGTTTCCCCTTTCTCCATGTTCATATTAAATTAATTAAGTGGTTCTTTTTTATCATAGTATCAAACACAGATTCAAAAATAAAACAAAGACAGACATTGATATGGCATTTTAAAGAGGATTCTTTTAATTTTCTATTTAGAATAATATTAAATAATGACTAAATATTATCTGCATTGTTTCTTACTATGTTCTTGATAATTTCTTTTATTTTTTTCATTTTCTCTTCTTTTTTAGAAAATCAAAACTTGTATAACCTAACAGCATGTTTCAGAAGCACCAAGCACTGTAAAGATTCTGAGATTGTATTCTTCTTGCAAGCTAACAAGTTAGACTGCCACTGTTTCATGAATTCTGGCAGAACATATGACACTCTTGAGTGAGGCACAAATACCTTTATGAGTCACAACAATTCCAGTAGCCAGAATATCAGCATTTTGTTGAGCAAGTTTCTCAAGCTCCAACTCCCAGAGGGCAAGCCAAAGACAGTAGGTGAAGCTCGCACACGAAGTGAGTTGTGTTAACAGCAGAAAAGCACAGAGTTTAGGGGAGCTAATTCTTCTATAAAAGCAGTAAGCATGCCTTCACCTTGCTCCAGAGGTAGACATTATTTTACTTTACTGGACAGTAAACAAATCTGCCCTTTGTGCTTGAGGGAGATATTATTCCTATCTTCCAAGGCTGTGCATTGTACAAACATCATTGGAAGGAGTCCAGACCAACATGTACAGAAATAAAAGAGATCATAGGGGGATTGTCTTCGTATGTTATCTGCACATTCCTTTACTATCCTGACTTCTGGACAATTTCTCTGTAAGTACACCTCTTCATTGACCACTTCAGTTAAACTGTCCATTAGTAGCTGGGACCAAATCTGTTCAATTTGTTTCATTTAGCATTTAACTTAGGCCACTATCAACACCACCTCAAGCAGCAGGATGAGGCCGTTCTGCATATTTAAACCACTCCCCAGCATCCTGGTCTTAACCAGTTGAACAAATCCCATAAGCCATCAGGGTCTACCTTGGAAAGCCATGCGACTTTCTCCTTAGGTTTCTGAATTGACTATTCCATAGGGCTGGAGACCTTAATCCTGAACAAAAGAATATATTAACAATTACGGTCTCCACCTTTGCATGCAAGAAGGAATTTTAGGGCATTTTTAAATCTAAAATAGGTCACTGAATTGAGGCTGACCTGAAAATCTTCTAGGGCCAAGTAATATTTCCTTATACACTTGAAGTTCTCTTATGACCACATCTGACGAGCAAGACATCTTGTTTGCAGAAAGAAAAAAGTTAACAACTGGCTTCTACTCAGGAAATATAGTTGAGTAGTTCTCAGCGTTCCCAGTTTAGCTTGAATAACTCGGTTTAATCCCTGTTTGCGGAGAGCCTGCTGGGGGCATTCAGTTCAAGCTATACCGTATACTGTATTCTATGTTATCAGCCGGATGGCATGCTTCTCCCCGGGGAATGACTAAGGAGCAGCTGTAAAAATAGGCATGAAGCAGAGACAGTACACCTGTGTTGACAAGTTGCTTAGAAGATTCAGAAGAAGGAGCCATTCTTTGCAGTTTCTATAGATTTCTCCATAAGATTAAGGCAAATAGTGATCTAATTGTGGACAGAGATGTCTGCTGGGCATAGCTAACCCAGCAGGTGGTTAAACTGAAACTTCTTGCAACAGTTCCAGAGAGAAGCCCCACAGTGATTCCTTCATGAGGAAGGCTCCAAAGGCAGATCTGAAAGATGAAGGTCACCGATATTCCTCCTTCCCCTACACCTCTCTCAGGATCTGATATACTTGTTATCTGGCACATTAGGTACCTGGTTGTTGCTCTCCCTCTACTACCACAAAGCCCATGTGCCACATTTTAGTAGAAATAATTTTACTTATTTTCTTGTCAGAATTTTTCTCTGGAAGAGTCAGGTGTACGAAGAGCAGGGACAGTTTTATAGAATTTACAGAGATTTGTTGTGTTCTCTACATTGGCTCACATTGCCAATAGTAGTGTATTGGACCAGATGATCACTATCTTTGTGATCTAGGATTATGCCAGTATTACAGGAGAATACAGGAAACTGAGCCAGAATTAAGCCTAATTTCCCTAGGCAGGCTCAGTGTGCATTCCAATCAGGCTGAATTGGTGTTACTTTTACAGGAAAAAAATGAAGCATCAGATCCAGAAATGGTAATGGCAGAAACCTGAAATGCTTATATATAACTTCTGACTTGTTTTGTCCTGATAATTACCCAGAAAGCACTTGAGAGTGGATTATTTCTTTCTGGTGATAGCTACATTCATTCACAAAACTGCCCTGTATGTGAACCAAAAAGAGGTAAGGATGGTGGCAAACTTCTAATGTCAACTTTTAAAGAGGCCTTTCTAATGCTCAGAAAATACTAGATGACTGTGGATGAGAACAATGGGTGACCCACTGAATACCTTGACAATCACTTATTTTTTTAGTAGGTTTTGTGATAAAAGGCCCACCACTGCCAAATTTCAAATGGTCCAGAAAATTGAAAATGTGACCCATATTAGTTTCAGGAGCTACAGCGATTTGGCCTGAGCCAGCAGTTGGACTAGAGCTGCAACTCTCTAACCTAAAAAAGTGTCACTGATGCTGAAGCATGACTGATAGTTCCATATGGGGTTACATGCCTGATATATTCATTCCGCCAAGAATGGGCCAGTGCAATACTGCATGCCATGCAGCTTCGTTACCTTGAGATAAAAGAAAAAGGTCAACATTTCTGGGGAGTCACAAATGTTGCATGTAGTGGTAGCCTCTGCAGTAGAAACACAGAGTTTTTATTTTGTATCTAGTCTAAAATGGTGGATGTGTTGTCACGCACATGCATACAGGAAGCAATGGTAACAGTCTAGGCGGTTCTTGATTCCAATTGTTCTTATAAAAACTAGACCCTTATCGGGGGTATCTAGACGACTTACCCAGATCAGCATTCATGATTTGTTTTTGTTTGTGGTTTCAAAGAGGAGTGACTTTAAAATGCTAGTCTGCAGCTTTCCAAACAGCAGATCCAACACTAAGCTATTGGAATGGACCTAAGAGTCAGTGCTGGAGAAAGACATTATGTTTAAGATAATGGACTATAAATAACCCTGCACTGTGCTCCAGAAGGAGACACTATCTCTGTCTTCCAAGTCTGTTCACACTACAAACTTCATGAGACAATAGTCCAGAAGAAAGGCAGTCAGATGTGAAGAGATTTCCCAAGGAGAAATAGTGGACAGAGGCTTAACTATTCTGAGGACATAATCTATTAACTGCTTCATATGGTTGAAGTGCCCTAATTCCTTTTTTAACCAAGATAAGTGACAGTGACAACCACCAATTACAGCCTTTTATTCTCTAATTAGACCAGTGACAAGTGGGCATCCTCTATTTTCTAAGAGAATTTATTATAAGAGCTGAGCATATACTTTAAAATATATATAACTAAAAGAAATAATTTTGGCCGGGCGCAGTGGCTCACGCCTGTAATCCCAGCACTTTGGGAAGCCGAGATGGGTGGATCACGAGGTCAGATCGAGACCATCCTGGCTAACACGGTGAAACCCCATTTCCACTAAATATACAAAAAATTACCCAGGCATGGTGGCGGGCGCCTGTAGTCCCAGCTACTTGGGAGGCTGAGGCAGGAGAATGGTGTAAATCCGGGAGGCAGATCTTGCAGTGAGCCGAGATTGTGCCACTGCACTCCAGCCTGGGCAACAGGGCGAGACTCTGTCTCAAATAATAATAATAATAATAATAATTTTTTTCAGAGCTTACCATCTATTCATCCTCTCTGTTTGTTATTATTTATATAAATTATCTTTTGCAAACTTAATATTTGAGTTCGTTTAGTAATATTTGTTCAAGGGTATAGTTGAACAAGCACAACATATCCAGAGGAAGAAAGAATTGTCACATGAGGATGACCAAAAGACTTTCTAGAGTGAAAATAAAGGATTTTCCATGGATATCTAAGACATTCACTCATGCTAATAGTAGGTGTTCTATATTTCAAAGCAATAAATATTTTACATAATTAATGCTAAAATGGTTATTGTGCAACCATTCCTAGCTCCTGAGGTCTCCTATATTATTTGAGCATGGGTCTTCTCATTTCAAAGGTAATTGGATGCTGATAGTTATTACAGAAAGGATGAATAAATTATCTCTTTCCAATGCAGTCATAATTTCAGCTTCCATCATGAACTTCCCTATTTAGCATCTACATTAGTTTGCTAGGGTTGTCATAACAAAATACTACAGAAATTTATTTTCTCGCAGTTCTACGGGGTTGAAGTTGAGAACAAGCTGTCATCAGATTTAGGTCCTTCTGAGGCCTCTCTCTCGGGTTTGCAGATGGCTGCCCTCCTGCTATGTCTTTACGTGGTTGTCTCTGTGAACACGTGTACCTTTGATGTTTCCTTGTGTGTCCAAATTCTTATTATGTGGACACTAGTCAAATTGGAGTAGGGCTCACATTAACAGCCTAATTCAACCTTGATTACCTTTATAAAGATGCTGACTCCAAATATAGTGACAGACTGAGGTACTAGAGAGTTAGGACTTCAACATCTGACTTTTAAAGGGACGCAATTCAGTCCATAAAGCATGTTTTGTTTTTGTTTTTGTTTTTTTTTTTTTGAGATGGAGTCTCACTCTGTCACCCAGGCTGGAGTGCAGTGGCCCAATCTTGGCTCACTGCAAGCTCCACCTCCCCGGTTCACACCATTCTCCTGCCTCAGCCTCCCGAGTAGCTGGGACTGCAGGCCCCCACCACCATGCCCGGCTAATTTTTTTGTATTTTTAGTAGAGACAGGTTTTCACTGTGTTAGCCAGGATGGTCTCGATCTCCTGACCTTGTGATCCACCCACCTCGGCCTTCCACGGTGCTGGGATTACAGGCATGAGCCACCGCGCCCAGCCCATAAAGCATGTTTCTTTAAATATTAGCATTTGAGGTATTCATTTCACCGGTGTTACCACCTCTCACACACTAGGTATCAGGGCAATTTCCGTAACTGCAATGCACGGTCTCAGAGAAAGGACAATTAGAAGCCAAGAGTCGGCAAAGAAAGAAAAGGTGTGTTTTGCCCATCTTCCCATGATGCCTCAGAGAGACATGGGGAGTGGAGGCTGGGTGAGCTCCTGATCACACACATGGCTTTCTAGTCGAGTGAAGGGACCTTCGATAAGGTAAGCATGAGAACAAACTGATTCAAAGAGGGATACACACGAGTTTCGGATTTGAGAGCCAGGCTGTCTGCACTGGTTGATAGCTTTTCTTTACAGTTATCTGAAAACAGGGGTATCTGGGAAATTTAATCCCTCTCAGCATCACAGCAAAATCAATGTCAGTGTAGTTGCTTCCATGAGAAGAGGAGCGGTGGCTGAGGTTCTGGGAAGCACACTTCAGACAAGGCCAAGGTCAAGGCCTGACTGATTCAGCCAGTAAAAACACAATGGCCTTTTTAGATTCAGACACTTTTATCACTTACATAGACCATGCAAGTAAGTATAGCCAAAGATGCCCGCTCCCTAGCTCCTTATCCCACACACCAAACAGATGACACTGACATAAAAGTCACAGAATCATCACAGTACCAGTTGTGGAAAACTCTGCTGAGATTCAGTTCTTGAATGCAAAATTCCTTTTATGATCTGCAACTATACCCCGAGATGGAGTGGGGACATAAACCCTCAGAACCCCAGAAACAATGAGAAACTATTTCAAAATAGCCTCCCAGGGAAAAAGAGGATGATTTGGAAATGGCCCTGAGATAGAGCCTCACAAGCCTTCTATCTTTGCCTGTTGAGGGAAAATCACAAACTATTCCTCCAAGACTCGAGGAACAGTGTTTTAAGCCTTTGCCTGTATGGATATGTGGATAGGTGTAAGGTCTCCAGGCCACCATGCTGATGCTGTTCCCCTACAGATCTCCCTGGCTGACTGTCCATGAAGCACAGAGTGAAGATTCAGGGTCATTTTTAGACAATCCTACCCTTTTATCCCTTTTATCACAGATATAGTAAATCAATAGTAAATAAGAAATCAACATCCACCCTGAATCATATGCAAAAGAAATGATTTCTGGGTATTGGTTTGAATTGCAAAATGCAATTTAAACATTCTGTAGTCATAATTTGATCCCCAGGTCACAACATAATTCATTTTAGGAAAAAAGAAATCAAGTGTAAGACTGAAAGCAAGGATGCATTAATCAGGGTTGCCTATTATTTCTTCCTTTGATCTCCCTGACCGTAATATTACTGACAGGAATTCAGTCATGCAGTGGGAGGTTACAGGGCCCTTTGTAAAAAAAACAAGTTTTGTAGATGTTTTAAATTTTAAAACACCACAGTCCTTTTAAAGTCATTTTGCACTTAAATTATTCAATGTTGGCAGATAGTTTAAGTCATCTCATTAATGGCTGTATCTGTGGGTTGTTTTTTTCCTCTTTCATGTAAATCATAACACATTGTAATGATAGGGTAGGTCATGTAGGGTTTCTGGAGGCCAAAAACTTTGAAAGAAACACAAGGATTTTTAGAAATGGAAAGCTTCATTTTACATTTCACTCTGAAATATATATTTAAAAAAACATGAGATTGGCATCCTCATACTCTGATTAAAATAGATTCTTTCAACAAAGTATCATTTTAGTTATGGCATGTATATTATCTGATTTTTTTTCAAAATATAAGAAACTTCAATTTATTTCCTGCAGTAACAGTATGTGATTTTTTAAAATACATATTCACACTGATAAATTAATATCATTAACCAAATGATCATATAATTTTCATTCATCACCTTTGCATGTTAAAAAGAAAATATATTGCATCCTAATACCTTTCACTAAAATACTGCAGAAGTAGACAATGTTAATAAGTATAGTGCTCAGGAGGCATGAAAAGAGAGTACTGGGAGTCAGCTTGAGAATGCACAATAAGGATTAGTCACATTGCTTATTCTGCCTCATACTCCACAGCAGCTAACTAAATCTGTACTGTATTTGTCATTAACAACAAAACAAGCTCACAGTAGAAAAAGGAGAGAATCATTAAATGGTAGGAAAAGATATATATTGGTCATCTAATACAACAGTTTGTAATGAGAGGAGCAGAAATTCAAGGAATCTGCAGTATGATCCAGTGATTTGCTGAAAGAAAGTATTAGATATTTCAATCACTTGTGATACATTGATTCCATTTTCATCTTATTTTTTATATTTTAAATGTGTAAATTTGTTTGTACAGGTAGTACATGAATATGATTATACATTATATAGTTGTACATGAATATAATTTATAAAGAATATTAATATGCTATATGTGTATGCTGAATTACTTTCGTTCTTGAAGATGAGAAAACAAGTAAGTTTAGGAACTGAAGGGATAATATATTTCTCTTCTTTTCGGCAAATCATTGAGTTATTCTTCATGTTGTGCCTGGAGAGGGAAAGGGCAAAAAAGGTCACGCTACTTATATTACTTAGGACTGAGTATTCAAAGTGTATTAATGACAAAAATATTTTTAACCTCCAGTGAGCACAAAAGCCAATTGTTAACAAAATAAATACTTAACTGGCTTCTCACAAAAGTCAGATTTCAAAATAGCACATGGTATTCATTTTTTACTGCTGCTATAACAAATGCCCACTAGTTTAGGGGCTTGAAAGGACACATATTTGTAGAATTTGATCCTTCTGGAGGGTAGAAGTCTGAAATGCATCACCAGGGCTCTGTCCTCTGCAGGATCCAGGGAGACTTTGCTTCCCTGCCCTTCCCGGTTTCCAGAGACTGCCTTTCTAGACGTCTTCAAAGCTAGAAGCGCAACATCTTCAAGTCTCATTCTCTACCCCTTTGCTTCTGTAATTACATTGTCTTCTGACTTACCCCTTTGCTTCTGTAATTACATTGTCTTCTGACTTCAGAGGGGCCCACCTGGGTAATCTTGGTTAATCTCCTCGTTTAACTTTATCACAACTGCAAAGTTCCTCTTGCAATATCAACTAACAGTCACAGATTCTGGGGATTAAGACATGAACATCTCTGGAGACCATTATTCAGTCTTATAAGTCATTTTTAGCTTTCTGAAATCTTCCTGATCAAAAATATTTTCATTTTGTTCTAATATCCACTCAAAAACCTGTCTTTACTCTCTTCCTTCCATTAATCTCTTCAACAGTCATTTAAAAATCAAGTTACTTTTCTACACTGAAAGTGTAATCAAAGTGTCAGTAATCAAAGTGTCAGCTTCAACATTTTCATTTCTTTGAAAATCCCAAGAAGACTTTGTTTGAACAAAGCATTCTTAAGTGATGGAAAATTTACTGAAGCTTTTGTAGAAAAGAAAGAAAAAGTTTACATTATACCTGCCCATTATGCAGCAAAAAACCTTAAATGTGTCTCCTAAAAGGGAAGCTCACCAGAAATCTGTGGCTTTCAACACCCCATGCTCTTCTTTCAACTCTTGCCTGGATGTAGGAGCACTTTAAGAAAGGAGCAAAATGCCCATTTAAATTACAGATGAGCTGGCTCAGTATGTGTTTACAAATCAAAAATAGATAGCAGCTTCTGTATGCTGCTTTCTGGGGTGATCATGAAAGACAGAGCTGGGGAAAATGCTCCCAGTGGGCAGAGTTTCAGGAGCAGCATCTTATCATGTACTTTATACACACAAAAAAGGACCATGGTATTAGCAAGTCTATGGCCTTACGGCCAGAGGGTAAGGCCTGGCTAGTTGTTCAGAGGCTTAGAAAGAAAAGGATTGGAAAATATGAGGCAAAGAACTCAGGGTTAGAGGCATGAAGATAGACACATGGGAGTGGGCACAAACTATGATGATCTTTTTATAACATATTAACAGATACCAAAGAACATTTTGTCTCAGTTGTTGAATTAAATAACCAACTAGACAAAATGACTGGTAGGTTGACATCCATCAGCCTCTGCCGTTGACTGCTTCAGAATTAACACAATAGGCACGCAAAAGAAGTGGTCACTGTAGTAGACATGGAAAATATGAATGGGCCCAACAGAGAGGATTCTCACTTTTCATGGATAATCTAGCTATTTCCATTGCCAAACAGCCAACCTGATAGCAATAAGCACTAAGGCTGACCCCTCACCACGGCACTATTCTTCTAGGCCACCATCCAGCCACTTGCTGGGAAAGTGACCACCTTAGGCTCTTTCATATACGGATAGCCACCAGTCTATTCTCACAGAAATATAAAAAGACATTCTGGAGATCGATTTCTCTTGCCCTAAGAGCCTCAACAAGCACCACTATTTTACCATTTACGGTGTTTAATTTACTAGCCAGGATCCTGTCTAATATCACCTGAGATCAATGGACCCACTTTTCAGGATATAAGTAGGCCCTGACCTTGAGATCCACTGCTCAGATCACATAAGATCACCACCCAGGACCTGCTGGCCTGATACAGAACTGAAGCAATGGCGGATACATTTCTGAATCCCCAGTCTAGAGGCCATATTCTGTGGAGATGAGATGCTGATATGGTTTGGGTCTGTGTCCCCACCCAAATCTCACCTTGAATTGTGATAGTCCCCATATATCATGGGAGGCACCTGGTGGGAGGCACCTGGTGGGAGGTAATTGAATTATGGGGGCGGGTTTTTCCCATACTGTTTTCGTGATAGTGAATAAGTCTCATGAGATCTGATGATTTTATAAACAGGAGTTCCCCTCCACATGTTCTCTCTTGCCTGCTGCCATGTAAGATGTGCCTTTTGCCTTCTGCCCTGATGGTGAGGCCTCCCCAGCCATATGGAACGGTGAGTCCATTAAACCTCTTTTTCTTTATAAATTACCCAGTCTCTGGTATGTCTTTATTAGCAGCGTGAGAACAGACTACTATAGATGCCATCCTCTAGGAGGTAGGATATACATTGCATCAAACACCATTATGTGATTCTGTGGCCTAAAGAAAGAGTACATGGTTTTGTGATATAAGGAAGGGAAGCAGAGGTCATTATTCTCATGACCCACCATGGGACTTTGTACTTCCCATGCCTGCGACTCTGGACGCTTTAGAGTAGACATCCAGGTTCCCCAAGGGGTTAGAAAAAGCAAGTTTCCAACTGAGCTAGAAACCGGGCACAGCTGTCCCCTGGGCACTCTGAGGTTTTTGTTTCAAGGACAAGCAGACAAGAAGTGGAGTCACAATCTTGGCAATGGTAATTGACCTTCATGTTGATGAAAAGGCAAAAGTGGTGTTATGCAATGGAGCAGTGAATATTCGTGGCACCCAGATAATCTAGTTAAGTAGGTCTTGGTAATTCTTCACCCAATTGTGACAATTGCAAAAAGACAGATACGGCAATCTGGCCAGAGAAGCTGTGATGAACAGGAAGTCACACCCTCAGGGATGATGGTCTCGGTCTCATCATGAGGTAAGTCATCGGTGAGGCCAGCAGAGGGAGTAGCTGAGGATAAAGGGGAAAGAAAATGAAAAGTGGAAGAAGGAGTCTATAAGTATCACTTGGTCCCTGAAAATTAAGTACAGCACCAGGGCTATAGTTCACTTAACTAATCTGTTATACTTTTACTCTCCAAAAAAAAGAGTGTCGTGAATTCATGGAGAGCTAATTGCTGAAAGTATATGAAAAAGTGAATCCGAGAGGCAAAGGGAGTGCATTGTGGTAGTCAGGGGGATGTTCCTTCTAGATGCCCCTTCGAGAAAGTGCTCGCTGCCAGGCTTCAGGGAACGCAGTCTGTAGACATCTCCAACTGTCACCTTTCTGTGGTTTGTCTCAGCGGCAGACAGCTGCCTCCCTGAAGGTCACATGTCACCCAGGACAGTCCATATCCAGTTATAAGCGGAGGTGAGGATGTAAAGGCCTGGACATTTCATCTCGATAGGGAACAACACTGGCAAGCGATGTTTGCTCTGGAGTTCCAGACAACATTGCCCAGAACATTGTCAGGCTTGCATTGCTTGTGCAGCTGCCCAGTGGACAGAAAACTGAGGCAAATGCAAAGACATATACCTAAAGGAGCAGTGCTGTGACTTCACGCTAGATTCCCGGAGACTTTCCATTTTCTGCAGAGTCCCTTCAGCAGATTGGTTACCCTTGAATTCTGTGGCACAGCCCTGGGTACTTTCATAAAAGCTCCCTGTTCACCTACTCCCTCCTTTCCATCTTGGTAGAAATGGATTTCTACTAATTTCAACCAAAAATTCTTAAATTTAGGCAAACAGCCTATTTTTCGCTTACTCATTTATGTTTTTCTTTCATAAAGTCCACTTTTTATATGAAAAAATATACCAATTTATTTGGGTTTCTGCAGTAGATAACTTTCAGGTATTTGCTTTTCTCATGCATTTTTATGGTATCACTTTCTTCACTTTATAGAAAATTGTATAGAAACTGTACTACCTTTGTTTTATTATATTAAATTATTTATTACAGATATAGCAAGAAAAATATTTTATTCATATCCATTATTTTCACCAACCAAGAATATATAAGAATATCCCCACCTGGGCATACTTTTTACATAAGCACTGGTTAAATCTAGGCTTGCCCATATCTACACTTGACAAGTTTATCTTTAGAGTACGGTATTCTGTTCTATTCTCATAAGACAATTGCATTCATAGAACACAGGTTTCTTGTATGCAGCCTCAAATAAGATTATTGCTTAGTTTTCTGATAATTTAAAATAAAGAACAACATGATGTTGAGAATTCACTATTTCCAAGAATATTCTCATATCCACCCTGCTGAAAGTGATTTTTTTTTTTTATAAAATTGCTTACAGGTTGCAATACTGTATACTTCTACACAATTTTCAGTCTTTCTGACTCTCTGCAGCACTGATTTCTTAGAACTGAAATCCCCAAATGGCTGTAAAACTATGGGCAAGGGTACAAAAACCTCCTCAGAATGTATCAACTGTCCATCATAATGGTAACTATCTGGTTTTCCAGTTAGTAGAAACCTGGGTTCTCTGGGTCAGACTTTAAATGAAATTTATTTCTGTCTTTTGTTGTGGACTCTGCTCCACTACATAAGTAAACTATTTCCAAGTGCATAATTACTTTTCCCAACCTAGTTCCATTAACCTTATAGTTAGTGGAAATATCTTCCAACTTCCAAATTCTGATGTCAGTTATCTCAGTGTTTCTATGCTGGTGTTTGGTTTGTTTGTTTGTTTGTTTGTTTGTTTGTTTGAGCTAGCTTCTGGTCTGAGGCTACCACAGCTATTTTGAAGTCACCAATTATTATAATAACCTTTATATTTACCTCTTGGCTTGTGCCAGTTCTTAAGCTATTGTGTCTCTGCTTCAAACTCAGCTTTCTGTATTCAGCTTTGTTATTCTAGGAACTCTACAAACCATCGTTCCCAATTAGCTAGCTGGTGCCTCCGAGTTATGAGGAAACATGGATGAAATTTTGAAATGACATCTTGATTGCGAAAGAAGTCAGACTCCCCCAGAATACGCATGCTACATGATTTCATTTATGTGACAGGCTAAAATTGGGCAAAATAAATTTAAGGTAATGGAAATCAGGAAACGTTTTTGTCTATGGTGTGTATGGACTGACTATAATAAGAAAGCACAAGGAAATTTTCTTGGATGACTCTATCGCTATTGAGATATGTATGGAGGTATGTACATTTGTAAAGCTCATCAAATTGTATACTTAATATTTGTACATTTCACTGTGTTCAGATTTTAATTCAATTTTAACAATGCCTGATATAATTGAATCAGGGCTAAGAAAAAAATAAACTACAGAAGGTAAAAAAGGCAAAAATTCAGAGTAATAGTTTTTTTGTTTGTTTGTTTGTTTGTTTTTTTGAAACCAGGTCTTGCTGTGTCGCCTAGGCTGGAGTGCAGTGGCACAATCTCGGCTCACTACAGCCTCTGCCTCCCAGGTTCAAGCAGTTCTCCCACCTCAGCCTCCAGAGTAGCTGGGATTACAGGCGTGCGCCACCACGCCCGGCTAAATTTTTTTTTTTCCATGTTTAGTAGAGATGGGGTTTCACCATGTTGGCCAGGCTGGTCTCAAACTCCTGATTTCAGCTGATCCACCTGCCTCAGCCTCCCAAAGTGCTGGGATTACAGGTGTGAGCCACCACGCCTGGCTGTAATGGTTATCTTTTGAGCAGGCAGGTAGTGATCTGAATGAAGTATTATAGAAACTTCTGGAATGTTGGCAGTATTTGCATTCTTGATTTGGATGCTAGTTTTGTGGGTATGTTCAATTTGTGACAATTAAATATATATATTATATATATATATATATATAATATATATATATATGAAGTTGAAATGGCCTATAAATACTTGTTTTCTAAAGCCAATGATGCAATATTCAAATACTTCTTGAATTATTGTACTAAGGTAATCATTCAATAATACAGTCATCCACAGATTTTATTATTAATAGTAAAAGAAATAAAAAGAGCACACTAGGGGAGATGAGTGACAAACAAGAGGAAAATAAAAGGTAACTTTGTGAGAGGCAAAGTTTTGAATCTCAAGGAGTAGTGGAGTCTGTTCTATGCTTCATGTGATGTGGCAATAAATTTCAGCTCTGCCCTCCTGGCTGACAGCTGTTTTCAAGATGAGAGAGAGAAATAAGAATGATTTTTTCTTGAAGAAAACAGATGGTTACTTAGGTGTGTAAATTTTTTCCAACGGAAGATTACAAAAGCGGAAAGACAGGTGCTTTGTACACAGTCTTTTGTTTTATACTTTTATTGAAACTGTTAGCTGCATTGCCAACTGTCATTTTCAGTTGTCACTAAAGTAAGCAATGTAAAAATGAGAAATAAATATTATGGTCACTAAAACTGCTGTTGTGTTTGATGTGTATGTATATTGTCTGTTCGATAGATGTTTCTCTCTTGTTATATGTTTATTTTTCAATTTTACACATCTGTCTATACACATTGTCTTTCCATATATATTAACATATGCACTGTTAAACGATTATTGGCATAACTATTAATAATTGCAGATCTGCTATAAAACCACAGCCAACCAATTTTTCTACACAAGAGAAATTAGTTTACTCCAGTTTAGTAACTGAGCTACATTGGTATATAGTTGTAAGCCCTTACGTTATTGCAAAGGTGTTTTAGCGATTTAGCAATATTCTTTGTGATCTTTACTGGAGAGGAACCAAAAATACTGAGGCTGTTATTCTATGTAAATCTGTTACCCTTACTCTCTAGATTTCTAGCTAATTCCTTCCTCAGGAGCAGTCCTAAATTGTACTCTGGTACAACAAGAGACTTAGGTGTAGGCCCTTGTTGAACCAGGTTCCTTTAATTCCCAAAAGACAAAAAATAAAGAAGCCATCTCAATCCCTCTCTTCAGCTCTTTCTAATAACATGGAAAATATTTCAGCAACGGGCTTACTTAAATGACATACCAGACAGTTCACACTATCATAAAATTCTCAATATCTGAGTCCCCTCCCTTTATGACAGGAGTAGTGATGGGAACATCAAGTCATTGAGAGTAGTGTTTAAAGTTCATCTTCTGGTTGAGCCAGGGAGATGACCAGTTTCTCAGTGTTTAAAGTTCATCTTCTTGCTGAGCCAGGGAGAAGACCATTTTCTCTGGAAAGTTTAGGAAATCTGGGAACGACTGAAAAAACAAGGTTAATATCAGAGTAATGCCCTTTAATCTAACCCATAGGCATATAGGATACCTTAATTTGAACAGAATGATCGCATCCATTCTGTCTTTATTAAGCATGAGCTATTGAAAGTTCTGTTTACGTTGGCTTATATACCAGGAGACACATCCAGTCACTCTCCAAAAAAACCAAGCACACAAACCAAAACAGAGAAGAAAGAATCCAGTAAACTACAATGGTGTCATCCTACCCAAGGAATTTGAAATGTAGCAAGAGTAACACAGCTGCCATAGGTACCTCAGTGTTGAAACAAACAAATGCTCTCCTCTTAATTTGGGAAACATTATATTCTCCTGTTCTTAAAAATAAAGGTTGTTTTCAGTAATTTTCTGTTGCATTATCTCTAAATACTGAAGCATAGTTGGGGTATATATCTACTATATATATAATAAATATACATATATACTTAGCTTTATGTATATACATACATTCACGTGTAAAAAAATACATACATAGATATATTTTATATATATATTTTATATATATATATAAAGTATGTATATATACTAAACTTGAATTGGGAACACGATCTTCTAAGCATGTACATAACTAAAGATATCTATATGCCTAAATACTTCTCTAGATACTTAAATATGTATTTCCTTTTTTTGCATTGTGATTACTATAACTCTAGACAACTTCCAGCCAGAACAAATGTTACATGCAGTATAACGATTTCACTTTCAGTATAAAGATTTGAGACTATATTAGCTGAGGAATTATGTCAACTCTTCATTTTATTTTGAATAGAAGTATCAATCACTACATGAACATTTACATGAAAACAGTGTAACTTAATTTCTTTCTGAAACAGAATGTTTTTTATATTAGAGCATTTCATTTGAAATTTAATATCTGTGTATAACTGAGTCACTTTTATAAGCTATATTAAACTTGTACGTCATGGAAATAGACATGAAAAACCATGAATAAAATACAGAAAATAAGTTATTATCAAATTTCTTTTTACAAGAATGGAATATTAATAACTAATAATTGAAAACAGATAACCTTTAATCATTATTTAATATGTGTTATGTGTTTTTCTAAGTAATTTATATCTCATAATTAATTTAATCTTTACTACACTCCTGGCAGATAGATGATTTTACAAATGAATGACATAGGGCAGAGAAAGAAAAAATATTTTTCTCAAGTTTACAGCTGATTTGTTGCATAACAGGAATTTGGATCCTGACTTTGCAGCTAGTTTAAATCACAGGCTTAATTCTGTGCCGTGTACTTTCTTTACTTCTCTTGTAACTGATTATGTTTCTCCAGATTTGTATTTTTTAATCTATATTAGATTTACTTTCTACATCTTTCAGTTAACATGTTATTAAATTTTTCAAAAGTTTTAAAATTATGTGTAATTATATGTCACTTTCAAATTTGGGGAAATAAACTTGGAATGTAAATAAGTATATAATACAATTAGAAACAACCTTGTTATTTAAATGACTTCACTACTATGGATCAGAATTGTTTTTTCATCTTTGAGACAAATATATTAGAGGAAGTGGCAAATGCCCTACTATTTAGATTCTGAAAAATTCAAAAGCAATGATTCAAAAGCAAAAATTCAAAACCAATAATTTCCTTAACATGACATGAGGAAATTTTCCGACTTTGCTTTCTGCTTTCGATGATTGGTGATATGTTGGGGAAGATGAAGTTTATGCAAACTGATTCCTGACACTGTCCTATGACTTTAAAACTATTCCTCATCTAGATCTTGCTTTCAAAACACTTTGTAAATTATAAATAGCGACACAATGCCCCAAATAGTAAGTACAATGTAGAGACCTACATGATATGTATTCCCTCAAAATAACAACTACAAATAAAATACCAAGATGAATCATAAGTTTAGCTATTCTTTCTGGAAACTCATTCCAGAAAGGAAATGTAAAGTTTTCGACCTTTAATCTCACCCTATTGCACTCTGTGCTTGAAGTTTCAATAAGTTTCAAGTGACACATGAGACTAGCTAGGAGACACCGTTAAGTGATGTTCACATCTCAGTTCTTAATGGGGACTTTGTTCTTCTTTGGATCTTATAAATGGCATTTCTTTCTTATTCTTCCCTCAGTGATGGCTCTAAATACTTTGGAAGACCCTCTACCAATCACTCTTGTCATACTTCATGATGAATAGCACTGTGCTGCCCAGAAAGGAAGAAACCAAATGTGTTTGCGGCACCGACCTAGAGGCATATGTCAAAATATATATGTACAAAGCCACAAGACTTATTAAAGTCATTGTCAATTTTTTGCCCTTGAAAATTTACAATTAGCTACATGGGAGTATAAAGTCATTCATCCAACTCTTTTGACTCATTCTTCTATATTGCTTTCTCTTTCTCTCTTTTTCCCTTAATGAGAAGGATAAAAATATCGTAATTTAGATGTGATGCAACATTTATCTTTGCAAGGAAAGAGACTGATAACACTGACATTTCAAGTAAAGTGTAATTTCTTCAGAAAAAAAAGACAAATGCCATATAAACACAGCCTGTCACCAATCTTAATCTTTAGAAAACAAGGCATTAAATTCCACCAGAAAATGATCAATTACGCTTTTCCTATTGAGAGACATTAATTTTATTATCATTCATCTGTGTTCTATTTATCTAATTAATATTTAAAATATTGATATTTTTAACAATTAATTAAGTTTCCTGTACACACATATACCCAATTTTCTCTATTTTTGATATTTTTTACCTCTCGAATATCCAAAAATGAGCTTAAGTTAGCATACTAAGATTATGCAACCTTGTTTCAATTTCTCTTGATAATTATCCATGACCAATTCAACAAAATTTATCTCTAAAATATTTGCCTGCCTTCATGATCGTCATCAATGCTGTCCTATAACAATCTCTCATCAGCTTTCACTTGGACAACCTCATAATTGTTCTTTCTCCATTTGGCCCCCTTAAATAAATTTCCATCAAGCCTCAAGGATGATATACCTAAAAGGATATATACACCTAAAAGGATATAGGTGATACACCTAAAAGGATGATACACCAAAAAGGATATATTTCCATCAAGCCTCAAGGATGATACACCTAAAAGGATATATACACCTAAAAGGATATAGGTGATGCACCTAAAAGGATGCTACGCCAAAAAGGATATATTTCCATCAAGCCTCAAGAATGATACACCTAAAAGGATATATGATACACCTAAAAGATGATACACCTAAAAGGATGATACACCTAAAAGGATATATATACACCTAAAAGGATATACACCTAAAAGGATACACCTAAAAGGATATATGCCATAACCCTGATTTAAATGCCTAATTGTCACCCTGGCACATATTATGATAGTTCATCAGTGGAAAGGCTTAGTCGGAGAAACTTTTCTTTTTTTTTTCTTTGAGATGGAATCTCACACTGTCGCCCAGGCTGGGTTGCAGTGGTGCGATCTCCGATCACTGCAACCTCCGCCTCCTGGGTTCAAGCGATTCTCCTGCCTCAGCCTCCTGAGTAACTGGGATTATAGGCACCCGCCGTCACGCGTGGCTAATTTTTTTTTTTTTTTTGTATTTTTAGTAGACACAGGGTTTCACTATGTTGGCCAGGCTGGTCTTGAACTCCTGACCTTGTGATCTGCCCACCTCAGGCTTCCAAAGTGCTGCAATTACAGACGTGAGCCACTGCATCTGGCCAGCTGAAGAAAGTTTTTTCCACTTGAATTTTCAGCCTACCCTACTCCTTTCTCTATTATTATATAGCATAAGCTTAGAAGCTATTCCTTTCAATAGTCTCCTAGGCAATTCTGCTTCTAATATCATCACTATAACCCTTTAGCCATCCTTCCTCACTCTGACTTTACTGACAACAGTCAATCTGCTAATAGTGACAAAGTTTTTCATTCTTCCATCTCTTTGTATCACCTAGTGTAACTCTCATCACTCTCAAACTGCCACTTTACACATTATTAATAACCAAAGAAGTGGTTATTAATAGGGTTAGGGTTAATTTTCTTAGCAATGGTTATTAATATGGTTATCAATGTTGGCACAATGATAACCAAATAATTAGCTGTTAATAATTTGTAAAGTGGAAGTTTGAGAGTGATGAGAGTTAAACTAGGTGATACAAAGAGATCTCTCTGCGAACCATATTTATCTACCCTTTCATGTTAATATATTTGCCTACAACAAGAGTCAGTCCTCTGCCTGTGTGATTTTGTTAGAACACAGTTACACTTATTGCCACATATGTTGTTAATGTCTATTTTTGCACTACAAGAGTAAGGTTGAAAAATGTAAAGACCAACACATGGCCTTCAATGCCTAAAATATTTGCTATTAGGCCTATTATAGAAAAAGTCCCAACCCCTGACCTACAATGTACTTTTATTCCTTCAACTACCTAATCTCTACTTACATTCAGATCGAGATGCATTAGTTCTACATGAAAACAAAAGAATATGCATACTGCCCATTGAAATGGGGTTACCACCACTTCTCTAAGCAAGCCTTTTTTTCCTGAACAGTCATACTCTTTAAGCATACATTTATTCTATAGAAATTTCCTGTTTATTTTTCTGTCTTTGCTGTATTCTCCTTTGTAAGAGATACTTTTCAATTTTCTATCTGCATCACAAAAACCTAGAGCATAGCAAGCAGATAATATTGTTGCAGACTTGAAATGGCAGGAATAGTGCTGGCAAGTGAAGATCCCACCATTATTATCTGCCTAAAGTCAAAGGGATGACAAAGTAGTAGGAAAAATGTTGTGATTACAATTTCTTACAATACAGCCTTATAATGGCACTAGTTGAAATAACGAGTAAAAAAACAATGGAAGTTAATAAAGAGAAAAAATCTGATTACCAGAAAGTAAGTCTGTCAGGAAAGTTTTGTTCTAAGAGGAAAAAATAGATTTGAGATCCCAACCATGTGCCAAATGCATCTTGCTAGGATGGTATTAATGATCCAGTTTTCTTATTTAGCTAAAACCCTAAGAAAAGGAATAATATATCTATGCCCCCAAACTAGGAAACAGATGAATGTTACATTCTGTCACTTTCTGAAGTTCATGGCTCTTTAGACTAGATGAGAACAAGTTGCCCAAAAATCTCTTTTCCCAAAGCAGTGATGTGGGATCTGAATGGCTATTAAACAAGCTCAAGTGTGGAATGTACACATGCAAAATAGTTTGATTTATCTCTTTTTACTGCCCTAGAATGTACAGTTTTACATTTTCCTTTCCTAATGGGAAGCCGATTCCTTAATGATATCTTAGGATGCTACCATTACTTTTCATTCACTTTGATATTCTAAGGATTCTGCCCAGCCTGGATGAAAATACTAACCTCAACCCTTCTCAAATCCTGTCTCCTACCCTTCCCTCAGTAGGCTCGTACTTGGGAATGTGAAGTGGATGAGGAAAGGTAGCTGGGTTTTCACTAGGTTTTGAACTACAGATTGTTAGAGTGGTGGATGAGGGGTGGGGAGGGCATGATTTGGTTCTAGGACAAACTTTTCTCTGTTAACTTCCAGTATCCAGTTCTCTCTTTTTTATATAACAGCATTTTAAGTATTGTTAATATATCTCTATCCTATCTCTCAGTTCCTGCATTAAGAGAAAAAGACTATATACAAATAATATATCCCTCATAAGTATCAAACTCAATAAATAAATGTACCCAATAAATACAGCATTGGAATATAAGAATATATTTTAGTATATTTGTTAACTATGTAATTTGAATAGATTAACTGAATACATTTTTAATGTATTCAGGAATGTGAAGAATACATTCACAGAAATACATTTTGAAATGTTCTGCCATATTTTCAATAAAAGACATATGAACAATAATACATCTGCAGGGAAAATAGTCTTGAGTTTTTTTGTTTGTGATTAAGGAATTTATAAGGGCTTTTTACATCCTCTATTGGTTTTTGAAGGCTGTTGATAACTCTGGGTTTGAAGGTATTCTCTCCTCCTTTTCAAGCATACGACTATCCCTTCTCATTCTGGAGACATGGGCTGCTTAAACCAGCATTTCACCCTCAAATATTTCCAGCAAAGAAAGAACCAGGCTCTGTGCTCACAGTTTTCCCCAACAAACAGGTGATACATGTCAACTTTTCCTATGAATATTCTACCCATACTGTCCCCAGCCTGGTTATATTGCTAATTCCACAATTTAGCAAACTCCTTGCCAGAGATCAAGATCTCAGTGTCCTCTACCTGTATACAATGCAGCCATCAAAAAGAATGAGATCATGTCCTTTGCAGGGACATGGATGGAGCTGGAGGCCGTTATCCTGAGCAAACACACGCAGGAACAGAAAACCAAATACTGTATGTTCTCACATGTAAGTGGGAGCTAAATGATGAGAACACATGGACACATACAAGAGAACAACAACACACACTGGGGCGTTTTGGAAGGTGGAGGGTTGAAGGAAGAGGGTCAGGAAAAACAACTGATGGGTATGAGGCCTAATACATGGGTGATGAAACAATCTGTACAACCAGCCCCCATTACAGAAATTTACCTATGTAACAAACCTGCACTAATACCCCTGACCTTTTAATAAAAGTTAAACACATATAAATATACATATGTATATAATCTCTTGATATTGAAGAGTTCGTGTGTATATAATATGTATTATATATACACAAAGTGTGGCAGTCAGGGCCATAAGAATGCTCAGGGGAACTCAGGACAGAGCAGGGATCTCTGCAATGAGGTGAGACAAGGGATAAAATTAAGGAAATTATGTTATTTCAATGTTAAATGGTGACCCAGAAGGCACAGAGCTTGAGGATGCTCAGATCGCACCAGTTATTAAACTCTAACTCAATATGAACATATTTTCCTCCATCTTAGAGGCTCAGGATCCTTTTTTGTTTTAAGAGAGAAAGTCTTGCTATGTTGCTCAGGGCTCAAATGATATTCCAGCCTCAGCGGAATACATTTTAGTGGCTCATTTTCAAGTCTTAAGAGTTTCTCAAGTGATCATCTATTCTGTTCTGCTACCCTACATACACACACACACACACACACACACACACGCACACACACACACACTTACTTCAAAATCAAGAGATTGCCCTCTTCCTTGGTTTGGGAAATGGAAAATAAAACATCTCAGAAATCCCAAAGCAACATAATTCTTCATTTACTTTTCCCTAAAGGCTATATAGATGGAGATAGATAGGTGCGGACCCGGGGTGATGGTTATGGAATACCAGAACCAGCGTGGCCATCTGTTAATAAATTCTCAGACACAATTATGCTTATAATTTTTATAGTTTCTTGGTCATGTCTTTGGAATATAAAATATTGAGTGTCTCTTTTTCTTCATTCTTGAATTCTAGTTGAAAAAGCCAAAGCAACTGGAAAGATCCATTCAAAATTACATCTTATAAGTATTAACAATACTTAAAAAGAGAGGGGACGCTGGTTGAGAAAGTCACCTGGATCTGAATAGTAAAATATACGGAGACACAAAAGTACACGGTGTGTTGAACAACCCTGAATGCTTAGAATTTTGGAATGTAAAAATCAAAAAGTAAAGAGGAGAAGGTGAAGAGGGAAAGGTTTTCAGGAAACAGATGAGCAAGTGTCTTACATGCTCTATTTAAAGTTTCAAACATAGTCAAGAAATTTGTTTTTTTATATTAAAGCATATTCTCATCTAGATATGAGAGAAATTTTCAGAAATGTGTCTCACATTATTTGCTTTAAGCAATTCTACCAAAATTGAATATCTTTATCCATTGGATCTAAAGAGACTCATGGCTGGGCGAAGTGGATCACACTTGTAATCCAAACACTTTGGGAAGCCCAGGAGGGAGGATCCTTTGAGCCCAGTAGTTTGAGGCCAGCCTGGGCAACATAAGGATAACCTAGCTCTACCAAAAAAAAAAAAAAAAAAAAAAAGTAACCAGGCATCATGGCTCATGTCTGTGGGCCCAGCTACTCAGGAAACTCAGTGGGAGAGGGTCTCCCAGGAGGCTGAAGCTGCAATGAGCTATGATTGTGCCACCGCACTCCAGCCTGGGCAATAGAGCAGATTGTCTCAAAAGATATAAATAAATGAATAATTACATAAATTATAAAGAGCTTCACAAGTATAAAGGGTAAAATTTATGTAAAATATATTTTTATTATTTTCACAATGTCTTACTTAAAACAGGAAAGATTCTCAACATGATTTTTATACACTTTAAATTTTAGCATCGAAATTTGAATAAAGATGTTGAAAATAGTTCAGTTTACAGCTCTGTGGGGAAACTCCCGAGAACTAGATGGTTGGAACAAATATCAAATCAGAAAGATATTAAAGATGGCTGAACAAGAGCAGGCCATTAGGTGGAATATATAGAAATCAGTTAACACCAAAAAAAGTAAGTGTGCTGCATGTTCTGAAGCTATAAATTACCCTGAATTACTCACCTATCTAAAGAATATGATCTCTGTGGGTTTTTAAGTGGATATTAAAGGAAGTCTTATTATGCAAAGAGCAGATTTTTATAACTCTGGAAAGAATATGCCAAATAGTATAAAAATCTGGAAGCATGGTTGAATAACATTATCAGTTTCCAAAGATAAAATAGGAAATTCTAAGAATAAAAGTGTTGTCCATTTTTATGCTACATTCTCCAGTAAAAATAGCCAATGTTTCAAGTGATGACAATAAGTAGGGACTGAGAAGTATAAATTTATTCTATAAGTAAATGATATTACATTGTCAAAGTGAACAATGTATATTTGATTAAAATGTACAAATATGAAGAATCACAAAGTGGAATCTTCATAATAAGACTCAAATATTGAAATCTGATTAAAAATAAATGAAGCATGAACATGATTTTTTCTTTTTTATTGATAAATATTCTCTGATGGGAAATATCTGTTGAAATTTTTTAATGTCTAAAAAGTTGTTTTCATTTGTAATAAAATGAATATTATATAAGCATAAATATTTTAAATATTAAATTTAAAATTTTTATATGCTTCAATATTACATTCATAAAAGATGTTTAAAGAATCTACTGACAAGATAATCAGTAGAGATACATTTATATTTTACAAATTAAAAAAGGGCCAGGTAAAAGGTAATTTTAACGTGCAGATAAGGTTTTGAAAAGAGGTGAATAAGTCTAAATACGTATGCCAATGAAATTGTCTACTCTAATTGGATAAATTTTATTTTGAGATGTTAATATAAACTTTGTTTAACTCAGGAGAAAAACATATTTAGGCAAACACTACAAAGCATAAAACTTGCTGCTCAAAAAATCTAGATGGAAAGCTAGCCTTTAGAGAATTATTCAATTAAAGTATAATTTTATTTTTTTTCTTTTTTTTAATTATACTTTAAGTTCTAGGGTACATGTGCACAATGTGCAGGTTTGTTACATATGTATACATGTGCCATGTTGGTGTGCTGCACCCGTTAACTCGTCATTTACATTAGGTATATCTCCTAATGTTTTTCTAGTGTGTTATATTTTAGCTGAGAGTAAGAACCTAATTTCTTAGTGGAAAAAAGCAAATGTAGACAGTCAAGGTAAGGTGTTTCAAGTAAAGGAGAAAGGAAAAGGCAAGCCTCATGGCCTTTGTATCACTTGGAAGTCATACTTTATGTCATCATCACTAGTGACGACACACATCTCTTAATATCACTAAGTCCTCTGGCTCTACTTTGTATGTATGGCATGTGGATATCAATCATTTCTAATATTTGAGTTTTGGAAACAACCTTACACATTAAGTTCATGTAATCTCTAATCATCAAAAATTGCAAAGTCTTCATTGTGCCCTGCAAGCCTCTACTAATCTTCAGGTTTTCACTAGCTCTAAATTTACTCTTATGGTAATTTATATAAAACCATTTCATATAATAAACTGCATATATAATTGAAAAGGATTTGCAATTATGATAAAATAGTTATCTAATTGCTTTAATTCTCCATTATTTTCCTAGTATACTACTGAATTCCTGAATTTCCAATTCAATGTGTGCCCTAACTTTAACAGTGTTACTTTCAACGACTTACTCTCCACATAGATTCTCATGCTATTTAATTTTTGTTATGAGCAAATATAACTATCTTTATTGAGTCATGTAGGATGTTGATATAAACTTTGTTTGCAGCTTATCTATTATATTTTGAGAATTATAATACAAATCATAATACAAGAGGTATGTACAAGACATGAAGATCAAAAAATAAACACAAAAGTAAAGTTTTAACCCACAATTTCACAGTCTTACAGGGAAGATAGACACATATCAGGTAGTATAATAATGTGTGAAGTGCAATAACAAAGATTCAGATAACACTGTGAGTCCACAATGAAAATACACTACTCAGACTTGGGAAATCAGAGGCGGTTTTCTAGGTAAGGTAATGACTAAGCTGGCCCTAAAAGAACACACTAGGAGAAGTGTAATGTGGGACTGGAGAGATGAAGGAAAAGGTGTCTCAGGCTGAAAGAGCCATAGGAACAACAAGAAATAATTATATACATGGAAAATGTTCAGGAAATTAAAAGCAGGAACAGAAGCATAAATTCTAGAGGAAAAAGATTCAGATAATAAGATAGAAGAGTGCAGTCATGAAGATTCCTCTCAACTGAAGTGGTTTTAGAAACTGAAGGATTGGAATGTAGAAAGATATTTGATGTGGGGAGTTAGGGAGGGCGAGGTGATAAACATTACTCCGAGATTTGGACTTTGGGTGGAAGATCATAATGGCAAAAAACCACATAGGAATACAGAACAAAAGGGTACTGCTTACGTAGTTTATCCATTAGAGTTGTAAGACTGCAATCAATAGAAGACAATGTTGGCTATCTTAGGTAGAAAGGAAACTTGTTGGGAATAGTAGGCAGCCTCTAAGATGTTTTCCAATCATGTGAATCCCCTAGGATTCACAGCCTTGTATAATTCCCTTCCACTGACTGTGGGCTGAATTTATTGACTTACTTCTAATGAATAGAATAAGCTGAAGTGATGGGATATTACCTCAGGGATTAGGTTAACAAGAATGCTGTGGTTTTAATCATGGATGTTCTCTCTTTCCCTCTTAGATCACCAACCCTCGTAAAACCCAGCTGCCATGCTGTAAGAAAACCTTGTAGAGAGGCCCACATAGCAAATTTGGAAACAAACTTTCTGAGGTCTGCCAACAGCCACATGAGTGAGCTCACCTGCCCCAGCTGGGGCTGGCAATAGCTGCAGCCCCACCAACAGCATGATTGCAATCTCATTAGAAAACTAGAGCTGGAGGCACCCAGTTAAACCACTCCCAAATCCCTGAGCTACGGACACT
Source organism: Homo sapiens (assembly GCF_000001405.40). Classification (NCBI taxonomy): domain Eukaryota; kingdom Metazoa; phylum Chordata; class Mammalia; order Primates; family Hominidae; genus Homo; species Homo sapiens. Next base: position 20,755,218 of record NC_000021.9, read on the forward strand.
GTAAGAAACAATCAACGTGGTCATTTTGAGTTGTTTCATTTTGAGGTAATTTGCTTTATATCAACAAATAACTAACACAGGAAGATATCAGATGGGGCATAGTTAGAATAGTAGCCATGAAAATAGGACAGCATCCAGAAAAGAAACCGAAGCAACAAGAACTGCTCAACCACGCAAGCGGGATGCCATCGTTGAAATAAGTGGACTTCAAGTTTTTGGTCCTTGTATTACAATATCCAGAATGATGGAGAGAGAATCCAGTTGTCTGTTTCAGAAACATGCTCACCCTTAGACCACAATATGGTAAATTAAAATACCTGCAAAAATAGCCTTTTACATTCTCTAAACACTCCTTTGGCATCTGCAGTGAGAGGGCAGAGCTCCTGAACTGACAAAAATGCATTCAAATGAGAGAGAGAGATTTTTCCAAAATAAAACCAAGCAGCCATCAAGAAAGACAAACTGGTGTTGGGTATACAACACACAGTGAATGCCCACTGTCTGGGGAGGAAGGAATCAACTATTGGACATAGTAACGTTTTTATGACATCTAGGTGAAGATGTATATGAACAGTTTAATATATGGGTCTAAGCTTAAATGAGAGAAGCCAGGACATAGTTGAGAGTCATCAGCACTTAGCTGGCATTGGAGTAAAGATAAATTTATTGTTTCATTTGTGGGAAGCAGGTCAAATAAGAAGAGACTTTAACTGATGGTGGGATGCTATGAAGTACCAACAATGCAAAGAAATATTTCAAAGAAATATCAACATTTTAAAGAAAAAGAGAAGCACATAAAGATAATAAGAAATAACAGTAATTTGAGAAGAATCAACAGAATCTTGGGCACCAAAGTCAAGGAGAAGAGAATTTCAAAGAAGTGACTGGCAGTATCAGTTGTACTAGAATATTTCAGTAAAATATCAACTACAAAATGGCCTTTACTTTTGGAAATCAATGTTGATAGATACCTTTCCTGAAAACACGTCAGTCATATCAATATCAATATCAAAATCGTGTTCATAAAAGTTGGTGGCTATTCCTTGCACTTAGAATCAAGTTCCGAGTTCTAGGCTTACTTTCAAAATTCTCACATAATATATCTGCTCAATTTAGCACCTGTAAAGACTGCTTATCTCCCTGGCAAGATTATATTTCACTTCAAAGATGGAGACTGTATCTTGCTTTTCTATCTACTATAATATCTACCCTAATATGAAGAATATAGGAAGTTATCAATAAATCCATTTTTGAAAAAAGGTGTTTACATTGTTCATTCTATTACATATCATTTATCTTCCTCTCTATTTTTATAAAACCTAGACTGTTAATAAGCCAACTTGAATACAGTTTAAATTAAAAGCTGACACTAAACAAAGTCTTTCTAGTTCACTTGCTCTCTCTCAAGCATGTGTGTCTGAATTTCCATGGAGTCAATAAAACAGAGTTATAGAGTTCACTATATCTTTAATCTTTTCCCTCTTGTCTACTAATTGCAAAGAAAGCAGACTGAGTCTAGATACTGTTAGGCTGTTTATAATTATCCACCTTTGCTTGACTATGCATCCTTTCTAGTACAGAAAACCAATCAACAAACAAACAAAAAAAACAACCAATTGTCACTGTGTGATTTATTTCCTAAACTAAACCACCATCAAACAGATAGCTACACAAATATAAGCACCACTTTTTAACAGGCAACATTAAGTAATGTGTGAAAAATAAGCTTTAATATTGAAAAAAAGAAGTAAGCCTAAAAAAATGTTGTAATGTGTGCAATCTACACCATTTCTGTTTTTAATTTAAGAGGTGTTATGTTTGAAGATTTACTGGTCCATTGTAACAGCAGAGCAAAAGGGTTAGAGGAGTACTTGGGGTCAACAAGATTCCAGTTTTTCTTTACTCTTTAAGCCACTTTTCTAATAATCATGCAAACTTGGGGAAAATATTTCATAAACCTAGTTTTAAAAGTAAACTCTTTTTAGTATTTGTTTTAGTTACTTTGGTTATATATTTGGAAGATCTTTTCGCAGGTTAATAGAAATACTGATTTGTTTCAGTGTCTCCCAACGTTAATATTTTATAAGTCTTACATGCAATTTGTGACATGACTTATTTAAAGTTAGCGGGAGAGCAGCCATCGTCCTTTGCCAATTCCAGTTCGCATACTAAATGCAGGCATTCTCATGCAGTACAGCACCTGCATAAATTTGAAAAATTGAGAATCATGAAAATGGTATTTCAATAGCAGTTCAGTTCAGCAAATGGACAAAATTTATCATGCGACATAACACCTTGAACAAGGTTAATGCCCTGTGGAAACCATATTTCCCTGAAAAAGATTTTGTTGTTGATGATGATGATTTTCAATAAACACATACATAATCCTTCAATTGCACATTTTTTTCTCTCATATCTAGATAGTGCTAAATTATAGGTCAATATCATAAAAAGAAAGAAAAAACTATAGCTACAGTAAAAATAATGTATAAGAGGCATGTAAACAAATAACACACATGCACAGCTAAATGGGAGAGAGCCAACAACTCTTTTTAAATAGTGAGTATCTGATGGAATTTTATTTTACAAAATGTGTTAATGCTTGCTAATGTTTTTAATATTTTTATCCATTCCCAAATTCAAAGGTAATGACAATTCTGACAAGACAAGAAATTATGATATAGTTACATGAATTATACAGCTAATAGTCATTTTGTGCTCTTTCTTTTTAACCAGGGAAAACTGTCCCATTTTAGTACACACACAAAGAGAGAGACACACAGAAAGAGTGAGAGACAGACAGAGAGAAGTACACACACATACACACACACACACACACACACACACACACACACGGAGTAAAATAGTCTGCCCCTACTGTCAAGTTAAAAATTATCAATTATGAGGAATTTGGCAAGTGTGGATACTTTGCAGAACTTGAAAACGTGTAATAAACTTTAAAAGTTTGTCTGTAATAAATGGTTTCTTGATCTGTGCTCCCATCCCATACTCATCCTCTCTTTCTCTCTCTCTCGTACACAAACCATAGAATTCTTTTCACAAGGAATCAAAGCAAATCAAATTACTGAAATTTCTGGAAGAGCTCAATCTTTCTTAGCACTGAAAATAACAGATATGGGCAGAAAACTTTATAGGGGACTCAGGAAATAAAATAAATATATTTTTGAACATAGCAATAATTTTTACTTGGCCTGTAAAAATTTGTAAAGTTTCTATTTTGTTTGATTGAGATGGAAGGGTTCATATGGTATAATTGGCCCCTATGTTTAAAATTGCACCTATATAAAATTATAATCTGCAAGGTAATTAACGTAGTACTTTGTAATTCCTATTTTTACAATTTTTTTTTTTTTGAGATGAAGTCTACCTCTGTTGCCCATGCTGGAGTACAGTGGCGTGATCTTGGCTCATTGCAACCTCCACCTCCCAGGTTCAAGCTATTCTTCTGCCTCAGACTCCTGAGTAGCTGAGACTACAGGTGCCCGCCACGATGCCCCGCTAATTTTTTGTATTTTTTAGTAAAGACAGGGTTTCACCATGTTGGGCGGGCTGGTCTCGAACTCCTGACCTTGTGATCTGCCTGCCTCAGCCTCCCAAAGTGCTGGGATTACAGGCGTGAGCCACCGTGCCCTGCCTTAAAAATTAATTTTTAAGATGCATGTTAAAAAATAAGCTTAAAGCAGCCGTTTTTCAAAGGAGAAGTCAAAATTCTTTAGGGGGATATAGCAACTACAGTTGTCCCAGTAATTGAGGGGAACGTCTTCCTCTTCAGCTTGATGACTACCAGGGAGATGACAAAAGAAAGTCTGGCAGGCTTTCTGCGACCCTTCTGCTTGATTTGATTTAACAATTATTTAAACGTTGATAAGTATCTCTGGAACTATTTTAGGAAATTATATTTGAACTTTGAATCTTTTTATTGTGCAAGAATGTATCTGTGATAGTATGCATAATTTTCTATACATATGTATCTTATGTGTATATATATGAATACACAAATGTATACAGATACATTCATGGGGGATATTGGAACTGCCTCAAGTGCACATATACACACACACACTCACTCTCTCACACACACAAACACACAAGTAAGCCTTCATTCAATGGTTTAAATTTCCTGTGGAATCTTGTTTAAAGGATTTTATGGCACAATTTTTGCACGTTAAAATGGCATAAGATTTTCTTTAATAACATTTTATTTAGATACTGTGAACTAGGTAGTATGAGAATATGATACATTTCTCATATTCAACTAATACAGGCAAGTCTAATCTTATTAACAGTGCATAATTGAATGTCTATGACATGCTAATAGGTAAATGTATTATTGCTATTAATACAAAAGTGACCTGAACTCTTATTACATGTGTAGCTAACATCCTGCCTATATAAGAAGAATATAGCTTATTATCCTGATGACATAGAATAAATATAAAAATAAAAACAATTTTATAGTTTGATAGATAGTGGAAAGACAGTATTTTGCTTTGGAAGTACTAAGAGATATGAAAGTCAATAGTGCCATCTTTGTACCATTTATCTTTAACTATTTCTTCTGTCAGATACTGGTGACAGAAAAAATGATCAAGATGTCTTTCTTCCCTCAGAAAATCTAGAGTCTTATTTTCATGTTCCCTATTTTCTGTCCTTCTCTCCCAAACATATTTTCCCTGCTTGCCAATATTTCACCTTCGTTTCTGGCAACAGACACAAGCACATTCATACAGCAGCATTGTAGAATTTCCTTAAAGCGACCTTGATTGTGTCAAGCATGTCAATGACAATACTTTTGTGGTAGTCTCTTTACATCCTAAGTAATCTAGGACTAGCTGTAGTCAGAGATAATTCATTTATAAGAATAAGAAAATGCTTAGGAGTCGATGTGTTTTCTCTAATGAATAGTTCAAAAATTCATTTGTTTTAGAAATAGATGTGTTCATTTATGCCTTTATTCACTTTAGAAATATTTATAATCTGATCTATCTGGGCTGAACACTCTGCTATGAATTTAAAAATCAGAGGATATGAGTCTAAAGTAGAGACAATTAAGTGAACAAGTAAAATATAAAGAAAAAAACGGCTACAGAAAATAATTTCAGACAGGGAGAGTGTGCCAACTCTTTCTGCAGTGTTGCAAGAAAGCTTCTGTGAGGAGGTCATAATTGAGTTGATTATTTAAGGTTGAGTAGGATTTTACCAGATGGTACCTCACATTGGGGATGTGGGAGGGGAAGTCACTTCTGCCAGAGGAGAAATCACATGAAAAAGCGTAGAAGAGAGAAAGGATAAAAATTTTAGAGACTTGAAGTATATAAGAAGAGACTTGTGTGTTAACACTAAGATACATAAATCCTAGACAATAGGAGGTATTTAAAACATAAAGTAAGGAAATGTCATCCTTAATTTTTGTTTCATATTTTAACTTTTAAATCCTTGAGTGAGCATTTTAATTTCGTGTTTTTAGTTATAATCCTCACACTTTATAGGGAAAATATTTTGAGTCATGTAAGATTGGCATTCCTCTGGAGTGTTTTCATAATATACTGAATCTCATTTGTCCTTTAATTTATCAGACTAAATTGTTATTTCTTGCTTATAGCTTTACATCCCTTGTGATTCAAGGATAAGAATGATATTTCTTATACACTTAGAGGGCCCCTAGGATTTCAAATACAATAAAATTGTAACAATTATTTGGTGTATAAATGAATGAATGATCCACTCTTCCTCTCTCTTTGCTCCTGGGAAGTACTTGCTCCTTATCCAGTATCTTACATCTCAGTAAAGGCCACCACAATTTAATCAATTGCTTGGGACATTTACCTGGGATTTTGTTTTTAACTCCTTTCCTTCACAACACACATTAATCCATGAGAAAATCCTATTAGTTTTTTTCTTCATATTATGTCATGAATTTAACAACTTTTCACATGCTCAACTATTGCCTGAACTATTACAATTTCTTACTGACTGATGTCCTCAGGTTACACTTGACAGTTCCCGTAGAGGAGTGTTATCTTTTAATATAAATGTAAATCTGATCACATTGCTGTGTTCCTCAACATGGTTTTTTTGGTTCCACATCTGTCTATGATGTAGAAAACTGAAAAGAGCATCATTCCCACTTAAACAATTAAAGGCCAGATACACTACAAAATTAACGCTTTCTTTGAACCCATAAGTCAATTTCTACTATTCCACATATAATATTTAACATTCAATAACAAAATAAGCAATAATTAAAACACAAAAAAAGGAAGAAAAAAGGATTACTAATAGACAAAGCAATCACTGGAACCAGACTCAGGAATGACCCCATGTTGGAATTCACAGAGAGACAATTTATAATAACTATAATTAATATGGTAAACTACCAAGTGCAGCATGGAAAAATATATGGGGAATTTCAAAAGATACAGAAAAGATATTTAAAAAGGTGAAATGGGGATGCTAGGCAAAACACAGACACTAGACACTGACAAACACACACACACACATCAGCACTACTGAGAATAGAATTACTTAATTGGAAGCCAAAGCAATATACGTTACACAAACAAAACATGAGAAATATAGTATCTAAAATAAAAGAACTGTGGGACAAAAACACACAGCGTAAAACACACAATATAATCTGCATGCAATTTGACAGAGAAGAGAAAGGATGGATGAGAAAAACAGGACACCAGACCCCCCCCATAAAAGCGCATTCACACACACACACAAAAATGAAACTCTGTGGAAACCGCTAATATAAAAGTAAATATAAAAATATTTGTTTTTCTTATGTTCAATGACTCTAAAACAGAGGTCCTCAAGCAGGAAAAATTTTGCCCCTCAGAGCGCATTTGGAAATCTCTGTAAACACTTTTTATTTTTAAGTTGGAGAGTAGGGGGTGCTACTAGAATCTAGTGGGTAGAGACAAGAGATGTTGCTAAACTATATATAGTACTATAACACAGGACAGCTCCCAACAACAAAGAATTACCTGATCCAAAATGTAAGTAATATTGGTACTGAGAAACCCTGTTAAAATATAGTTGATGTTCTAAAGGAAAATGATATTGTTTTATGTGGCTTTATAACATAGTTAAAATTAAAATGTGTGAATATAATGGCACAAAATTGGGATAAATGGATTGGAAATAGAAATCTGTGAAGTTTTACAATAAAGGTAAGATGACATAATATTATTTGAAGAAAGCCTGTAATATTAAAGATGATATTGTAAATCCAAAGGTAACCATTAATATTGTTTTTACAAAGATAATGTGTGGGTCCAAATAATAATGAAATATTGTAAATAATATTTAATAAAAAATAAACAAACACACGACTAATCCACAAGTGAGAAAAAATTTTTAAATGGAGGTCAGGGGATGGAAAAAAACAGATTGAATAGAAAGAAGTTACTAAGATGGTGGATTTAAATTCAACTATGTCAAAAATTATATTAAATGTAAATGGTCTAAATACAACAATTTAAAAATATAGATGGTCAAATCAGATAAAGCCATATTAAATACAAAGACATATACAAGATAAAAGTACAAGGATAAAAAAATAAATACCATGCAAACAATAAACAAAAGAATGCCATAGAGGCAAATTTTTAACTGACAAGCTTGACATTAGAACAAGGAATGTTATTAGCAATGAATTGTGACATTACATAACAATAAAAAGGTTAATTCACAAATAAAAATGTTTAAACTTTATAAATGAATAGAACTGAAACTAGAAATAGAAAAATGTACAATTATTGTTGAAAACGTGAACACTTCACTCTTAGTAACTGGTATACCAAATAAAGAGAACATCAGTAAGAATATAGAAGACCTGAACAATGCTCTCAATCAATTGACCTAATTAATATTTATACCATACTCATTCTAAAATATCAGAGTATATATTATTTTTATCTATACAGATCATATTTAAAAGATAGATGGCTTTCTCAACCAAACAAAACCACAAAAATGTCAAAATAATTAAAATTAGAGCAATTGATGTTCTAACTTTAAAAGAATTTAACCAGAATTCAATAGCAGAAATCTGAAAAAATCCCCTCAGATTTAGAAGCTGAACAATTTGTTTTTAAATGGCAGATTTGTCAAAAAGAAAGACACCAGGGGAATTGATAAATACTTATTTGAATGAGAATAAAAACATATTAAACAATATTAATTTAGTGTTTAGGGAAAATTTTACAGCCTTAAAAGATTACAATAGAAAAGAGGAAGGATAACCTCTCAAATAGAGGTTTAAATGTTCACCTTAAAAAACTTTAAAAAGAAGAGAAAATTCACTAGAATAAAGTGAAAATATACAAACAATGAAGAAAAGAGATAAACTAAATTAATTTTGTAAAAGAAAAATGATAGAGAAAATTTTGTGTAAAATCTGGTTATTTGAAAAGATCAACAAAATTTATAATCCCCTAGCTTAGAGGGAAAAAAATAAAGAAAGAATACATAAATCATCAATACCAGGAATGAAACAGTGGCCACTGTTATACATCATAAAGACACATTAGAAGTATAACAATACACTATGATAAAAAATTAATACCCCTAAACTTGACAACTGAGGTGGAACAGCAAATTTATTGAATGACAAAAATTACCAACGCTCACTCAAGAAGAAATAGGTATACTAAGTAGTCATAAGCCTATTACAGAAACTGAATTATTAAAATATTTTCTATAAAGAAAACTTCAGGCTCAGATGCTGTGAAAGCATTTGCCACCAAATTTTAAAGAAAAAATAATATAAATTTTCCAAAAACTTTTCTAGAAAATACAAGCAAGGAAAATACCATTCACCTCATTTAATGAGGCCATAATTATCCTAATAAAAAAAACTAATGCCATCTACCAAAAACATACAAATACCATATTGTACAAATATTATATGTAATGAAGAAAGACTGAATTCTTATACACAAAGATCAGAAACAATACAAAGATGATCATTCTATACATTCTTACCACTTGTATTCAAAACTGTACAGTGCAAAACATTGATGAGAGAATTAAAGAATATTTAAATAAAACATATTTGTGGATTTGAAAATTCAATATTGTTAAGATGGCAGTTCTTCCACAACTTATCTATCCATTCAATCCAAATACCATCAAATTACAAAAAATTGTTTGGCTTTTGTTTTTAGAAAACAACAAATGGATTCTAAATTTTATCCAGAAAAAGAAAGGAATTATAATAGGCAAAACAATTTTGAAAAATAATAAATAAGAGTAATCTCTTCAAAGACTCCCTTAAAAAATAAAGTAACAAGCCATTGACTGGAGTAAATTATTTACAAAACAAATTTCAACATGAACCTCTAACCAAAATATATAAGATATTCTCAAAAGTCAATAATAAGACAAAAAGTAGTTCAATTAATAATGGGCAAAATATTTAAACAGAGAATTGATTTCAGAAAAAGATACATGAATTGCAAACAAGTTTTTAAAAAGAGGTTCAATATCATTAACCTATATGGAATTACAATGAAATATCAATATGCTTGCAAGTTCACACAAAATTTTGGCTTGTGGTTTCTTCTAGAAATGTTAGCCTTAACTTTCCCACTGAATTTAGTGATCCATTTTGAGTAAATTGATAAAAGACACGGGTCAAGTCAATGCTTTTTAGTTTTCCATACTGAGATCAAATTTTCTCAGCACCACCTGTTGAAAAGGCTATTGTATTTCCATTTGAATTGCCTTTGCATCTTTATTGAAAATTATTTGACTAAATATATCTGGTCTATTTCTGGAATTTCTATTTATACCATTATTTTAAGCTTCAATCTTTTTGTCAATACCACGCTATCTTAAATATTGCAGCTTTATAATATGTTAGAATCAATTGTCATGACTCCTTTAATTTTATTATACTATTTGCTTTTACTTTTTACTTATTTTTTTCTCATGTATTAAAACACAAAATCCATAATGGCAAAGGCAAATATTGTCTATTTATGTCGATTTTGTTCACTCCATTTTTTCTAGTCACTAGAATAATGCTAGGCATATGACAGATGCTCAATGAATATTTGTTGAATGAACAACAACATATGAAAAGCCTTTTTAAATTAGAAGCACCATATGAATGAAGATATTTGTTATCATCGTAATTTTTTAAGAATATCAAGAATCTAAGACTGCTTAGACTTCTAAAGTTTTATGCTGCATGTTCTTTGAGTTTGTTTGTATGGACTCTTTTGGCAGTTGTATGACAGCTTTCATGCCCTTCTCAGAATATTTTTACATCCTTATAATAAACTCTTAAGAAAAAACCTACAAATATGTTGAAATAAAGACACAAAATAATTTATAAATTTTTTTGTTATACTAATATGAGTGTCTCACTCTTAAGTACATTAATATGTTTTAGCAAGATGCAGTCTAGTAATCATGATTGCAAAGTAGTGATGAATGTAATTACATGAATATACAATATCTCTAATGGGATAGTGCAAGGAAAATATGTATGATTTTCATTGGTAACAAAGTACTCCAAATACCACTGTGATCTGTTATCCTCAGTTATGATTGAAATAAAAAAGATGTTAAATTTCAGTTGAAGACTGGAGAAGGCAAATGTATAAGGTTTTTATTATTTTCCCATCTGAGTTTATGAACTCATTCAGGCGTACCTGGAAGATATTGCAGATTCAGTGCCAGACCATCTCGGTAAAGCAAATATCTCACTAAAGCAAATCACACAAATCTTTTGGTTGCTGGTGCAAATAGAACTCCTGTATACAATATATAGTAGTCTAATAAGTGTACGATGGCATATGTCTAAAAATGTATATACCTTAATTTAGAATATTTTATTCATACAAATTATTTAATAATCATGTGAGCCTTCAATGAGTCTTTTGTTGTTGTAGTTGTTGTTGTTGTTGATGGAGTGTGTCAACATAGATGGCTGCTGACTGATCAGGGTGATGTGCTGAAGGTAGGGGTGGCTGTGGCAATTTCTTAAAGTAACACAAAAATGATGTTTATCAGATCAATTGACTCTTCCTTTTAGGAAAGATTTGTCTGTGGCACACAATACTGTTTGATAGCATTTTACCCATGGAAGAACTTTCAAAATTGGAATCAATCTTTGCAAATCCTGCCTCTGCTTTATCAACTACATTATGGACTATTCTTAATCCTTTGTTGTCATTTTAACAATGTTCACAGCGTCTTCACCAGGAATAGATTCTGTCTCAAGAAACCACTTTCTTTGCTCATCCATAAGAAGCAATTCCTCATGTGTTCAAGTTTTAGAATGAGATTGCAGCAATTCCTTCACATCTTCAGGCTACACTGTCAATTCTAGTTCTTTTGCTATTTCTACCACATCTGCTGTTAATCCCTCTACTGAAGTTTTGAAGCCCTCAAAGTCATCCAAGAGGGTTGTGATCAACTCCATCCAAACTCCTGAAAATATCAATATGAATCTATCTCCCATGAATCACTAATGTTCTTAATGGTGTCTAGAATGGTGAATATTTTCCAGGAGGTTTTCAATTTACTTTTCCACAATCCATCAGAGGAATCACAATCTATGGCAGCTATAGTCTTACAAAATAAGACTTGAACAGAGAAATTACTCCTTGGTCATGGGCTGCAGAATGGATGTTGTGTTAGCAGGTATAAAAACAACAATCTCCTTGTACATTTCCATTAGAGCTCTTGGGTGACCAGGGACATTGTCAATGAGCTGTATAATTTTGAAAGGAATCTTTTTTCTGAACAGTAGGTTTCAACTGTGGACTTAAAACATTCAGTAAAGCATGTTGTAAACAGATGTACTGTCATTCAGCCTTTGTTTCATTTCTAGAACACAGGATATGTAAATTTAGCATAATTCTGAAGGTCCCTAGGATTATTGGAAAGGTCAATGAGCATTAGCTTCAACTTAAAGTCAGCAGTTGCATTAATCCCCACCAAGAGAATCAGTCTATTCTTTGAAGCCAGGCATTGAATTCTCTTCTGTAGCTATGAAAGTCTTAGATAGCGTCCTCTTCTAATAGAAGACTATTTTCATCTACATTGAAAATATGTTGTTTAGAATAGTCACTTTTTATCAATTATCTTACTAAATATTTGTAATAACTTTCTACAATTTCCACATCAGCACTTGCTGTTTCATCTTGCCCTTTTATGATATGTAGACAACTTATTTTCTTAAACCTCATTAACTGATCTTTGCTGGCTTCCAGCTTTTTTTTTCTGCAGCTTTCTTGCCTCTCGCAGCCTTCACAAAACTGAAAAGAGTTAGGGCCTTGCTCTGGATTAGGCTTTAGCTTAAAGGAATGCTGTGATTTGTCTGATCTTTTATCCAGACCACTAAAACTTTCTCAATATCAGCAATAAGGCTGTTTTGCTTTTTTGATCATTTACATGTTAGTGAAATAGCACTTCTAATTTTCTTCAAGGACTTTTCCTTTGCATTTACAAATTGGCTGTTTCACACAAGAGCCTTAGCTTTCAGTCTATCTTGGCTTTAGACATGCCTTCCTCACTAAGCTTTATAATCATTTCTAGTTTTTTATTTAAAGTGAGAGGTGTGTCCTTGCCTTTCACTTGAACACTTCGAGGCCATGGTATGGTTATCAATTGACCCAATTTTAATATTGTTGTGTGCCTCAGGGAATAGAGTAGTTTGAAGAGAAGGAGAGTGATGGAGGATATGACAGTTAGTAGAGCAGGCAGAACTCACACATTTATCGATTAAATGTGCCATATTATATAGGCACAGTCTGTGGAGCCTCCTCCCTCCCAAATTATAATAAAGCATCAAAGTTTGCTGATCATAGTTTATCATAACAGGTGATTTTCATAATGAAAATGTTTGAACTATTACAGGAATTATCAAAATGTGGCACAGAGACATGAAGTGAGCATACGCCATAGGAAAAATGTCACCAACAGACTAGCTCAATATAGAGTTCCCACAATCCTTCAATTTTCAAGGAAAAAAAAAAGAAAGAGGAAAGAAAAAATCCCACAATAACTTCAAAGGGTAATAAGGCTAAGTTCATTAAAACAAGATATGCCTATATTGTATTCATAAAACTATTTTTAATATATAATAGAATTATGTAATTCATAAAACTCTTGAATGACTTGAGACTCCAGATTAAGATTCCCCGTCTAATGAAAATGTGTGTTTCTTGAAATGCTACTCATTTGCAAGAGTAGAAGATACTGTCTTTAAAAATTTAACAACAATGATCGATATCATAGAATATCTGACTATATATATATCCACAGGAATTTTATGAAAGAATACAAGATAGTAGAAATAAAATTCATACAAATTTTCTTACTGTGAGTGAATCAGGGAGACTTCTCTTTCCCTACAAAATGGTGTTTGCTTTTAAAATAGGTATCTTGGGAACCGTAGCTATTTCACAGAAGAAAGATCTGAAACAGTCTAGTGCTTAGGTTTCCAGAGTTGGCTGCAAAACAGCTCTCTTGAAAGCTTCTGATAGAATCCAGAGATAAAGAGCCAAAGGTATCAGAGAGGTCTGCCAAAAGAGTCTATAGAATTGGAAGTATTTGTAGAGAAGTGTCCCTAAGGTCACTGATAAAAACTAGAGGATAGTCCACGGAGATAAGAAACTACCAAGCATAAGAGAATAAAAAATTTCTGCTGAGAAATACCGAGCTAATCCATCAACTTTATTTTTTTAGTCCTTTTCTATTTCACTTTTCTTCAATAAAGTCTTTGTTTTGACACTGTAGAAAGGTTTTCACAAACAGTTAGTAATGGAAAAATAAAACAATCCTTAAATTTACTTTCTAAGACAAGTTTATGCGCTACAAAAGAAGGTAGAAAGTTGACAGTTTTTACTATATTTGGGCTAACTATAAGCAAGTAGAGTTTACAAAACCATGGTGGGGATTTATGTAGTTGGTTCAACTAAATGGAATTCTGGCTTTTAGTGGAGAAAAAAGTAGAGGATACATTAGACAACCAAAATTTATTTCTAGGCTAAGTATGGTGGTTCATGCCTATAATCCCAACACTTTGGAAGGCCAATGGGGGCAGATGGCTTGAGTCCAGGAGTTTGAGACTATTACGTGCAACATGGTAAAACCCTTCCTCTACAAAAAAATATAAAAAATTAGCCAGGCATAGTAGTGTATGCCTATAGTCCCATCTACTCGGGAGGCTGAGGCAGGAGACTCACCTGAGCCTAAGAGTTTGAGGCTACAGTGAGCCATGATCATGCCACTGCACTCCAGCCTAGGTGACAGACTGTGACCTCATCTCAAAAAAATAAAACACAAAATTTATTTCTCTCATCCAAAAAATATGGCTTCATACAATATAACTCATTTAATAAAAGTTTATACATTAAAACTACTTTCTACTTAGGATGGATTATAGAATTGTGAGGGAAAGAATCAATATTTCTTGATCACTAATGTTTACCAGATATTTTACTTGGTGTAAACAAATGTACCATAAAAACTAATTGCTGAAGAATGATAGAAAAGACACTTTAGATGCATAAGAATCATAGAAAAGTCACTTTAGATGTTTGCCCCTAATATTCTTGGATCACTGGACACCACCTACCAAAAATAAAAACCTCAGACCATTACTCTGCTTAGGACTCCAGGAATCCCCAAAGTTAGAAATTTCTCATAAAAATCCTACTGTTTGATGGCCTATAGATCTCTGACCTAATTGTTTTTTTATCATGCTATTGACTCTTCAGTTGCTTCTATTCTGTATTAATTCATCTGCAGCAATCTGCTATATGAAGAGTGTTTCTGTTGTTTTAACATCACTGAACTATACTTGATCTCTGACAACCTTAGAGAAATTAGTCACTCTGCAGCCACAGCTTTGAGCTCGCCACCATCTTTGCCCATTTCTATATCTCTGGGTTTACTTCTCTCTTCAGAGCTTAGGAAAATAGATTCCCTTTACCATGCTTGACTAGTGTAGGAAAACATTAGAAAGCAGAAGATCTTACCACGCAGTTACACAGGTGTTACAGATCTTACTATGAAGTATTCTTTCCAGGATTCCCAAGGTGAGAATGTCGACAGGTTCAGGAACAACCTTATACTCTATCCAGAATGGCTGCTTCATGCTAGCATGCGGGCCCTCTGCTGAGTCTAGCTCCCTACCCCAGCGTTCTTTCTCTTTAATAGGCAAATTTTCTCTAAGGCAGCTCATTGTCTTTTCCTGTAATCCACATTTTATGGCATTTTATTCCCACCATCATTCTGTCAGATGTTTGTTTGTTTGTTTTGAGATAGAGTCTCACTCTTCTGCAAGATCTTGGTTTGCCCAGGCTGGATCTTGGCTCACTGCAACCTCTGCCTCCTGGATTCAAACGATTCTCCTGCCTCAACCTCCCGAGTAACTGAGATAAGAGGCATGCCTCACCATGCCTGGCTATTTTTTTTGTATTTTTAGTAGAGATGGGGTTTCACGATGTTGGCCAGGCTGGCCTCGAACTCCTGACCTCAAGTGATCCGCCTGCTTTGGCCTCCCAAAGTGCTGGGATTACAGGCATGAGCCACCGCACCCAGCCATTAGATGGGTTCTGAGTCTCTCTTTTCCATATTTCATGAGGACCTGTGACTAAATCTGGGAGGGTTGGGGTTAGATACAAGCCTAAAAATTATTACACATTTTATAATAAGGAGTTTGTGCTTGCCCAGAAAAATATTTGGTAATTCTTAGGAGGCAGACTAATGACATTGGCCAGCTTAACCAATTTATCTCAAACTCAGGGCAACCTGTTCCACAGTCCCTGACACACACATCATTTCACCAAAGTTCTTGCTATAACTCAGTGTTGTTCTTTAGAATTGTCATCTTATGTTTAATAATTTAAAAGATTGAAATCAAATAAGAAATGGCAAAATTTGAGCAAATAAGTTAGATGTAAATCCCCAAATACAGATACCATCATTCCAAATGTCATCCGCATCATAACAATTAATTGACTAAAAAGAATAATACGTGCAATGTTTTTCTTTGTAACCTCAGCACACGGACTAACACTATCAAATAAACTCAGACTGAGAATCTTTTTTCCTGAGTTAAAATCAGCATAATTTTGCTTTTAATTTTGGAAACTCAGGAGAAAAATGACCTTCCTTATTCATCCTGACTCTTTATCAAACTGTTCGATCTCTTTTCAATATTTTGTGGTAGGCTAGTAGTTATATTCATGGTCTCTGGAAACCACAATCAAACCTTATCCAAATTCCACGTCAACTACTGACTGAATGATTTGAGATGAAGTATTTAATATCTTTAACTTCACTATCTTTTTTTTTTTTTTGAGACAGAGTCTCACTCTGTCACCTAGGCTGGAGTGCAGTGGCGCGATCTTGGCTCACTGCAACCTCCACATCCCAGGTTTAAACGATTCTCCTGCCTCAGCCTCCTGAGTAGCTGGGATTACAGTCAAGCACCACCACACTCAGCTAATTTTTATATTTCTAGTAGAGATAGGGTTTTGTCAAGTTGGTCAGGCTGGTCTTGAACTCCTGGCCTCAAGTGATCTGCCCACCTCGGCCTCCCAAAGTGCTGGGATTATAGGCGTGAGTCACTGTGCCCAGCCAAGTCTTGTTTTTGAAGAAAGAAGATGATATTTATCATCCCATTACTGGATATATACCCAGAGGAGTATAAATCATTCTACTATGAAGACACATGCACACATATGTTTATTGAAGCACTATTTACAATAGCAAAGACAGGGAACCGACCCAAATGCCCATCAATGATACACTGGATAAAGAAAATGTGGTACATATACATCATGGAATACTATGCAGCCATAAAAAAGGAATGATATTATGTCCTTTGCAGGGACATGGATGAAGCTGGAAACCATCATCCTCAGGAAATTAACACAGGGACCAAGCACCACATGTTCTCCCTCATAAGTGGGAGTTGAACAATGAGAATGCATGGACATGAGGAGGGGAACATCACACACCAGGGCCTGTTGGGGAGTGGGGATTGAGGTGAAGGAACTTAGAGGATGAGTCAATAGGTGCAGTAAACCACCATGGCACACATATACCTATGTAACAGCATAACAGGTGTATACCCCTGCACATTCTGCATGTGTCTCCCCTAACTTAAAATAAATGTTTGGGGCTGGGCTTGGTGGCTCATGCCTGTAATCTCACCACTTTGGGAAGCTGAGGCAGGTTGATCGCAAGGTCAGGAAATCGAGACCATCCTGGCTAATACGGTGAAACCCTGTCTCTACTAAAAATTAGCCCAGCGTGGTGGTGGGCGCCTTAGTCCCAGCTACTTTGGAGGCTGAGGCAGCAGAATGGCGGGAACCTGGGAGGCGGAGCTTGCAGTGAGCCGAGATCGCACCACTGCACTCCAGCCTGGGCATCAGAGCGAGACTGCGTCTCAAAAAAAAAAAAAAGAAAGAAAGAAAGGAGAGATGACCAGAAATCTATAAATAAGAGCAAAAAAGAAGGAGAGATGGGTAGTAAAATCTGATGAGAAATGTTTGAAAGCAGTGATGGGGAGGAGAGTAAGGAACTTGAGGGGTCAAATAGATGGAATAATAAATTTGCAGAAATGAGGAGCAGAAAAGGAATTGTTCACTTTCAGGTTTAGTTTTTCAAAAACTTCAGGTGAAAACCGTGATCTCAGGTGAAAGCCAAGTATCATTGGAACAAAAATGCGAGGGAAAGATGAGGGGAGATTTTTTGGCTAAAAACATGTCACTATTTAATAGCAAATCATGCGATTTAAAAATACAATGGAAGAATTTCAGAATTTGGGGTGAAAGTCAATGGGGTCAGGTTAAGCAATTTAAAGATCCACGTAGATATGTGTTTCCAGGAAATGAAGCATAACAGAATTTCGTGGTGTTTTATGATACCCGATAGGCAAAAACAAAGGACATAATCAGATTTTTCTTCATGCCTTCTAAGGCTGATTGTCATGGTGACATTGTGGGAAGAAGAAAGAGGCTTTTGCTGGAAATACGGAGAATGTATTGGTTCCATCTAATCTTTATCGTTTTCTCCATCACAAGTGTTGAAGAAGTCAAAAGGGTGTGCGGAGTTATAGGATTTGCGCTATGGTACCAACAAATTCAAACAATAAAATCTTGGGAAGCATTCAACCTTCCATGTAAGATAGCATTCCAGTTTACTAGCAAATCTTACCAGAGTTTATTTTCTATGTGGATGAAGAGCCTAATAAAAGTCCCAATTAGCTTGGCATTCACTTCTGTGAAATTAGTAATGCGTATGTACATAATTAGATGTTAGACTAGAGAAATTACTGGAATCATGTATATGATTCCATTGCTAAAGATTTGTTACAGAGATGAGGTTTTTGCCTTTATATTTTATCTAGCAGAAAGGTTGAGTAGGTAATTATTTTAAAAAATGGATCTATTCAATTAACGGATTAGAATGAAAAGCTGTTAAAGAAGATAGTGATGCAATTGGTTTCTAACCCACTAAATGGAAACTTGAGGAAATAAAAAATTTTTAATCATTTAATTTATCACATAACTTTCTTTATTTTCCTATAATTTAAAAGCCTCATTTTCCCTATATTTACTTTTTAAAAATTATCTACTGATTAAATCAATCTGACTCTTCCTCTAAATTTCAATTATTAGATGTTTATACAGTAAGCATATCCATTGTATATTTCACATGATCAATTAAAAAGTCTACTATAAAATAAAAGGTTTTGAATTAAGGAACTTTTAAAAGAGGAACATTGTACAGTAGCCTTGGAATAAAAGTGTTATAGTATCTTAAAATTAATTAATCGTTTGAAACAGTCCCTATAAATAATATAAAAATTGATATGTTTTATTAATATCCAGAAATGAATCTCAATAAATCATTTCTAAAACTTAATGGTAAAAGAACAAAAAACTGAATAACAATTATTCTGGCTTTATAAATAACGGACATTTTCAAGTCACTTTCTATTTGCCTCTGAAAATCGACCCACAGTGAGATTTTGGTTGGCAATGTGGAATCACCAGGCAGCCTCTCTTATACTTCCAAGACAAAAAATGAGGTTATTTAACAGGTAACCCCTCAGCAAATTTGATCTGCGTGACCACTCTATTTCACCTGATTTCTATTTTTAATAAGTGTGTGTTTGCCTGATTAGCTTGTTTATCTAATAAGAGAAGGTCTTAACCACCTTTAAGTAAAAAGCATTTAGAAATAGCTCAAGTGGGACATCTGAAATGTACAAGAAAATTAGGTTCTTATCAAAAGACTAAGTGTACTAGGCATCTTCTGTGTGCTTTATTATAGAAGTTTGTGTTCTATGTTTGTAAATCAGATTCTCTGCTAGCTGTGAAAAAAATTTAAAAAGAAATAAACATTTTGATATTTATACTCTTTAAAACAGATTTTAGGGAGAATTTGAAGATGATCATGAAGATTTTATTTACTTAATTAACTAAATATGCTCACTTGTGGTTAACAAAAATATAATTTATTTCATCTTGAACAAGAGATATAAACCCATTAAACTTAAAACTGCTGAGAAAAAATTCCATTGTTGATTTTTTAAGAGATTGAATGTCTTCAGCATTAGACTTGATTGATATGTGGGTAGGTTGATATTGTACTAATTTTCCATGGCTGACATGCCATCAACTCAATAAAATCACACTTACAAGAATTGCTGAGTCATTTGTTGGTAATTCAATCACAATTTCAAAAGTGATTCCCTGATTTAGATGGGGAAAATTGTTTAGAATATGTGTCAATGAATTATAAAGCTTCTCTCCTGTATATGCACTTTAGATTCAAGTGTAACTGTTTGAACTAAGAGAAAACTTTTGCCCCAAAACTGATAGCTTATCGGTAAGGTTTGGGGGATAAGCTCATGAATTGAAGAGCTATTTGGAAATTTTTAAACAACTCTGGCTCAGTTTGGAGCTTCTTGAACCTGTTTAACTTTTGATCACATAGAGGTCACTAATATATATTTCTTATTTTTAAAAAATCCTCCAATTCTCACATACCAGATTATTAAATATCTTAAAGTTTCTTAGATTCTTAAATACTGTCATTTTTCAATGAAATTACTAGTAAGTACCTTTACTCTCATTGAATTAATAAAAACCTATCAATGATTAATATAAACCCTAAAACCATGTCATTGCTAAAAAGGTTACATTTTGAACAGTAAAAGCTATATTTATCCCTGCATCTTACATAGTTGATTTTGAGTTCTACAACGTTATGTTGCAAACCAATCATGAGTTGTACCTACCCATGCGTTCTAAGCTTATCTCTTCTATATCCCAACTTATTCTTTATATACTATCAATTCAAATTTATTATAATGTCCAGAATCAATCTGATGCAGGATTTTTTGCTCCTTCTTTCAGCTAATATCTGGGTTCTTGTCTCATGACCAGGAAAAATTAGGCCCACAGACAATTGAAAGGTGAGGAGAACAGAATTTATTAAAAGAAAGTTCTCAGGAAAAAAGAGGGGGTCTTGCCAGCAGACTCCCACCTCACAGAGTGAATGCCAGGCCACCACATGTGAGCAGAAGATGCCAGGCTCCTCCCCACTGCATAAGGCACAAATTCCTGTGGTTCCACCCCACTCTCCCAGTGCACAGGTGGGCCCTTAGTCTGAGCTGTTCCACATTGATTTATTTCACTTACTGTGCATGTGTTAAGGGACAGAATTTTTCACCAAGGGCATATTTAGGCAAGACCCTATGCAGGTTCTCTTATCTGCCTCCTGCCTCTATCATTCCCCTCTCTAAAGAAGTACATCTAACTTCTGTTAGAATAAGGATAAGGATGAAGACTGATCTTAACTGCTTCGTGCTGAAAGGGGGCACTGTTTGGGGAAAACAGCTGTCAGAGCTCCCTCAGAGGCCTAAGCAAGGGTCCCTGGCAAAAGAAGCCATTGTCTGAGGCTCTGGTTGCATGACTGTTTGGAGTTTTATGGCCTGAAGGCAAGAAAAGACAAACCGGGTCATTAAAAAACATGTATCAAAATAAAACAAGGGGGTGCAGTGGCTCACGCGTGTAATCCTAACACTTTGCGAGTCCGAGGCGGGCAGATCACTTGAGGTCAGGAGCTCAAGACCACCCTGGCCAACATGATGAAACCCTGTCTCTACTACAAAAAATACAAAAAATTAGCCAGCCATGGCGGCATGCACCTGTAATCCCAGCTACTCGGGAGGCTGAGGCAGGAGAATCGCTGAAACCTGGAAGGAGGAGGTTGCAGTGAGCTGAGATTGCACCACCGCACTCCAGCCTGGGTGACAGAGTGAGACTCTATCTCTAAAAGAAAAAAAATTAAACAAGATCAAGGTAAAGACTGCTTGAAAATCTTGAGAACTTTTACCAGTTTGCACAGAGAGAGGGAGTCCAAGAGCCCAACTGATTAAAAAACACTTTTACCCTTTTTGCCAGCAGGTCAGGCTTCTGGGTTCCCTTACCCTGAGCCCAATCCTAAGTCAACCAGTTTAATGTTTGGGAAATTAACTTTTCCCAGTTTGGAGGATGCATCTGAGGGGAGTGTCCCATAGTACAGAGACACAATTACCTATCTGTGAAGAGAGAACTGAGGAGGAGAAACTAAAAAAGAAGGCTTTTTTTTTTTTTTTCAAAGGAGTCTCAGGGGTTCAGGATGCATTTGAAAGTGGTACAGACTGAAGATGGATGGCTACTCATGTAGAAAGAGGGGAATGAGGCAACTCAGGTTGCCTTCTCTTCCTAGTGAATACCTGGGGTATGTGAGAAAGTGAGGCACCCTTCTTTCTTTCTTCTGTCCTTACATCTCCGAGTTCTGGCAACTGTGACAAGAGTTTCACCCATGGGTGTCAAAGCAGCTTTCATCCATGTTAACAGGGGAGCTTAGGAGATGGGAATATCTGCTCTTACCCATGTACACCCTATCTCCTCTGCTGTCAGTAGCCTTCGAGTTCCCTAGATCTTATTTATGCCATGGATACTAGCATGAACTTTATCCATGAAACAGGAAGCTTGGCTCAATCGGCAGGAATTAGTCATACTCACCTATGTTGTACATTTTAACTTCTGTTATCATCTGCCTCTGGATCCCTCAGATGCAAGTTTTTTTCCTAGGGCTTTGATCTGAAGCTAGGAATTGAGTTTGAGACAAAAATATGTCTCCAGGGGTTGCATGGACTCCTTAACATAAGCCAAATGCTGAGATGAGGCTGTGGAATTGAGTCGTGCTCCAACAAGGGAGAGAAAAGGATGTCTTGTGACATGCCCAGGTAACTGGTGGCTGTAGTTATGCTTGCTAAGATTCGGGTGCATGGGGCTTTGCTTTGGTTAGTTCCCTTGGTCTTACTTTCCCAAAAAAGAAACTTCTGGGTGATGGGCACCTTATTTATTCCCATTACCTGACTGGATTTGCAGAATAATTGCTCAGAATTAAAATATTGATCCAGAGTTTTACATTACTTATCCCTTTTGTTCCTTGTGAGCTGCAGCCAGAGATCACTGGTTGGCTCACAGAAATTAGCAGGGTTAGTCCAAAATGTAGACAATAACTTTAAAACAGCTAATGAGTCTAGAATTTAATGACAAATGTATAATAAGTTTTGAAACATAATTTCTTTCTCCAGTCTTCATCTTTGTTAAAAACAAATCATGATAGGACTAAGCTGTTTGCAAAATAAACTTTAGTCCTATACTTGGCCTGTTTATTTGCATAGAGTGTAGCAAGAATAATTATTTTGACATAGGCTTTTTAAATTGGCTTTGATGGAACGCTGTTCCACAAGGAATCTCAGATAGGACTTCCTGAAGCTGAAACCACCCATGGGTTTTTACCCTCGAATACCTGTGAATTGGTAAACTCCACTCTTCTTGAGGTCCCAAGAACATGGGGTTCCTGGACCTGTTAGAAAGTGACATGCTTTACTCACCACACGTTAGGAACCCTGCATGGGGACTGTGTAGACAAGGTATGAGGCCAGTTTTCCCAAAGGGGTTTTATCAGCTCTGTAAGTTGAGCTTGGTTTCTTAAAGGGAAGCATATCCTTCCAGTCAAAGCCTTGGTAAAACAACCAGTTTCTCCAATTGCATCCTGTTGCAAAAGAAAGTGGATTCTTATTGTACTGATGCAAACAATTATACTGCCATAAGTTAGGAATACTTACAACTAGTTTCCAAATTCTGTAGATGCCAGGCAGACAGAGAGAGACAAACATGCTCCAAATTTTGTTCATAGGAGTATACCTTGCTCAATTATTAAATGCTGTAAATAGCTCAAAATAAATTTCCATGACTCTGAAAAAGAAAACAAGGATCAGCAATGTTCCAAGCAAGTGTCAGAAAGATTACTGCAGTTTTATATTAGTTTAGTCTGTTTAGTTAACTCTTACTTTGCTTGATATTCATGAACATTCCAGCTCTTCCTTTATTCCAATGTCACAATCTCCAAAGTTATCAGAAACTTGCATTTGAGAGCACGTGTTAAAATTCTATAGCTGATTATAAACCATCTTTTAAAGAGGATGAAAATAAGACAACAATTTTCTGTGAATAACAAAATGTCTAAAATAGTTACAGTCAGAAACATGATTGACAAAGAAATTTGATTATCTCCGTGGTTTGCAATAACTTAACGTAACAACCTTAATTGTGATTGACAGCATACACTCACACCTTAGAATTTTAGATATCCCATACAATTTTGGAACACATATTAATATTATTCCCTAAAATATAACCTGAAGAAGATTAAACATCATTTTGGCAATCCCATGTACCTAAACGTGTCAAATAATCCTTTTTACCTATCCTCTAAATGCTCCATGGGCCCTCTGTAGCAACAAAAGCTAGGGGTCAGGAAAGATAATTTTTGAAACTGAAGTTCAATTTTAGGAAGACTCTTAAATGTTAGAGGCTTAAAACACTTGATGTTATGAAATAGAATTCCAGATTACCGTAAGTTATTTATTTTTCCAAAATGTTGACTTGAAAATTTTAAAAAAGCAAAAACCTTTTATAACCCATTACAAACTTTGCTAAAGAGCAGATTAGTGCCTTAAGAGAGCCTTTTTGTGCTTTTATTTCAATGCTCAGTTTATGGAAATGGCATGTAATACCCTTTTGAATTTAGTCAATATGTTTGCACACAGAATTTCTTTTTCAATATTAACTTTCACAATTCTTCTAAAAATTGTTTGAACTTTTAACTTTACCTTATCTAATTCAAAACAAACCTTAATCCTAGGCAAAAATTCATATTTTGATGACATCTGCATTTTATCAATAATCTTTAAGGCTGTTTTTAGTTCTCAAAGATTAAAGTCACGTGAACTAAAAGGTACCAGAGCTTTTACCTTTCCTTTAAATAATATTAGATCCAAGAACTTATCCTTCTTTAAGTCAATTAATTAGAGCTTTTTTCAAATACACACCATGCACACAACACTTATATAACTACCGAGACAGGCAGAAGAAGATCCAGTAGCTATAAGATTTTTTATTTGCCAGTTGGCTAATTGTACTATTGGCCTCTGGGTTGAGCCCTATAAGAGCAAGGCTAAAGAAGCATGTGGTTTCTATTGCCTAATAAATAGGTATAGCTGGAAGACAAAAACAGATTTTGAGAAGGATCCATCTGCCTCTAATTCCTGGGGGCTCCATGAGGAAAACAGAGGTCTCTCCAAAAATGGAATCTGTGGTACCTTTTCTGCTTTTCCCAAAGAGTCCCAGGCCATCAGAAATTACCATAGGGCCTCTGATGTGTGCATTAACAGTGGCAAGGCAAAATGGTTACCAGGCCACCACACAGGAGCAGAAGAGGCCAGGCTCCTCCCCTCTGCATAAGGCGCAAATTCCTGGTGGCTCCAACCCATTCTCCCAGTGTGCAGGTGGGCCCTTAGTCTGAGCCATTCACATTGATTTATTTCCCTTACTGCACATGTGTTCAGGGATGGAATTTTCCAGTGACTGAGAAAAAACCTTTTACAAGCAAAGCAAGATCCAAGAAGAGAAAAACATAAAGGCCTTTTAAGTATACCTAATATTTGGATATCCACTTTTAATTAAGCTGAGCACTCTTTAAGAAAATCCTTTTAAATCCGTTATTACCTGACTTTAGCCATGCCAAGCGGCCAATATTTCTGGCTTTTGAACTTTACCAAAAGTAACATCCCAACTGCTCATAGAAAGGAAAATTCAAGGTGGCTTGTGGCGGGGAAGAGAATCAACAAAGGGCAAAGTTCACACAGATATCAAACCAGAAAGGACTCATTCTCTAAGCCAGGATTGAACCTGGGCTGCCATTGTAAAATGGAAGAGGCAAAAACAAAGCACTGCCCTTTGGTTACAGTCATGCTTCCAAGGACGCAAAACAAGATGGAGGCCTGCAGTAAAGTTTGCCCTTAAGCCAACAGCTCCTTGAGCATTTTGCGGGACTGGCTTGAACAATGGGCCAATGGAGTCCTATGCCTGCATTCCATCCTAAGGTAACCCTCTTTCTGACAGAACCATACAGAAAGACATGCAAAGCACATCAAATTGACTACAGCTTAAGACCAACCTCAAATCCTTTTTCACAATTAAAACTTTGCAGAGAATATAAACAGCGATAGGCTCCTGACCTAGTAAAGCTTGTCACATAAAAGTTAACTCCTGACCTGGTGGAGAAAAGAAAAAACAAAAACAAGACAACTTAAATGGAGTGCTGGAAAGATGCCTGGGGGAAGAACCTCTATTCTTATGCAAATGAGTTTCTCCACCAGGGAGAGGAAACTTTCATTGCTGTTTCTTCTCTGGGGCTTGGACTGAGCTGGACCCCTGCGCCAGGGGAGGGGAAGACTCCGTGGGTAAGTGGTGGGGAATGCTGGCCAGCTTGCTGTCTGGGGCCCTTGGAAGGGGAGGGGGACGAGAAGCCACTGCTCGCCTGTCTGTCCCGAAAAAAGGAAGAAAAATGCCACAGAAAAGACAGGGTTGGGGCTGAGGCCCGGTGGCTGAGGCCTGTAATCCCAGCACTTAGGGAGGCCGAGGTGGGCAAAAGAAAATGGATTCTTATTGTACTGATGCAAATGACTATACTGCCGTAAGTTAGGAATACTTACAACTAGTTTCCAAATTCTGAAGACGCCAGGCAGAGAGAGACAAACATGCTCCAAATTTTGTTCATAGGAGTATACCTTGCTCAATTATTAAATGATGTAAATAGCTCAAAATAAATTTCATTGACTCTGAAAAAGAAAATAAGGATCAGCAATGTTCCAAGCAAGTGTCAAAAAGATTACTTCAGTTTTATATTAGCTTAGTCTGTTTAGTTAACTCTTACTTTGCTTGATATTTGTGAACATTTCAGCGCTTCATGAGTCCTGTACGTTTTTCCTTTATTCCAATGTCACAATCTCCAAAGCTGTCAGAAGCCTGCGTTTGAGAGCACGTGTCAAAATTATATAGCTGATTATAAATCATCTTTTAAAGAGGATAAAAATAAGACAACAATTTTCTGTGGATAACAAAATGTCTAAAATAGTTACAGTCAGAAACATGATTGACAAATTTGAGTATCTCCGTGGTTTACAATAACTTAACGTTAACAACCTGCTACGAGAGATCGAGACCATCCTGGCTAAAATGGTGAAACCCCGCCTCTACTAAAAATGCAAAAAATTAGCTGGGCTTTGTGGCAGGGCGCCTGTAGTCCCAGCTACTCGGGAGGCTGAGGCAGCAGAATCGCTTGCACCCGGGAGATGGAGGTTGCAGTGTTAAATATGAATTCTAAATTTCTCTTCAAAGAATTAATATGTCAGTATGTGCAATTTTTTGCCTTCTACTTTTAAACTTTACTTCCTCGTAAAGCAACCTTTTTCGATTACCTACTCCACCGTGACTCATTCCGATCACCTGATCACCTGCTCCACCATAACTCATTCCGGTTACCTGCTACCTGCTCCACCCTGTCTCATTATTCTCCACCCTGTGTAACCATTTTTTTCCCGCCAAAGCACTCACCCCCGTCGCTCTCTTTGAATTAGCCAATCGGAATTAGTTTAGGCTGTGTGGTCTAACCTTAGCCAATAGGGGAAGGACACAGCAGCAGGGGTCACATGCATCAGGGATAAGAACTCCTTCCCCTCCCTTGTTCAGGTGTGCGCGCCCCATTGCTCCATCTGTGAGGGCTCACCCTTCCATAGAAGTACCTTGCCTTGCTGAAAATCAAAAAGAACATTTTATATTAGGAGGATATCTCTTTTGCAGCACCGAAACTTTATATATAACAGCAGTGAGCCGAGATTGCGCCACTGCACTCCAGCCTGGCACAGAGAGAGACCCCATCTCAAAAAAAAAAAAAAAAAAAAAAAGACAGGGGTGGACAGAGGCCAGCCTTCTCAGCGCCGATTTCCTCATGTAATACTTTCTCTTGTATCCTCAGGTGGGTCACTTTAGCCTAAATCTCCTAAGTGGTACATATTATTTTGTTATAATTCTAATTTTATGTTTAATAAAATTTTATTATTTACATTTTTTGCTATGTAGCTTATTTGTAGATAATTAAATTATTAAACTAAGACTCCATTTTTATCCATATATGACCAAAATATTTCCTGCACAAAGCTATATGCATAATAACAATTTATCACTTGAATGCATAAACTAAAGTTTACCAACAAAAAATCAGGTACGACAAATCCACATGGTTATATCATTGAAAAAAAGCTTTTCTGTAGTTCTAAACAAACATTCCATTGTAACAGGAATGCAAATAGTTGACATTGTGGGCAAAAACGTTTTTGTATAAAATATTTTATGTTATCTTTCCATGAATTTTATTAATGTATTTTCCTCACTATTTATATTTTCCAAGACTTTACTAAACATAGTTTCTATGTTTTAAAACAAAAACAGTCTATTTTCAGTTGCAATTTTTAAAACAAAAAAATATATAGGCTTCCAAAAAAAAATCAGTTAGCTTTTATTTCACCTCTATCCTTGTGGAACTGATAAGAACATAGTAATTCTAATATTTTATGAACCAGAATATTTGAGAAGCAACTGGTCCTCCATGTGTAAGCAGAACTCCTTCAGGGATATTGAGCTCATCCACCAACATGACTGGAATACAACTGATAAATCCTCATGGAAAATAAATGTGTTGTAGTCTCTGAAATATACTAAAAGTTGTAGAAGATACAGAGTTAGCATCAAAGTAGTCACAATCTATTTGGGAAGCCAACATGTACTAACCTGGGACAAAAGTTTTAAGTAAAATAGAATGCAAAATTTGAAACATAAAGAGATATAACATCGAAGGAAATAGTGATTGAATAGATTATTGTACCATATATACTCTCTCATAGTAGACTTATACATTCCCACCCACTATCGTACAACTTTTTCAGACATTCTGTGGGAAGAAATTATGCACTTATCTCAGTGGTTTTTAGCTTTTTATCATGCAGTGTGCTTTGATCAATGGAATGTGAGTGAATGTGATATTTATGTCAGAACAGACTTTTAAATATGACTGCATGGTCTGACTCAGCCCTTCTCTTAGTTCTGTATTTTTCCAGGACAGAATACCATGTTCCAGATAGGGGCGGCTTCATTCATTCCAAGAATGGGAAGACACGGGGAACAGAGCTGAGCGGCACAGCTGCCAACTTGTCATCCTTATTGTACCATGAGTGAGACATAAGTGTTGTTGTAAAATGCTGATATTTTCAGACTGTTGTAATCGCAGGACTCATACAGAAGTTAATACAACAGTAAGAGTGCTACCATAGCACATATAAAATCAATAGGTGTGACTGCCTTTGGGCTGACTGACAGGCTGTGTGAAAACCCTGAACGAAGTTTAGACAAATGACAATCCAGGTATTCAAGCCAAAATATTTGATAAGACTGTTGCCTATCATAAAAATACGTAATGGATGTCATGAATTTGTGTTCCTAGATTTGTTACTGGCTGTGTTTGCTATGATACCACAGGAAGGAGACAGGTTTGTAAAAAAGTTAAGCTGTGGGCAGTCAGAGATGAAAGAGACAGGAAGACAATCCACACAATTCAGGACTTGTACATTTGAAAGATGCACTCAACTCCAATCAGTAAGAAGTAAACTTGAGAAAAGACATGAGCCACAAAAGCCAATGAAGACAAACTCTGGGACAAACATCAGATCAAGGCAGCAGTGGTGAGAGGTCATCAAGCTCCTTGCTAAGATTTCCCATTTACTTATGATCAAGGGAAAGAGACCAGATATGTGGTCCCAAAGAAGCCTGTTAAGATCACCATACCTATCACAAAGTTTAGACAAGAGATGTCATATGTCTCAAAAAGAACTGTGGGTGTCACTATTGGCATAAGGAGCTGACTAAAATCAAATAGCTAAAAGCCAACAAGGTTTTGCAAGGTATATATTTTCAAAAATGCTATAAGCCTAGTTTAAAAGGGACTATAATTAGAAGGCAAAACAATCCTTAGGCCCTCAATTTCCTAATGGCAGAAAACAGGCAAAGTTGCTCACCTACCATGATTGACATATGCTCCATATGCCTTTCTGATATGGCCAAGGAAGGTGAGGAAAAAAGAAGACCTCTCAGAGAGAAGAAATAAAGTTTTGAGAAACAAGGATGGGTAATCAACAGGCAGGGACTGGGACTGGAGTCCAATCAGGAAACATTTCCTACATTCAGAGATGGCAGACTTTTAATTGTCACAGGGGGATTAATTGCAAAGAAGCAGTGACTTTGAGTATCACTTCTTCTTCCTCTATTTGACTGGGAATGTTTATTTTAGTATCCCTGTTTCACAATCAAATATTGGGAATAGATAGAGAATACACTTATATTATTATTTCATGTTTCCAGATCAAAAAGAGCTGCATCTGCGCCCGATTGAGATAATGAACTACAGGACCTCACATATAATGTCTTGATTGAAAGAGCCATTTGCTTTATTCCTAGGGAAGTACTGAGTGTATTTTTCATGCAGGGAGAAATCAATTATGTGCCATCAAGAGCACAGATAGGGGTAATTGGCATTATTATTTGAATATTGATTCTCTCTTCTTTAAGAGTATTACATAATAGTATCTCCCAGAAAGTGAAGTATACTTTACTACTGCAATTTGATTAAATTACTCGTTTGGGAGTGAAATAAGAGTAGACCTGACATTTAACAGGACAGTTCAGCAGGATCTTTGGGTGCAACTATGTAATATATTTCAAGCATTTGCCTTAAGAGCAATAGGTCCCAGATAGTAGTCAGTCCTAGATTGTGTTCTGGAACTAGAAGATATATGGAGACAATCAGTCCAGTGAAATCCAGCCTAATCCAGTAGACCGCAGTTAACCCAGAGTTAACCTCTAACTTACCTTCAGTCAATACATATATAAACACATAGAGTTTTTTTACTATAACAAAAATGAATGCTTCCTTTTACAGTAAAGAAAAAAATAATCAGGAACAATTTGGTAGAACAGGTGAAACCTAAGCCATATTGTGAAGAATCGTCATCTAAATAAGAAGGAAATGAAGCAAAATATATTTGAAGCAAAAATAAGAGCAATTGCAAAGGCAAGGGACTAGGTATAAAGTTGGCCTGTTAGAGACAAAATACAGAAATAATTCTGATTAGAGAGCCAACCGCATAAGGGAGAACAAAAAGAAATAGATTAAAACACTAAGTAAGTTGGTAAGATTCACAATCTTGGGGCTTTATGAAACGCACAGTAATATAGCATAGCCAGCCTATATTATATTCATATGTTTCTAGCTTCTGTAGTCTTATGACTTACTGTGGTGGGATGTGTTTTCCTCTTAGAGTGCTCTTAATTGTCGCAGATAGGATCTAGAAAAGGAAGCATATTTCCACTGTTTTCATGTTCATATTGCAATTTGTTAGTACCTGTTCATATCTGATTTGTCAATGTGAAATCTTTTAAGCTTTCATTGACTCTGAGTTCGTGTGCTTGGAAATTGGTGTCAATATTGATCTGAACATAGAAAAAACAGTAATAAAGTGGCAGAAAGCAATATTACCGTTATCTCCAGTGTTTAACTAGATTTTTACACCTCAATTTAAGTATATATTAGTTTGTGTAACTGTAGTAGTAGTATCTTATCCAGTAAGAGAATAGCACTGTCAGCTACTGAGAAAGGCTATATTTGAACTATGTGACCTAAGACACATAGTCCAGAGGGAAGAGAAATCAGTGACATTTCTTTCCATTTTAATGTCACCAGAGCCAAAGTTTGGGGAACAAGAGTTTATTTCAAAATGACAGGTGAACATTGTAGCAATTTTTCCTTCTCCTTTTCTGAGAAATAACTTTCAGTACAGTTACATTAGTTAATAATAATGTAATAATACTTATAGATAGTAAGTAGCCTACAATAGAGAATTGTATGTTCGTTTTTATTTAACCTGTAAACTCTCTATGCCTTTGACCATTGAACTCATCTTCTAAAACATGCAAATTTATCTATTGCTACAAAAAGGAGTTTTAATATGGACAGACATTAAAGTATTTGACAATGTGGCTCATTTCAATAATTCAGTGATTCATTGATTCAATTTACTTATTTTTTTTTATCTCCAACTGAGTGGCATCAGTTCTCTAGATTAAGATGTTACTTTACAGAAAAATGAGCTGTTTATGTTTTCCTTTTCTGTCCAACTGTAAATCTGAGATTGGCTTAGCAAACTACATTTGAAAACTAACAATGCTACTTTAAGCCTCATATAGATATTTACATATATATGAACTAAAAAGTAATTTTTAGAGTACTTATCTAGGCAGTGAGTGTTAAAAATACACTGCATTGGTTTAATGTGCTTAGTAATAGAATTTAGGATTTTCATTGTGTAATACTACAATAGACAAAATGCATTTAGATTTTCAGGAGCCCCCTTCAAATGCTTGTTCCTGACTCAAAAAGAGATATTTCCAGAGAGCTAGCCATGCAACTCAGAAAATTCCTTCCTACATCTTCCTGATACCTGCCTACTCCTCTTACCATTTATCCTGATCCTGTTCCGTGGAGGAAATATGTGAAATTCCAGTATTATAATTTCTATTTAGTGTTTGGATGCTTATATATCTTTAAATTAATACCTTATTAAAACACATATCAGATATTTTAGTACCAACAAAGACTACCCTTGACCAAACTCTGCCAAGCTCCTGTAAGCCCTCTAGGCTTTAACCTTAGGATCGATGATTATTGAGCCTGCATAGCTCAACTGTAGCAAGAATCTTGGCTGGGTGTGGTGGCTCACTCCTGTAATCCCAACACTTTAGGAGGCCAAGGCAGGAAGATTGCTTAAGCCCAGAAGTTAAATAAGAGCCTAGGCAACAAAATGAGACCCTGTCTTAAAAACAATATAAAAAATTAGCAGGGCATGGTGACACACAACCTATAGTCTCAGTTACTTGCAAGGTTGAGGTGGGAGAATCCCTTGAGCCCAAGATTTCAAGGCTGCAGTGAACTATGATTGTGCCACTGTATTCCAGTCTGGGTGACAGAGCGAGACCCTATCTCAAAAAAAAAAAAGCTTAGGAAACTTCATCACCCTTGATACCTGATCACTTTCAGTATATGATCAAAGTTCTCATCCCACACTACTTCCTGAGCGTTTTCTGATCATCCTGCCCTGCCTTCAGCAAAGAATCCACCTAATTGGTAGAGCCAGAGTCTCCCCTTAGGCATAATGTTTCTGCTTATAAATATTTGATCCACCAACCCTGACCCACTTGGCTATGAATCCCCACTCTTCCTATTATATTCAGATTTGGGCCCAGTTCTAAACCGAGGTCCCTTTTCCCTATCGCAATAGCTCTGAGTAAATCTGACTTCACCACTTTGACTACTGTCCAGCTCTGATTTTCTTTAACAGGACTCATCAAGTGCTATTTAGAACTTTCAGACATTTTCCTTGCTTGTAAGATATATGCCCTCCTCCATATAATCTTACTAAAATAAATTATTTAATGATATTTGTTAGAGCAAAGTAAGGATGACTTTATTCAGGACCATCATGATAAGTATACGGACCACTGCAACAGAATCTTGCAGTGGAGGAAGAAGATTGGGTTCAACTTAGAATGTAGCATGGGCAAGTGGGAATTTATAGCAAGGAGCAGGGTGGGGGTCAGTTTTACTGAGAAACTTAACAGAATTTTTGCTGAAGACAGGCCGGGGTGATTAGACATTACTTAGGGGAGAGTGGAAGATGAGAAACTTGATCAGATATCAAGGATTAGTGTTCTTGCTAAACTGACTTAGCTGGGTTCTTGCTAAAACTGGATTTTACAGATGGGCCTAACATAAGAGTGAGAAGGCTGGCTGAAGTTTGGCCAAGCAAAGATTTTATATCAACCTGAAATGTCCTGTACAGCCTTGTCTTTGTATCTTTCGCTAGATGTATTCCATGCCACACATCGAGTGGTCCTTTGGGTCTTCTTTTCGTTCCTGGAAATTTTCACATATCACAGAGTCTCCAACTGCTGGAACATTACAGGTTCACCACACTTTGTCTCACTAATATTGCCTCAATCTTTATTTCTCAAAACCCATGTCACTTTTTCTATGAAACTTTTACTCAAGTTTCAGACTAATTTAGGTAACCTTATTACATACACTCTCAGCAAAAAATATCTTGGCTCAGAAAATGATAACCCTAAATATGGTGCTTTGACATGCTAAGTACTTTGGAATAAAGAAAATTGAAAGACCTCAGAAATAAGCCTCAGGATCAACAGCTCTCTCTAAGCTTCTCCTCTCTCCCCATCTCTCTGATTTTTTTTTTTCCATAGAAGTAGGAGGGGTTCTCTCTGAACACTACCTTATCTGACTGAGGAAACTTCTTTCCAAAAGAAATGCAATTTTCTTAAGACCTCTTCCTATGTATCTCATCAAATAACCAGAAAAGGTTAACCAGTGGTGAAGAGAAGAAACTGGAAATTATCATCATGACCAGATAGGCTTTTCCTCTATTTTTCTGAGGGTAATTCCTAGAGATTACCTGGAAGAATGTATCTGCATAATAAGATAACCTTGGTTCACAATGTAGTTCTGCCCCTCACATTCCTGTAACTTGTCTGAAGCTGCTATTTGTCCTTTGGCCCCATTCAGCATCCAAAGAGAAATTGTTTACAAACCATTGTCTAGTCTTTTGGTTCATTCATTTACAATCTCCCCACTTTCCTCACCTCAATGAAAAGGGTATTTAAGTGTCAATTATCTGGTCCTTCCCTGAGTTTGCAACTTTTTTATATGGCCATCATGTTTATACACGTTAATAAATTTGTTATGCTTTTCTGTTGTTAACCTGACTTTTGTTAGAGAAGCATTGGCTGTGACCCTTATAATGAAGAGACAAGGGATCATTCTCTTTCTGAGCATAGACAGTACATCTTCCTAATGTTTATATTTTAATCGTAATTAATTTGTTTATTTATGTTTAACAATATAATAAAGCATAGTATGCTTGTCAATTTCTTCCTATTTTTTAATATCTGGGAAGAATTGCAGGCATCATTAATTCATCTGGAAGTAGTTACCTAAGTTGAAGAAAAGGTTTCTGGCTGAAATGGAAAGGTTGCTAAATTTTAGAATTACAAAATCAAACATGACTCAGGAGAACGTCTAGCACATAGGCAAAAAACATGTGACTAACTCTGCCAAGTATTTTTGGAATTAAGTAAATGCCTTATTTCATTTAAGAGTGATATTTTCATTGAATGCAAACTCTTTACTAGCCCACTCTAATTGCCTATCTTGGAATATATGATAATTGCAATGCATAGGTCAAATAAACTTCCTAACCTGTTCTTGAGCAATTTCAGTAAGCTTCCTGCAAGTTAAGTGAAAGTATCAAATAAAAAATTGTACTACCCTTTTTTTTCTAATTGGAACATAGTTTTTATTACCACTTTGAGCATTGCTATTTCATCTGTGATCTTGAAGTAACTACTGCTTGATGACTCTGATAAAGGATAAAGGTCATGGCTAACTTTGTATTAGCATCTTGCTTTTGTCTAGTAACAGCGTGACCCCTTGCTCTCTGGCATGTTTAAAGAAAAGAAGAGATCTGTGGTATTTATGATGATTGAGAAACTGTAACAATGCCTGGGTAGGGGGTTAATTAGGAATGAAAATGGCTTGACATCTCTCCAAAACATCTCTTCTGGGAGGTCATTTTCAGAGGAATGCAGACTTATGCATCTCTGAAGTGCTTTATAAAAAGCATATTCTTTTAGAAAATGAAGAACCAGTCAAGAACTAGAAAGGATGCATAATGAGTGAAAAGTAATTTGAAAAGTACATTAAGAAATCTAGTAATTCCTGTCTGTTAAATCAGGCAATTTGCATGTATTTTACTGCAGATATGAAAAAATAATACTAATTTATGGAAGATATGTTGTAATTGATTGTTTCAGTCATTTTTCTCAGTTTGCACTAAATGAGAGACACTATTTTGTTTGTATTTATGATTAAATTGTGTTCAGAGCAATGAAAGATAATTACAAATTGTCTACCACAGAGTCAGTTAATTTTATCCTATTCACATCACAAAATATAGACACAGCATTGTTGTGACTACTAAAGAAAGTTTGTTTATTCACTGATTGTCAAGTGAGTATAGGGTATGTTAACCACAAGAGAAAATTAAAATAAAATATAAATTTACAAAAAAATACTTTCTACCTTATAGGATCTTACAGTCTACTAGAGGGTATATGATAGTTTCAAAAATTAATATAAGATAGTAGTTGTTTATTTCCAGCAGTTGATGCTAAAAATACCATCAAAATAACCAGCGTATAAATCAAATTCAAATTGACTCCTTCTGCAATAGGGGAAACCACTACCTTGACCATCTTAGTAAAGTTGCAGATGGGACACATCAATGGTAGTATATTCAAAAGATATGGAAGATCTCATTTAAGATGAGTCTTTTCTAAGGACAGACACAATTTAAAAGTAAGAGGCATAATCTTCCATGTTGAAAATAAGGAAAGAAATTTCCCTTCCCTCCTTTTACTTTGAGTATTTTGTTTATAAAACATGTAATTTTAAGTAATTACTTCCCTCTTTGAAATGTATATATATATCATTTTGAAGACCAGATTGGCATTTTGTCAGCTTTGTGATCTAGGTTTGTATTTCTAAAGGACCAAGAACCGTCTCTTTGAAAGGTAGCACCACCTTCTCCCAGCTTCTGTGGAAAGTTAGGAGAATATCTTTAGTGGGCACCTTGTTCCAAGTTGCAAAACTACCTCTTGTCATGAAGATATGAAAAGTTTGTTTCTTCTTATCTAAAGGTCACCCCAATTATCAAGTAAAGTCAAGAAGAACTCTGTGTGACAAATCATGCTGTCAAGTTCTCTGATTTCAGAACTAGTTATTGTTTATCTTGAAACATGTAGAAACGTTCTCTGACTTACAACAGTTCAACTGACAATTTTTTGACTTTACTATGTGTATATTAATGGTGAATACTCATACAAACATTCTGTTTTTCACTTTCACTGCAGTATTTAATAAATTGCATGAGATATGCAACACTTTATTATAAAGTTGGCTTTGTCATAAAATGTTTTGTCTGTAGCCTAATGTATGTTTTATGAGCATGTTTAAGGTAGGTTAGGCTAGGCTATGATTCAGTAGGTAGCTAGTCAGACATAAGTGTGGCAGGAGAGGTCCCCCCAAACACCAAACAGGAATGTCAAATGACCATCAGGTGATGGTCAGGTGGTTGTTACATGATCTCACTAACATAATAATTGGTCACAGCTGGAACCAGGGAAAGGCAGTCTCCCAAAAGATAGAAACACCTAAAACTAGTAATCAGCAGCTTTCTGATGAGATATCAGGAGCTGGGTGAGTGGGCTCAAACATGTGCACTAAGAAGCAACATGGCGGCATTTAACTGGTATATGGCCTTCTTCTACTTGACTAGTAAGGGAAGAATGCCGCAAGTGAGCATGCGTCCAACTCCAGTTAATATACTGCACATGCGGCTCCTCCCAAGTGCTGGAAGGCCACTACGTATACAGATTACCAATGTACAAGACCCCAAGTCAAAGGTCAAACTGCACTCGATCTCTCAATTGTCCACTTGGCCCTCTTCCAAGTGTACTTTACTTCCTTTCATTCCTGCTCTAAAGCTTTTTAATAAACTTTCACTCCTGCTCTAAAACTTGCCTACATCTTTCACTCTGCCCGTGCCCCTCAGTGGAATTCTTCCTTCTGAGGATACAAGAATTGAGATTGCTGCAGACCCATACAGATTCACCACTGCTAACAGGTTAGCTGTATTAAGTGCATTTTCGACTTATAATGTTTCCAACATATGATGAATTATTGGAACGTAACCCCATTAGAAGTCAAGGAGTATGTGTATATAATGATATGTGTGTTCTTGACTATATAAAAGGGTGAGATTTCTTTTTGTCTTTGAAATCTTTTAATGGATTGTCTGTAATGCACATCACATTCTTGTTCAATGCTTATTCAATAATAAAAGTTGTGTCTTTCCCTACTACCTTTGAAGAAAGGAATTCTGGCTGGGCACGGTGGCTCATGCCTGTAATCCCAGCACTTTGGGAGGCCAAGGCGGGCCGATCATAAGGTCAGGAGATCGAGACCATCCTGGCTAACACGGTGAAACCCTGTCTCTACTAAAAATACAAAAAATTAGCTGGGTGTGGTGGCAGGTGCCTGTAGTCCCAGCTACTCGGGAGGCTGAGGCAGGAGAATGGCATTAACCCAGGAGGTGGAGCTTGCAGTGAGCTGAGATTGCACCACTGCACTGCAGCCTGGGTGACAGAGCAAGACTCTGTCCAAAAAAAAAAAAAAGAAGAAAGAAATTCTAAGTTGAGAGATGATTTTGTTTTACTTATATTTCCCCAGAGTTTCCAACGCACAGGGCCTGTTTGGAACTGGGCAAAGTTTGTTATATGACATTTTAGAATTCATAGGCACAATGAAAGAACAGCTCTAAGTAAATTTGGAACTGTAAAGATTTGTTTATTCAGCTGATTTGAGGATATGTTGTTCTGAGGAGGTAAAGTAGACTTGTCTATTGTTCAGATAAATGGACAGTCAGGAAGTTTTTAAGCAAATCATAAAGTTATTACAGTGCTGGCTCAGAAAACAATACTCACAAGTGTGACACTTTGACATGCTGAGCTAAACAAGCAGTTTCGAGGTCTCTCTCTGACCTTCCCCTACCTCCCTGTCTCTCTGATCTTCTTTATGGAAGCAGCAAGATAAACCCTTCTTGGAATTTCTTTAAGAAAACTTCTTTCCAAAAAAAATGCTATTGCCTTAACATCACCTCTCTAGGGATCTCATCAAATAACTAGGAAAGATTACCCACAGAAGAAGAGAAGACTAGGAGTTTTCACCATTCCCAGACATATTTGTATCTATTCTTCTTGGAGCATCTCACTGACAGATTACCTGGGAGGCTTTATCTGCATAATAAGAAAACCTTTGTTCCCAGTGAAGTTTAGCCCCTCACCTACCTGCCACCTCCTTCAGTGCTGAGAAATATTTTGTCTCATGTCATTGTTCTTTGGGCTTATTCATTTCCCCTGAAAATCATTGATGCCTACATGCCTCACCTATCTCCTCTTGCCCTATGAAGGAGAGTGCAAAAGCATCTGGAGCTCACTGGGTTATTGAATAACCATTCTTCTGTGATTTTCTCATGCTCTGCATAGTAAATCAATCTGTATTCCCTTTCTCTTATAAATCTCTGTCTGTCGTCAGTTCATTTTCAGTGAACCTTCAGAGGGCAAAGGGGAAGCTTTCCCTTGGCCCCTGCAACATCTTCATCTTCCTGGGTTAAAAACTTTTGGACAATTAAATTCTTGTCAATTGCAGGCAGTAGAGTAGTAAATTCATGTTAGTTTAGACAGCAAACAGTGTCTGTGTGTAATGGTTTTAGTCCTCTTGTGTGAAATTGTCATTTGAATGATGGAAGCCAGATGTTGCTGGTGTTCAGGGTAAAGAGACATTGTGAGATAGAGCAAGGACCCCCTTTTGAGGAACCTGAAGCCCCCAAAGCATGGAAATAAAAGAAAATCCTGAGTTCCTTAAGGATAACTTCAGGTACCAAGCTAGCCCCAGAACTAAATAAGTAACTTGTTAAACAAGAAGGTAATAGTAGCTTAAAACAATAGCCAAGGAAGTTAGAGTTCTGGAGATACTTGCTTTCCTCATAGAAACGAAGGATAGCATCTTAACATATGTCCCTGACTTGTCTTTCAGAAACTTGGACCCCCAATGAGGACCTTCACCAAAGGGATTCACGGGCACAGATAAGGGCGAAGTGAAGATGAACTTTAACTATTGTCTTTTTCTCTAAATTTCTTCCTGAGGGAATTGGAGAAATCACTCCTCACCCCCAGGCAGTTAATGTTTTTCTACTGACCCCAAATTTTTAAACAAAACTTCTCTTCCTTAACTAATTGCAAATCAGCAAATCTTAGAATCTGTCTACGACCTGTAAGCACCACCATCCCTGCTTCAAGATATCCTGCCCTTTTAGGCCTAAACCAGTGTGTAATCTCCATGTACTGATTTACTATTTTGCCTGTAGCTTCTGCTTTCCTAAAACTTATAACTGCCTTTAAAAACACTTGCCTGCAAGCCATTGGGAAGGTTAGGATTTGAGCACTTAGCTGCCTGGTCCTCCTTGCTGGGTTCCTTGCAATAAATGCCTTTCCTTCTTTTGCTGCAAAACTCCATACAGATACCTGGTTTTACTGTGCTAAGCAAGTGGACCCCCGTTATGTTCTATAATATAACAATTGTATTTCAGTTATGCTGTGATAAGTATGTTCACAAATTATTGGAATGCATGACTGTTCTTGAAGACTAGAGAGAATTTCAATAGGAAGGAATGAGTAGGAAGGATGTCCCTGCTAGAAATGGCTATTTGGATGACTAATAAAACTATATGGAATGAAAAGGAGGTAAATCTGAATATGCAACTCCACAAAAAAAATAGCCAGAAATTAGGCTGGAAATAAGAGAGAGAACCTGATGTTGACCTAAGAATGTTGGCCTTTACTTGGTAGAAATCAGGGGAAAATTTAAATCAAATGTTGACTCAATAAAGACATGTCAGTTTAATAAAATCAGTAAATAAACCAGCTAGGATGTTCTTAAAAGCTGGATATATTTTATTGGTTTTAATTATCCAATATTAAAAGATGTCTATAGTAGGGGGTTTAAGGGTTAGATATTTCAGCTTCTCAACAATTCCAGGATTCTGGGGCAGCTTCATACTATTCTCCTGTTCACAGGACAGCTATCCTGTAGACCTGGCATACTATACTCATAAAATTAAGTCAAATCCAATATTTAAGAATGTGGATCTCTGTCTGCTTCTCTCTCTCTGCCTTTGTTGTTGTTGTTGTTAATCAGGAATGTAAATCTTTTCAGAAATCTTCCAGAACACTGAACTTTAGGTCGTAAGATGGACAGGATTAGGACACATGCCTATGTCCTT
The DNA here is from genome assembly GCF_000001405.40 of Homo sapiens. Lineage (NCBI taxonomy): Eukaryota > Metazoa > Chordata > Mammalia > Primates > Hominidae > Homo > Homo sapiens. The sequence continues at coordinate 20,795,770 of NC_000021.9, forward strand.
GTAAGGAAAGGAGTATGAAAGTAAAAGGAAAGAAAAAGGAATGAGGAAAAAAAATTATCCTTTTCAGAAATCAAATTATATTCTACAAAGATAGAATAATGTTAAGAAGTTTTATTTTACCTTCAGAAATGTTATTGAATTGATAGTGATACAGTCATGATAAGATAGAAACAAATGATAATGATTAAATAAAATATCAGAGAGGTTGTGATAATTGTTTAATTAGGAAACAATTAAGGTATGCTCTAATCTCATATCTTATTATTGCACAGATTCCAGAGAGATTAGCATAATTAATTGAATAACCTGAAGCCATAAAATAGATTCAAATGAATATATTTTTGATGTTGAGATCAGAATATGTCTAATGATAAAAGTGAAATCACAAATGAAAAGAGAGATCACAAATGAAAATATATATATCTATATATATATATGGTTTAATGACATGATAAAAAGATTTAAAAGAAAAATGCTCCAAAAATATTTGCCATTTATTTCATGAGTGATTGTATATTATTGCTAAAGTCAAAGAGCTTTACAGAATAATTTGTTTTTAAAAACCCACATAATTTTCCCATAAAGGGGCAAAGAGCAGAGACATGTAAACCAAAACCACAATGAGATACCACCTCACACCAGTCAGAATGGCCATTATTAGAAAGTCAAAAAATAACAGATGCTGGTGAGGTTGTGGAGAAAAATGAATGATTTTAAACTGTTTGTAGGAGTGTGAATTAGCTCAACCATTGTGGAAGACAGTGTGGCGATTCCGCAAATATCTAGAGGCAGAAATACCATTCAATCCAGCAATCCCATTACTGGATATATACCCAAAGGAATATAAATAATTCTATTATAAAGACACCTGCACATGTACGTTCATTGCAGCACTATTCACAATAGCAAAGGCATGGAATCAACCAAAAAGCCCATCAATGATAGAAAGGATAAAGAAAATGTGGTACAAATACACCATGGAATACTATGCAGCCATAAAAGGGAATGAGATCATGTCCTTTGCAGGGACACGGATGCAGTTGGGCGCCATTATCCTTAGCACACTAATGCAGGAACAGAAAACCAAATACCATGTGTCCTCACCTATAAGTGGGCACTGAATGATGAGAACACATGGACACATGGGGAGAGCAACACACTCCAGGGCCTGTCAGAGGTCAGGGAGTGGAAGGAGGGAGAGCATCAGGAAGAATAGCTAATGGATGCTGGGCTTAATACCTAGGTGATGGGATGACCTGTGCAGTAAACCCCCATGGCACATGTTTACCCATGTAACAAACCTGCACATTCTGCACATGTACCCCTGAACTTAAAAGTTGGAAATTAAAAAAGAAAATAAATTAAAAGAATAAAGAATATTTGTACCTCTATTTTTATTTTGACAACTTTACAATACATAGTACTGCAAATGAAAAAAATATGTGTAAAGAATAAATTATGAAAGAAAAACTACTAAAACCAAAAATTACAAATTTGAACATGATTATATTTTCTATCATATTGTAAAAGGAGAATAAACATGAATATATAAGGGGTGTTAAGGATGTTAAAAATTGGTCCTTCATATTTAGCATGTTGAAACCAATTACAACTATCACTGTAATCTCAGCACTTGGGAGGCCAAGGCAGGAAAATAGCTCGAGGCCAAGAGTTTGAGACCAACCTGGGCAACACAGTGAGACCCTGTCTTTACAAAAAATTTAATAATTACCCTAGTGTGGTGGCACACACCTGTAGTCCTAGCTACTCAGGAGTCTGAGGTAGGAGGACCACTTGAGCCCAGGAGTCTGAAGCTGTAGTGTGCTATGATCACACCACTGCACTCCAGCCTGAGTGACAGACAGGTTGTCTCAAAAATCTAGGAAAAATTTTTTTTAAATTTGTTAAAAAGGTAGCACTACCTCAACTAGTTTCTGGAACATGTTTCAGTAACACATATATTAAAATATTAAAATATGCTTTTGACTTATTAATACGGTGGTCAAAATACTACTCTACATGCTTTGTAAATATTAACCTGTATAATCTTACAAGTCTATAAACTAGTTATTTTTGTTTCTCTTCTACAGATGAGAAAACTGGGTTACTGAGGGGTTAAGTAAATGAACTCTGGGCTCACAGTTGATATGTATTAGAGCCAGATTTCAACACCATGGTGTCTGTCTCAAGAGCTCACATGCAGTTTGCCTCTCTACCTTTAATAATCTCACTTACAGAAATATTTAGAGGCATTATGAAGATGTATGTAGAAGGTATTTGCATAAGGAATTTTTAATGCAGCTAAAACTTTGATATGGAGTAAGTTCCAAACACAGGAGAATTTTGTTTAAAATGTTTACACTCATCATAATTGCCAGTGGTAATCTTATGCTTCCAGCTGGTGATTAATCCCATCAGCACTTTCTGTATCTTAAGTAAATGACAAAATCCATGTTCCAAAAACATCTGATCTGTAGTCTTTTTTAGCAAGAGTTTGGCAAATTCTTGGCAGTATCAGCAAAAGTGTGAATCTTTGGACAGAGGAGGTAGGCTATAGGAAGAAGGAAGTGTTCAAATTGTATGATTGCTTGGTAGACATCTCCCTTTCAGTCTTCATCCTTATCTCTTCTTACCAGCCAAAAGATTTCATTGCAAAATTCTCTTTCTTTCTCTCTCTCTCTCTTTCTTTCTTTCGTTCGTTCGTTCATTTTTTAGATGGAGTCTCACTCTGTCACGCAGGCTGGAGTGCAGTGGCGCGATCTCTGTTCACTGCAACCCCACCTCCCAGGTTCAAGTGATTCTCCTGCCTCAGCTTCCTAAGTAGCTGGGACTAGAGGTGCATGCCACCATGCCCGGCTAATTTCTGTATTTTTAGTACAGATGGGATTTCACCATGTTGGCCAGCATGGTCTCTATCTCTTGACCTCATGATTCACCAGCCTCGGCCTCCCAAAGTGCTGGGATTACAGCTGTGAGCCACCACACCCGGCCACAAAGTTCTATTTCTGCATTGTCTTCTATTCAGAAAAGATTTTGTCACTTTCAAATAGGGATCATAGATTCAGTCTGTTTCTCTGCCTAGTCTCTCTTTTACCCTAACCTCTCTTTCGGAGATAGACCAAAAGATAGATAGACCGACAATGAGAGAGAATGAGTGATAGTCCAGAATAGAGAAGGAGAGCAGGAGAACATGGGAGAGAGAGCGAGGCAATTTTTTCTTATGTGCTCTAACTTGATCCCTCTGTTTTATGGACTTTCTGTGTATGCTCTGCTGTCTAAAGTTTAGGAAAAAAACTTTACCATGCTCAGCTTAAGTTAAACATGTTTAATCTCTTAATCTATGTCAAGTGGTAGAACTGATAACCCCAAGAGATTAACCGTCATCTCCACTTTTCCAGCTCCTGGAATACTATATATCCTGAATCACCTAAGACAGGGGTCCCAAATCCCTAGGCCATGGACCACACAGCAGGAGGTGAGCTGCGAGTATTACTGCCTGAACTCTGTCTCCTGTCCGATCAGTGGCAGCATTAGATTCTCACAGGAGTGCGAATCCTATTGTGAACTGTACATGCGAGGAATCTGGATTGTGTGCTCCTTATGCTAATCTTTTAATAATGTCTGATGATCTAAGGTGGAAGAGTTTCATCCTGAAACCATCCCCACCCTCCTAATCGAAGCAAAAATCTGAACAAATTTTATGAACAGATGGGAACACTGTCTTTTGCAGAAGATGGGGATTATAAAAGACACATCATCATGAATTGATCCCCTCACATGTGGAGAGTGAAAATATTAATAAGAAACTGTAGGAGAAAACATGAAAGAGAGAGAGAAAAAAATTCAGAGAAGTAACCATAGATACCAAAACAAAAACAAAAACTCCTCTGTAATGAATAAAATGTCTTGGCAAAAATATAGACATTGCCCCTTTCCTGGACTACTCTCCGTCTTATGCCCAGAGTATAACAGCTGCAAAGAAGTAAAATAAATATTATGTTTGAAATGCAGATGAAGTTTAACAAAGGGGCATTTAATGGATGCAGAGAATTTTAAAATGTTTGATTCCCTATTAACTTGTTGGGTGATCTCATTTACAAAGAGAGGATTTGTGTTATTTTTGAAGAATTTAGAATGTCACAGAATTTAAAGTTGTAAGCTTGTTACATTAGAATGATGGTCATTGATATCAAGGTTTAAGAGTCTTCTGTTTGGGAGACTTCCAAGAAAACATTTACTATATAGTGGGTTAAATTACAGAGCCATACGAAGAAAATTCTAAGTTTTTGAAACATTAGTAAGAAGATTTTAAGCAAAACCTCAAAGCCTAACTTTGCGTGCCTTTGTTTTTGTTAACTATGTGGGATTCTAAATTACATTAAGATTATCTCCTCGATCCCAGTAGGAAAATGCAAGGTTTTGATTGGTATTTGTCAAGATGATACTTAATGTTTATATTGCATGTCTTATTTTAAAAATATGCAGCATGATGTATTAGGTTTGTAGGAGAAAGCGGTATAAAATGCATAAGCCATATATAATCTATCTGATATGGTTTGGCTGTGCCCTCACCCAAATCTCATCATAAATTGTAATTCCCACAATTCCCACTTGTTGTGGGAAGAACCTGGTGGGAGGTCATTGAATCATGGGGGCAGGTCTTTCCCATGCTATTCTGGTGATAGTGAATATGTCTCATAAGATTTGATGGTTTTAAAAAGGGGAGATTCCCTCACAAGCTCTCTCATCTTGTCTGCTGCCATGTGAGATGTGCCTTTCATCTTCCGTCATGATTATGAGGTCTCCGCAGCCATGTGGAACTGTGGAACTACGGAAATTTAAGTCAAAATTGTAAGGAGGGATTTAGAAGTTTTTTAAAAAATGCAAAAATTGTGGTTTTAAAATTAAATAATTGGGAGGTAAATTTGTTTACGGAGCCAGATATCATGTATATACAACTTGTATTTGAAAAAATGAATTACGGAATTATAGAATAATTAGTGTGCAGCATTTTGGAGAATGCGTTATTAGAGCTTTTCTCATCATCCCTAGGTGGAAAAGAGCCTTATCTCCAGGTGGCTGATAATCTCCACCAAGACAAGCCTAGTAATAGAATATTCACTTTTTGTAATACTTTGGAAACCTTCATTTTTTAATATTTTAATGAATTCCAATGCCCTTCAATTAAAAATAATTGAATTAAAGCTATCCATCCCCAGTGTGAAAATACGATGAGAAATTCAAATGCCACTTCATCAACAGAACTTTAAACACAGGTTTAAAAATACAACATTCAGCTAGCAGAAAAATTCCTCAATGTATTACTTTTTGACTGCGATATTACCCTTTGTTCTTCTGAAGAACTTATTTTTTCTTTTTTTTTGCAACTGTATCTGAATTACCTTTCAGATGATTGCCATATTGTCTGTGATTTCCCTTATATTTAAACACTTTACAAATATGTGTTTTACGTTATGAACTCAATCTCCATGTTTTCAAAATCTACATTTTTGCTTTTCAAATCTGTATTATTATCTTTATTAAGTTTGTCAACTTGTGAATACAGAACTTTTTCCCCAAAGGGATCCTTAAAGTCCTGGAAGTGTGTGTATTGTGTGCTGCAAAGGCGAATTTACATCAATGTATTAAAGAGAAACTATAAAATTGATCCATTAAGAATTAAAGTTGGAGCCGGGCGTGGTCGCGGCCACCTGTAGTCCCAGCTACGCGGGAGGCTGAGGCAGGAGAATGGTGTGAACCCGGGAGGCAGAGCTTGCAGTGAGCCGAGATCGCGCCACTGCACTCCAGCCTGGGCAACAGAGCTAGACTCTGTCTCAAAAAAAAAAAAAAAAAAAAAGAAGAAGAATTAAAGTTGGAAAGCCCCCAGTTTATGGACGGTAGTAAATTCCCCTAATTTCTTCTTGTATACATATCTTAAATGTTGGGAACAGGGAGGTAGGAGGGAGAATCTTGCTAAAACTATAAAAAGAAAAAAGAGAAAATTTATGGATTTATTGTTAAATTAATGGTCTTTTAAGAGTATTTAATATTATAGAAGACAGTAGTTGTATTTAAGCTTTAAAAAGAGCATAAAATCTGTGTATATTTCCCATTTAATAAAATTTAATGTATATTCACACATGAACACTATGCATTTGGTAATGTTCTATTACTAAAATCCTATGGATAGAAACAAGTTCATTAACTGATTTGGTTTGGCTCAGGAGCCCAGTTGCAGGGTAACAGAAACACATAAATGAACAATTAGCTAAATCAATGACGTTTAAACATCTGTTTTAAAAACTAGGCTTGGGTAATAAAGCCATAAGTAATTCTTATTATTTTTAAATAAAAATGCTTACTCAGTTGAATTTCTGCCCTTCCTCTAGCACTTCTCTAAGATGGGTTTTGGGATATCATTGAGAGCCTTGTACAACCGTCAACACTGTGAGCCCTACCTCCTCTTTGATTTTCTGAGCAGTTGTGTGCTACTAAATGATTCAAAATTGTCTCTCTGAAAAACAGGCAAACAAATAAAAATCTGACTTGTCGCATTTGCCAGTTTCCATGGTGTAAATACTCTTATGATCACTTCTAAAACTTCCAATATGCAATTGTTGAGAAGAGATGTGCACCGTTGGCCCCAGGAAGCCAGCGGGAACCTCTGTCATACTTCACTGCTTCTCAGGCACAGTCTGCTCCAAGAATACCTCTCCCATTTCTGGCAGTTTTTGGAGGTGGTTTAATGTATGACCTGTTCTTTCTAGGCTTGCTCAGGACTGCTATATTGGACCTTACCTTGTGCCCTGTCAAAGCTCTAGAATAGAGGTTAGAAACTTTTTCTTAAAGGTCTAGAGAGTAATTAATTTTAGACTTGCAGGCAAATGGCTTCTGTTGCAAAAAAAATTAACTCCGCCCTTGAAGCTCAAAGGCAGCTGCATAAAATGATGGATGTGGCTGCATCCCGGTAAATTTCATTTATAAAAACAGGCCCTGCAGCTCTTAACTGTCCCTTGCTCACAAACTCCTGAATTTCTGCTACAGCCTTCGACCAGCTCTGAACCGCAAGCTGTTGACACCACGGCTTCTGTGCAGGACTAGCATGAAAAGTTATCTCTTCCCTGTATTCGACTGCACTGTATAGTCAAAACCACTCTGCTTTCTTCCTCAGCTCGAATTATCAAACACCAAACCAAGAGCAGAAATAAAAATTTTGGCCACTTACCTTCTGTCTGTTTTCTTGTATTTTCTTTTCTCTTGATCCATGCCAGAAAGAAAAGGCAGTATTATTCCTGCTATGTCATGTTATCCTTCTACTAAAGAACAAAAATCACACAGTCCAGCTGGCATAGGCATCATGCCAGGGTGCAATTCTCTGCTCTGAATCCTTCAAACTTGTTCTTCAGGAGCTTGAAATATCTTTTTGTCTAAACCCGAATTTCAAAATCACTGCCTTGCTAAAGGGATCAAATACTCCACCTGCTTGGAGATGGTATCCTCATGATTCAGCTTTCAATGGGAGATGATTGAAAAGGGAAATTAAAATTCATTTAAATACTTCCTATGATATATGCATATTAATATTAGAAAAACATCAAAATAACAACAGTGCTTATATTTTTCTGGTGTAAGTAACTTTTAAAAATTACACAAGTAATCACACAAATAACTGCAAATTATTTTAAAATCAGAATAATTAAAATCTTAAAATAGTTGAAATTGAGAAGACTATGAGAAGCCTATACAAAATATTCTACAAGTTATTCCACATTATTTTCATGATAATTAAGTGGAAATTTAGGTAGTAGACTAATTAGCAAATTAAAAAAAGAAAATATGGTTATAGCAAAATGAAATAGATTCTCATGCCAAAGCTTGCCTGAGAGTTTTAGCCACAGACAAGGGGGAATATCTGTGTAATAGGGATGTTGCAGATGGTCCGATTTCCCTGAACCTAAACTAATCACTGCTCCTGCTTTGGTCTAAGAGAAAAAAAGCATCCCTTCAAAAGCATGAGAATGTGTGTTACATAAACCACTAGTTCTTTCTAATTCTTTTGCTCAGTCCTATCATTTAAAGCCTGAATAGATTAGAAATACTCTATTTAAATTTTTACATTTAAACAGTAGTCAAATGTATTTCACTATTGTATGAAGCTTGATATTTACATGCGAATTGAGTTTCATGAGATATCAAAGAATAACGATGTAGAAGATAATCTGTTACATACTCTTTTGAAGTATATTTTTTATGAAAAAATCTCTTGCATTTGGCTTTGTTTGTCTGTGTTTTATTTCAGGGTCATTATATTTTATCCACATGGAACATATTCTAGAACACATTTTCCTTTAACTTTATAAGAGACAGATAAGTATTATATGCATCACTGATATCTGAACATGATTAAGAAAATTAAATTGCCCGGGCCTAAATAATTCTTTAAAAGTGTCCCATTAGAAAAATCAGAACATGTCACATTGTAATTATTATCTTTTATAAAACATCACTATATTTAGAAAAATAAGTACATTATGGTGAAATAGCAAGGAAAAACCTACACTAATAAAATATATGCATACCGATGATATTTCTAACTGAATATTTTTAAATCACATTTATTAAAGGCAAGTTCGGATAAGTACTACTAATATTTTTATTTCAAAGAGTATTCTTCAACTGATGATATTTTTAAGTCTAGAGATACTGTGGCATTTTTTTGAAATATCAGTATCAATGAGTATATGTCACAACTTACTAGCATCAAATTAACTGAAAGAAAAAACCTAGATAAATAGAAATTTAAAAATTCAAAGATTTTTAACTCATCTATGCACATTTTCTCAATTTATAATTTGGGAAACTCAGGCACCTATGTTCCCTGAACTCACAAGTACTAGCAAAAATAGATATAGCACATGAGTTTAGATTCTTTACATGAGGGTATTGGGGTATAGAAAAAAAAGGCCTATGAAAGAAGAGGTAAAATTATAGCCAGTAGCATTTTATTGTCATTGTTCAAAGATAAAGAGCTAGGGGCTGCAATGCAGCTCTTTATTTTCTTGGCATGCTTGATTTTGAGATTTTAATTTATCTAAACTGAAGAGAAACCACTGGCTCAGGGGAAACCAAGTTTGTCATTTGATTGCTTGTGTGCTTGCTTGCTTGTTTTCCTAAGACTAATACCTGGGAGAAATATCTCCAGGGAGCACCTAATGATGTAGAGATATTTGTCCCCAAGGGTGTTCCTTCAAAACACTCAAGTGGGTGCTGTTTACTATTTTATATCACTTTTCCTCAGTGAAAGACAATTTTCCAAATGGCCAATCACTTCTCAGCATTCTAATTGTTTAATCTGATTGAAGAATAAAATTGAGACTAGCTTGAGAAGTGATCATTTGATCAAGGCCAGTCACACAATCTTTACAAGACTCTAACTCAGATCTCTGGAATCATAGGTAATAATATCACCAGTACTGAATTTTAGATGTAATTGAGAATTTCCTGAACTACTGTGTAGGTTCAATCTTATTTTGCTTTCATTTTCCTTTATTCCTATATTTATCAGGATAGTCTCTGGTAATTTTAATTTTTTACTTTAGAAGGTTTATTCTTTGTTATTCTTCAAAAGCTCCTTATAGATTTCCCATGTGTCAAGTAAGTAGATATATGCTATCTAAAAAATAAATTGACTGAATATTCAGTTCAATCAAACAACTGCATGTCGACAGATTGAAAGGAATACATTTGCTAAGAATAAATGTACAAGTTTCTTGCATTACCAGTCTTGAGACCAAGGTTACCCACAGCTCAAGTACTTCTTTGCTATAATTTTACAACCTCACTTTATCATGGTTTTGAGTAGAGACAATTTCTTCTTTAACCCTTTATTATTTATGGTAGTTACAAATAATGTATAACATAGTACATGTGCTATGTTTAATGGATTTTGAGTGAATAAATGATACATATAATTTCATAAATAATAAGTTTATATGATTACATAAATTATAAAAGTCTTAAATCAATCACCGTGTTTTACTCTGTCTATAATTTGGTCCATTAATTAATTAATTATTAAGATGCCATTCATATAAAATTTCAGTAATGGGAGTAAGTCTTCTTATTGGTGTCTTTTAACAATGAAGATGATTTTGGGTATGAAGTTATGGAAGAAATAACAGTTGTATAAAATAGTAAGGAGATTTATTTATTCAAGTAACAAGAATATATTTTTGGAGGCTGAGGCGGGAGGATGGCTTGAAGCCAGGAACTGGATACCAGCCTGGGCAAGAAAGTGAGATCCCCACCTCTACAAAAAGAAAAAAAAAAAAAGAAGGTAACAAGAAGAATGATCCTGGGAAGGATGACTTTTCTATTGGTTAATTCATGGGCCCAGTGATATCATTAATTACCTGACTCCATTTCACCTTTCTGCTCTATCATTCCTAGTGTTTTTCCAGTGTGCCTCATGGATGTAAGAGGGCTGCAGCGGCTCCACACAACACATACTCACATTCTAGTATGTAGAATGGCATGAACTGTCTAATCCCTAATGACTGGAACGGAACCACCCATCATGATTCTCCTCTGGACCTGGGGCTAGTTATTGGCTGTAGCGAAGGATTGTAGGGTTAAATACTGTTAGCTGGGAGCATAACTAAGAGTCTGCTGCATATCTGCATTGTACTGAGTTAGAAAGTTATTTTAATTTTCACAGATTGCGGCACAATGAGTGATCACTGCTTGATGAGGAATGATGAAGGCGGCATTCAATAAATGATTTGAGGAAGGTGCAGAGACCAAAAGTTCTGTATTGTTTCCATTCCAACAGGCTGAGAAAAGCCATGTTATTATGTGAAGTCACAGTATTAATACCAATTTTTCAAGGTGAGACTTATGAAATTAGCAAGAAATGGGACATTTGACAATATATAATATGAAATGATGATCCGTTGGCCTGAATAAGAAAAGATGAGTTAGAACGCTACAAAGAATCTTTCTGTTCACTGATGGGACAATTATCAAATGCATGAATACCCCTTTCCTACCCATTAATTTAAATCCTCTTTAAGGCCAGGCACAGTGGCTCATGACTGTAATCTCAGCACTTTGGGAGGCTGAGGCCAGCAGATCATTTGAGGTCAGGAGTTCGAGACCAGCCTAGCCAACGTGGTGAAACCCCATCTCTACCAAAAAATACAAAAACGTACCTGGGCATGGTGGCGCATGCCTGTAGTCCCAGCTACTCAGGATGCTGAGGTGGGAGAATCGATTGAACCTGGGAGGCAGAGGTTGAGCCAAGATCTTGCCACCACACTCTAGACTGAGCAACAGAGTGAGACCCTATCTCAAAATAAATAGATAGATAAATAAATAAATAATGTTTAATGTAATGTAAATCACTTTATTTCACATGGGTTCATGCAAATTTTAATACATCTTTAAAAAATCAGATTATGTATATATATAAAATTTGCTTATAGTCCACATACATTTGGGTCAGTCCTGCCCAGAAATATGAAAATTGCACTGCATGATCAATAAAATCATATGATCTGGAATCTGCTTTCTAATTTCCACTTCATACTCCACTGCTGTGAGATTCTAGACAAATTAACCTCTTTGTATTTCATTTTTCCTGTCTTCAAAATGGAGATATAATAGTACTTACGTCATTGGAATAGTGCAAAAACTAATAATTCACATAGAGTGCTTAGTAATTATTGGCTATTATTACTCTTTCTACTAGCCTGGTGCACTGATTAGTATGATTAATAGCAGTAGTGATGTGGATGGGAGGTTGGAACTTGAAGAGTTGATCAGGGAAAATTTCCTAGAGGCAGAAAAGTTTGAGGAAATTTTAAGAACACATTCTTTACAGTTTAATATGAGACTGCCACTTTGCCAAACTCTTTTGTAAAATTCCTCTGTTGCCTAAAAGTTGAGTAAAGTCTGGTAAACACACAGCCTTGGGTCCAGATCCCTGAGCAGAGTTGGCTTGTGGGAAGTGACACTATGGAGAAGTTGACTTCTGGGGAATGATATCATTTAGAAAATGGACTGTAGGTGCAGAAGAAAAAAAAAATCCAGAAGACAGATAAAGAAGCGCAGGTATGAATTTAGAGGTTGAGGTCAGGAGAAATATATGCAGATGATCCTTCATCCATATAACCAGGGACTTCTAGGGGAATGGGAAACAAAGTATTCCCTCCACCCCCACCATTTATGGAGAGCTGATTTAAGCAAATTTTACTTAAATAATAAAGGAAAAGGTGACACAAGCAAGCAACCTGGAGAACTTGGGAACATACAGCAAGTTGGCATATTGGTTACATATTGAATTATCTTCTGTATTGTCAGAGTGAACAAGCCAGCTTAAAGCAACTCTCCACTTGTAAAACAAATGAAACACATATTTGCTATTCTGTGATAAAACATTTTGATAATGTTGAAGGTTGAGTCATGAGCTCAGTTAAGCTTTTTAAATAGTTCAGTCTGATACTTATGACGTTTGTTTCATTAGCATTAATTTGCTTCTGCAATAAAACCTCCCTGAACATTATTTTGTTGCTACTATATATCATGAGGCACCTCTGTGGGTGCAAAGTGTAAGCATTTCAAGGTTTTGGAATGGCTAATCTCTAAACCAGCATATCATTAGAGAACCTACAAGTTACAACTTTTGACCCTGCTTGAATTTGTTGTATTACTAGCAACAGATATACACTTTTCAGTGGCCCACTCACTGTCCACAGTCTACTATCTGCATTTACAGGTCTAGTTCCTCAATATGCGACCCTGACCTTGTGAAATGGCCCTTCTATTCCTCTGCATTTCTTCACTCTTCATATTTAAAGGCTACTTCCAAACCCTATTTGTCAGATAGTTATTTCTGATTATATCTGTGCACTCATTCATTTATCAACACATACCACTTATTTTCTAATATGCTAATGCAGGGGTGGCCAACCCCTGGGCTGCCACCTGGTACCGGTCTGTGGCCTGTTAGGAACTGGGCTAACAAGTGAGCATAACCACCTGAGCTCTGCCGCCTGTCAGATCAGCAGCAACATTAGATTCTCGTAGGAGCATGAACCCTATTGTGAATTGCACATGTGAGGGATCTAGGTTGCACACTCCTTATGAGAATCTAATGTCTGATGATCTGAGGTGGAACAGTTTCAACCTGAAACCGTCCTCACCTGTTCCTCCTGCCACACGCACCATCCATGGAAAAATTGTCTTCCATGAAACCGGTCAATGGTGCTAAAAGGATTGGGAACTGCTTCACTAATAGCGCTCATTAAACGAATATTTTCTAATATTTTAATAGTGCTGACTTGTGTCATTGTTATTTTTCTCTGCACCTGAAAGTGTTGTGTTCCTTAGCAGATTATGACTTCAGAAGGGTTAAGGTCCTTTTATTAGATTCCTTTGCTTAGCACAGTATTCAACATATAACACTAATGATGGAAGCCTGATTTCGTATCTTCCAGTAAATTATATTGTTTATAATAAGAATGGGGAAAAGCTCTAGCAGGGTCACTGGTGATAGTTCATTAATATGGAATTTAAATCAAATTTTTAGAAATTAAAAAATAAAATATAGATGGGAATTTATGATACAGCACAGTTATATTTTAGAATTAACTATAAGTTCTTTAATAATAAAAAATGCATAAACATTCTCCAGGCATTTCATAGATGAGATAATGAATGTCTTGTCATGTTAATTAACAAATAAGCTAATAAGATGCTGATGAACAAATATTCATCAATTGGAATAGAGATTGGTAAAAATATTGATGGTCACTTAACTGGGAAAAAATGCACAGTTTTGATCTGGAATCTGAGACTGTTTGCAATGGAGCATCTACAAGATGTGTCAAATGTGAATATCAGTAACATGTTTTGTTTTGAAAAAAAGAAAATGTTTTCTATATTTGCAGACTTTTCCTATGATGGCAAAAGGATGTCAGAAGTACAGCAAGCAGCAAATTTATTTGAACATGTCTTATTCAGTATATAAATAATACTATAACAATATGTGAACAAGAAATATCTCTGAAAGAGACATGCTGTGGTGAGAGTATTTTGAAACCAGAATTTAGAATTTCTTTACTATGTGAATTTTATTGTTTAAAATTTTATGTGTATAAGGATATCACATTAAAATTCTCATTTGTGAAGAGTAAGTACTTAAAAATCATATTTTACAGCCTGTTGAGCATTTTAATATTTGAAGGGCTTCAGTGTGTTTTTCATTTATTCATGAAACAAAGAATGATACATATGAAGTGTTAAAATAGCCGATACAATAAGCTATTAAGAATAACTTGTGAATATTTAAAAAGATAGAAATTTCATAGTTATATTGCAACTAAAGCCTTTGTTACATTTTTACTATTTTAGAAATCTAACTGAATCAAAATTGGTTTTCAAGAATTTGACATTTTCTTTCACGTATCCATCTTTGATAATGATGGCCTAATTAACCAGGCCCCACTGTCCTTAGAAAATAACAGAAATAGATTGTCTGAATTACATGGTCTTGATTCAAAGAAACTATTTGGTAAATTTAAGAAATAAAGATGCAATGCCTTGGCCATATAAGAGGAATTCTTTAAAAGTGTCTCAAATGATACATAAACATATCATCAACCCCTGCAAATGCCTACATGACATCACAAACAATTCAGTCATTACATTTGTTCATGACTCTATATGTTTGGGGCTATGTTAATACCATGAAATCATAAATAGTAAAATCATAAAATCTTGATGAAAAGAAAAATCAGAAAAATGTACAGCTGATCACAGATTGAATATTCATATTGGCAAAATTGAGAGTTGAACAATATAGGATGCTCTAACTTAAATAATATCAATTTGTTATTTAATTACTAAATTAAAACTTTTAAATATATTTCAATAAAAAGTATCCTATTTAGTATGCTTTGGGCTGCAAATAACAGAAAACTCAAATCATGTCTTAATGATATGGTTTATTCTCAGAACAAGAAATATTAATACAAGGACAGGGTATAGTTTGCTTCTGTGGTGTACATAGTTCTGAGCAAATATTTTTGGCAGAGACCTTGTCCGTATGAACAATCTGATTTTAAAAAAATAAGTCTTAAAATATCATGGTCCATATGAGGTGTGGTGATTTATGGATGACTGTGTATCCTGATAGAGAAGAGGTCCATAGGTATTTGTTTATTGTACCAACAATGCACTTGAAGATTTGTCGTAATGTCCAGGCACTATCTCTTCTTATGCAGGTCCATAAATCATTTCATCACATAGTTCATCAATTATGCTGTTCCTGGCTATATTATTTTCTATTGCTGTATAACAAACTGTTGCAAACTTATCAGCTTAAAACAACATAAGTTTATATCTCTGTTTCCAAAGGTCAGAATTGCAGACACATTATGACTTCGTTCTCTGCTGAAGCTGTGGCTGGGCTGAAAGTAAGGTGTTGGCTGAGACTATGGCTCTCATCTGGGGCTAGGGGTCCTCTTCCAGCTCACAGTATAATCGCAGAATTTATGTTCTTGCAGTTACAGGACTGAGCTCCCGTTTTACTGACAAATGTTAGGTATAGATGGCCCTACGCCACTAGAAGCCACTTGGAGTTCAGTACCATGTGACTTCCATAGACAGGTCACAGCATGGATATCTGCTTTTTTCCAAGGCAACCAGGTACATCTCCCTTACTTCCTCTTCTGCACCCAGCCAGAGAAAACACTCAACATAAAGGGCTCACCAGTTTATGTCAGGCCCACCAATAACAATCTCCCTTTTGCTATGTAATGTAACATAATTGTAGGAATAATAATATCTCCTGTGTTCACAGGCTCCACTCACACTCAAAGAGGAGGGGATATTTTAAGGGCAAGAGTCACTGGGGTTCATTTTAGAATTCTGCTCACCACACTGCCTGACTTTATATCCACCACAATGAGAAAAAGGTAGTGATAATATGTGACCACTCTGTAGAAGTGATTTGTACTAAAACAGTAGCGATCTTATCGCCTCTACAGTTCCTTAAAAGCATATTTTTAAATGTTTGACTTCATCATTTTGCACGGCGCTGCATCAAGCATTGTGCCACCCACGAACACTGGCCTCTAGTGACTCCTTCAGAGGTTGCTATTGTGCTTTGTTGATGATGGCCACAAATAAAAGTCTCACCAAGATTATGCAGAAAAATGTGAATGATAGTACAGTTTTAGATCATGTTAAATATAATGTTCTGTATTTTATAGCAGTAAATCTCAACGACACATTTGTCATCTGTATTTTCTCTTGAACTCTTTAGGTCACAATCATTCTATTTCTAGAATTTGGTCTTTCTCAATGTTGGCCACATATCTGTCTACCACTACCAGCGGAGAGGCTAAAGAAAGAATGTATGACGCTTATCTATATCTGTCACATGTTGGGGCTTTTTTGTGTTACGGCAATGATCTCAAAAACTCAGAGGACATAGGTGCAGCCACCCTTGGAGAACTGGTAGATATGTCATCAGGAGCCTGAAGCAGTAGTGAGGTCACTGCCCAGGTGCCAGCAGTGGTGGCCCACAGGGTAAGGGATGCTTACTGCTACTCCTGTGCCCTCCAGTGTCAGAGACCAGAGATACAATCATGGTGAACACACACCTTCACTCCCTAACTCATCACTCAATCCATAGATCAAGAGATGAAATGTCAATAATCCAGAGCCCTGCACTGTGAGTCACCTAAATGAGCAGTCAGCACCATTTTGGAGTATCCCCATCACTTACGATCCTGTGGAATAATATAGTCTTGACTAGTGGACTGACTGGTTCCCTGTGCCACCCCCTGGAACCCAGCTGTCCAAAGGACTTCATGTCTCCCCATAGGGATGAGCCTGGAGCTCTTCTGGGCATCTGGCTGACTCTACTGAGGGGGTTATGAGCGTGCCAGAGAGGCTGTAAAGGGGAGAAAAGGACCTTGGACCCATGCAGATCCTTCTCAGTCGTCACAGGGCTGCATGAAAAAACTGCAGGTAATGGCAGGGCCCAGACATTGGAGAAGGCCTTGGAACATTTCAAGGAAGGGCAGGGGAATGCTGAGGACAAGGCGAGCAGGACACATACGCTGATCCTGGGTCTATGCGGGTTCTGGGTCCCCTTTCTTCCACTTAGACTCTCCCACCCGTTCCCTGACTGATTTGCAGTTCATCCAAATGTCTTCCTGGTGATCTGTGTACTTGCCTCATTCTTGGACCACAGGGATTATTCTGTCTGTTAGCTTTCTAAAACCAAAGTGGACCATGAAAATATTTTGCTAAACCCAGAGAGTCTTTCTGCATAAGAGAAATTCTGTTACCACTTTCTTTTTTTTCCCCCTCTTGGCTGCATACACTTGTATGTAGCCACGATATTTTTTCCCCACAATATTTCACAAGTGTTACTGGAATTTAAAACTCTTGTTTTGTATATGGTAGAGACTGACTGCGTTAACGTGAAGTAGACAATAATTTCCTCTCATTTTTCTTGCTCAGAAATATCTCAAAATCAAATTCCTCCTCTAGCTGGATTTTATAATGAGGTATGACTTTTAAATCTGATTTTATCATAGCCTACAAAATAAATCTTAAACCCACAGAGCTAGAAAATGTCATTTATATTCATCAGATCTATTATTTTGCCTTTAGTCATAATCTCACCCAAACCATCACCTGTAGTGTAGCTAGGAGAATATTTTATTTTTCTAAAATCCTCTAGTTCTACAAACTCCTTCAGGAACTCACATATTTAACAAGCTCTCCAGTCAAGAAATTCATTTTCCTATTTCTCCCTTTTTTTAACCTTGGTTATTTGTCCTTTGAAAATCTCTGTAAAACTTTAGCTTAGCCATTTTTTTTTTTTTTTAGTTTAACTACACATATATTGAACATAGTTAAATGGAGGAGGAAACTGCAGTGTCAATTTTAAATTCCTCGAGATTTGATTTGATAGTACTAACCTGAATAAAAACAAAAAGATAAATCCAGCATATGTGATAAAATATTCAGAAAGTTTCTTCTCTCCTTTAATTATCCTTCTTTTTGAATACAAAAGTCATATTAAATTGCTGTAATAATGTAACATTAGGGTTGCATTGCAATTTCAGACCATATAATTATTAAACTATGAAAAATTGTAAGACATATATATTTAAGGTAAGCTAAAATATATCATTATTTTACTTATTATGCAGGCAGAAATGTTATATCTTCAACTTACATGTCTGAGTTCTAAAATAATATTTTCCAATTTTCTGTTGATTAAAATGGACACAATCTATTGCAAATAAATAAGATTAAGTAAATATGTGTTAGCTGTTTAGATTTACCTCATACTAAAGGTAAATGAATAGGAAGTTTTCAGGTCCAATGATCTCATTTTATGAAAAAAAAATTAATAACTTGAGGTGTTATGTGATTTGTATCCTGAAATGTACTTGCAATTTAAATCAGGCAAAAACATCTCATACTTCTGTGCTGACACAGCAAATCCAATTATTTGTAAATATATTGACATAAATATACTTTTGTCATTTTCTGATACGTTGTAAAAAAAAAAACCCCTGGATTTCATGGAAAAAGCATGAAATTCTCAGCCCTTTTTGTTTCACAACATCATTTGCTTGTACAAGTATTTTATGACCATGTAATTCTTGTTTCATTCCTAGAAAAGCCAGTACTAGATTGGAGTATTTGGGTAAGTGGTAGGAAATTGAAAGTCTCTAGGGTGAAAAGGCAGAGCTAGAAAACAGCAATGGGCTGTGTGAGAAGGACAACCAGAGAGGAACAATGATCCAGAAAATGGTAAATATGGCTAAGGTTGGCCTGGTCTACTTCTCACTGTGTTACCCAACTGCCGGCATCATGTATACACTGAGGAAGACGGGAAATAAACACAACTTCCACAAACTTGGACTTGTCAGTTGCCAATTCATTAAGAATATTGATCAGCAATGTGACATACTGATTATAATTGTTCATGATATGAATAAAGAGAGTTTTTGTTATAATAACTAAGTGCTAAGGGTAAACATTTTGTTACTGTTCCAACTTTTCAGTCTACTGGGTCCCTACTCCAAACTCTACCATCATCACATGTGCACATATGGAAAATAAATAAAAATCCAAATAACAGAAATTTTAAGCTTATGAGAGGCTAGAATATCATAAAGATACTTTCAATTTCTTGGAACAAGATAATTACACAAACAGGATTTGCTATTTTTGCCATAGAAAGAATTTTACAGTTAGCTATGAGAAACGAACAATAAATAGCCTAAAATGATACTTAACTGGAGAGCTGTGAGTCGAGTTTCCCAGAGCTGTGTATTCCTACTCACATGGAGTGGGTACTTCGTTAAGACTATGTTGAACCAGACTCAATGTGCTTCCCCTGTCATTATAGCATTGGACAAGCCTGCATTTTATTGTTATTGCTCCTGTGGTTTTTCGGTCTATACAATTTTCCTTTCTTCTCACTTTCCTACGGAAGTTAAAAGAAGGTAGAAAGAACATAAACAGAAGCAGAGGGTATGATGAAAACTGTGTCTTAGTCCATCTGGGCTGCTATAACAAAATGCCACAAACTCAGTGGCTTATAGACAGCAAAAATCTATTACTCACATTTCCTAAGGCTGAGAAGTCCACAGTCAGGGGCCCAGTAGATTCAGTGTCTGATGAGAGCCTGTTCGTGGTCATAGATGACACCCTCACGGAAACCATGTCTCTATTACTTCAAAGCTTTGGTTAACATGTCTTATAATCCAACTCTAGCTAGGGAAGCAGTTAAGATTTATTTACAAATAACATGTTACACAGAATAGAAAATGGTGGGAAAACTGCTTTGAAGAAGAGGAAATTTTAAAAACACAACAGACAAATGTAAAGGAACGAGTACGCTAATTGTTTCAAAGGTTAAAACACCGTAAGAGGTTGACAGGTGCTATGGGAATGGGACAGTCTCAGAATGGGATCTTCCTACTTCGAGACTCAGAGTATGTGAGGATGACATGCTTTCTTACTTCTTTTTTATTTTTATTTTTTCTTCCTCATGTACTCTTAAGCATCAAAAGGGACATGCAATGAGAGTTTGTTCCAAATGGTCATTCAGGAATCCAGGATTCTTCCATCTTGTGTTTTTGTTGTTGTTGTTGTTGTTTTTGTTTTTGTTTTTGTTTTCTCCTTGGGCTTTTTAAATTACTTTTCACCTGATCAGTTAATTAGACATGAAAATAAGGATTGGGTGAGGGAAGCTTTTGTGATCTAGGCCTGCAAATGTCACACTTCAACGCATAGTCCATTCCCCACACCTAATTTTGGGTGAGGCTAAGGCAAGTGGATTAGTTGTGTGTCTGTTTCTACCACTATATTTATACTGTAAAATATCATTTCCCATCTAGGCCACTTCAACAGCCTCCTCACCATACTCCCCTCCTCAAATCTCTTCCCTCTCCAATATCTTCTCCAAAGAGTATTTGGGTTTGGAATCCTTAATATTGACCTGTGATTCCCTGTATGTTCTCTCTCTTTTAATCTAATTTCTTACTACACTGCCCTTGCTTTCCAGAACTCAGGACCCTGCGCCTTTCCTGCACATGCTCTTCTCCCACCACAAGTCCTACATTTCATTGGTTAACTTCTACTGACATTCAAATCACATAAAGTAATACTTAGCAAAGTGAGGTTATTAATAGTAATAATACATTTATAGAGTACATACTATTATAATGCATGCCAATGCTAAGTACTTTACAAATATTAACTCATTCGATTTTCCCAATAACTCTATGGGCAGGTACTGTTATTCACCCCATTTGATGAATGAGGTACCTGAGTATTAGTAAAATGAAAAATCTACCAAGGTCACTAGGCTCGTATGTGGCAGATCTACGATTCTTGAACACAGGCATTCTGGTCTCTGATTCCAAACTTGCAGTAGTTGCGCTATATTGCCCAAAGGATGCTTTCTTGGGTAAGTCTTCCTAATATTCTAGTTCAGGACAGATTTCCATGGTATACATCCTTATGATGCTATACACTTTTGCTTCCTAGCACTAAAGCAAGTAAAGTTTTTACTTAATCGATTATTTGATTATTGTCAATCTGACCTTTTAAACAGTATTTTTTTTTTTTTTTTTTTGAGACGGAGTCTCCCTCTGTCGCCCAGGCTGGAGTGCAGTGGCGCGATCTCGGCTCACCGCAAGCTCCGCCTCCCGGGTTCACGCCATTCTCCTGCCTCAGCTTCCCGAGTAGCTGGGACTACAGGCGCCCGCCACCACGCCCGGCTAATTTTTCCTATTTTTTAGTAGAGACGGGGTTTCACCGTGTTAGCCAGGATGGTCTCGATCTCCTGACCTCGTGATCTGCCCGCCTCGGCCTCCCACAGTGGTGGGATTACAGGCGTGAGCCACTGCGCCCGGCCTTCAACAGTATTTTTTATGGCATCTAAAACCATTAAACACTTTGGCTAACTTGTATTTTCCTGACACATTAGCACAGTGGCTGACACATAGTATATGCACAATAAATTTATCTATAGCTAACAGTAGCTCCAATTTCCTAAGTTCTAGGTGGATATCATTTCACTGATTTAGAATTTTTAAAATTAAAATAACATGTCAGCCAATAAATAGATAAATATCTAAGAATCACTTGGAAGTCAAACCTGGTTAACTTCTTAAAAATATGTATAAGAATATGTTGTTATTAAGAACATAACTAATATTTTATTATTTTATTTATTTTTTATATTATGGATTGCCATAATTTATGCTTTTTTAATTTTATTGATTTAGAGTGTGCGTGCGCAGGTTTGTTACATGGACATATTGTATAACGGTGAGGTTTGCACTTCTAGTGTATCCCTGATCCTAATAAAGAACATTATACCCAACAGGTAGTTTTTCAACCCTCATCTCCCTCTCATCCCCCGTTTTTAGGAGTCCCCAGGGTCTATTATTCCCCTCTGTATGTCCATGTGTACCCATTATTTAGCACCCACTTACAAGTGAGAATATGCACTATTTGATTTTCTGTTCTGAGTCATTTCACTTAGAATAATGACTTCCCACTCCAACTATGCGGCTGCACAAGACACAATTTCAGTCTTTGTTTTTTGACTGTATAGTATTCCATGATGTATGTATACCACATTTTCTTTATCCAGCCACCTATTGATAGACACTTAGGTTGATTCCATGACTTTGCTATCATGAATTGTGCTGCAATAAACATATGAGTGCAGGTGTCTTTTTGGTATAATGGTTTCCTTTTTGGTGGTGCATGGGGTTAGATGCCTAGTAATAGAATTACTGGATTGAATAGTAATTCTATTTTTAGTTCTTGGGAAATTTCCATATTGTTTTTCATAGAGTTTATACTAATTTACATTCCCACCAAGGGTGTGTATGTTTTCTCTTTTCTCTACATCTTCTCCAACGCCTGTTGTTTTTTGACTTTTTAATGATAGCCATTCTGACTGGTGTGAGATAGCATCTCACTGTGGTTTTATTTACATTTTGTGATGATTAGTGATGTTGATTTTTTTTTCATATGTTTGTTAAACACTTATGGTTTTTTTTTTTTTGAGAAATGTCTGTTCATGTCTTTTACCCTCTTTCTAATGGGGGTTGTTTTTTATTTGTAGAGTTGTTTCAGTTCCTTGTGGATTCTTGATATTAGTATTTTGTTGGACGCATAGCTTGCAAAGATTTGTGTGACACTTTAGTTAAATGGATTTTTCTTATTTAATTTTCATAGGAAATTATGATATAGATACATTCTCTTATTAACCCCTTTTTCCTGATTAGGATATATGGTTAGTTTGGGTAATTAAATTGTTTAAGTTCACATAGACACTAAAGTAAGACAGGGAACACAACCAGTATAGCCAAAATCAATGGGCTTTTTGCCCCTTTTCAGCCTTTACTTGCAAAGATCTGGGAGAGAAGACTGGGGCCTGGGGACCTTTCAGATACAAACAAAGATTTGCAAGTGAAACACTTGAGGGAAATAGAATCCACGTCATCTAGAACCTAAGCACAATTTCCCCCTCACCCAATCACACCCTGTTTCTTACCACTACATTTAACCCTTGTCTGAGGAGCATCCCAAATGGGGAGGAAGCAGATATTGATATTTGTCAGAAGTGGGCTAAGAACAGATTCCCCCTCTCCTGAGTTTTGGGAGGCT
The DNA here is from genome assembly GCF_000001405.40 of Homo sapiens. Taxonomy (NCBI): domain Eukaryota; kingdom Metazoa; phylum Chordata; class Mammalia; order Primates; family Hominidae; genus Homo; species Homo sapiens. The sequence continues at coordinate 20,818,999 of NC_000021.9, forward strand.
TTTTTAAGCCTCTCATCAATCATGTTCACACACATTCAAAGTCTGATCAAATCGAAGCGTAAACAGGAGATTTGTTTCCAGGCCAAGAAGAAAGCACGGGAAAAGCATAAAGATATTTCTCACCCTCTGAATAACATGTATGTTTTGAATACTCTATTCCACTACCATCTGAATAGAGAGCCCTCTCTGGAAAGACTAACAGCTCAGAGACTGTCCACTCTGAATGTACTGGCCACACAGACATGCTTAGAACATAAACTGACAGTCAGACTTGTCTCAGGAAGAGTAACCTTTCTGAAGGATGGTTCTCTCTAGATATTCTGAATGTCCTAATTCTAATGCATACACATTGAAAACTCATACACTCCAGTATAGCCATCTCGGATCATGAACATCTCTGGCACATTGACTTCTTCCTCAATCCCAGCCATCTCCATGATGGTGTGAATGGAGGAAATCTTTACCTAATCCTCATGGGTAACTTATGAATGTTGAAAAAAGTTAGCAGCCCTACTTAGGAGAAGAATAACATAGGATTACAAAGTTTGGTCCACTTACAAAGTCTCATACTACTTCATCAGCTGCAGTTTTGGGTTATTTACATGTTTTGCTGTCCAAAAAAGCATAGAAACTGGCTATGATAAACTAGACTGACCAAATCATACAGATATGTGCACATTGAATCTCTTGCACATATTTCATATTTTATGTGGATTCAGCTTACACCCTAAAAATAAAAAAATTAAGATTAAGATCTCTACTTTAGATGTTTACTTGATTTTTTTTTTGTTCAATACCTCTTAATATTTAGCTCATTCTTTTATATGGATATTAATTTTTCACCTTTTCTTTTTAATACAGATACAAATTTTGGCTACTGACAGATATATGTAGTCAATCTGTCCCATCAGAAGAGATATTTTAACATAATTCTTCCAGGATATTAGTTCAGTGAAAACTCACAGGGTCCCTTTTTTTTTTTTTTTAGATTTTTAAATGACACATTTGACCTAAAAAAAAGATTTTCTTTATATAGAGTTTTTAAAACACATATAATTTTACAATAATGTCATTTCTAAATATATATCTAGAACACTTAGTCATCCGATGTACAGTTAATATAGCTCTCTCACATGGATCTTAGAAAGAACTGAAATTGTACGGATTTGCCTAATCTTAAAAATACTCACTGGGTAGCTTTGAGATATGTATAATATCTCAGCTCAAACTTTTACAAGCTCTAAATCTTTAATAGGATTCTTAAACCTACCCTCTTAAATATACAAATTTATTGAGGATACATTTATCTAAAATAAGACAGTAGTTCTTTAAGGTTAAAATATTAATTATGTAAAAATTAAGCCTCATTTGAGAACAAATTTGAAAAGTTTACAGTAAAAGTTCAAAACCATGTCTTCTCTCTTGTAATGTCTCTCAGAAGGTGAAAGAAATCTCAGAGGCTTTGACTGGATGATGTTCAGTGCATGTGAAAAATGGAAAAACAGAGAGTGTCATTGCCCCTGAAGAAACTCCACTTTTTTTTTCCTGGTATTCAAAATCAAGAACCGAAGCTGCACAAATACAGGTATAGCTTTCAGTTCATCAGAGTAATGATTTTCTCTGAACTTTGCAATGGGGATTTTGCCAAACAAAAATGAGTCAAGGGAAGTTTTATTTTAAAAAGTTTAGAAAAAAAAGATAGTGCAAGTAATCACAAGACATTACTTTGGGTTGCTTTGCAAAAGACCAACAAATCTGTGAAAAGTATTCCTTTGAAACTCTATTTTCTCTTGATTACAAAGAGAATTTATATATTACAGTAATATTACCACCCAACCTCTGACTTTCCCCAATTTTTCTTTCCAGCCAAATATTTCTCAAATATTTCTACTTATTTTATTCCTCCATGTTCTCATTCACAATGTTCCTTCTGCCTGAAATACTAATCTCCTAAAAACCTCTCCTTCCTTTTGTCTCTGTCATTTTTTATTTAGTGTCTTGTCCTCCTACCCTAGCCTTTTTAGGAACTTTTTAATCTTATGAATACAAAATAGTTGTACATATTTAGGGAGTACATGTGATATATTGATACAAGCACGCAATGTGTAATGATAAAACCAGGGTAATTGGGATGTCCATAATCTCAAGAACTTATCATTTCTTTGTGTTTAGAATATTGCGATTCTATTATTTTTACCATTCTGAAATACATAATAAGTTATTGTTAGCTATAGTCATTCTATTGTGCTACTGAACACTGGATCTTATTTCTTCTAACAGTATTTTTGTACCCATTGACCAACCGCTCTTTATCCTCCCTTTTCCAGTACCTTTCCCAGCCTCTGGTAGCCATCATTTTATTCTCTGTCTCCATGAGTTTGATTTAGTTTTTAGCTCCCACATATGAGTGAGAACACGTAATATCTGTCTTCCTGTGCCTGGAGTATTTCACTTAACATGTCTTTCAGTTCTATTAATGTTGCTGCAAATGGCAGGATTTTCTTTTCTACAGCTAAAAGATATTTCACTGTGGATATGTACCACATTTTCTTTATCCTTTTGTCTGTTGATGGACACTTAGGTTGATTCCAAATCTTGGTTATTTGAATAGTGCTGCAGTAAACATGGAAGTGCAGATATCTCTTTGATACACTGGTTTCCTTTTTTCTTGATATACACCCAGTGGTGAAATTGCTGGATCATATGGTAGTTCTGCTTTTAGATTTTGAGGAACCTCCATACTGTTCACCATAGTGGCCGTAATAATTTACATTCCCACCAACAGTCTATGAGGGCTTTGCTTTCCCACATCCTCACCAGCATACATTATTGAATGTCTTTTGGATAAATCCCATTTTAAAAGGGATAAGTTGATATCTCATTGCAGTTTTTATTTGCATTTCTCAGATTGTTAGTGCTATTGAGCATTTGTGCACATACCTGGCCTCTTGGAAAGCGTATGCTTACATGTCCTAATGACTCCCTTAATTATGATTACACTTGTAAACCGTAACTCTCCATGTTGCATTTTCTATACTCTTTTACAATCTACATTCCCAATTTAAGCTTTTAGTATTTATTTAAACACGTTTTTATGTTATTCTAGGACGGGGAATATTTTACGTATCTTTATACTCCCACCCAATGCCCGTTCCCACTGTAACCCCAAACATACAGTGCACATATTCAACATTTAGTAAATATTTGTTTCCATTTACAGACTAAATGACAGTTCCTTTTTATTGTCTTTTTTCCTGTGCTGTTTTCTTTACCTTTCTCTCGTTCCATCACAGTAATTAATATTTTTTAATATAAATGCCATATTGAAGCAATGCAAATAACTTTGGGCTCTAAGAAGCAAGAGTCCTAATTATTAATGTGAAAGTTTCATAAGCAGGAAGTGACAGGAGTACATTCCCCTTATCAAACAGGGCTGGGATTACAACCAGCAGTTTCCAGCTCATCTTGTTCACATTTGCATTTTCATTACATGACTCTGGAAATCTGGTAAGAATAAGTTATTATTCATTTCTTTCCCTTCATTCGTATGTTCACTCAATACGGTTATGCATGCATCTCTATTAAGCTTTGCATTTGAAACCAACTGTCCCCTGTAAAAGCTCAAGTGGACAGACATTCCCCCAACAAATACATTTTATGAAAAGATCAATGTCCTATTATGCTCTACAGAGAAGAAATATCTAAGCACATTCTCGTTTTTAACAAGCAGTGGGAAAATTACAAACTAAATCAATATGTCCAACAGAATGCCTGCTCATTTACCACTGACTCAGGCTATTCCTGGAGATTCTTCTGCAGCTGTCTTTTTTCTACATTTTGTTTTCGGAACTGACACATGGAAACTTGAGGACTGAAATACTAAGACTTCAAAGCTCCCACTCTGTGTGGGCAACATCTTTCACTGGCAGCAGGGATGACACAAACACTTTCATCATTGGGCTGAATAATAAGCCTTCCTCCAGGGGGTAACTCTATGGAGAAAGCTCCCTGCACCCATTATGTCAGACTACAATTGAGCAACTTGAGGAATGCTGGCCCACTGGCACATACGATATTTGTATATTTTGCAGGCTTTTGTCCCAGTGATTATCGTAAGGCTATATTTTGAGGTTAAAAAAATAGTCATTGAAATTTCTGTTCTGGGCATTTAAAAAATACTCTGAGTTCTACAAAATGAAATTATTGTTTTGTGCTAAAATATGACTCTTAATTTAGATTTTCCTACAGAGACTATTACAACCATAGAAAAATTAAAACTATTTCTCAAGCCTTTGAAGCCAAAATATTCAGTTTTTTTTCTTTCAAAAGCATCAGTTTGGTGAAAAACCGATTTTTTAAAATCCAAATACAACAACAAAAAGCATGCACCACTGCTCGTAAACATTTATGTTTATATCACAAATGGCAATTAGGGTAATAAGAATTTCTGAGTTGTTATATTGTGTTCACATTTTTGGATTATACAAATATAGGTACTGCTTTTAAAGAACTGCATTCAAATATATTATTCACAAAATTTCTCAGTAATGTAGCTTTCTATGGACATGGTAAATGCTTTCATTTAAACATTTTGCAGTCTATTTGTAACATTACAATCTTTTACGTAAACCTAAGTCTCCAAGGCAATGGTTTCTGCTACCTTCTTGCCACGTAAGCCAATTGCCTGCAAACTCATTGTACCTTTGATTCAGGATTGAAATATAACCTTGAATTGCAAGACACAGTCAATCTCCCTGTGGCAGGTAGAGGCTTAGCCCTTGTTACACAAGTCTACCTAAAAAGCTCCCTTACAGATTCATTACTTGAATTATTTTTTTTTAATATGAAAGAAAATCACAAATGGTTCTGGAAGTTCTGTGGCTTGTCTTCCGCAGCAAATACAAAGCTTTTCTAAGACTACCAAGAGATGAGAAGAGTGTCTGTAATTCTAGTATTATGTAAACATTTGATATGCTAAGGAATTTCCATTTAAAAAACCATAGAACCATTTAAACACCCTATCAAATTGGAAAACCTTTTGGAAACAGTTACTACAGAAAAATAATGCATGGAAGTGAAGTCACTCACCACCTAGAATGAATAAATTAGTATTTATGTAAAGATGTGATGTAAAATACAAAGTTAAAAAATAATAATTCACGTATTTTGGCTGTTGGATCTGAGTTAAATGTGACATAACTGGGATTGAATTAATGCAGAGAATGAGTTTGTGGTTGCCATAAGCAGTAGTAACAGTAATCTTTTTTTTTTTTTGAGAAAGGTCTTTCTCTGTCTCCCAGGCTGGAGTACAGTGGCACAATCACAGCTCACTGCAGCTTCAACCCTGCCTGGTAGCTGCCAAGGGTAAACTTCCCTTTTACCTCCTGAATTTTTGCGAAAAATCAATTCACAAAGGCAGAATAATAGAAGAAAAGGCATTCAAATGTATTAGCATGCCTGGGGGTGGGTGTGGGAGGGAATTACAGAGTGATTTTCCCACCATGCAATAGGAAACCAATGGTTATATAGCCTCCTTCTTAGAGAATAAGAGATGGAGAAGTACGGATGATTTTAGGGGGTAGTAAATAATTTTCAGGGGAATTCAATGGGCTTAAACAACATACAGTGATGTGGGATAAAGTCTGTTGAGCTCCTGGGCAGACAACGGTTTGTAACAAAAGTCTGTCTGGATGTGTTGACAGACTTGAGTCTTTCTTCCCACCGTATGATTTCGGTTAATGAAAATTCAGGGAAGATACCAGAGGTAATTGTTTTCTTATTTAGTAAGTCCAAATTTTAGGCAGATAAGGGAACTTCAGATAACAATTTGATCCTGTGATTTGGGAGACACAGAAGATTGAGAGCCAGGAAGTGTGTTGTGGGCAGAGAGATACTGAATCTTTTTCTGTTGAGCATGTCAAATAACCCCATTTTGGGGTATCGGTTTTTGAACCCTAACACTAAAAATGGAAACTTATTTGAAAATAGGGTCTTTGCTTTCCTCTTCAGATATGATTAGTTAAAGATCTCAAGATGATATCATACTGGATTTAGGTTTATCCCTAAAGTCAAAGTTGCTGTCAACCACCAGATGCCAGGAGAGAGAGAGGCTTGGAATGGTTTCTCCCTCAGAGACTCCAGAAGGAACCAACCTTGCCAACAATTTACTTTCAGACTTCCAGCCTTCTGAACTGTGAGAAAACGCATTTCCTTTTTCTTAAGCGATCTAGTTTGTGGTAATGTTTTGATGGAAGCCCTAGGAAACTAATACAGCATGTAAGTAAGGTGAAAGTTAGTAAGAACTATATTAGTCGGTTCTCATGCTGCTATAAAGAACTGCCCAAGGCTGGGTAATTTATAAAGAAAAGATGTTTAATTGGTTCACAGTTCCACATTGCTAGGGAGGCCTCAGGAAACTTACAGTCATGGACGAAGGCATAGGAGAAGCAGGCACCTTCTTCACAGGGTAGCAGAATGGAGTGGGTGTCGAAGGAAGGGGAAAGCCCCTTATAAAATCATCACATCTCTTGACAACTCACTCACTATCACAAGAACAGCATGGGGGATTCTGATAATTCTGATACAGTTATCTCCACCTGGTCCTGCCCTTGACACTCAGGGATTACTGGAACTACAATTCAAGATGAAATTTGGGTGGGGACACAGCCTAGGTCCCCCGAGGGACCTAGGTAATTATAATTAAAGAACCTAGGTAATTATAAAGAAATAAAGTTAAATATTACAAAAATAGAGCTGTTTATAATGAACATCAAAATCTGTGATTTAATAAGGCAGTAATGTTTTATTTGTGTTTATTTTATATTTTTAAGTATTCAACGCTAGGAGTATATTTCTTAATTAAGGTTTTTAAGTGCAAGAACTATATGTTATTCCAAGCATAAACTATGATGTTTGTTGATATATTTTCATAGGTTCATAGAATTTTTGAGTAGTAAGGCACTTTTTAGTTATCTCTCCTGAACTCTTAATTTTGGAGAAAGTTCTGTGACTTATTTCAAAATTACACATCTAGACAGAGTACCTGGTTATGAATCCTTACCCTCAATTTCCAGTACCATAACCACATCATCAATTAAAATAAGCCTGAAAAATTATTAAATTCTAGTTAGTAGGTAATAACTCTGGTTCTGGTTGTAGTTATATACTAGGAAACAGCATTTGATTTTTTACTTTGGGAAAAATAAGGTTCATTGGATATTTTTAAATTTCAGTGTATATTAGTCCAGTCTCATGCTGCTAATAAAGGCATAACTGAGACTGGGTAATTTATATAGGAAAGAGGTTTAATTGACTCACAGTTCAGTATGGCTGGGGAAGCCTCAGGAAACTTATAATCATGGTGGAAGGGGAAGCAAACACGTCCTTCTTCACATAGTAGCAGCAAAGAAAAGTGCAGGGTGAAGCGCGGTTGGGGGAAGCCCCTTATAAAACCATCAGATCTTGTGAGAACTCACTATCACAAGAAAATGATGAAGGTAACCGCCCCCATGATTCAATTACCTCCCACTGGGTCCCTCCCACAATAATGGGGATTATGGGAACTACAATTCAAAGATAAGATTTGGGCGGGACACAGCCCAATAATATCACAGTGTTTTGTTCCTTTTTCTCTTTTTTTCTCTCTCCCTTGCCTTCTTTCTCTCTTCCATTTAAAAATTTTTTTCTTTCTACTTCATAGGAACAGCATTTTCCATATATATATATATATATATATATATATATATATATTTTTTTTTTTTTTTTTTTGAGACGGGAGTCTTGCTCTTTCACCCAGGCTGGAGTGCAGTGGCGCGATCTCGGCTCACTGCAAGCTCCGCCTCCCGGGTTCACGCCATTCTCCTGCCTCAGCCTCCCAAGTAGCTGGGACTACAGGCACCCGCCACCACGCCTGGCTAATTTTTTGTATTTTTAGTAGAGACGGGGCTTCACCGTGTTAGCCAGGATGGTCTCGATCTCCTGACCTCGTGATCTGCCCGCCTCAGCCTCCCAAAGTGTTGGGATTACAGGCGTGAGCCACCGTGCCCAGCCCATTTTCCACATTTTTTTAGAACTGTTGAGACTATTATGTTAGTTTGCCTGCTCAGTGGCCCCTTAATCAAAGAGTCTTAGGCAGAGTAAAGAAAGATCAGGAGGTAGTAAAATTACAGGCACAACAACAGATTTGATGGCTACCAATGAGCATAAAGTCTGAACTACACTAGATGTTTTTGCAACCTGATAGACAGTAGTCTGAAGAGGCACAACATCTCAGTTCTACAGACAAAACACTATGGACATTACCCAGGTTTCCAATATCACTCTGTATAAGTCTGTTCTCATGCTGCTGATAGAGACATACCCGAGACTGGGTAATCTATAATGAAAAAAAGGTTTAATGTGCTCACAGTTCCATGTGGCTGGGGAGGCCTCACAATCATGGTGGAAGGAGAAAGGCATGTCTTATGTGGCAGCAGGCAAGAGAGAATGAGAATAAAGAGAAACGGTTTCCCCTTATAAAACCATTAGATCTCATGAGACTTATTCACTACCACGAGAACAGTATGGAGGAAACCTCCCCCATGATTCAATTGTATTTCACTGGGTCCCACCAACAACACATGGGAATTCTGGGAGCTACAATTCAAGATGAGATTTGGGTGGGAACACAGCCAAACCATATCACACTCAAATTGAAAACATGTATATATCAGTTTTCTAGAGAATTATTTTTTGTAATGGCTATGCAAAATACACTCTGCTAATTAAGTTTAAATAGGCCCAACCAAATGTGATTCTGCCCTCCTTCCTCAACCCCATCAGTAAAGAGAAGGAAAGATATTGATGGTCTTCACTGATATGTAATTTTTATGTATTTTTATCTACGAGAATATGCATTCTTTTTGTAGTAATTCTTTTTTGTTGTTATTTAGTTTTTATTTTATAATCATAAACTTAACTCTACAATCCAGCTAGGCATGAAAGGGAACAAGGAAAACATGGAACCCAAAGGGAACTGCAGCAAGAGCACAAAGATGATGGGATACTGTGAGCAAGTGGGGTAGAGGGGTGCTCTCCTGAGCAACAGAAGGAATGGTCTGGTGGTGAAGATAAAACACAAGTCAAACCTATTAGAGTTGTCCACAGTCAGCAATGGTGATCTTCTTGCTGGTCTTGCCATTTGTGGACCCAAAGCACTCCATGGCTTCCACAATACTCACGCCTTCCTTCCCTTGCCAAAGACCACCTGCATGCCATCCAACCACTCAGACATGGCAGTGCAGATGAAAAACTGGGAACCATTTGTGTTGGGTCCAGCACATTCTCCACGGACAAGATGCCAGGACCTGTATAATTTAGGACGAAGTTCTCATCATCAAATTTCTTCCCGTAGATGGACTTGCCACCAGTGCCATTATGCTGTGTGAAGTCACCACCCTGACACATAAACCCAGGAACAATTCTGTGAAAGTAGGAACCTTTATAACCAAATCCTTTCTCTCCAATGATTAGAGCACAAAAATTTTCTGCTGTCTTTGGAATCTTGTCTGCAAACAGCTCAAAGGAGACACGTCCCAAGAGCTCACCATCCACGATGATGTCTAAGAACCTGGTGGGGTTGACCATGGCTGATAGAACGGGGCTCCTGGCAGCGGTGGCATCTGCAAAGCCATAGTAATTCTTTTAATTTGTTGGCAATAATTAAGTAAAGTTAAATTTGGCATTACTTATGTTTTATATGAGAAAACAGAAGCAAAGTTAGGAAGGTCATTTACGTTATTTTTTTGAGATTTTCTAGTCACCATATTTATGGATTGTTTTGCTGTTAATTCAGTCTAAAATACGCTTTGTAGCTTTTTTATTCACCATATTATATGGAAAGTACATTGACTACTGTTTCAAATTAATCACTAAGATTTTAGAAAACAGATTGTTGTATGAACAATATTCACATTTAATATTTTACATAAGCCTCATTTTGTCTAAAAGCTGATAAGTAGGAAAGTTATAATTAGAACATTACAAAATACTATCTTAAAATTCAGGTTGAGCTGTCCTTTGAATTCATCTCCACAATATCTGCATACATTCATTAACTTCAGATGTAATTGGAAGGCACATAATTAATGCAATGGTTCTGAATGTTTATCAAATTACCACCAATCATCACGGTTTCTTGATGATGCTCGGCAACAGGGTGCATGGACATCAGTAAAATTCTAATTATGAATTACTAATTGTAATGACTCCACCAGGCCTAAAATACAGCATCACTGTTTAAATTAAATTAAGTTAGTTTTATTGACTTCATTATTGAAGGATGAGCTGTTTCAAGCAGTAAAATTTTGAACTGACATTTTAAATGATTTCTACTGTTATAATGAATGTCAATTCTTCTCAAAGAGGGTACAACAAACAGAAAGATGCTGAGGATAATAGGTCACACGAATTAACACATGCTTGCTTATCAGATGCCGGGAAGAGAAAGGAGTGTTAAAATATATTCACCCATTTTTATTTCAGCTGTTCATTTTAAAAAGAAGAAGCATAAAAATATAGAAGCAATGACCTACCATGAATTTCTAGACAAACCTTGTTTACATTCCATGAATGTAAATATACATAACATTTATTAAAACAGCAACAAAGACTACCACCCATTCTGTATTGTTTTCGCGTACAGCACTGTTATGCTGAGTCTGCATCTCTCCAAGTTTGAATTCCTCTGCTCTCCATCAGCGAAGCGATCATTCTCTAGTAAGTCTTTTCATATTATAAACTCTAGAAGAGTAATCTTTTAATCAATTAAATTATGAATTTAAGGAACAACTCAAAATTAATTAATTTCAGACCCCATCATATTGAAACTTGCCTCAGAAACACAGGCAAACCCAAATTGTTTCCAACTTCAAACTATTACTTTTAGTTGGAAACACATGTTAATTGTTTAGGTATACCAAAATTAACATCTTAATTATATTTTTCACATTCTTTCTGACAAGTAGAGTACATGTGCCATAGAAGATACTGCCTGTATTAGCAAATACCTTCTGTCTGATATTCACATACTCAGCTCACTTCAGAGGTGATTTATTCATGTGATCTCCAGCTATGAAGCTTTGGGTAAAAATAAGAACAAAACAAACAAACAAGAAATAACTTCAGTACTGATCAGCCTTCGTGGTTTTATTCTTGGAAGTTTCACCACTGTGAAATTTAAGTAAATATTTTCTAGACCTTGTAAAGTTGAAAAAGGCCTCCTAGTTTATATGAAATATGCCCTCCTTCCTCATCTAAATAGTTTTCACTTTGCAACAAAGCTACCGTATTTACCGACTGTATGTGTTCTTAGTGGTAAAATCAGTCTAAAAATAACAATGTTTTATCTTTCAGATTGAAGTAATCTACCCCTAAAGCTGAACCCATTAGAATTCTGGATCATAATCTTGGTGATTTCTTAAAGCTTCATTGCAAATTTTCCATGGCAGCAATTTTGACTATAATAAATGCCAGCTGCTATCGTCTTTAAAAGCATAAAATGCTTCAACTTCTCAAACAGCATGTATCTTTTAAAATCTACATTACCCTATTTGCTAATTTGTTACTTCTCTCTTTTGTTGCATCATATTGAGAGAGGAAGGGAGCTTAAATATTCCAAACACAATTGATATCATCATCCTCTGGCCCTGCTTTTTCTTTTCTCCTTTGTTCACAGAAGGCAATGGATAAACCCATGTCTATATCACAATTCCAAAGTAGCCAACTCATCATTGACTCTCGTGGTTCTCTCAACAAGTATCATTCCTTACCAGTCCTTGTGTTGCTAAGCTTCTAGCTATTATTTCTTCTGATTTTTTTTCTTACAAAAGAGGATATAGTGGCATTTATACGAAGGCTATTTCATGAAAATTTACCTTGGTGCAAGTGATATGAGCTATTAAATCCATCTTTCGGCCAGATATTCCATTCTGCCTTAGAAAGCCCAATACTAATCCAAGAAAGACATGGAAACATGAAATTCACACTTATTTCTAAGAGTTGTAATTGCTGTGAGTTTTCAGCATATCTTAGCCCATTTGGAAGAATGGGGTTTTCTTGAGGCTTTCTTGAACCCGGAGAGCTTTCGGAATAGTACTTTCCAAGGAGTCTGAGATATTTCTTTATTTTATTTTAGGATAGCTTTGGTGCTTTCTCTGAGGGTGGCTTAGGGTAAATGGCATTGAACAAGATGGCCTTAAAATTCCCCTTAGCTTGTCTGAACTTTATACAGGCTTCTTTTTGTCTCTAGGTAACTGACCTCCCTCTCACTCTGGACCAGGTGGGCTAACCACAGAGGATCCTGACCTTCCTTCCCCCTATCCCTTACAGAACCCAGGTTACACAATCACAGAGCAAAACATTCCAAGCAAGAGGCCCTAATCACAAACTTAATATATAACTTAATGTACTTGACACACCCCATTGATCAATCTCCCTGCAACATCCTTTGTTACTTTTCCACTAACTCACCACAACTCTTAAAAACCCTACCATTCTTTGTTACAGAAGAGGTAAGTTCAGACTGAATTATTGCCTCTCTCCCCATTGCAATAGTCTTGAATAAAATAATAATTGCCTGTTTAACATTGTCTGATGAAATTTTTCTTGACAACCGTGAATAAAGGCAGTGACGTTACCATACCTGTTGCATGCAATGCTTGAACAATGATATACAATAGGAGAATTTGAGTGACACCTTGCCTGTGATCACTTCAATAAATATGAAGTGGTGGCTTCTTTGTAATAATTTTAATTCACTTTAACAGATAACTGGAAGTTGTATTAAAAGATAGAGACTGAGAAACACAATAAAAGGATAATGGAAAAAAGCCAGAAAGTAATAAATTTGCCAATTAATAGAAATTATCTGTATTAAGCTCTTACAGGACCCTTCAAAAGTGTTGAAATGGGAACTGCAACAATGGACATGCACATCAAATAGAATGTCCTGCTGTAACTCTTATTTACTAATCTCTGCAGTTAATATCAATTACTACACGGCATCAACCCTGTTCTGCACTATATTGTTGATGATAGGACACCTGTATTCCAATTATTTTTGAAGTTAGAGACATGTCCAATGTTTCCTTTCAACAAACCAGTATACTCTGTGTGGACATGCTCCCCCTGGCCTACTCTCAATAGGGTTCATAAAATAGGCTTACAACTGAGATTTATTTTTCTCTGTTCAAATGAAAGACATGTTGTATTCTGATATTAATACTAATGAAGACTTTGGCTCTATTCACTCTGCAAATGATGCCCCCAGGGTAGATGAGGAAGAATCTTCAATCAATGTGTGCATAGTTTTGTATTGGCTTATTTATTTTAATTTCAGTGTCCATAACTCCTGGCACTATTAGAATATTCAATTATAATGTAGTCCAAAGTGCTATAAAAATAATTTTCTCTTAATTACACTATGTCCTTTTATCTGCACATTATTTTTAAAAAATAACTCAACGTATTCCACTTATGGTTATACTGAACAACAATATGCTTTTCGAGTCTTTGGCAAGTCAATGCATATTTTCTAAAGAAACCTTAATGTAATTATTATTTCAAATGTAAGTATAATTTCTTCCAGAGAAACCCAGGGAAGAACTGGAATAAAATATTAATGAGAAAACCTCAACGAAAGTACACACTAAAATATTCTAATAAATAAAATATAATCAAATTATCAAGCTGGACAGTCTGACTCCACAGTCCTTGCTCTTAATTATTTTGTTCAGAAGATACGTTAAGAAAATGGGCTTTCCTTCAAAAAAAACTCAGATAGACGGGGCGCGGTGGCTCATGCCTGTAATCCCAGCACTTTGGGAGGCCGAGGTGGGCGGATCACGAGGTCAGGATATCGAGACCATCCTGGCTAACATGGTGAAATCCCGTCTCTACTAAAAATACAAAACATTAGCCGGGCGTGGTGGTGGGCGCCTGTAGTCCCAGCTACTCGGGAGCCTGAGGCAGGAGAATGGCGCAAACCCGGGAGGCGGAGCTTGCAGTGCGCCGAGATCGCGCCACTGCACTACAGCCTGGGCGACAGAGCGAGACTCCGTCTCAAACAACAACAACAACAACAACAACAACAACAACAACAACAAACTCACAGATACGTAGGTAAAAAAGATAATACTTGGTAACAATGAATGGTAGTAAGTGATTATGGGACATTTACATTTGGTAAGCCTAATATGAGTTAACTAACAACAATAGTAATATCAAAACTAATAATAGTTCTGGAAATAGTAAAAGCTAACGTGTGATTAGCACTAATCATGTGCTGGGCCTTTTTCTAAACACCTTCCCTAAAGTATTTTTATGTAATTTTTATTTAATCCTTTTTAAAGGATACATGAGATTTACGATGAAAAAATGGAAAAAAAGATATGTAGTTTGTCCAAGGTCATATTTGCAGTAAGTGAGAAAACACCTCCTATATTTTCCGTTCATTATTATTACTTCTTTGCAGAATATTGATCTCAGCTTGGGGAAAATTTATACCACACTTTTGTTTCTTTTCCAAGAGTTCATAATTTGGTGTACAGCCACCCTTATGTGTGTGTCTGAAATAGTCTTTAAGAATTATCTCTAGTAAAGTAAAACAAGAATTAACTTACTGAATTCTAAGAAAACGTGCTATTGTCAAAAGTTTAAGGAGATTCTTCCCAACAATCTTCTCACACAAAGACACACACACACACAGAGACACACAGAACACACACCACAAAAACACAAACATACACATGTTTGGGATTCTTACATCTCTGCAATCTTCTCACACAAAGACACACACACACAGAGACACGCAGAACACACACCACAAAAACACAAACATACACATGTTTGGGATTCTTACATCTCCGCAATCTTCTCACACAAAGACACACACACACAGAGACACGCAGAACACACACCACAAAAACACAAACATACACATGTTTGGGATTCTTACATCTCTGCACTTATAGATTAAGCTATTATTTTTATTTTTAAAAGCATTTTTAATATGTAGCACCAAACACAGTGTCACTAAATACATTTTCTGGATTGAAAAATTGAACTAAAGCCTAGGTGTATTTCACTCAGACTAGAATATCATCAATGACCCAATGAATTTTGTGTTTGTGCCACTCATCACTTACCATTTTCCTTTAAATGTTTTGGAATTCACTCTGAAAATATACAGAGGTTGCATGCTACAGTAATTTCTGCAACAGATAAGTTTTTACTTGATCCAACACATTTTCGGTTTTGTTTTAGTTTTAGTTGTTGCTGTCTTGTATAATTTTGGTAAAGGAGTTACCATGAGAATTCATTAGAGATTTTTTTTTCTTGTCATAATTGTTGCAGGCTAGGTTCTCTTATGCTGATTCATGTTAGTTTTCTCATATTAGAGGAGATGCATAACACATGTGTTTTGAATTGTATCTTCCCTACTACCTAGAAATGCTTTTGTATCTTAAAGGGGAGTAATAGCTCCCCCTTTCACATTATCTATTAAGTCTCTTTTGTGGCTGTTACAGGTATTCTAAAGGCACAGACTTTGATGTACCATATTAGGGCTAACCTCTCAGAAGTGGAGTTTTTTTTTTCAAGAAAGCACAGTTTGAAAAGGCAAAGAAATATAGCTTCAGTCAAAATGGTTTGATAAAGAGCCAATGATTTTCCTTTTAGTGAAACAATCTGAAAATCTTAGAAAATCACATTCTGAATGTCTGAGTGGTTATATTACTATTTATCTCACTCTAATTAAACAGACTTATAAGAATATTTACTACTCTCTCTACCAGATTAAACCAACCAGACCTTATTAGTTCAATATATCTACAGAAATATCAGGCAGGTATATGTATACACACACACACACATATTTAACTTTTATTTCAGGTTCAGGCATACATGTGAAAGTTTGTTACATAGGTAAACTCATGTCATAGGTGTTTGTTATTTCATCACTCAGGAATTAAGCCCAGTACCCAATAGTTATATTTCCTGCTCCTCTCCCTCCTCCCACCTTCCACCCTCAAGTACTCAAGGAGATCCCAGTGTCTGTGGCTTTATGTTCATACATTCTCATCATTTATCTCCCACTTTTAAGTGAGAACAACGAGCAAGTGTATTTTATCAAAATTAAGACCAAAACATCTTGTTTTAAAATATATGCAAATAGTTACTGGCATTAATTATGATTAGACCTAATGGAATCTTTTTATAATTTTGTGTCTGTTTTAATTTGCATTGCCACTTTCAAAATAATGGTTGTTCTCCATACCTTCTGGTCTGATAGCAAAACTTTTTCTTCTGTACTAAAGATCAGCATATAGAGAATATCCTATATTACAAAATGTGTTACTTCATCTTACGTTCTCAACCCCATACACTCTTGTCACCTTTGTAAAGTGAGAGAGCTGTTAACAGCAGTGGCCTAAGAGATGCTGACTGAAATTAAACTTCATTTTCAAGTACATTTCACAGCACTTTGTCATGACAAGTCCTTTCTTATGTGATGTGGTCTCAGAGACTGCCAGACAGGCCAAAATGGTAAAAGTTCATTATCATTTGGATAAAACTTCCCTAATTATTAAACAAAGTGAACAATACCTAGAAATGTATGGCAAGAAGGGAGAGGAAATGAACAAATTAAGAACTCTAAATAGAACAATCTAATGTGGGGTTTTAATTTGAAAGCAACAAATGACAGGCCAGCATTTTCAATTAACAAATAATTTTGTTACAATAATTCTTTTCTTATAGTATTTGTTTTGGTTGTTCTTACTTGATTGGGAAAGATGAACCTAATAATTATGTAAAAATTACGAACACCTGAAAATATACACTTCTATTTCACAGGCAGATTTTAGAGCTGTTGTACAAACAGGATTTTAAAAATATATTGCATAGTCGGGTTCTGTGACTCACTCCTGTAATCCCAGCACTTCGGGTGGCTGAGGCGGGTGATCACCTGAGGTCAGGAGTTTGAGACCAGCCTGACCAACATGGTGAAACCTCGTCTCTATTGAAAATACAAAGATTAGCTGGGCGTGGTGATGGGCACCTGTACTCCCAGCTACTCAGGAGGCTGAGGCAGGAGAATTGCTTGAACCCAGGGGTGGAGGTTGCAGTGAGCCGAGATTGTATTGCATACAAGCTAATACTTTTATAGCTTCTCATTGAATATTCTTCATATTCTTGCCCAATTTATGTCCCATTAAAAAAAAAGTCTTAAAATCCTTCGAGGTTGCCATATAGATTTACAATGTGAGCTTACACGTGTTAGAAAGTGATTATTTTGTAGATTTGTTTTGTTTTGGTTTGATTGCCAGTCATGCAGAGTATTCTGTGTATGAAATACCTTTTGCAAATTGAAGCTTACTAAGAATTAATAGAATCTTAGCACAATAGGCTTGGAATACATATTTACTTTTCCATCAAGGTCAGTTTTCTCAAGGCCTTACTAACAAGTGAGATTCAACTTACAATTGCATAGACAGAAAGTGATCTGTCCTTTTTTTGTGAAGTTTCATTATTCAATATTTGAACAGATAGAACTGCACATGGAATAAATATCAAAAGGCACCAACAGGGCTATATCAACATGCTGGAGTCTCTTCATCGGTATCCCACAGCTTCTAGACTCTAATATCATAGATAAATTTTATTATCAATTCCTCTCTATTTTTCCTGAGATGTAATATGCTTTTATAAATATATGCCTAAGTACTATAATATTTAATGCTTTTTAAGTATCATAGCTTAGATATAATATACTATCAGTATGTAGAAAGCTCTGTCATTTATTTTAAAGGAAGCTTAGTATTTCATTGAAAGAATGAACTTTAATGTGTTTTAAATAAGCATTTAAATATTTTTGCCTCAGGAGGCTGAGGCAGGAGAATTACTTGAACACAGGAGTTTGAGAGTAGCCTGGGCAACATAGAAAGACTCTTTATAAATAAAATAATATGAAGTATTTTTCCCAAAGTTTTCCTTTTACAGACAAAATTGCAATGGATATCTACATTAGTTTGGATTCTACCAGAACCTGATAAAAGGACTAGGGTACAAATAATTTATTTGGTAGTCATCTCAGAATCACATGAAAGGGATTGAGGAAGACACACGCGGAAAAGAGAGAATCTAATAAGGAGTGTAGTTTCAAGACACTTACCACTGTGGGAAACTGCAGCTCAGTGTTGCTGGGGAACTGAGGCAGACAGGGTAGAACATGCCTTAGGATTATTCCAACTCAGTGGCCAGAAAGCTAAGCATGTATCCAATAATTCCCCATCCACTACAACATTAATTAAAGGAGGCCTACAGGAGGTTTGCTCTCTAGTAGTTTTGGATTTCTTTGTGTATGGTCTGACCATGCTCTCAGAGTCAGAAAAAAATCCTCAGAAATAAAATGCAGACTTTCACATGAAGTAGCCTTCTTCTTGTAAAGATGTAGAAAGAATATAAATAGGGAGATTGAAACTGTCATTTACATTATCCTTATTGATATGTCTTTTTGTGCAGGGGTAGGGCATGTCCATTTTTGGTTTTGCAAATGACCCTCTGTACTCCCACCGGCAATGTATGATTCTTTCCATTCATTTTTCCAATCACAGAAATTTAATCAATTTCTTGATATTTGTTAATCTAATAACTGAAACAAATGTTCTTTTACTTTAGTTTCAATTTTCACTAATTTCATTAAGGTTGACATCAAGCTATTTTTTTTTAATAGTCTGGGTCACTTTTCTTTTTTTTTTTTTTTTTTTTGAGATGGAGTTTCGCTCTTGTTGCCCAGGCTGGAGTGCAATGGCGCAATCTCTGCTCACTGCAACCTCTGCCTCCCAGGTTCAAGTGATTCTCCTGCCTCAACCTCCCAAGTAGCTGAGATTACAGGCATGCGCCACCACATCCGGCTAATTTTTGCATTTTTAATAGAGATGGAGTTTCTCCATGTTGATCAGGCTGGTCTCGAACTCTGGACCTCAGGTGATCCGCCTGCCTCGGCCTCCCAAAGTGCTGGGATTACAGGTATGAGCCACTGCACCCGGCCGGAAGTCTGAGTCACTTTGTTTTTCCATGAACTGTCTGTTCACATATGTGACAATTTTAAAAGTCAGATGGTTGGTCTGTTCCTTACAATTTGTACAAGCTCCTCACATATTGAATAAATAAAATATTTATGATATAAGAGGAATTATAGTTAACTAGCATCATTCAAGTGTTTCAGGTGTTTAAGACTGAAGAAAAAGAGCACGGACTTTCACAAACTGATTGGTACATGGATATTATTCAGCTCAGGGGATAAATTTTCAAATTTATAATATAGAAAGTCCTATCACTTTATATTATCTCCAGCAACTTGCATGGTTTAAAAAATTATCTCATACTATTTTCCATGCTCTAATTTTTTAAATTTTATTTTTAATTGACATGTAATAATTGTCCATATTTATGGGATACATAGTGATATCTTCATACTATGTATATATGCTTAGTGATTAGATCAGAGTAATTACCATATCCGTCATCCAATTGTACACTTAATCATCTCAAACATTTATCATATATTTGTGTTGGGAACATTTAATATCCTCCTGCTAGCTATTTGAAACTATATATCATTGGTAACTATAGTCATATAACAGTGCTATGAAAATTAGAACTTATTTCTCCTATCTAGCTATAACAGATCTTTCCCTATCCTGTTGGGAACAAGCCCCCCCCAAAATCTGGCCATAAACTGGCCCCAAAACTGGCCATAAACACAATCTCTGCAGCACTGTGACATGTTCGTGATGGCCATAAAGCCCACGCTGGAAGACTGTGGGTTTACCGGAATGAGGGCAAGGAATACCTGGCCTGCCCAGGGCGGAAAACCGCTTAAAGGCATTCTTAAGCCACAAACAATAGCATGAGTGATTGTGCCTTAAGGACAAGCTCCTGCTGCAGTTAACCAGCCCAACCTATGCCTTTAATTCGGCCCACCGCTTTGTTTCCCATAAAGGATACTTTTAGTTAATTTAATATCTATAGAAACAATGGTAATGACTGGCTCACTGTTAATAAATACGTGGGTAAATCTCTGTTCGGAGCTCTCAGCTATGAAGGCTGTGAGACCCCGATTTCCCACTTCACACCTCTGTATTTCTGTGTGTGTGTGTCTTTAATTCCCCTAGCACCGCTGGGTTAGGGTCTACCAGACTGAGCTGGTCTTGGCATTATCCCCCTTTTCCCCTATCTTTCCAGACTCCAGCATATTGTGTTTTACTTTTTGCTTCTACAAAATCAACTTTGTTTAGCTTCCACATGAGTGACACCATGCATTGTTCATTGTGTTCCTGGCTTTCGTATTTAACACAATGGCCTCCAGCTCCACTTCTGTTATCTCAAATGATCGAATTTTGTTTTTATGGCTACATAGTATTCAAATGTGGTGTATATGCCACATATATTTCATTTGTTGTTGGATCCCTAGGTTGATTCCATATCTCAGCTATTGTGACTAGTGCTGCAATAAACACTGAGAGTCAGGAGTCTCTTCAATGTACTGATTTCCTTTTCTTTGAACCAATGTTCAGTATTTCGGTAATGGATGATATGGTAGTTCTATTTGTAGTTGGCAGAGGAACCTCCATACTTTTCACCATAGTGTCTGTATTAGTTTACATTTCCACCCATAGTGTGTAAGAGTTCCCTATTCTCCACATCTTCACTAGTATTTGATATTTTTTGTCTTATTGATAGTATCAATCTTAATTGGGGTGGGATGATATCTCATTGCAGTTTTGATTTCCATATCTCTGAAGATTAGTGAAGTTGAGCATTTTTTAATATATTTGTTGGTCATTAGTATGTCTTCTTTTGAGAAATGTCTGTTCAGATCTTTTGCCTATTTTTTAATTGGATGCCTGGTTTGTTTGTATTTTCTTTTTTTGAGATGATTAAGTTCCTTGTATGTTCAGGATATTAAATTCTATCAGATAAATAGTCTGCAAATATTTTATCCCATTCTGTATGTTGCCATTTTACTCTGTTGATTGGTTTCTGTGCTTTACAGAAGCTTGTTAGTTTGATAAAATCCCATTTGCTTAATTTTGCTTTTGTTGCCTGTGCTTTTGAGGTCTTATTCATAAACTATTTCCCCAGACTGATGTCTTGAAGCCCGAATTTTTAATATCAGAAATATTTGACAATTTAATAGAGTGCTTAGTATTACAATAAAGTGGTACTAAAGAATAAACATCATTGCAGAACAACGCAATACAAAAAAAGCAGGGAGAATAAATAGAGGTGTGTGGCCTGCAAAAACCTTAGAAGACTCTGTGGAAACAGTAAGAATTCAACCAAAACTTGAAAGGAGTAAGATTTAAATGGGAAAAGAAAAGTATTTAGAGCATGACTCTTTTAAGAATGGCATAAGAGAAATCATGACTATAGATGGATTAGTATGTTGTACTAGTGAGAAGAACAGTTGGGCATCTATTAAAAATACTGATGAATGATAATGAATTCTGAAGACCTTGAATATATTAATGCTTTGGGCAATAGAAGGTCATTGGAGATTCTTGAATTATGCAGAAGAAAGGTGTTTTAAAGGATATTCTCCAAAACTAACCTGGGATATCAATGTGATTTGTATTGAAAGAAGGTGAAAAAGGAAATAGAGACACCAGATAAAATAATGTATTATAAAATATCTACTTAAAAGAATTGCTAGAGAACCAGGTGTAGTGGTGCATGCCTGTAGTCCCAGCTACTTGGGAGGCTGAGGCAGGAGAACTGTTTTAACTCAGAAGTTCAAGTCCATCCTGGGCAACATAGTGACACTTTATCACTGAAAAACTTTTTTTTTAAGTAAATAAAGTCCTATATCACTTAATTATACACTTAAAAATTGTAAAGATCGTAAATGTTATATGTGTATTTTACCTTCATTAAAAAATTGGCCGGCCATGGTGGCTCACGCCTGTAATCCCAACACTTTGGGAGGCCAGGGTGGGCGGATCACCTGAGGTCAGGAGTTTGAGACCAGCCTGGCCAATATGGTGAAACCCCGTCTCTGCTAAAAATACAAAAATTAGCTGGTGTGGTGGCAGCCACCTGTAATCCCAGCTACTCAGGAGGCTGAGTTAGAAGAATCGCTTGAACCCAGGAGGCAGAGGTTGCTGTGAGCTGAGACAGCACTACTGTACTCCAGCCTGGGTGACAAAATAAGACTCCATCTCAAAAAAAAAAATCTACAAAAATTAAAAATAAATGAATAAATAAAAATACCTCAAGATAGTGAAAAGAAAAAAGACTTGGTAAAATTCGAGTGGCTCCGTGATATGTGTATAAAACAATAAACTGAATGTCTTTTAAAATACACATTTCAGAATGATCAGGAAAGATCACATCTTGAGATTATCATTGTATAATTATTATATTTAAACTTTCAGTCAAAAACTCAAGGATTATTCTGAGTATAATTATAGAAAAGCATTAAATATATATTTGTCATCCCCTTAATATTCCAATATCTCATTGTAAGTGTAAAACACTGTCAAAATTTAATACTCAAACTGAGATTTAGTACCTGTATGCTGGTTTGATTAGGCAGATAAAAAAATGTATTCTGTAAAACTTTATAATGGGGATTTTGAGAAGTATAGTTTTCTCACCTAATTTTGCCTCTACAACATTCAATCTGCAATAGAATTTTGGGATGATTTCATTAACCTCTTTCTCATTAGAGAATGAAATATTCAGTCAACTAGAACATTAAAAGAAACTATTGCGCTCTTCCTCTAATGAGAGGAAGAACTTCAACCACTCTGGTTTCAGCTGGATTAATGAACAGATCCCCTTTTCCTTACTGAAGTAGCTGTGATTGACCCTAACTTTTCTTGCCCTAATACAAAATCATGGAGACGTGATTTTCAGGGCATCCCAATTTGCTGTCTCATTAATTCTCATTTTTATTTGATGGGTTCTTAGGCACTAGTGCCTCTGCTTCTTTCATCAATACTACCTTCTCTTTAACTTGATCTTGGTGCTGGCCACTTGAAGTTTTGTACCACAGGAGTGTTGATGAAAGCTCATGGAAATAAATCAATTCATCAGAACTGTTGTAATCAGATATTCAGCATCAACTTTCACTTTGTGAAAAACTAATGGGTTTGGTAACAAAGTGGCTATGAAAGGCAACGGAATGAGATTTGCAGTTTATATTTCTCATTTAGCCCAATGCTTTTCTTTAAAGTATGTGTCACTGAAAGACAGTGTTCAATATAAAATTGTGTTTATCATACCATTGAATATGTATACTCAAAGTTCTATTGATGATGTAATAATTTGTTTTAATGTTAACTTTATGTTTGAGAAAAATAGTAAGAATATTTAGTTATTTTAAGGTAATTACACATTATCAACTGGAATCAATGAATATTTCAAAGCCACCAGAAATCATAGAAAATTGAACAGTTGTAGGGGATTAGTTTAATATCAAATAAGAACCAAGAACTTTGACACAATTATTTTTGGTGTGGCAAAGTTTGCTAGCTAACCATCAATCCCATTTTTCTTCATTTTGGGCACACAAGCTATATTTTACATCCTCTCTTACAGTTAAGAGGAGCAATATGGTTAAGTTCCAGCCAATTAGTTCTAGCATTAGCAGCTTCCATGTGGTATTAAAACTTTCAACGCAGACTGCAAGAATTGAGGCTTGTGAGCCTCCGCCTAGATTTCAGAAGATGTATGGAAAAGCCTAAATGTCCAGGCAGAATCCTGGAGAACATCTATTAGGGCAGTGCAGAGGGAAAATGTGTGGTTGGCATCCCCACACAAAGTCCCCACTGAGGCACTGCCTAGTGGAGCTATGAGGAGAGGGCCACTGTCCTCCAGACTCCAGAATGATAGATCCACTAGCAGCTTGCACCCTGCACCTGAAATAAAACGTAACGTGACACACACCAAAAAACTTCCCACAAACTATAATTCACCTCCACCCCCACTTTGTGACCTTGGAAGCCAGGCTTTAAAGATGAGAGGGCCAAAAATACAAAGGGTGACACAAGCCTTAACTTGCCACTTGAAGTCAATCTGCCTGTCAATGATGCATATTAATTTTGAGCTTTCCATGAGTGAGAGTTTACATTGTTTTAAACGGTTGGAATTTTGCAATTTATTGTTAAACAACTAGTTTAATCTTAATTAAAATACTCAGAAAGAGTTTTTAGAAAAGCTGTCTTAATACATTTAGGCTGCTTTAACAAAATACCTTAGATGGGGTAATTTTTCAATAATAGAAATGTATTTCTTCAGTTCTGGAGGCTGGGACATCCAAAAACAAGGGTCTAGTAGATTTGGTGTCTGGTGAGGGCTTGATCCCTGCTTCATAGATGATGCCTCTTGCTGCATCCACACATGACAGAAGTGATGAACAGCTCCTAGTTCCTCTTTTATAAAGTTGTTAATCCCATTCACAAGAGCTTCACAATCTATGTATTTTTAACAAATTTAGCATTTACATCTGTAATCTTAAAGGTAACTTATTACCTGCAGTCTTTGTCTCCACATATGCACAAATTAAAAGTATACATTCCCTGTTCAAATTACTATGTGGTTTCTGTCTCCTAATTAGACCCTTATTGAAACAATAAGATTAAGTGGATATTCTCTGAGATACCCAGACATAATTCTACAGGATACCTTAATTGTCAGCAGCCCTAACTATTCTCTACAGATAGGAAATATCTGAATGCGCTGCTGGGATATCTAATCAGCCCCAATGACACTGATAACTAAGTTTCTCCAACTAAATAGTTGAACCACATTACCCTACAGTGAGGCACACAGGAGGCAAGTGACATCCACAAGCCTAGGATTTAAACTCAGGTTTTCATTCTTCACTTTAAATGTAAACAGACAACAAAGGATTACGAAACATCTGAGGAAAACTTCTTTAAGAAAAAGGTGAACAAAACAAAGAGAAAACAATTTGAGAAGTGAAAATTATGTAAAAAGGGGAAAAGTTAAAAATAAACTAGCATTAATACTATGAGAGTTAAGAAAACATAACACATGGCAACCATGAAAAAAATGATACTATATAAAAGATCAAAGAATATTTTGGTAATTGAAGCATAAAAACATAAAGCAAGGGTAAAATAATTAATAAATTAAACAGACAAATTGGAATATAAAGTTGACAAAATCTCCCTGAAAGAGAAAACTTTTTAAAATAAGAAAAATAGAAGATTTGATATCAGAAGACTGCTCCAGGTAACCCAGTATTTAAGCACATGCCATTTCAGAAAGAGAATAGAGAGGGGGAGAATAATATACATAAAATAAAACAGAATGTCTCCATAATACAAGAACATAATTTGACACGTCCTGCATAATGTTTGGAAGTGGAACTATATCGGGACCGTCACGGTGGCTCACACCTGTAATCCCAGCACTTTGGGAGGCCGAGGCGGGTGGATCACCTGAGGTCAGGAGTTCGAGACCAGCCTGACCAACATGGTGAAATGCCGTCTTTACTAAAAAATACAAAAATTAGCCTGGCATGGTGGCACGCACTTGGAATCCCAGCTACTCGGGAGGCTGAGGCAAGAGAATCGCTTGAACCCAGGAGGCGGAGGTTTCTGTGAGCCAAGATCATGCCATTGCACTCCAGCCTGGGTGACAGAGCAAGACTCCATCTCAAAAAATAAAAAGAAAATAGAACTACAATCAAATGATGAAATTCCAGGACATTGTGGACAAAGAGAAAATGCCGTAAGATATGAGGGGAAAAAATAGTCACATACAAATAACAAGGGA
Organism: Homo sapiens; assembly: GCF_000001405.40. Taxonomy (NCBI): domain Eukaryota; kingdom Metazoa; phylum Chordata; class Mammalia; order Primates; family Hominidae; genus Homo; species Homo sapiens. The sequence continues at coordinate 20,844,847 of NC_000021.9, forward strand.
GCACAACGCCCTCAGGCTCCTCAGTGGTGACACTAGAAGCTACAAGCAATGAAACAATGCCTTCAAAATGTTGGATCCAAGTTGCTTTCAACTTTAAATATTAATCCAAAACTAAACACTCAGGAAAGAATAATTACATTTTTATTTCACATTTCTAAATATCTTTCTCCCATTTGTCCTTCTAGATGGTTCTGGTGTATGTGATCCAGTAAAACAAAGTAGCTAAAGAAGAAAGAGGAAACGTTGGGGTATATGAACTAGATATTAAGTCCCCAGGATAATTCTTAAAGGAAATCTCAAGATTTCATCTGTGCAACAGACATGGAGGGTAACCAGGTCAGAACAGATCAGCCCCAAGTGCTCCAAGAGGCATCTTTAGAAAGATGAAATTGATGAAACGTCTGATGGGTAGGAATGTTGCAAGAAGAGATTTAGATATAAACAAGTGCTGTGGAGCATGTACATTACAAGCTAAGCAAATCACCACCACCAACACCACAAAAGATAACTATGAATTACAGAAATCATAGAAAATTTACAGAAAAATCAAAGTATAATTTACTTCATAACTAGCTAAGTGTTTGCATTGTTTTCATAATATAAACATTGATCTAACCAAAATTACCATGTAACAGGATTGAGAAGACGAGAGCATTTAAGTAAGTAATGGGCGAGGAAGACTAAAATTTAATTATTCTTCTATGTCAAAAATCAATAATGTTTAAACCTAAAAAATCAGAAGTTACCAACCCAATCACAAAATTTAGCAGTGAGGAGGTAAATTGAAAGACTGAACTGATGGAGAAGGAATGATAGAAGAGAAAGGAAAAAGAAGTGGAGAAACAGAAACCACTCTCTTTCTTTCTTTTCTTTCTTTCTTTCTTTCTTTTTTTTTTTTTCTGACGAAGTTTCGCTCTTGTTGCCCAGGCTGGAGTGCAGTGGCGCGATCTTGGCTCACTGCAAGCTCCGCCTCCCAGGTTCACGCCATTCTCCTGCCTCAGCCTCCCGAGTAGCCGGGACTACAGGTGCCCGCCACCACAGACCAGCTAATTTTTTGTATTTTTAGTAGAGACGGGATTTCACCGTGTTAGCCAGGATGGTCTCAATCTCCTGACTTCGTGATCTGCCCACCTCAGCTTCCCAAAGTGCTGGGATTACGAGCATGAGCCACTGTGACCGGCCTCCACTGGTTTTCATGAGAAGCCTTGGGGAGTTATTTTACGCTTTGAATTATATGAGTGCATTAATGTCATAAAAAACACTTTAAAAATATTAATGTCGCTGTATTTGTGGATTAAATTTGAAAAATGTTGTTCTAATCACCTGTTAGATTATTTCACATTTCTCATACATTTTGTAGCAGCAGTTTGAGGAAATGAAACATTGATTATGTTAACTAACTTAAAATATATAATGTAATGAAAGAAAAATTATTCGTGTGGTATAGGAATAGTTTTGCTATTTACTGTAAACACCTTTTTCTCTACAATTCAAAGATAGTCTGGCCATCATTTAGCCAGAATGTTAGGTTCTTTAAAATGTTACCTGTAATGACAGAAAAATATATTTAGCTATTCTTCATAAAATATGTTCATCTTTACTAGAGTTTCACTTTTTGTAACCAACAGCTTCATTTTATTATTAGCATAATCTAATTTCATGATAAAATAGGTAATGTCTTCAAGGGGTATACTTTCTATTTTTATTTTTTATTTTTTTCTGGAGACGGAGTCTCTCTCTGTTGCCCAGGCTGGAGTGCAGTGGCATGATCTCAGCTCACTGCAACCTCAGCCTCCCAGGTTCAAACGTTTCTCCCACCTCAGCCTCCTGAGTAGCTGGGATTACAGGTGCCCGCCACCATGCCCGGCTAATTTCCCTATTTTTAAGAGAGACGGGTTTCGCCATGTTAACCAGGCTGGTCTCGAACTCCTGACCTCAGGTGATCCGCCCACCTCAGCCTCCCAAAGTGCTGGGACTACAGGCATGAGCCACCGTGCATGGCCGCGGTATACTTTTGAATGCCCTTGTTTCAGTCAAATGTTGATGGTATTACATAAATTGGAGACACAATTTTTTTCAGAGCTGAACTTAGTGTGTTTCCCATTACAAAGGTCAATTAATAATAATTCTGTGAGAAATTAGTGGGTATAGTGGGTATACCAGCATATACCCAAAGCATAGTAGCTATATCAGCACACAATTTGTCAATCTCCTCCAACTACTGATCTGGAATTCACTTATAAATTGCCTCTTTATCTATGGCTGTTTATGTTTTAAACTTTTATTTGTCTGGCCTGTGAATTAGTAGTCTCTAGTTAAAAACACATACTTTTAATTTCTGCATATGTGGAGACAAAGACTGCAGGTAATAAGTTACCTTTAAGATTACAGATGTAAATGCTAAATTTGCTAGGATACTATTTATTATTGTAGTTCTTCTATTTCACTTCTCATTTAAAAACTACAAAACCTCTATCAACATGTTGCTTCAAATTAAATTTGGTTGCAGACTAAAAAAAAGTTTACCAGTTAGGCAATGTAAATAGGATTTTTTCCTGTTTATGAGGAAAGAAAGGACAGTTTTACTGCTTTCGCTTTATCCAGTCACACTTTATCTAGGAAGTGGATTTCATGAAAAATACTTCTAGGAAAATAAGAGGGGGCTTGTTGCCGGTTATCCCCTTTATAGCTCCTCCTGAATCGAAAGTTTTTTTGTCTTCTCCACAGCTATTTCTATTCTGTCCCATTTCTGGCTTCCAGATTTTAAATTAGTAAAACAAAAAAAATGATTCTAGCAACTTGGGTTTTCAAACAATTTAATAAGTTGCCTTAAATATTCTTTATCTTCTTTTCATTGGACTTATTCAAGTAAAGATTGGATAAGTTTTTTTTGTCAGAAATCTTTAAGGAAGAGTTCCCATATTTGAAAGGAAACCAAATCACAGTAACTCCAAAATTCCTTCTAATTCCACATCATTATGGTTTTGAAGTCACCAACATTCTTACAAATATTTCCGTATATCAGATGAACCTAACATGATGAGTTTAGGGTGGCAATAAAGTCTAGAATAGATGAATATACACAAGTGGTTATATTACAAAATGTACACTACAACATAGCTACAATACAAGGTGATATTACATGCTTTATGTTTTCAGACTTTAAGTTCATCCTACATAATTTCAATAATAATGAACTTTTAATTTTGGCCAATTAGTACTGTGCAGGATATAGAATAATTTGAAATTATCAGCCATTATCCTTAAGGTTCATTCTACATGAATGTTAGATAATTATGCTTTTTAGCTAATTAAAACTGCGGTAATTGAATTTTGGACATCATTGTCCATATAAAGCATTTTATAAAGAAATAATGGATCCTAAGGTCTTAGGAGCTGTTGGACAAAAATCACTGTGGAAAGTTTGATATTTAATCTCGCTGCAAGCAAAAGTTGGAAGTAGAGAATTCCGTTGAAAGAGCAGCAATATCTTAGCAGTTCATCTGAATAGAGAATCAAAAATGATCTTGATCCAAGTTGTGTACATCTAAATATAACAAGGTCTTGCCACTAACTAGAGACTGCGCAAAATAAATACACATAACCGGTGAGATGAAATCTCACGTTTGTATTGAGACATGAGCATCATGGGCCTGGAAAGGTTTCAGCAGGACTAGTAATATTCTGATATTATACAAAACCTGTGTTCACCTGTTAACCTGACTGAATATGTCACGGCTTGTTGTTTGTTTGTTTGTTTGTTTGTTTGTGGTGAAGAAAATATGTGATTTGTTCCCTTTGTCTTTGCCTTTTTTTAAAATCTAAACAATAGGTTTATCATTTGGTATTTAAACCCTCTCTCTTTTATTAGTTCACGATTTCTTTTTTAATAGTACAGATGTTTTTGTTTTTCTGTAATGTTTCCTTCAGGGAATTTTTTTCCACATTTCATTCATTTCTTACTCCTTCAACCCTCGTGCTGATGCTGACCATTCTCAAAGGTAAATCACCTGACATCTAAAACTGCTTGACAGCATTGAGAGCATTTCTAAAATCTATAAGAACAGCACTTTAAATTTTAAAGGATTTTTCCCTTCTTTCTGAGTAACGGTAAATCTGGTTGATGTCAATCTTGGACTGATAGTGTTGAAGTCACTTGGAAGACTGCATTCATTAAGTAGTTTTGATGAGAACAGAGTTCTCTTAATGCATTTTCAAAATGGATAAATGCAACACACACAACAGAAACTAAGTATTATTCTCAAAGAAAAGGAACTACTTTTTTTGGAGTTCAAAGAATGTTTGCTAGATTTATGTTTTAGGTCTTTATTGACAAAAAATATATTAAATATTTTTGAAACCTCTTTTAGTTGAAAACAGAATGATAGTTGAATATTTAAGCAGGTAACTATTCATATAAATAGTTTTATTCATAAAAATACCTGATGGCAAACATATATTTCAAATAAAAGGGGTGCAAAATGTTAATTTTCTTGAAACGGAGAATAACTGCTAATGTTGTTACATTATTTATGACATTTATAGTCCAAAATATTTTCTGTGAATTTGGACTTTAAAACACGTAGGAGTCCCGCTGGAAATTCACACTTAATAATTTGCACCCAAACTTCATAAATCTACGGTTTCCACAAAAGCCAGAGTTCATTTGTGTTGCCATAAAGGAATACCCGAGACTGGTAATTTCTAAGGAAGAAAGGTTTATTTGACTCATGGTTCTTCTGCAGGCTATACAAAAAGCATTGCAGTGGTATCTGCAACTGGTGAGGACCTCAGACTTCTTCCACTCATGGTAAGGGGAAAGGGAAGCTGGTATGCAGAGATTATTTGGCAAGGGCAGAAGCAAGAGAAGGGAGGGAGGAGTCAGGATCTTTTTAACAATCAGTTCTCGTGGGAACTAACAGAGCGATAACTCACTCATTACCTCAAGTACAGCACTAAGCCATTCATTAGAGATTCACCCCCCATGACCTAAATACCTTCCCTCAGGCCCCACTTTTAACATTGGAAATCAGATTTCAATATGAGATTGGAGGTGACAAGTATCCAAATTATATCACCAACCTTACTTACGCTGATATTTGTTTAATTAGAGTTATATTTGTGCTTCTGTTTTAAAATGTAATAGTTGCTCAGTTAAACTGCAGACCTTACCCCTGAGATGCAATTGTTACCTCTGAGGTCTTAAGTAACTTGTTCAAGATCATGCAACTAGCACATCATCAAAATAAGGATATAAGTCCAGGCATCTACCTGATGTTTATGCTCATAATGACTTGGCTCTAATCCACGGATTTAAGAAAAGGAAGTTCAGAGTTTTCAGCCTATATAAGCAGAACTCAGTATCAAAGTATAGTTTGATAATGCATGATTTTATAAATTTAACTATACATCGGGTGAAAGATACCTCACTTTAGAGTAGAAAACTCAAATGCTCAGAGAATATGGGAAGCATTCCAAGGACAATCTAAAACAAAATTAAATACAGATCAAGCAAATTTTATCTTTAAAGTAAAATTAAAAGTGAACCAGCTGTCAAATAAAATGTAAGAATGAAGTAATGATTAGTGATATTCATAAGGTTTAGTCAGTGGTTGTCACCATAGCTGAAGACTTTATTCATAATTCTACAAATAGTGTTGGAAGTGTGTCTCTTGAGAAAGAGGTGAAGCCAAGTGGTGATTTTTTTTCCTTCAATTTAGGATAAGAAAGCAATGGATGAGGAATTAAAATTATAAAAAAAGTAATTGATGGCAGAATTTCCCAGTGCAGGCATTAGCATCAATAACCTAGGATTCTGGATTATATTTTCAAAGAGTAATATGGAAGAAAAGAAGAATGAATAAGAATTGAGGAGATAAAGGGGAGCAAATTGTGAATTGCTCAGGCTTGATGTGGATATGCTCAATTAGTTAAAGCAATGTCTTTCATCCTGTGAAATTGTCATGACAGCGAATTGAGTAATCCTTCACAAAGGAAAAAAGCTTCTCAATGAATATTTAATTTTTCTCTTGAAAAATGCAAAATCCTTCTGATGTACACTGTTATGGTTAAACCGATAAGTAAGAACAACAGCAACAGAGAAAGGAACATCAAATTTCCATTTGATGATTGCTTTTAAAACTGTGTGTGAACTATCATATAATAGATCTGCTGCCATAGGCATCACTTTGTTTCTATGATTATTTTAAGCAGGTTTAATAAGTTCTTCTCTTTACTTGATAATTACCAGCAGTAGACATGACAAAGTTATTAAAAAGTCAGCAAGGTTGTGTATGAAATCTGACATCTTTGTGGAATCCCAAGAGTATTTCCACCCCATTTTTAAAGTTTGTTTGGCTTCTATTACATAAAATCTTAAAAAAACTGCTTAATCCATTTTTAAAAATAACAAATAATACATGTTATATGACAGATTAACACATATATATTTCTCGTTTCTCCTTGATTTAAGAATAAAAGTATTTATGCAGCAGGAGTCAGCAGCATGCTGTAATGTAGTAACGATCTGATCAGAGTGAAGTACATATGTTTTCATCCTTAGAACTTGCTCTGTCTAGGCAAAGTGGACTTACATGGTTTTCACTCCTGTGTGGTGGCCCTCATTAGTGGCCACCATAATTTATAATATGTGCAATTATAATATTTATAATATGTGTGATTTGTTTATATGACTGGACCCTCCCAATAGGTTCATTTGCCGCTGCCTAAATAGAGCTGATTTATCAAGACAGAGGAATTGCAATAGAGAAAGAAAGCGTTTAATTCACATAGAGCCAGCTGAACAGAAGACCAGAGTTTTACTATTACTCAAATAAGTCTCCCTCAAAATTTAGAGAGTGGGGTTTTTTAAGGATAATTTGGTGGGTATGGGGCCAGGGAATGGGGATTGCTAACTGATCGGGTTGGAAATGAAATCATAGGAAGTCAAAGCTGTCCTCTTGCACTGAATCAGTTCCTGGGTAGGGCCCCAAGACCACATGAGCCAGTTTATTGATCTGGGTGGTGCCAGCTGATCCATGGAGCGTAGGATCTGAAAAATAGCTCAAGCAACAATCCTAGGTTTTGCAACAGTGATGTTTTCCCTAGCAGCAATTGGGGAGGTTTTGAATCTTGTGGCCTCTAGCTGCATGACTCCTAACCCATAATTTCTACTCTTGTAGCTAATTTGTTAGTCCTACAAAGGCAGTCTTGTCCCCAGGCAAGAATGGGGGTGGTTTCAGGAAAGGGCTGTAACCATCTTTGTTTCAAAGTTAAGCTATAAACCAAATTCCTCCCAAAGTTAGTTTGGCATACTACCAGGAATGAACAAGGACAGCTTGGAGGTTACAAGCAAGATGGAGTTGGTTAGGTCAGATCTTTTTCACTGTCATAATTTTCTCACTGTTATAATTTTTGCAAAGGCGGTTTCATGACCACCTCTATTTTTGAAAGACAAAACATACAATTTTAAAAAGAGAACATTTTCAAAAATAACTTCTAGTCAGGATTTTTTTTAAGCAAAGATGATAAGAATCTACATATAGAGCTCAATCTTGTTTGAAATTAGGAACCCAATATTATAAATAGCATGATTTATTAATAAATGTAAGTTCTTGATTAGGTTGGGCCCTACATCTCTAACTTGTATAATAACTTCCCAATTCTTCACATGAAAACTTTATTTTCATTCAAATGAAAAGCGGGCTTAATATAGTTTTGGATCAAATTTTTCCCCAATCTTGGAAGCTCTGAGGCTATTGTATCATGCATGATAGAATCATGTACACTTTATCTGTTCCTGCAAGCAAATTATTAGTATTTTTTTTGAGAAACCATTACGGAATGTGTTAATAATGATAAATTACTTAAAATTGTGATTTAAAGGCATACAACATATTATGGATAATAAGAGCTAACATATGTTGATTATTCCTGTGTGACAGCCATTCTTCTAAATGTTTTACATGTATAACTCGTGTAATGCCCACAGCAACCCTATGAGATAAAGTGCTAGTTCCTGTTGCTGCTGTAACAGATTACTATAATCCTAATGGCCTCAAATAACACAAACTGATTTTCTTATAGTTTGGGAGGTCAGAAGTCTAAAATGATTCTTATGGGGCTGAAGTCAGGGTGTTGATAAGGTTGGTTTCCTTCTGGAGGCCTCCCTATAGAATCTGCCTCAGGCCTCTTCCAGTTTCCAGACGCTGCCAACATTCCTTGGCTTCCAGCCACATACCCTAAATCCCCTTCTACTGTCACATCACATTCTCCTCTTTTGTAGTACAGTCTCCTTCCGTCTCCCTCTTATAAGGACACTGTTGATCCAATAGGCCCACCCAGATAATCCAGTGTAACTTCCCTATCTCAAGAACCTCAACTTAACCACATCTGCAAAGTCCCTTTTACCATGGAAGGTAACACATTTACAGATCCTAGGGATTCTGATGTGGGCATCTTTGGGGCACTATTATTCTGTCTATCACAGATAATTATTATTCTCATTTTATAAATGAGAAAACTGAGGTTCAGAAAGAGATCAAATAACTTGTTTAAGATTATACAACTAGTGAGCAGTGAAGCCTGAAATCAAATACAGTGAGTCTCCCACTCTTGGCCACTGTATCATTCTGCCTTTATGTTAGTTGGAGGAGAATAAAAGCACCAAATGTAAAATCTTGGATTATCCAGTGTAGCTCTTATTTCCGGAAAAAAGGATCCTAATACTGAGTCCAGCCTGAAATGGGCTCCCTAGGTGTGGATGACCTGGCGGCCCTCATTAGTGTGTACATCAATAGTAATGTTAACAATGTCTATGTCGGTTGTCCCCAGGCTCCTTTAGTGACAGAAATATCTTTCTGGCTCAGGTGTCCTCGATAATGTGCAGCCACCAAGGCAAACTTCCTATGATGCCTTCATTGCTGAGAGTCTACCTTGTGTTCCTGTAATAGCAGAGCTGTGTGTTCCCTCTTCTCTGTGGCAGCCTTTTCAGACTCCCGTGTGTTCCCAAATCACCTGAGGAACTTAGTATGAAAGTGACTCTCTGGACGCATAGCAGACCTACTCGTTCAGAACATTCAGAATCTCCCAATATGGGGCCCAGATAGGGGTGTTATAGCAAGGTTTTCCTGTTTATTCTGATGCATGCCAAATTTTGATTGTCACTCTCGGATTATGTCCTGATTCGTAATCTAAAGCAGTTGTTCACAATATTTTCCCCAGGGAACATTTGCCAACATTTTTTGGAGATAATTTTTGCTCTCTCAAATGGGAGCATGCTATTGGCACCTAGTGAGTAGAGGCCAGGAATCTTTCCAAACATCCTACAATCCACGAACAGCCCCTGATAACAAATAGTTATCCTGGCCAAGGGGAACCTTCTTAAAGCATGTGAAGAGATGAGGAGATAGTTTATTCTTTAAACTAAATCCAGTATTCTCTGTGTAAATGTGTTTCTTCACATCAATAACCGTTTAGTTTTGAGTCTGAAGTGAAAAAAAGGAAACAAATAACACGATAAAAATTGAGAAACTTTCTACATGTATAGGGTTAGGAGATATTAAGCTTTCCATGCTAATATTTTTTAAAATGTTTTATTAAAAGTAACTCTGTAGTCTACTGTCCCCCAGAATGGACTCTAGGAAATAGCTGAGCAATCTTTACTCTAATTGTGGTTCACTGTCATTGTATGAATGGTTTCAGGTCTCTGATATAATAAGCAAGAGATTGAGGCTGGGCACGGTGGCTCACGCCTGTAATCCCAGCACTTTGCGAGGCCAAGGCAGGTGGATCATGTGGTCAAGAGATCGAGACAATCTTGGCTAACATGGTGAAACCCCGTCTCTACTAAAAATACAAAAATTAGCTGGGCATGCTGGCGTGCACTTGCACTCCCAGCTACTAGGGAGGCTGAGGCAGGAGAATCACTTGATCCCAGGAGGCAGAGGTTGCAGTGAGTCGAGATCGCGCCATTGCACTCCAGCCTGGTGACAGAGTGAGACTCTGTCTCAAAAAAAAAAAAAAAAAAAAAAAAAAAAGCAACAGATTGAGAGTGGTCATTTACAAATTTGTACCATTAGTCATTGCCAGAATACCTCAGCTTGATCCGTACAAGCTGTGTGTCCATGGACAGGTTAATTAACCTCTCCAATCTCAGTTCCCTTATCTATAAAATGAATGCCAATTCAGGAACTCAAATAGCACACAGATTCTTGCATCTGTAAATGACAAAGGAGACGAATATATATATGGAACCCTGTCTGTTTTATGGGGAAGTCTTTTTATTGAGAACTTATTATGCATCTAGCTCTGTGTTTAAGAATGTATAAACATTCCTCCTCCATTTTTCCCTCAGCCTCATTTTTTAAAATAGCAAACCTAAGAGAAGACAGTATTTTTTAAATTAATTCTGAGAAGCTCTACACATGTGCTTGCTTCCAAGACGTAAGGAGATTTAAACCGAAACAGTGGGAAAAAAAATTAAAAATCTCTGTGCTGCTGACTTTCTGGTGTCAGGACAAGAGAAGACATTAGGATTTTATATATGTTGCCATTATCTTACACTGGTAAAAAGTGAGATCTTCAGTAATGAATATTAGTATTTTGAACAGCTAAGAGACTGAAGAATCTAGACTTATAAGGTTCATTAATTAAATTATCCAACAAAATTTCTATTATTGATTTACATTATTCTAGAGTATTGGAAATACAAAAAGAGAGAAGAAAAAGCCCATGATTGGTTCAGTTTCTCATCTGAGGCAACTAATCTTTTCTCTGAATACCCACAAAAGTACCAGAAGTAAGATAGTAACCCAGGTCTGTAGGTTGTGAAAGATAAGAAAAGATAGCTTTGGATTTTGAAATATATATGTTTAAATTCTGTGTATTTTTGTCAGTGTTGCCATTTTCAACCTTAGGAAACAAAATAATAAACTTTTGTTATTCAAAATTTATAACACTAGATGAAAGTAAAATCACAACTTTCAAATTTTTAAGGTTATAGTATTTCTACTTCTGAAGTTATTCAAACTTAAATCTGCCCTGAGACTTTTGGAACATGGATATTACTGTTTCACCCTACTGGCCAGAGTAATCAATTGATAATCAAGTATTGCTCTTGACAGAAGTAGAGAAAAAGAAAAGTACTAGAATGTACTGAGGTGTATCCAAACAACCTGGTCACTTAACCTCCCCAAGGATTTCTTCCTACCTGTGACTTTATTTTGACACTTGACTCTAAGTCATTTTTGAAGTCATAGCATTGCCTGTTGTGTCTTTAATAGAAGCAATAATAAATGATTCTCATTTTTAATTGTTTTAGGCTCACAGAAAACCTGGGTACCTGAAATACCTAACATTTTATTTATTTTAATTAGGCAGAAGCTGCAATTCATCCCTTGCAAAAATATGCCACAGGCAAAAGCTATTAAAAATCTCTGTGACTCTGCACACTCTACTCTTGTTTGTAAAGGTGGACCATTACAAGGCAATTTGCTACATGTGGGGTGAATTGCAAGGCACATAACATTTACAAATATGAGCAATTAAATTGAAAACCACTCATTTCTGTTATAATACTCAACCATATGACATTCAATCTATAAATACTAAACTTAAATTATATTTAAGGTACAACCAAAGTTTAGGATGAAGGGGCAATTCTCTAGAATGCAATTTGAAAGCAAAATTTAGAAAAGTAAATAAGAAAACAGACTTGAGAAAAAACTATTTATTAAGCACAATACTCTGCAATTTAAAGTAGAAAATGTATTTATAGTTTGCGGTGTGGACCTCAGTGGATTTCAAATGCTCTCAGTGTAAACATAAACAGAAGTCATATCCTTATGTTTTAAACACCAGAGTGTGGAGAAGCAACTTCAATCTAAAAAAATCACAGGAAATTATTCAGTGCAACTTTCTTGGTATGGGATAGTCCCTTCAAAGTAAAAGGCATATTTCTCTTTGTATACTGGTTACTGTTATTTAATAATTTTGATAAATTCAACAAGTAAAGTATCTTGATAACTGACAAGGAAAAATAATTCTTACTGAAAAACTTTATCCCATTCTTCGCACCTCATCCCCAATCATACTGGTTGTTAGTTCCAAGTCTTTTTGTTCATGCTTTTATTTTAATACAAAATTATCCTCCTCGTTAAGATGGTTGCTTGTATTACCAAAACTATTGTTGGTAAGATGAAAACAGAGATGCCGGGGGTGGAATAAAGCATCTGCTTCCAAGAATGACCCTTATCTTATTTGCACAGTACTCTGCAAACATCACGATCCCCATGCAGTCCCTGATTGCTCTGTCTTTGCAGAGACGTTTGTTTTACATGTTGAAATATCTGTTGTGCGTGTTTCTCTATTTCCTGTTTGCAATTAAGGCAATCTCAACAGTGTCCACTTTAGAAATATTACCTCTGCCACTCTCTCCCACATCAGACCTGTTAAGCAACTGTTACAGGAAATTTTAAAACACTCAGTTTTTACCTGTATGATAATGGTAATTACACTGTGTTATAAATAAATATTTATTTATAAATTATTATAAATAATTATTAAAGGTATATGAATTAAAATAAAAAACTTTCTAAAATTGGAAAAATCTTGAAGATGAAGATTGTTTATGTTTATTAGAATCATTAGCAGCCTATCACAATAGTTGATGCTTGAAAATTTAGGATTAATGATGACATTTTTATTTTTTTCCTTCGATGTTGTTGCATTGCCCAGGCATTTAACAAATACGCAAATAGGTGTCTATGTAGATAGATGCACACATGTATATCTGTCTACATAGACAACTATTTGCATATACACGTATATATGCATATACACGTATAGGTACACGCATAATGAGTAAATGCAAATATGTCTATTTGTGTTTATGTAAAATTATGTATTAAGTAGTCTTTCTTCCATGCTCGATATTTCTTTTTTGTTCTTGTTAAATCAGAACACCTATAGCTAGAAGAGAAGAATTGTAATGTTGCCAACACAAAGAAAAAATAAATGTTTGAGGTGATAGACACCTCAATTGCCCTGATTTGATCATTACACATTGTATACATGCGTCGAAATATCGCATATACCCTCACAATCTGTACAACTATGACATAGCAATAGAAGATCTTGAAGAAATTCAGAATATCTAGCTTCTGCTTGGTCTTTGAATGGACTTCACAAAAGAAATCAAAAGTATGGTTGGAACTTATTTTTTAAATATTAAATAAATTTTAGAAATGTACCATACTGCACATAAAAATTGAGTATTCACCTAGATGAGCATATGAATTATTATTTTTCTGCTGGTGAACAAATTTATTCAGTAGGATGAGATGTGTGGGAAATTGCCATTCACTATAAAATTAATGAAACAGAAAAAATTTCCTTTTACAATCTAATGCTTTTTTAACTTAACACAGACATTGAGATTCAAGTTTTTATTAAGTGCAGCTTGATCAAATTTCAGCATGCATACATCACTATTGTTCATCAATAACTGAAGAAGATTTTGTTGACTACATTTTTATCAGATATTTCATGTGAACATGAAAACAGAAAGAATGAGTGTGGGTTGATATAATGCCTCGGGAGGGTGCCAGGCTTTTCGTTCTCATAAGCACGTATTTTCAGATGCTTTGAGAAGGTTAAACGATTTTGAAAACTTCATTATAATTTGGATTTCAGAAAGCCTATCCTAGAAATAAACGTTTCAATTAAATCTTCTTAAACCTTATGGTAAAAGAGTTTAAAGTCCCCTACCTTATGATTGTAGAAATTAAAATCATCTTATAGGTGGGCTATGAAGAGAAAATTTTTATTAGATGTAGTCAAAAAAGTAGAATTTTTTACATGAATAAAAATAATTAAGATTTGTTATGTTTTTAGTTTGTATGGGAGTATGTATGTGTTCCCTTGGGCTTAATTTTTAAGATTAATATTTTTACAAAAGATTACATTTTTTTCTTATATGGGACTTATCACAAAATTAAAGCTGAAGAATAGAGACATGATTTGTTTACCATATGCAAGCATTTGGATATTTGTTCTAAAATGGAAATACATTTTACAGAATTCTTAAGGTAGCATGAAAGCTAAGTTTATGCAAAAGAAAAATAACAGGTTCTAGTGGCTCGTAAGAAATGTTTGGTATTTCAGAGATATTCCAAAAAAGTGAATCAAGGGTTCAACTTGTTCCTTCACCATCATATAGGGCATGGTCCTATTCTTCATCTTTGAGTATCAGCATAGCCATATTTTAATTCCAGGCCACAACAAGACAAAGAGAGAATGGAAGACCTCACACATAATGCTTTAAAGTTAAAGCCTGCAAGTGTTACACATTATTTCTGCCCGCCCCCAGTTGGCCTGAGCTAATTTACGTGACTGTTCATGACTGCAAGGAAAGTTGTGAAGCACAGTCTCCGGCGATGTCAGTTCAAACTCTGGTGGGAGGTTCATTGATTAAAAGGAGGAAACAGAGAATACATGGTGGGAGATGGGAAGATGTATCTGTCACCCAGATGTCTGGCAAAGGTTTTGTTATTTTAATCTCGTGGAAGAGGCTAAAGAATAACAGAATGAGTTGAATTCAGAATGTTATAATTTGTGCTACAATCAGTTGTCTAAAAAGCTATGTTTATACCTATGCCTATTTCTTTTGTGACTTAAATCTTGGAGGCCAGCCATATTTAGTTATTTTTGTAAAAGTTACCAAATTACAATATTAGGCACATTTTTCAAAATGATGCTCTCGTCTTCTTATTATGCTTGGGTCGTTTATAATATATTGAGGTTTTGCAAAAACAAACTGATGTAAGATACAGTATGCATTATCTTACATCATACATACATACATACATACATATGAAAAGGAGAGAGAGAGAGAGAGACAGTAATAGAGATATCTATGAAATTGGAATCAGGTTAAACATATTTCAACTGACCCTAAATTCCTTAAAAATATTTCTTTGTAGGTATTCTGATTTAAACCACTAGTTTAATGAAATGCAACCACTAATTAGGGTTACTCTGTGTTATTCTTACAGTGATTCATTCTTCTAAGTTCCAAACTCCTCAAGATATTTGTGTGTCTATGTATTTTTTCTCTGTAAGAGACAATTTTGGGTATTCTTAATTAAAAGCAGCCACTGTCACAGTAAGAATAAACACTATCAGAATGTTGGGGAGGGAGGAGAGAGAGAGTGTGAAGATGCTGGAGCTTGAAGAAGGGCTTATGATTGTGATCTGAAGAACAAGCTCTAAGACCTAAGACAGGTGGAAGGGACTCGGGACCATAATGAAACCCCCTGAGCCAAACCCATGAGAAATGATGGAAGTGGTAAGAAGAAAAAAAAAAAAAGGAAAAGAAAGAAAGAAAGAAAGAAAGAAGGAAGAAAAATATAGACAGTGGGTTTCAGAATAAGTAGGAGTCTGCAACTGACAATGAAAAGTAACAATTTTTTTCACAATCATTCAAAGCAAATCCAAACTATTTACGATGCTTTTTGCTACGACAGAAAGCCCTTCTCAAACTAACTTAAATCATAAGGAACTTTTTAATGCAGATGTGTGTGCTGGAATATTTTTGAGATTAAAAACTGATTTATTTTCATGCCTCTAGCTCTATTTCCCTGATTCTCCCCAAGTGCCCACTTCATCTTCAGGTGGTAACAAAACGATAACACCTCTTAACATTTTCACAGAGGGCTAGAGGGAGAAAATGTCCAGAGGAGAATAAGAAGAAAAAAACCTTCCTAAAGTCTCCAGTAAATACCTTTACAATCCACTGTCACGTATTGGACCACAGGCTCATTTTTTACCCAAACATGACAAATAGTGACCTTACATCCCAGTTTGCCCAAAAGTGTTGTTACCTATTACTCTGTTGTAATTAAATAGTACCTTCTTTCACTTTCAAAACTGACCCAGTTTAAATAATAAATTATGTCACTATTCCAACTAACATCAATCTGGTCAAACCCTGAAATGTGAGATGTGATCAGCCATTTTGGGGGCACATGTGCAAGATGAAGAAGGGATAGAGCTGAATGAAATCAAGGTTCTTTATGAAGAAAAAGAAGATGTCTCTAACAATCAGAAATGTCATACATGGAATCTTTTCCTGAATTTCCTCCCAAATTCAAATGTTGAAGCCTGACCTCCAATGTGACTGTATTTTGAAATAGGGCCTATAAGGATGTAATAAGAGTTAAGTGAGGTCATGAAGGTAAGATCTTAATCCCATCGGAGTGGTGTCTTTATAAGCAAAGAAAGAGAGTCTAAGTGTTTTTCTCTCTCCTTGTTTGCAGAGAAGAGACTACGCAAGGACATAGTGAGAGGGCAGCCATCTGCGAGCCACAAACAGAGGCCTCACCAGAAACCAACCCTGCAGGCACCTTGATCTTGGACTTCCAGCTTGCAGACTGTGAGAATATACATTTCTGTTGGGTAAGCCATCCAGTCTGTAGTACTTTATTATGACAGCCCTTATCAGACTACTACATAGAGTATTCGGGCATTTGTAGGCACTTACCTGCCATGCTGGCTAGTTTCAATTGCGAGTGCTTGGGAGAAACATGAGCTTTACTTTTCTTTTCTTTTTTTTTTTTTTCACTCCATCTGCCTCTGTGTTTAGAATTCTCTGTTTTTCTAATTATGGAGCTAACCTCTCAACTCCTTGAATGAAGAGGCTGAATGCCACACAGTCCCCGGGCTTTTAAAATGCCATATGCTATGTGTATATTCTTGGATAATTGTGAACCACTTTAGACTTCCCCTATGCCCCACTTATGGGTTGACTGATGTGTGGTAACTTGAATGGGCTCAATATAAAATCTCTCTGGCTTGTACAAGGAAAAAACAGAGAAAACAGAGAACCTTTTAATAAAAGATGAAAGAATGTTGAAGAGGGCTTAAAAGGGAAGGATTCAATCAGAATTATAGTAAACTTCATGGTCCAAATTTGAGAGAAAGGTGATTTTTAAGCCTAACCCCAGCTTGGATTTTCCTCGTGTTTGTTCTAATGTACCTACTTCTACTCACTTTTTTCTCTCCTAATTGAAAAGGCTTTTTGATGGAAAAGATCATTTTTCATATGCTGTCTTTGTCCTTAAATAAACAGAGAACCTCAGGTTAAATCCCCTTAGAGCTATGTTAGATTTGCTTTCCATCAAGTTTGTTATTAAGGCATATTTACCAAGATAGAGAGTACCTGATCTAGGCACTCATTTTAAATTTAATGTACAAGTTCTGGAAAATGCAGGGCCAGAACGGGTGGAAGATATCCTGGGTGTACATATTTCGGCTGGGCTGATATTGTCACCACCAAATTGTTCGGGCTGCAGAAACATTTGTTTACATATCACTATAGAGGATGCAAAATTGCATTTTTTAAACATGTTCAGGAGAATCTGGGAGAGCAACATGTAAGTTAACGAGTAATTTTTGCATTAAAACATAAATATTAACACTAAGTATGCACAGTTCAAGTCAGCTTTTTCTTCCGAAAGAGCTAAGGTCGGGCACAATTTGCAGCTCTTTGAATTGCAAAAGAAGCTTTCGTTTTTCTGAGAGTTTTGGATTTCAGAATTGGATAAGGGGTTATAGATCTGCAATATCTTCACCACCGAGATTTATGAGGAAGAAACTGAGACAGAGAGTAAAGTAACATACTTACAGCTGGTACCCAAGGAAGGCATGATTCAAATCCCTGCAGTGCAGATTCATTATGCCATCTCAGTGAATTGAATAATGAAGCAAGAGAAAGTCTCTCTTTGATGGGGTGAGGAATATGTCTTGGAGGAGGTGGCATTTGAGCTTTACTCTGTTCGATTTTTACAAGTGTTTTAGTTACTCTATGCTTTTTCTCACCAAGTAAATTTAACAGGTTTAGTAAAGGCATGAAGGAAAGAAATTCAAAGGTGACCTGTGAATGAGTTTAACTGGGATAGTTGGAAATAGGACCTAAAAAGAAAAGGGAGCCAAATCTTGGATTAGTGCTTGGAAATTCAAATACTATTCTGAAGTAACAGGAACATAATTGAATGATGAAATGGTATAGTCAGAGTTGCAGGAGGTTAATGAGATAACAATACATGAGGAGAGAGAATGGTAGTGATTAATTGAAATGCCCTCACAATATGTAACTTCCATAACTAAAGCAAAATAATTACTGCCCTTCACCATGCTCTGTAGGTCATTGCAAAATTCACATGAACTTTTGTTCCTACGTTTCTTTTAACAAAACAAATTTGAACTAGGTCCATGAATATTAACATATGACATGGTCCTGTTCTCACCACAGTTGAGTCCAACCTGTGGCTCAGGTAGTATTAGAGACACAATATGTACTTCTGGAAATTTGTAAGTTCAAAACTAACTTGAGAGATATTTTTAATAGAATACTAGTCAACATTTGGTATTTAGTTAATACTTTGATGAGTTTAAAGATTCACTATAAAAGACTTTAGAAATGGCAATATTAAGAAGAAATATTTTGAGATACATGGTTATCTCACACTGTTCCAAGTTGTAATTCTATAATATAAACACAACCTACTACATTGAGCCAAGGGTCCTATCTAAAGATATCACTTATCGAGTGAGTATAATGCATTGAGGTAACTGAAAATGGAATGTTCCTATAAGAGAAGAAGGGAGGAGAAAGTAATATAATTAAATAGAAAATATCCTTTCTCAATGTGTTGAAATAAATCAACATTGACTACAGAAAGGGAATCAACAAAATAAGATGTCAAAATCTATAATAAAATATCAAAAATATAGAAGTAAATAGAAACATGTTAGCTGTAGGTTAAAAGTTACTGTTGCTTCTGTTATCAGTATATAAGAGAATTAACTACAATAGCACTCAAATGACACGAGGATTATTAAAATTCTGTCAAATTCCCTATTACGAAGCTCATAGTTTCATACTCAGCCATATAACTTGCCTCACAGCTGAAATTTAGGGCACAGCTGAAGAATAAGAAATTTCACTTTCTAAATGGATACCTTGGATAAAAATGTACACTCTCTATGTATGTAGGTGTGTGTATCTATGTATATGTATGTGTATTTCTATACACACATATACATATAAATTTGAAATAAAAATAATTATTTTAATATAAAGTTTTCAAAAGTTAATTTGTTGTCAACACTTTAGAAAGTTTAGTCTGTTACTCACTAGTCAACACTTTGTTTATGAGCTACTGATTCTCATTTTTTGTGTTTTTTTTAACTTTTAATTTAAGTTCGGGGGTACATATGTAGGTTTGTTATATAGGTAAACTCATATCACAGAGGTTAGTTGTAGAGATTATTTCATCACCCAAGTACTAAGCCTAGTACCCAATATTTATTTTTTCTGCTCCTTGCCCTCCTCCCATCCTGCACCCTCAAGTAGTCCCTATTGTCTATTGTGTCCATGAGTTTTCATCATTTAGCTCCCACTTATAAGTGAGAACATGTGGTGTTTGCTTTTCCATTCCTGCATTAGTTTACTAAGAATAATAGCCTCCAGCTCTATTCATGTTCCTTCAAAAGACATGATCTCATTCTTTTTTATGGCTGCATAGTATTCCATGGTGTATATATATTTTTTCTTTATCCAATCTGTTTTCTTTATCCAATCTGTCATTGATTGGCATATAGGTTGATTCCATGTCTTTGCTATTGTGCATAGTGTTGCAGTTAACATTCATGCACATGTGTCTTTGTGGTAGAATAATTTATATTCCTCAGGGCATATACTCAGTAATGGGATTGCTGGATTGAATGGTAGTTTTGTTTTCAGCGATTTGAGGAATCACCATACTGTTTTCCACAATGGTTGAACTACTTTATCCTCTCACCAGCAATGTTTAAGTCTTCCCTTTTCTCTGAAACCTTGCCAGCATCTGTTATTTTTCACTCTTTAATAGTAGCTGTTCTACTGGTGCAAGATGGTATCTTTATGTGGCTTTGATTTGCATTTCTCTAATAATAAGTGATGTTGAGCTTTTCTTCATATTCTTGTTGGCTGCATGCATGTCTTCTTTAGAAAAGTGACTGTTCATTTTCTTTGTGCACTTTTTAATGGGGTTGTTTTTCTTGTAAATTTGTTTAAGTTTCTTATAGATGCTAGATATTAGACCTTTGTCAGATGCATAGTTTGCCAATATATTTTCTCCCATTTTGTAGGTTGTCTATTTACTCTGCTGATAGTTTCTTTTGCTGTGCAGAAGCTCTTGAGTTTAATTAGATCCCATTTGTCAATTTTTGCTTTTGTTCATTTTTTTGTTTTTCACCAGAACACTCTCTTTTCAGTGGTGTCACTTTCCTTAAACATTATATTTACAGAAATTTATCGTACATGGTTTATAGTCATGCTTTTACCAAGTTTTCTATTTACTTATTACTGTTTCACTTTTCCCATCAACTCTAAAGGGCATTTTTGAGTTTAAATATTTAATTGCGGGTATTTTCTAATGTTTTAAAGTGAAGATCATCCACAAAGACTGACTACAACAGACCTTGGACTAATCCACCATCAGTCATGCTTATGTGTAAGTCATTGAAAAAAATTCTTAGTCCCAATTTTATCTTCATTTGTGTACTTTTCATTATTGTCCTTTGTTTTACTGATTTTTTTTAAAAAAAAGTAAAACAAGTAATGCATAGAAAATTAAAAATATAAACTTTAGTGGTAAAATTGATATGGGTAAAACAAGAAAAAGGAAGAACATGCTGAGCAGGTTTTCCTGGACACTTTTACGTTTATTGTATGTCCCAGCCTCTACAACAGGGATGTTGGAAGAAGCAAGAGACTTTTCTATGCAACATTCTTACAGAAATCATGTTTTGCAAAGTTAAGCTACTTGATTATGTTGAAATTCAAGTACTGGCTAAATATAATTCCCAGATGAGCATACTTATGCATATCATCCATTATTAACTTCTGTACAATATTAAATATAAACTACTTCCAGGCAGCCTGGCATGAATTAAAAATATGAATGCCACCATATTATTGATTATTGTTCTACATGGTTACACTTTAATATGCATAGTAATGCAAAATAAATATGCTAAGAGTTCTTCAATAATAAACATGCCATTCCTCTGAAAATGCTAGGATATATATGCAGTACAAAATTCATACACTATGTAAACTCTTAAATGAAAGAGTTCGTAAAACGGTCTACTATTTCAAATATAGTTCTCTATCACAACATATTCAAATTATTAGGTGTTTTCTCTGTGGAGTATTTTCAATATTTTACAGATGTTGGAATAATCGTGAGATTTCTGTAATACAGAATGCGTTCCATTGTTATTATTAATAATAGTCTCTACTATAAATCACATCAATCACTGTGTGAGCATTTTGCACATGTAATCTCAAATTCTCATAGAGAAATACTGTTGGCTACACAGACTCAGTAATTTCAATCATGATACTATTGTTTTAAACCCATCAATATGCTAATCCATTCTGCCAGGTGCAAGAGAAACCAAAGAGTAATAAAGTAATTTCAGAGCCTTCTGACCTCAAAAAGACTATCATTCAACTAAGGAGATAGATTACAAACAAACAAGATGCCAACTAATTCAAGGCTTCTCTATCATGAGTGAAATATTTTCATAGTCTGCTACCTAATAGTTTCACTCTTAATTGCCAAAAAAAAAATTACTTGATCCGTATGGGTGTGTGTGAATTCATACACAAACTTAAAAAATAATTACATTTATTATCTTATTAGAATCAATAGATGGAACTACATTAATCTAAAAGAAAAATGAGAATTTCATCAGAATCAATATCAAAGTTAAATTAATCTTTCTTTAATAAAACAAGGCACAAGCATTCAGAGTTTATAATTGGAGTTGCTAGGCTAAAGAATTACTATAGGGAAGGAATAATTTCTAAATACAACCATCTTTATTTCCAGTCAGAAAGCAATGACTATTTCCAAGCTACATTGGGCTGAATTTCCTGCTAACAAATGTGATAATATAGAACTCTATGAAAATTAATGTTCCAATGAGAGCTCCTAAAATGATGTCCTCAAAAAATAATATTGGTGCATTAAAATAAAGAATTACACATTAAGTTCAAAGTTAAAACTCTCATAGCATTAGTGCAAAAATAGGCTGGGATGTATTTACTTAATTTTTTCCTTTTAAACACTTTTTAAAGTGTTAGAGATGTTTATAGAAATTAATCTACACAAAGATGAAGAATGTAGTGAGGCTCATTTAGTAGAAACTTTCAGAGGTATTTCAAGCAAATACAATGAAGAATTTCAGAAATAGTATTAAATTACTATTATTGATACAAGACAACCCTTTTCACTGTCATTCATTCTATAGTAAGTTTCTTGATGAGAGTTTCATGCCACTATGGTACTCAGTTTGATTATACCTGAGCCATCATGTGTCAAATTACTTTTGTGTCTCAGAAACCAACCTCCCTTCCTCCCTCCTTCCTTCCTTCTTTCTTTCCTTCCTTCCTTTCTCCCTCTCTGTCCCCCTTTCTTTTTTTCATTCTTTCTGCTTTTATTTAGACTTTGAGGCCCTATTAGGTGTCGTAAAGAACATTCTGTGCAGTTTGGAAATGAGCCAACTGTGAAAAACACATATCTTGCCACTACCCTTACTATACCACTACCAACATGTATGCACATACTTCTGTCCAGGTTGATCCTGCTTTAGGATCATATTTGAATAAAAGAAAATGAATATAAATTAGTGAACAACTTGTGTTAAGTATATCAGTTGTGTTTATTATGCAAGTATGTACAAGTAGGGTAGGTGGAGAACATGTTGAGGTGGAGCCTAATAATCAGCAGCATCATGAGCTGCATAGTTATGGTTCCACCTCTACTCAAGGGTCCGTATTTAGGCTCCATGCACTGGCATGACTGTGTTCTGAATGACCCATGCCCATTCTGAATGAGTAATGTTCATTTTGATTGGATGATGCCTTGCTTTACAAGTTGTTAAATATTTTGAAATATCACCCCCTCCTCTGCTAGGTGATATTGGGCAAACCAATTATCTCTCAACCTCAGTTTTTCAACTGTGAAATGACATTTGAACTGTAGAGTCTCCAAAGTCTCTTTCAGTCATTACGATCTATCATTTAGGGCTTAAGTACACACAGCAAATAGGAGTAATGGTGCAGAATGAGGATGTCAGAGAGTAAAGTTTTCAGAATATTCTAATAAAACTAGTAGTTTAGGAAGGTACAATATCAACTCTTTTTTTTATGGGAGAGTTTTTATTTATTTTTTATTTACAACTTTTATTTCAAGTTCAGGGGTACATGTGCAGATGTGCAGGTTTGTTACATAAACGTGTGCCATGGTGATTAGTTCCACAGATTTTCCCATCATCTAGGTATTAAGCCCAGCATCCATTAGCTATTTTTCCTCATACAACATCAACACTTAAACTAGCAATTGAGAGGAGATGTTGCAGGGTCTTCTGGAGATTATCTTCTCAATTAGTTGACTTGGGTCTACATGGAGCTGGGATTTCTCTGGTTTTGTAAAACTAAGCCTAAAGAATATGAAAACTGATGCTAAATATGCTCTAATTCTACAAACTTGCCAAGCAAATTCTGCTTTCTTGAAACAGAGCTGCATAGCTGGAAATTTCCAAAATAATGTCTACATTTTCAATTTAATTGTTTTCCTTAAATAAAAGGGTGGAAATTGACTTCAACTGGTTTAATTGATATGGTACATGTAAAAACACTTTAGTAATAATATAAGTACACTAAGCAAACATTAGTAAGGTATTGTTAGCTGCCATAGTATGCTATCATTCTTGGCTCATAAATATATGGTGTATCACATCTACTATATTACAGGCATTGAGTTACCTCTTGAGGACACAAATAAACTACTTGCACTCATATCTTTTTCTCAGAATCTGCTTCTGGGAAATCCCAACATAAATTAATATGTGTGCATGCATGCACGTGCACACACACACACACACACACGTGTACATGCTAATACATTGAGGGACAGTGTATGACAGTAAGACATTATGGGCAGCTGGAACACCATGTACAAAAGCATATAAGTGACAAATAGAGAGATGAGTTATTGGAAGATGTAATGTTTTACAGAAAAACTAGAGAATACAACATATACAGGGAATGCTAAGAGAACATTCTGTGTTGGATGATATGAGCAAGAACTTAAATGGATTTGTATAGCTCATTAAAAGTATTTTATAATTTCTCATGAAGGGCATTGGAAACCCACTGAGAAAGCATTTTCCAATCAAAGGGACTAGCTTAGGTACAAATCCTATTGCTTAAAGAAGTTTTATATATTATTTTAAAATAACAGAGAGATCTAAATAGGTTAATGGGAAGATGTTAGATGAGCAATGTATGGATACCACAGTTATTATAATTGTTTAATATTCATTTTTTTGGGTTTATTAACACATATCCGTTACCAGTGGGGGAAAAAACCTAAACTTTTGCTCTTTCTTCTCTTCTTAAAATCCTGCTACACCACTGCCATGGAATCCCCGTCTAAGTCAATAGCAGCTCCATGCATCCAGCTGCTGGGGATAAGAAACCTGAAGTTATCATTTATGTCTCTCTTTTACACTCCATCTATAACCTCCCAGAAAATTTTATTCTTTCTACTTTCAAAATGTAGCAGAATTTAATTGTTTCTTGCTGCTTGCACTGACTCAGCCTGTTTCAATCTCCAGTATTCCTCTGTCTGTGTACAAGGGAATGGTGGCTTGGACCAGTAACTTTGGAGGCCGAGGACAATCGCTTGAGGCCAGGAGTTCAAGACCAGCCTGGGTAACACAGCAAGACCCAGACTTCGTCTCTAAAAGACTAAATTAAAAATAAATTATTTTTAACAAGTTCCCCAGCTGCTACCCATGCCTTTCAGTCACTCGTCAACACACTGAAATGAAACCTGAAGTCACGATAACATCATAGTTGACTTAATTTGTTTTTATTGAAGCAGAGCGCTTTCTCCAATTTTACTTTTCTTTACACCCAACTGAAGTTTTCTTAAGCTGTTCAATTCTTTTAAACACCTAGCATATTAGATATTGCTTAAAAGTTAATGTTATATGCTCCTTTTCTCAAAACCCATGAATCATTCCCCACTTTACTCAGTAAAAGCCAAAATCATTACAATTACCTACAACGCCCTCTGTTTCTTTTTATCTTCATTCCTGCTATTCTCACTCCATCCCAGCCACATGGGCCTCCTTGCTTCTGTTTGAACAGACATCTCCCAATGTTAAGGTCTTCTGAGATGATCCCCATGGTGGGGTCCATAATATTCTCTTGGCTAAGCTCTGATGATGTTCTCTTGGCTAATTTTTTTTTTCCCCGTGATGTTCTCTTGGCTAAGCCCTGACTGTTCTTCACGTTTATGTTTAAATATCATTTTTTATATAAGTATTTTGGAGTAAGACTTAAATGACAGAAAATCAACACATTGATTTTTTTAAATAACTCTCAGTATTATTCTCCTTGGGGGATCATTGTGTTGTAATTATGCTTTCATGTTCTTTTATTAAAGATACCTATGGAGAACTTTATCCTTCCCTTCATAAGCCTGCCATATTTTTCAGTCAATCTTTGATAGATCTTTAACTGATCATTACCATTATTAGAAATAAGTATAGATCTGGGATATAAAATGACTAGGGAAGGATTAAAAGAACACCGACTCCCAATTTTAAACATACCAGCATATTTTTTTCCTTTAAAAACCACACATGATGTTTTTGGATTAAAATAAATGTATTTTAATACCATTTTATGGAGGGACCTCTAGGAATGTACAAACAAGTTTAGAATCTGGGGGCTTAACAAGATATATGATTAGGTATAGCCATGTAAGACTACCATTAAACTCTACTCATTATTTATTTTTAATTTAATAAGCAAACTAAAAACTCACTGTCCAACTAGTCATAGTTTTTTATCATTTTATTTATGATTAAGTCATAAAACACTTAACGTATATCAAGACTTGAATTTGGTTTATTAATAGATTAAATTGATGTAACCGAACACTGCACTCGAATTAACTTAGTTCCAATAACCATAAACTTGGCCTGCGTGATTTCATTTGTAACCATTTTTTACCTTGTTAACTCAGTGTCCTCTCACTAATGTGGATCAATGGCAATGTACGGGCATATTACCTTTATAAATTCACGTATTTTTTCAATGTAGTAACTGTTTGGTAATTTCTGTTAACACTTTCTCCTTTCTTTAAATGGAATTAGAGAAATGTCGAATAGAACTCCTTTATGTAAGCATATCTTCGAGGGCAATATACAAGATAGTAGGAAAATATCCTAACCCTACTTGGATGCCCAATGCTAATGTCAATCTCTGTCATCACAGTCTTGTGGGATAATTGTTCATAACTTTCCACTGCATCACTGAGATAGGCTCATGTCGATTTATACCAGCTGGTATTCCATGGCTGTGGGCTAGCCACCATCTTTCACACCTCATTGAGTTCCCATCAGACTGTAAAGTACAGTAACTAAGTAATCTCTTGCTCGCTCTCCTTTTTGTTAATGTGTTGCACACTCTGCCAGTGTAAAGATGTATATGAACTGGGGTTTTCTCTAGAAATCAAGAAAGAACATCCCACTGCTCACACCAGCTAAACCACACTGTAAGCAATTGCTTGTCTCCTAATTATAACTATAAAACAATATTGGATACACTGGGTTTTAAATGTCTAGCCCAAATTCATATATCTACTTAGTTTTGAAAAATTACTAGGACAGAGCTGGCACTTAAATGTTTTTGAACAATACCATAATACCATAAAGATATTCTTAAGCTGAGATTTTCTTTTTCTTAAATGAAGCAGTAAGCAAAAATCTCAGTGTACCATGTAAAATGAATTAATTTTAGCATGGTCCTTTGAGTCTATTTTAAATATTATATCCATTTATAAATGGGCTGCTGAGCTGATGGGAAAATAAGAAATGGCCTCCCAGGCATTCAGAAATAAAACCAAGAATAAAACTCAGTAGCTTTGGTTGAAAAATAAGATGTAGTACCTCAAAATAATTTCAAAATTTAGTATGAGAAAAAAATTGTTTAGAAGATTTTGAATGAAACATGCAAAATTGGTCTTTGGAGTTGTTACGAACCTATATTATGAGTAAACTTACAATAAGGATATAGCAGATATACTATTACCTGGACTTTTTCTCCATAATCTTACTCTCACACCCTTAAATCTCTAAGGCTGACATTTCTGGAGGGAGGATTCATGAATATCCTGCAGAAGCAAGAATACAGAAGAAAGATTACCTACTTTCAACACAACACTAATAGACTTTTGACATTCTGTTTCCAATCCTCCAGGCACCCTCCACTCCCAATTTCTCTGCTCATAATGTCTTCATTCCAAAATTAAGTTGATACTTCCCCAATTCCCTTCCCACTTTTTACCTAATTATCTACCTATAAAAATATGTTGGAACAACAAAATATAGCTACAAGGGAAGCACATACACATATACAGACACACACTCACTCCAACACCCTTAGGTAAAACAAACAACATTTAGAGAAACTATGTTATTCTCTTAGGTTTTAAAAGTAAAATGAAAATCTCTGTTGGTTTGATTTTGTTTTCCTGAGAGTTTTCCAGAGTGGTTAGCACATCGTTCGCATTTAGGAATCAATATTATTTATGTTATTGGAATCATACTAAACGGCAGACATTGAAGATGCCATAGTCAGTAATGGAATACCAAATATAATATCCTGTCAAATAGTCCTCAGGGAACTGATGGTCACAAGATAGTCTACTCAATTTTTATTTCTTTATTATTATTATTATTATTATTATTATTATTATTAAGAGACCAGGTCTCGCTCGGTTGTCCAGATTGGAGTGCAGAGGTGCAATTACAGCTCACTGCAGCTTTGACCTCCTTGGCTCAAGTGATCCTCCCGCCTCAGCCTCCTGAGTAGCTGGGACTACAGGCACAAATCCATGCCCGGCTAATTTTTAATTTTTAGTAGAGATGAGGTCTCGTTATGTTGCCCAGGCTGATCTGGAACTCCTGAGCTCAAGCAATCCTCCCATCTCAGCCTCCCAAAGTGCTGGGTTGACAGGCATGAGCCTCTGCACTCAGTCCATGTTAATTTTCCATTTGCAGAACATTTTTCTTCCAAATCAAAAATGAGTATTATTATCTTCCACCTACCCATATAGTAATATTTGTGCCTTAATGAAACATCCAAAACAAGATTTTGTCTGAAAAATGTGTTCAAATATTTGAAATGTACTATTATTTCTTATATTAACATTTTCTTTTAAGCTGGTATTCACAATTCAGTGAACTATTTTCATGAAATGTTTCCCTCTGAGTTCAGTAAATTAGTGAACCCTAATGCCATGTTTAATCTTTATTGCCAAATAGTTTTTCCTCTCTGTACAGTATCTAGAACTATGATAATTATTTTATTACTTATTTATTGTCTCATTTCATACATTGAAGTAAGTTCCCTGCAAAATCATAATCATCTACTGTCTTCATGATTGACTCCCTAGTATATACAACAATTCTTGGCGCATAGTAGATATTCAAGAAATAGCAGTGAAATTAATGAATAAACAGATGTATTGTGTAGCTCCAAATGATCTCATGTCACTGTACACTTAATATAAAGCTCTTATTTGATATGTGATACTGAGCCACAAGACGATAGTGAATTATTTTAAACCACTTAGATAGTCTGCAGCCAGGTTTGTACTAAAATGCAAGCCAGTTAACTGATTCCAGTGCTTCTTGCCTTTTTCCTACACAGCCTCTCCCCTGATAACCAGAACCTGCATAATCTCAGTTAAAATATGACATGTATAATTAGATATGATTCCATATATCATTTCATGCAGCCTGAAATAATAATCACTGCTATGATTGCAATATTTTGTATATAGTCTTCTAAAATTTTGTCAAATTTCTTTTAGCAATTTATGTTCCTGTTGCCACATACTTGTGACTAGCAAACACTCCACGATTTTTAACATCATTTGGAGTTTGTGCATTTTCACACTTCATTTATCCCCATTAAGATGATAGTTATTAGTTTCAACCCATGTTTCCAGGTTCTTGAGATAATTCTAAATCTTGATTCTGACATCTATGATATTAAGCAGCAATTTCAGATTTGTGTTAAGCACAAACTTGAATAAAATGCATCTTTGCTTAAGGATGCAAAACAAAGTCTTGAGGGCTAAATTAGATCTACATGAGCATTTTCATTAGCCAGTATAGGCTTTTTAAAAAAATATATATGAAGGTGTATTAATTTCCTGGGGTTGTCATAAAAAAGTACCAAAAGCCAGGTGGCTTAAAATAACAGAAATTTATTTGCTCACAGTGTGCAGGCTAGAAGTCTGAAATCAAGGTCCCAGCAGGGCCATGATCAATCTGACTGCTCTTGGGGGAAATTCTTCCTTGCCACTCTTAGCTTCTGCTGTTTATCTGCAATCCTTGCCTTCTCTTAGTTCGTAGATACATTAGTCCACTTACATGGCCATCATCTTCTCCCTGTGTGGCTTCAAGTCATTTTCCCTCTGTGTGTGTCATCTCTTGTCCCAGTTTTCCCTTTTTATAAGGATACTAGTCATATTGGATTGGGGCTCACTTTAATGATCTCATCTTAACATGATTATCTCTGTAAAGACCTTATTTCCAAATAAGATCACATTCTGAGATATTCAGCATTAGGATATTATAGGTAGCAAAGACACTATTCAACCCCAGACCAAAAGCATTTGGATTAGTGATTTCTGCGCAAAGTGGTAGATATATTATAATACTGATAATATTATATGTAATGTGTCATATATATCATATATGTCATACATACATACCTGTTCTAAATGCATGATGTCCATATATATGCACACATATATGACAAGTTTGTGTGTGTGTGTGTGTGTGTTAGTGCAAAGTTTTAAACTTTCTAGTCTCCATAAAATTCTTCTTGCTTTGGCAAAAGCCATCGGTTGGTAATTTAAGGTAGTTACTCAGGACATAGTATCTTATCTGATCAACATTTTTTTTTTTTTTGAGATGAAGTCTCACTCTGTTGCCCAGGCTGGAGTGCAGTGGTGCGATCTTGGCTCACTGCAACCTCTGCCTCCTGGGTTCAAGCGATTCTCCTGCCTCAGCCTCCCGAGTAGCTGGGACTACAGGTGCGCGCCACCATGCCAAGCTAATCTTTGTACTTTTAGTAGAGACGGGATTTCACCATGTTGGCCAGGATGCTCTCAA
Organism: Homo sapiens; assembly: GCF_000001405.40. Taxonomy (NCBI): domain Eukaryota; kingdom Metazoa; phylum Chordata; class Mammalia; order Primates; family Hominidae; genus Homo; species Homo sapiens. The sequence goes on from NC_000021.9 coordinate 20,875,165, forward strand.
TCTTTTGACCTTGTGATCCGCCTGCCTCGGCCTCCCAAAATGCTGGGATTACAGGCGTGAGCCATCGCGCCTGGCCTTGATCAATTTATTTTTGAACTCAGTCTATGTGACTTCACTTTATATATCATAATATCACAAATCCTAATGCTTCTTTTCAGTCTTGTAGCAGATTTTAAAGTGGGGCAAAAAGAGGAATCCATTACCATCACAATGCTGGAGTACTGATGTGACATAATGTCTAGTAATGTTTTTATAGATCCAATAGCATCCAACAGAAAACACAATTTTGTTTGCATGACTCAACTTGAGAGAAAATAATTCATACATTAGTGTGACTGAATCCAGATATTTTCCAGTTAAAATAAGTCATTTATCATTTTACTTATTTATAGCTTAATATTGGAAAAAGCAGAGAGCATTAACTTGCATATATGTCTCAGTTAAAAATATAGTAGAAAACAGCATATTCGATTAAGACCTTGCTATTCCTCTTACCAATGGTACACATGGGAAAACACTGGAAAATGGAGCATCAAGTCCTAAATCTTTTAAGCAGAATAATATATTTGTCTAATAAATCTGTGAAAAGTATTTTAAATAACATATGGGTTACCATGGGATTTACTGTGATAGGTTAGAAGATAATAATATATAGTGGAAGTCCTACTTGCTAGAAACTTAGTTTAAATTCCAAACATATTTACTTACCTCATATCTATTAAAATCAAAGTGCCAATCTGTTATTCCCACTCCTGGCAGGTGGTTCTCTGTCACATTGTTCAACAGCAACATCTACTGGCTGCAATGTCCACATCTAACTTCTGTTGCTTGGATTTCTACTGTTTGGTATGTTTCAAATGTTATTCCAGGGAGTGGTTTGAATAGGAAGGTTGGATTACATTGGGAGAAAGAAGAGATCATCAAAAGTTCTTGAAAGCAGATTTCTTTAATAATTTAATTTTTATTAGGTACTTAGAGAAAACAAAATCTATCCATTCAGGGTTTCCAGAGTCTCATTGCTTGAGCCATACATGGAAACCAGCTTGTGGATAGTTGTACATCAGAAAACCATTTATGATTACTGTCTCAGAGTAGCTACCTTACTGAGAGATATGAAACATAGCTATACATGGAAGGAACAACAGACTTTATAGAAATGATTAAAATCAAAATATACTCTATCATATAAATTTGTATTTAAAGGATATACTTTACTATTTAATGGTGATTATCACAATGAGCACAAGATTTGGGGGAATTACTCATAACTTTATTCTTTTTCATTATTTTCAGCATATTAACTTTGAGTTCCAAACATAAACTATACAAATTATCTAAAAATATACTTGGTACCTTTTGATATGGTACCTCTCCATGTACAGAATGACTGCACTGCCCTCTGATTTGTATTCCCTGCCAACACTCTTATATAATCAATAGCTTTAAAAATTTTCAATTTGGATATTCAGCTCGTTAGATTCCAACCTTCTGCTTCATTGACATTCTTCAATAATGAACTTTCATTTCTTTTAGGCAGGATGAAATGAACTTGGCATATGACTTTAGCTTTAAAAAATTGTATTTAAGGAGAATAAACATAAGCATTTAATATTCTGGAGTTTCTTACTACCACAGTGTAATTTTCATACCACACATATATAAGGTTTTCCTTTTCTACTTCTACCAAGTTATCATATAGTTAGTTACTTCTGATGGTTTTAAGAAAAAGTTATAGCAATAGATATTACTGGAAAAGTTATTTAATTCACAAGTGATCACTGGTTTACTCATTTATGCATTTTAATGTACAAATTCTTTTTTCAGAAATAGAGACACAGGTCTCACTTTGTTGCCCAGGCTGGTTTCAAACTCCTGGGCTCCAGCAATCCTCCTCTCTTGGCCTCCCAAAGTGCTGGGATTACAGGCATGAGCCACTGAGACCGGCCAAGAAAATTCTTACATACCATGTTTTGGGTCAGGTGCTGCCCTACTAGGCCAAAATATTAATTCATTTAATTATCTAAAAACTCTAGAATCCCTGGAATAATTCAGATTAATTTTGCTCAGCAAATATTCCCTCCCTCCTCCACCCATTGTGAATGAGAATATGATCCAGTATATGATCCCACCCAACTGAAACTGGGCTTGAATTTAAGACTTGCTTTGGCAAGTACAACACATTGACCAGAAAAGAGATCTTCAGTGTGCTTGCATGTTTTGGCTTACTTCTTAGGCTTTTATGATATATCAGTCACTGTCCCTGTTTGGGTTCCAGAATAAACAAATAAAGACCTGGTCCCAACCTCTAAGTACAGAGCCTGGCCACGCAGAGACTTCCAGCCAAACCCATCCTAGGTCAACTAAACCTTGTGTAGAATTTCACTAAATATAACGTTAATGGTGCTTCCTGGTCATTTGGCCTCAATATTATAGTGAAACAGCAAGCACAAAAAAAGTTATCATTCTTACAGGTACAATTGACTCTGATTATCAAGAGAACAGTGAGTCATTGTGACACAATAGGTGCAGGAGAGAGGATTGTTGGAACTGAGGTGATTCTCTGGTAACCTTGGCATGTCTATGTCTGGTAAAAATAATAAGAAATCATAGTCTGACAAGGGCATGGTAACCAAGTTCTCAATTCCTTGAGAATGAAAGTCTGGGTTGTCTTATGAGATGAGCAACCCAGACCTGATCAAATATAGAGGAAGAATATATTGAGTATTATTGATAGCCTTAGTACCAGTTTCAGCCATGGTTACTACAGATAGGCCTGCTACTACTCCTTTCACTTTTTTCCCCCTTAAAAATTATGCCTTACCACTCTCACAAAGAAGCATTGTCAGCACAGAGAGAATATGTTGTGAGACACGAGTGGATATAAGGGGGGGTATAAGTGATGAACTTGTCAGCGCCCTAGCATTAGTGTGGGATATTCATTACAGTTGATGAACCAATATTGATATATTATTAGTTAATAATAAAGAATTATTATTTGTTATAATTATTAGCTATTAATGATTAGTTAATAATGTATCAATATTGGTTTATCAATTGTAATAAATACAGTTTATAGTTTACATTAAGGTCCAATCTTTGTGTTGTATAGTCTATGGATCTTGACAAATGTATCCTGCATACATCCACCATTACAGTATTATACAGAATAGTTTCACTGCCCTAAAAATCTCCCTTGCTCTGACTGTTCAATTCTGTCCACTGAACCCTTGGCAACTACTGATTGTTTTGCTATATCTTTACTTGTGCGTTTTCCAGAATGCCATATTGTTGGGCCCACCATTTCCTTATTTTTAGCTGCTAAGGTTGCTATCACAATGAGTTCAGGGACTCGAGTGGTGACACCATTTATCCTGGGTTGTAGAGTTGGCTCCTCATGGCACGTCTTTGGAGGCTTGGTATGAGCCGCTGTAGAAAACTGGGAAAATCTTTCTTTTATCTCTAGCAAGTAAGTTATTTATAACTTATTAACTCGTTTTATAAATCTTTAATATTTCAACTGCAGTTAACAACCTGAGCAGCTTGCCTCCATGAAAACAAATATTGAACATATATAAAATATGTGTGCGTGTGTATCTACAAATCTACTCAAAATTATAAGTAGAAAAAAATTACAATTAAGAGTCATCGGGAATAGGAATAGGATCCACTATACATAAACAAATCAGGCCTTTAGAATTGCTGCAAATACTGCTTTGAAATTTATTCTTTTCATAAATATGTAAGTTAAATTTATTCTTTTCATAAATAAGTAAATTAAATATTACGATTATAATATTTTTCCTAAAATACATGTTTCATCAATATTTCCTGAGGGTGTTCTCCAATATACCCTGTAGCTACCCAGCTGAAATGGCCATGGTCATCCTGCTACGTGTAAAGTACTTTAAGTGGTCTTATGTTGTGCTACTTTAAAACATAATTATTACTTTTATTGTTACTTTACCTTCACATTTGGAAAAATACAACCAACAAATCCTGTACCTCTGTCTAGTTTATTTTCATTAGTATTATAACCACAAGCAAAGGAAACAGATGTTTTTATCACAAAAACATTTTGTAAATATGCAAGACCAAGAAAGCAACAATAAGCATGTTGTGCAGTTAGTACCATTTTCTCTGATCCACTAAAGTCAGTTGTCCAAGAAAGGAGCTGTTTATACTACTCCTATATTGCTAGGGCAGTTGCAGACTGATGACTTATGATCAAGAAAAATTAATTTTCTCTTGTAATACTGAAATCCTCAAAAGCATGAGTTTTGTATCGATGCCTGAATTTCTGAAGTCATATTTTTGAAATAACATGTAATATGTAATTTGAATTCAGTTACTCCAAACATTATTATCAGTTATTTTCCAAGAAAAATACATACATTGCATTTGATATTGCCTAATTTCTGAAATTGGTTGAGTCTAAAATAATAACGTCAAATATGATTTTCTAACAAACATGTAAAATTAGCCGCAAGCTATATGAACAATTTCATACGCTATAATCTTATTAGGGGAAAAAGTTTTGTCTATATCCTTTTGATTGCCTTTGGATAACAATTATATGTTAGAAGGCAAGGTCTAAGGTTAGCAAGGTATAAGTTAATAATAAAAAATTGTGATGTAATAATTTGAATAAAAATTTAAAAAGTATGAAAATTAGCCATTTTTGGTACAATCTATACTTCACTTTGTGAAAAAAATCCACATCCATCATATGCAATACTTTTACACACAATGTACCAACCAGCAATCAGTGAAGAAATATGCCATCTCTTTATGTATATTACTAATTTTCCTGAAAACTAAACCCCTTTCAGATTATAAATTTCATAGTCTACAAATTTATATTGTTAAATACACTTAATATTTTCTTAGGAAAATTCTTATAAATACAACTATCATCCAAAATTTGATTGTATATTTAAATATTTGGTTCACATGGCGAAGAATCTTTCCATAAAATCTTTAGCAATTGAGAGCTTTCCAGAGATCTAAAGACTCCTGATTCCTCCACAAATATACTGATATTTAGCATTATTATTCTTCAATTAGATTCCAACTTAAGAGATAAACACATATTTTACATTTAGTTCAATCATATTTTCTTTGATTAGAATTTGCATCCATATATTCTGTATATGACTATACTTGTCTATCTATGTATTTATGCATCTATCAATCTATCATCTATCATCTCTCTAGTCTTCATTGCAAAGTGCATGATAATATTTCCCACCCACTTGTATCTTCCACTGCTTTTATTTACTATTGATTTAAATAAACTCTTGCATTAGTGATTAAAACTTTGTATGTCATAAATGTGTCTCTTTTTTTCTCAATTTTTAGTTACCTTTTAATTTTGCTTATTGATTATTATTTAACGCTCAAAGTTAAAATATTTGTTTGGCTAAATCAGTCAACCTTTTCCTTTATAGTTTTTGTGTTTGGTGGTAAAGATGAATTTTAAAGCAAAAGTTTTTCTTTTCGATAAACTTTCATTAAGCACTTACCGTAGCTTAGGAACACAGAGAATCAATTAAGTGCTTGTCCGGCATGCAATTTCAACCAAGTTGTGGAGATAGAAATGCAAATGTACATTCACACAACATTAAGAAATATTTTATCAACAGCAATCTACCAATAAATGCAAATTGATATGGTGCAAATTGAGAACATATGTGCTGAGAATAAAGGAATGTGTAATTGAATGGAACTTCTCAAGGGAGGGAAATTAGAGATAATAAAAATCCAAGGCTTTCAGAATTTTTATGACATCTTTTTGTCAGTGATTCTTCTATGCATCTATGAATTATTCTACTTTGCATATATTTGAAGAAGCTGGATCTTGCTATATACATTTTACATATTTCTTCTAGGACAAGAGGAGTTGAAGTTGATATGTTATAAATGCTTAAGCATAAATGCAATTTTCAGCATTATTTTTCTGGGAAATTGAAAGTGAGACAGGAATGGTTAGGAAATAAGAATTAATTATTTTCTTTACTAGCCATGAATGCACTCTACACCTTCAAATCCAGCTATGCCTTACCACCCTGTTGTCACCTAGTACTTTTGAAGTTTCATTTCAGAAGTAAAGGTATAATAAGAGAGAAAATTATGGAAGTGGTGATAGTATTGTGAGGTTATCAAAGGAATAACAACCACAAAATAAGGAAATAGAACTGCTCATTTTCACTTTCAAATATATACCTAATAATCTAGTTATTATTGGAAGTTTGATGCTCATTTTGAGTACGAATTTAAAAACCTCAGTTTTGGAGAAATATGTTAGTGAAATTTTCTCAATACTTCGTAGTTAAAACTTGATTTTGTTCTAATGCCTTAAAATGACTTCCTGGGAGCTGTTTCTGCTCTCTCTCTCTCTCTCTCTCTCTGCAGTTGTCCTCAACACTCATCACTGATATAAAATGAAAAAAGGAAGAAGTGATGACATTGTAACCATGGTTTTCCCTATAGTTCCTGTGTCTGCTGTGCATTTTACCTTCTAATTTTCCTAGAGTTGGATTTTAAATGATCCAGTTCTAAAGCACAATTTTCACTAGTACTTGAAATATCTCTCTTGAATACTTAACTTCCATATTACTCTGATGAGCAAGACAGGCCATGTTAGGGAAAACCCTCAAGTGAATTCATGTTCCTTTCTTAAACCAAAAAAATTCAAATCACGTTTCCCTTCCTTGGGAGTGAATCTACTCCATACTAAGGTACGTGCAAAGCAGAACTTTTCAAGATAAAAATGTATTCAGAACCCATAAAACTATTTTTTTATATTTATATCTTTTCTTCTTTCTCAAAGTTCATGGTCTACAGTTTTTTTTCTCCTCTTCCCCAAACATACAATGAAAAAGTGAAAAAAGACTTTTGTAACTATGAGGTTGCAAATTCACTGAAGAACCAAGTCATTATTCATTTCAGCATGTCTCTTTCGTGATGACTAATGTATGCAATTCCATCATTACCAATAAACATTGGTCCCATGTTGAATTTTAGTTTTTTATAAGATAGTATGCAACAGTAAAACAATTCTCAGTTAAGGAAACAGAAGACTAACATTCTGAGAAATGAAAATAAATAAATTTTAAGAAAAACCTTCTAATTTTTGAAAGTAATGTTAGTGCAGGATCTGTGTATGAAGTTATAGAATAAACAACACTGGAATTGTTATATAGGGTAGTATACAAATATATAGCCCTTAGGAAAAAAAAATATTCTTGCTCTTGGCTCCTGCTGACTAAACACTATTTGCCATTTTGGTCTTATTTCTGGTAACTAAACTCTTGAAATCAATGGTCCATTTAATTTTAACTCTTTTCTGTTTCTGAAAAACCCTACACCTGCCCACCTACACTGTGTTCTACCTAGCACACTTTTTTGTTTCCCTTTAATTATTTAGTTCCTGCTTAACCTATTAGTTTGGTATTTCAGGATCTTGAGCCTTCGAATCTGGGTCCGTTCCCATTCCCATTGCACCCTCTGGTGGCCATCTCCATATCCATCTTAGTTAATTAAGCCAATTTTGATTAATTCCATACTCTTACACTGGTGGCAGGTTGGTTCAGAAAAAGGCAACTGATGCGATTCTAACCAGTAGAACCAGAAGTAAATTCTACAGGAAGCCGCCTAAGGAAAGTTTTCTTATTCACAAAATAGAGTCACAGGAAACTGTAGTATCTCCTCTATTTTCCAAAATGCACTATTATTATCACTGTTGCTGCTGCTGTTGATGTTGTTTAATTTTGTTTTGTTTGACATAGTTCTGCATCTGCTATTACCATAGTTATAACAGCTTAACATTAAAATTTTTTTAAATGGAAAACAGAGACATGAGAAGAAAGTCTGTTTCTGTTCGCTTTGTGACATCAATGAATCAGCCGGTGTTAGAGGTCAACTTCAGCAGTCATTTTACATTTATTTTGTCCATCCAGAATGTGAATTGCCTTCTATGTTTGCAGACACTTCCGCTTCTTGAAAAACAGCCTGAAACTCGTTATGAAATCTGAAATGCCTTATATTCACTTTCCTACCCCTCCTTGTGTTGGAAGACATTTCCCCATGGATTTCTTGCATTCCTACATAGTCTGAGTACTCTGAGTAAAAGCATTTACGGCCAATCATTGTATATGGAAACATTCCAAAACAGTAAAGTATATTTTTTTGGAGGATTTTTTTTACATCTCAGGATAACAAACATAGAAAATCCTTTCCCTTCTCCCCCAAAGATATTTGCTTATATTCTAGATTAAACCGAATATTCCAGTCTCTCTTTTTCTCTTTGGAGGGGAGGATCGGCAAGACATCAGGGGCCCTACCTAAAATCAGAGTTTCCTAATTTTGAGGATTTTTTTCCTGTGATGTATTCCACTGAATGTACACATAACATCTGGCTCTCATTGTGTTGCCCTGTGTGAACTGATGTACAGAGAACCAACATAAGATAAATGGTCTTTGTTTCTGACTAAGGAGTCATCTGTATTATATTAGCCTGCTAAGGTTATATATTCAACAAAGCAGAACGGATTCAGCATGGCAGCGTGGTCTGTGTTTTCTGTGGCAGACTGACTTGGTAGTTTACAATAGAGTAAAATCACAGATCTTTTACAGTCTTAGTTAGACTTCATACTTAGAACCAGTGTATTGTCACATGACTTTGAATTCAACAATTGGCATCGCTTGCCCTATATTTTCAACTGGAAATATTGATATGAAAAATCAGGTACCATGCTGAAATTATAAACGCATTGGTTGAATTCTCCAGCATCCATCGGTGGTTATGTCTGCAGTGCTGTCTGCCCACACTGTGCCTATGGGCTTTGTCAACCCTGGGGATTCTAGTAAACATAAGTCAGCTCGTGTCATTCCTAAGCTCTTCCCTACCGTAAAAGAATTTGTTATTCTCAGTAACACCTATTGCAGTTTTGTTTATTTCATTGTATAGTTTCTATGTTCCACACTGGAATGCAGTCTACAAAAAGGAAGGGATCGTATATCCCTCTGTCAACACATGATAGACTCTCAAAACTATTTCTGAGGAAATAAATATCAGGAATTTGAAGAAAAACATTATTGACTTTTAACAGTTTTTGAGGAAATTATCTATTGTGAGGAGTGTATAGATACTTTAGCATCTATAAATTAAAATTTTCACTCAAATATCTGAAGAATAAGTAGAAATGTTATTATGAAGAATAAAATATAACAATATAGAGAGTATATAAAAATTTTAGTGCTAAAGTGCCAGTATGATTAGCTGTTGCATTAGTTACCTAGCTGCACATAGATTATTCAAAAACTTAGCATCTTAAAACAGAAAACATTTCATTATCTCACACAGATTTTGTGGTTGGGGAATCCTGAAGTGGCTTAGCAGAGGAATTCTGGCTCCAAATCTCTCATGTGGTTGTCATGATTTGGTTGTGGCTGCTGTCATTTGAAGGCTTGGCTGTGGCTGGAGGATTCGCTTTCATGATGGGCTCACTCCCAGAACTACCAAATTAATCTGCCTGTTGGCAGGAGTACTCACTTTCTCATCATATGGACCTATCCATTGCAGTGTTGCAGTGTTGCAGTAGACTTAATCATAGCAGCAGCGTTCCCCCAAAGGGTGATCTGATAGAACAACGCAATACCAAAATGTCTTGTATGACTTAGCCTTGGAGTCATATTCTGTAATTTCCCTGGTATCATGTTGGTTACACCATTTAGCTTGATTCCACAATGGAAGGGACCTAACCAGGGCCTGACCACCACAAGGTGAGAATGGAGGGGGGCAACAATGGAGGCTGCTTACCACTGCAATAATGCCAGTCTTGGAAGTTCCACCTCCTACCAAGGAAAGCGTGGATCTTACAGGCTCTGTTAAGCATGTTTATATTAATTGACAAAGGGAATGACAAGGACAAGCCAAATAATGAGACTAGTGGATTTAGTTTTGTGGTATTATGTGAGATTTTTAATTTCTCTAGGCATTATTTTTCATTCCTACTTAAAAGAGCTGTTGTGATAATGAAATTGAACATGTGTTGAAAGACTTGACAACTCTAACATAGTAGTAGTAGTATGTACATAGGATTGATTATTTTCATCATCAAGAACACCTCTTATCCACACAATTTCCAGCAGAGATAATTTAACTGACATGGAGATTGAATTAGTACTATATTCTTGCCACATGATTTTTTGGATGTTGGCAGGTTATATGTATGATAAACTGACTGAAAACTCAAGACTTCCTCACATACAGTAAGTGTTCATGGTACTTACTTACTAATTCTAATCCCTAGCAGATGTTTTCATTAAAATAATCATAGTGAAAACTAACATATGAGCATTGGTTAGGAGCAACCATCCTGTATTTACATTTTGATCAATATCAGAAGAATTGCACAGACTCTCATAAAGCATGTTGAAAAGAGACTTTAAAGTGCATTGTATAATTTATGGTATGTTACAAAGAATTTTTTTTCTCAATTTCTAGAAAGTATCTGAAGAAAGAGTATCTGGGGAGAAAATCATTTGTTTTGGATAAACTTCTGTCTCACAATATTTATCTTCCAATTTGATCTCTTTTAGAAACTGTTACTTGAGCTCCATTTTTCCCACTTGGTTACTTAGGTTCTATTTTCCCTACTGTACCAGGGCCAACTGAATCTATTACAAAAGCCCCTTAGCATTTTCTTCTGATTCTGTTGTCAAACTTCTTGTAACCTCCAATCATTAATATGTTTCTGAATTTTTAGTGAGAATATTGCTCTACATAGTTAATTAAAATTTAAAAGTACACCTAAACTTATGCCTAATATGATACATGTTATATATATTTTAAATTTCAACTTTTACTTTAGATACAGTGGGTACATGTGCAGATTTGTCATGTGGGAATATTCCATGATGCTGAGGTTTGGAATATGGATCCCATCACCCAGATAGCAAGCATAGCATCTGATATCTTGTTTCTAACCCACCCCACCTCTAGTAGTCCACAGCATCTGTTCTTCCCATGTTTATGTGTATGTGTGCTGAAAGTTTAGCTCCTTTTTATAACTGAAAAATGTGGCATTTTGTTTTCTGTTTCTGCCTTAATTCGTTTACAGTTACAGCCTCCAGTTCAGTCCATTGTTGCTTCAAAGGACATGATTTCATTCTTTTTTATCGTTGCATAGCATTTCATGGTGTATATGTACTACATTTTCTTTATTCAGTTTACCATTGATGGGCACCTGGGTTCATTCCATGTCTTTGCTATTGTGAATAATGCAGCAATGAACATATGAGTGCATGTGTCTTTTTGGTAGAATGATTTTTTTTTGGTATTTTTTATTAGATAGGTAGATGTAGATACAGACATAGATATACATAGGTATATAAAATACAAGTAATGGGATTGCTGGGTCAAATGATAGCCCTGTTTTAAGTTCTTTGAGAAACCTCCAAACTGGTATCCACAGTGACTAGACTAATTTACATTCACACCAACAGTGTATAAGTGTTCCCTTTTCTCTTCAACCTCTCCAGCATCTGTTGTTTTTTGACTTTTTAATAATAACCATTCTGACTCATGCGAGATGACATGCTATTGTTGTTTTGATTTGCATTTCTCTAATGATTAGTGATGCTGAGTATTTTTTCATGTTTGTTGACCACTGGTATGTCTTCCTTTGAGAAACATCTGTTCATGTCCTTTGCCTATTTTTTAATGGGGTCATTTGTCTTTTGTTTGTTGATTTGAGTTCCCTATAGATTTTGGATATTAGGCCTTTGTTGAATGCATAATTTGTAAATATCTTCTCCTATTCTGTAGGTTGCTTGTTTGTTCTGTTGATAGTCTCTTGTGCTGTGCAGAAGCTCTTTATTTAATTAGGTCCCGCTTGTGTATTTTTGCTTTTGTTGCAATTGCTTTTGGTGACTTAGCCAAAAATTCTTTGCCAAGGCTGATGTCAAAAAGAATATTTCCTAGGTTGTGATCCGGGATTTTTATAGTTTGAGGTTTTAATATATAAATCTTTGCTCTATTTTGAGTTAACTCTTGTATATAGTAAAAAGTAGGGGTCCATCTTCAATCTTCTGCATATGGCCAGCCAGTTATCCCGGCATCATTTATTGAATAAAGAGTCCTTTTCCTAATGCCTGTTTTTGTCAGCCTTGCCAAAGATCAGATAGTTGTAAGAGTGTGGCTTTATTTCTGAGATCTACTCTATTCCATTTGTCTATTTGTCTGTTTTTGTACCAGTTCCAAGTTGTTTTGGTTACTGTGGCTTTATAGTATAGTTGGAAGTCGGGTAGTGTGATGCCTCCAGCTTTACTTACAAAGGTATTCTCACTCATGTCTTAAGGTACTTAAGAGTAAATGTTCTAAAATATCACATATATTTTAAAGATATTTGAAGGTCTTTAATTGCTACTGTTAAAAGTACAGTGATTGTGTTTCTAATACTTAAAACATTAGTTGTGTTAAAATATAACAGATTATCTGAATTTTTTTTCTCAATTTGAATGGATACCCTCATGTAGACCAATGGCCTATGTAAATTTCCAATTTTATATAGAAGATATTTGGGGCTTAAACCTTTTATCCTTTTACAAATTCACATAGCTGAATTTAAAATTTTTACATGATTCTAAATACATTGGAAGGGAAAATTCAAAACTGAAGTGTTTAATCCTTTTTTTAAAAAATCACATTATGTCTAATGTCTAATTCACTGTCTGTGACTATTAGGTATCTTCTGGCACTGTAATATTCCAGGTTGTTCCCTCCCACTGAAAATCTGTTCTCATATTATTTTTCCCAGATAGCAATGATATTTCATTTTTCAAAGTTCAAGCTTGTTTTTCTCACAGTTTTTTAAAATAAAAGTTACTCGTCTTACAAAACTACTTAACAGTTTACCTCTATCCTCATAGTTCACATTTTATGTTGTCTGTCTTATAACTAATTAATTAAAATGTGATAAAAATGCCCCCAAAATAAAACTATTCAAATACGTGACTTGAAGTAACAAGAAAGAGGACAAACATTTAAATTTTCTTCAAAGCAACTTCAAGGTATGAACTTTGTTATGATTCTCTATGTATTCAATAAAACACTGCTCTATACAACTAATTAAACATTTCACACCATGACCTTTCTTTGTGGGATTAATCTATGTACTAAGAGATTTAATTGGATACTGGGTCAAGCATTGGATGATGTATAGAAAAACATCTATTGCCCACGCACAGAAATTCATGAAACCAAACAAACAAAGACATCGATTATCTAGAAATTTCAGGTTAAAAATGACCTTCTCAGTTTTAAATAATAGGTTTGTTTTCAAAATTAGGTTGACTTCAAAGTTTTAGATATACTGGCATTATCCTTATTTTAATGTTGGTTATTCATAGAAAGAGCCAATACCTATTTTTTTAAAGGGGTTAAATATGTCTCATATGATATCTTTAGATTTCAGGCTCTATTATTACATTTATGAAGTATATTGCAATTATCTATTTCTAGCTACTCAGCTAAATGTTCAGCTCTCAATGTCTATTCATTTAGTATCGTCTATGTTAAAAATGCAAAACAATTATTATCTTTCAATTAAACTGTTCTACACTTTCTAGAGGCTGATTTCTAAGCAAATAAGATTACTAAAGAATAGTATTCATTCAAGGTTAGAAACGGATTGTGAAATTTAAGTGAATTTCTTACTTATATATGAGGCCAATTTTATCGAGCATTTTTCATGGTCATATGGCTTATTAATAGAAGGCAAGCTAAAGTATATCTCAATCACACAACAAATTAAGTACCATGCAATATTTAATTGGTGGTACTCATGGGGTGTAATAATAAAATTAACTTTATTTCTGTCTTCCATCTTAAATCTCTCAGTCTGGATTTTCTTCCCCTTAAACAAACTTGAAAAGGTAGAAGGACTCCATGGCATTTCTGATCACAATTAAATAACAAAAAGTCCAACAGCCATTTAATAATAGAAACACAGTTTCAATTCGGTAATTAAAAACATCCAGTATATTAATCGATACTACAATGATCATTCAATGATAAGACTTTTTTTTTCTCAGCTAAATCCAGCTGTAATGGTTGTCAGCTGCTTTAAGGTAAAGGAGGCGTCATGTTTTGTCTCTCACTCATTACTCGTTAATTTTTCTTTTTTCTACTATTTAACCCCAAGGGAACAAAGAGATTGGAGAGAAGAGAGGTGAGGAAATCAAAGAGTTTAATTCACTGGTGCTTTGTAAGATGGCTTTGCAGTCTTCTCATTATTAAATATTTAAAGCTTATTCTTTCACAGGTACTTTCATAAGTCCTTTGCTGAATTCTTCAATTAAGACATGGCCTCCACTTTTCCTTTAGCCAGCTGCTATGGTTTGAGTGTGTCCCCCAGGTTTCATATGTTGAAAATTTGGTTCCTGGTGTGGTCATTTTGGGAGGTTGGGTCTTTAAGAAGTGATTAGGTCATTAAGAGGAATAATGCCACTCTCTTGGAACTAAGTAATTTCTCACAGGAGTAAATGAGAGCAGATAAGTTACCTTCTCCAGAGACCAGATTAGCTACCTCGAGAGAGGGTTGTTATAAACTAAGGCCACCCTTTGCGTTTTGCCCCTTTCAAACACACCCACTTCCTTCTTCCTCTTCTCTGCCTTGTTACAATGAATTATGAAAGCCCTGGCCAGAAGCTCCTGCCATGTTTTTGGACTTTGCAGCCTCCAGAACCATGAGTGAAAACAAACCTCTTTTTTATAAATAACTGATTTCAAGTATATTGTTACAGCAACAAAAAACAGGAAAAGTCAGCAACCACTTCAGATTTTTATTCTTCAGTGTCTGCTCCACAGGGGTCCTATTATTGCTGGGGTCCTACTATTGCTGGGGTCCTACAGCCACAGCAGACTATCTCTTGGGCTGACTTCCCTACAGTGGTTGCTATTGATTTCAGGAACCACACATCTTTGGTCCACTGTCTGACAGTAGTGTAGCTGCTTTCAAGTTTTTAGGCCCCCTTTCTGATGACTTTGGTCACTACTTTCCACAAGTGCGAATTAGAATTTCATTGTCTGTGCCCTTCTAACTACATAAAGTACAATGTAAGCTCTAGGAATGACCTAGTTAAAACCTTATATGGTCTGAATATTTGTGTCCTGCAAAAGTTGTATGTTGAAACCTAATCACCAATGTGCTGATGTTAAGAGGTGATTACATGATGGCAGTACAGCCCTCATTAATGGGATTAGTATCCTTATAAAACTAGGCCAACAGAGCTCCTTAGTCTTTTTAGCTATGGAGGACACAGCTGGAAGACACCATCTATAAATCAGAAAGCAGGCCCTTGCCAGACACCAAATTTATTGGCACTTTGTTCTTGGGTTTCATAGCTTCTAGAACTATGAAAAATAATTTTCTGTTGTTTATAAGCTACCAAGTTTATCGCATTTTGTTATAGCAGCCTGAACCAGCCAAGATAACAGCCCTCTGACTAGGCTTACGGTTAGAAAAAGAACCTTATCACCTCCTCTATACTCTTTTCTCAGTGGAGAGTAGGTTAAGGCTAACGGCACTTCCTGAAAATGTGGCTCAAAACTCATCCTTTTCTATCCATACTCTCAAACACTTCACATCATAGATATGAACAAGGGAACCATTTATCAGTCAACAGCTTTAAATCTCCACATGGACCAGCAAATCTTTTGAGATAAAACAAATTTTGGACTTTGATAGTTTAGCTAAGAGTTTTGAGTTTAGCTTTTTTTTATAGGTGCTACATATTAGACATTATCATGGAGATGCAATTCTGAACACAAATAATTATGGTGTCTGTGCTCATGGAGCTTAGTGTCTATTAATTGAAGGGAAATTAGACATTATTTAAATAATAATAAAGTGTATAAGTATGGGAGGTGCTTGGAAAGGGAAGCGAATGTTGTTGTGAGACGTATTCTAAAGATGGTTGGACGAGTAGAAGGATAAGTGGAGCCTTCTCTAGGTAAGGAAACATTTCTTTGAGATTTGAATGTTGATAACAAATTAATTCCATAGCAGGAAAAGTGGGGTATAGGGAGAGTTATGAATAACATATGAGGCAGAGGAAACTTCTCTGTAATGTTTTAAGTTGTGACAGACAGAACAAAAATGGTCTATGGGGCTTGTTTGAGAGAGCGAGGAGTTCTTGCGGGAACGATATGAGGACTGAGATTTTCACAGAGAGCAGAAAGTTATGCAGGGCACAAGGGGCAATGTTAAGCGTTTATTTTTTTGTCTTAAATGCAGTGCAAATCCAGCAAAGGGTTCTGAGTTGAGGGTAGAAGTTGAGGATGAAATTAATATTTTGAAAAGAGTCATTGGTTGTAATTGGAAAAAAAATAGATTTTTTGTAGAGAAGCATGCAATAGTGGATGAGGAAGACAAAGAGGCAACTGCAACACTCTGTGTGAGATTTGTTTCAACTAGAGTGAGATAGCAAGATCTTGCAACTTTACCATACAGCTTATAACCTCACTTGCCCAGCTTTACTTTTTAGACTGTCTGGTTGCCTGGTTGCTAGAACAGACACATTTTTGACAAGGTTTAGAGTGGCACATTTTATAAAATGATAGGAGGCAAATGTAGCCCACCAGTGAAAGTCTGCCTAATGGCTGATGCAGAAAGTTCCACTGACTCTATACACTTCAGGTTCAAGTATCATCTATGGTACTTTACTAAATTTGATATTGTTTAGACATTAAAGGAGATTCACATTAGATAACTACTTAAAAACAAACTAAATGGGTGCTACCTTTATCTTCGTGTCTTTCTTACAAAATGCTTGCATGACTTATAAGGCAATAGCATGCGTAGAACAACTCCTTAGTGCAAAAGAGTGTATCTGCAATGATATTTTGGGAAGTGTCCACTACCCACTCTTAATCCTTGCAGAAAAGGGCTTTCATGACATGGATGCTTTCTATTACTAAAACATGCTGTAATCTTCCACTAGTCCCCACCTCACAGTTTATACTCCAACTTTGGTAAGCTATTTTTGTTCCCATGACCCACCATGTAGTTTCATGTTGGTAGAGTTTTCCAAGTCTCTTGGCTTAAAAAAAGGTTGTGTCCCTCCCATTCTCTTGGATTTAGATTTCTTGTTCTTTAGCATTTAGCTCAGATGCCATCACAATTAGGAAGCCCCAATATCTCTTGTCACTACTCCAATCCCAACCTCAAAGCAGGTTTAAATATCCTCCTCTTGTCTTCTCTAAAGTCCATTAAAGTTTTATTCATTTCACTTGTCACGTGTAATTAGAATTTTCTCTTTGAATATCTGATTTTCCTACTTCAAACTCTTTGATAGGTTTGTTTTTAATTCGCTTATGCCTGCTTAGAACTTAGTACACTGTGTAAATGATAGATACACGGAAAATATTTGTTGGAGTAAACTAAGCTGGTGTCCCACAAAATCTTTTCAGTGTTCACTATGAAAACACTTCTTTGAAAAGTGTGCCTTGTTACGTGTATATTGGCTCTAATGGTTATTGTTGAGTGCAATCTTTCATTCAGGACATGCACCTCGACTTTGACACTAATTAGATTGAATCAGTTAATAAGATTGCCATGGCATATTTATGACAACAGTTGTGGAAATAAGTTATTACCTCTGTAGAGATATTTCAAATTAATCTTATATTTTCTCCAGTTTCTTCATCTTTAGATATGCCAAATAAGGCAATTGAGCATTCACTTTTTTTCAGAATGCATTTTAGGAGTAATTTTGAAGTGTGAAGTGTTGAAATAATATGCATTTATCTTTTTCCTCTTATCTCAGAGCTCAAAATGATAATTTATTATATTGAGATTGTAGGAGCTAGCACTATGGAAATGCATAAAAATAAAGAACATAAAACTTTTTGTAATAATTTGCTTTTTGGCAAACAAAGTTTAAATTGTCTTTAAATCCTAAAAGTATATTTGTAACAACAAGCTTTATACTATTAATATTTTATGTCAGTATGCATTTGCAACTGATAAAGTCTCTTGAAATATAATATTATTTCATTCAGAATAATATTTTTTGTATTTGTGGATCTTTGTGTTGTGCTAGGAACTGAGGCTACAAATAAAAAGAGACATAATTTCTATTCTCCTGGATATTTCATTCTAATTAGGGAGACATATAACAATTAGGATGATGAGAATTAATGGCACAAAGTGCTTGCTAGGGTTAAGGGCAGTGACACTGAGGGTTTTCCTAAAATTTTTGAGGTAAGACAAATAACATTGTCTTTTGGTTGACAAATGAATTCGCAAAGAAATAATGGTAAAAAACCTGAAGATACAAGGAACAAGTTACTGAATGTAGAGATCATATTTAAAGAAGTGGCTACTCAGAACAGAGGTTGGACAGTGGAAAAAGAGGATCATAGAAGCACACATAGTTTTAATCAAAGGGCTGTTTAAGGGAATGAGGATTTTAGTAAAATTGTTTTAAATATTCTAGCTCAATGGCTGTTTAATTATATCATTAAAAGTTATGCTAGAAGTTCATGCAAAAAAAAATTTTAAGAAGACCACACACTTTGTAAAGATGAAAACCATAATATATGTTATTTTTTCAATTCTTTTCATTATTGTTTCATGCTAACCAAACACACTTTTTTTTTCTGAGATATTGGAGACAGGATCTCTCTCTGTTGCCCATACTAGAGTGCAATGAGGCAATCATAGCTCATGGTAAACTTTAACTCCTGGGCTCCAGCGATCCTCCTACCTCAGCCTCCCAAGTAGCTAAGACTACATCCATGTACCACCAGGATCAGCTACTATTTGTATTTTTTTTTTTTTTAGAGACAGGGTCTCACTGTGTTGCCCAGGCTGGGCATAAGTGATCCTCCCACCTCCTCAGCCTCCCAAAGCAATGGGATTACAGGTATGAGCCACTGTGCCTGGCCTAACCAAGCAAACTTTCATTGTTATGTGGTTTCTAGGTCTCCTACAGGGCAAAAAGTAGTGCTGGTTAGGCCAAGATAAATATTCCTATCTCAATGAAAATTACACATCTCTTTATGTTGACAGATTATGTTCTGATGTGAGCTGATGTGAGCTAGTTTAATATAAAGCTACCATTAGAAATAGATAGGTCCAAAATGCTCTAAAGGAATCAAGTTGCAGTACCTGCAGAAGTGGAGACTATGGCAAATTTGACAACATAGAAAAGATTCTAAATGGCAGAGATTTAGGTAGAATTAGAGAGAGATTAGGTAGAATTTGAGACAGAATGCTTCTTAAGTTCATTTCCTGGGTTAACTACTTGTCATCTTGAAAGATTTGCTTTCTGTTCATCTGTTTCTTTATCCATGTAAAGTGGGGGAGTATGTTATTTACCTTCTATCATTATTGTCAAGTTATTAATCTATTTTAAAACAGAAAACTGTGTTTACAGAATTATAAACAGCAATATATTCTAAAGTCTACTTACAACTTTTAAAAACTTGGAAGGCTGAGCCTCCCTGTGCCTCAATCAGAAAGCTAGGGGATCAATAAGCCATCGATACAGCTGTTGTCTCCAGAAATACACCATTGTCACTTCGGCCTATGGATCAGAGAGCAACTGCTTCAGTATTTGGTTCTAGAGCCACACCCTCTCTTTTAGATCATTAATTACAGATTGTTATGGTTTGGATCTGTGTTCATGCTCAAATCTCATATCCAGTTGTAATCGCCAATGTTGGAAGTCGGGCATGGTGGGAGGTGATCAGATCATGGGGGCGGTTTTTCATGTATTAACACCATCCCCCTTGGTGGTGGTGTGGTGACAGTGAGTTCTCGCGAGATCTGGTTGTTTAAAAACGTGTGGCACCGCCTTTCTCTCTGTCTTTATCCTGCTCCTACCATATAAGACACCTGCTACCATGTGGCCATCTGCAATGAGTAAAACCTCCCTGAGACCTCCTCAAAAGAGATGCTGGCATGCTTCCCGTACAGTCTGCTGAACCATGAGTCAATTAAACCTCTTTTCTTTATGAATTACCTAGTTTCAGGTATTACTTTATAGCAATGCGAGAACAGACTAATACACAAATACTACAAAGTATTGGCATTCTCTGTTTTCTTAAATAGGCTCCAAATTCAGATACTGTGAAATTGCATCTGATTAGCAGATCCTCAATAACACCCATAACCCCAGTCACAGGGGCATCTACGGAATGAAATTTAGCTTCCCAGACTTTGTAACAGAGGAAGAGAGAAAATTTACTACAGGGGTTTGGTACCCCAATCTACTATAGCAGATGGTACCCTTCTATCTTCTTTTAGTCTTTAAAATGTATATAGATTGGGTAGTCAAAGAGGACTGCTATCAGTGGATGCATATCAAATGAACTTTTAAAAATACATGAATAACCAAAAACTCCATCTCGAGTTACTAGGGTAGCCAAAAACTCTTAGGGACCCCCCAGACAAAGAGAAAAGCAGGAATAAAATTGCCGAACCAATATCTTGTGGTATATCTGTTTATTTCTAAGCTAGTTGTATTTGTATGGCTAGAGAGCATAATCTGAAAACGAAGCGGTGAATTAAGTTTGGAACTGTGCAAATAAGCCAAGGCAAAGCAAACCTTGTAGTCAGAGTAAGAATATAAATTTCATCCTGTAGTCATTAGGGAGCTACTAGAATTATTTTAAGTAGAGAATAACTAATTATATTTGCATTCGTGAAATAACACTCCACAGCAGTAGGAAGCATGATTTGGGGTGAGAGGAGAGTTTCCCATGCAGAAGGCAGGCAAGACAAGGGCCAAGACGATTTACAAATACTGAATCCAGAAAAAGAATGATGAGAATATCAGTGAAGGGTACATAAGTGGTAATGGGGATAGGAGATTTTGTACATTTAGGGAGCTTTAATTTTATAACAGTAAATATTTGGGTGGGTAAGATATTATAAGTGATAATTTCAAGGTTAGAATAATTTTTCAACATTGGAAACATTCATACCTAGTGGGATGGGTTTGGGGAGAACAAGATGATTTAATTTCCCTGTACTTAATATATTTATCTGCCCAAAGGGTCTTTCATAAGAAGATACTTTACATACAGTTAATTTTATAGGCAACATCCAGTGGACAAGGGGAATAACTGATGTGACATAAGTATTTGTGAATCTTAAACATAAGCAGAAAATAATGCCATGAGCGTATGTAAGGTTTCACATATGAAGCTGTACAGAAGGAGCAAATCGGGGGATGAAACCCTCCAGAAAACCAGCTTTTCAGTACAGAAAAAAAGGAGCCTCCAAAAAGACTGAAAAGATGTGGGAGGAAATAAAAGGAAAACACCGCTGCAGTAGCAGAGAACACTAAAGGTTACAGAGAAGTCAAAGAAGATAATATTGGAAAATATTTATGGGGTAAACACTTGCTATTGCAAACACTGGCAAGAGTAGTTAGTATAAAATGACAAAAGAAGAAACCTGAATTCACGGTTGGAATTGAGGATGGAATGATTAATAAGTGAAAACTAACACTAAAAATAAAAGATTTTCCCAAAATGTTTGACTCTAAAGCAAAAGAAATATTTGGTAATGGCAAGTCAAAGGTCCACGCAAAAGTAAAAGGGCTGTGTGTGTGTGTGTGTGTGTGTGTGTGTGTGTGTATGAGTGTGTGTGTGTATGCATGTGTATCCGTGTGTGTGTGTATGCATGTATATGCATGTGTGTGTGCATGGATGTATGTGTTTTATTTGCTTTGTTGATTTGTTTGTTATGATCGGAGAGAATTCATATATTTACACAATAGAAACATAAGTATTCAAGGCTATAAATTCATGGTTTGTCTTGTTGGGTTGGTGTTGCTTTTTCTGGGTTTGTGTTTGGGATAATCATAGGTTGAGAGAAAAATAATCAGGAGGAGGAAAATCAGAACGGTTGATTTTCTTTTTATTTTTTTGAGACAGAGTTTCACTCTTGTTGCCCAGGCTGGAGTGCAATAGCACAATCTCGGCTCACCACAACCTCTGCCTCCCAGGTCCAAGCGATTCTTCTGCCTCAGCATCCTGAATAGCTGGGATTACAGGCATGTGCCACCAAGCTTGGCTAACTTTGTATTTTTAGTAGAGACAGGGTTTCCCCATGTTGGTCAGTCTGGTCTCGAACTCCCAACCTCAGGTGATCCACCCACCTCGGCCTCCCAAAGTGCTGGGATTACAGGCTTGAGCCACTGCACCAGGCCGGAACAGTTGATTGTTATTAGGGAATAGATTGAGAAAGACAAACTGTTAGATAGATTAAGGAATAAGTAAGAGAGAATGAGAAGGTCCCTCTGTTTTTAGCATTTTAGGGGCCAGGGGTCAGCACCCAGTTAACACAGTAGAAATTGTGAAGTATTGAAAGGGAGTATTAATATATCAGAAAGTAATAAAATTGCAGTGTAAACTCCCTTTTGCCAAATTTTTAAGTATTTTGGAGTAAGATTTTATTCATATTTCAGAGGCATACCATAATGACATTACTCATTACTCAAGGAATGAGCAAGCTTTTTCAAGTTTTAGCAACATGATAATGGTAAAATTATAGGAAAAGGGTGAAATTGAAGAAACCGCTCTCTCATTGAATCCTTGCACTGAATTTCAGGTAGATATGGACCTCTGTAAACTATAAATGAGAAAATAGTGACTAGCATAGTTATTAAAGAGGCACAGCCAGGATTAGAAAACAGTGTTTAAAAAATAAAATTAAAACTTTCTCATTTTAACCCATTCATCAATGTAAGACAGAGAAAAAATACATTTAGAAATGGCATAATGGAGGCTGTAACTAGTACAGAAAACTTCCTATTCTTTTTTATGTTCTTAAAAAAGTTAAAATGAATCTTTACATATCTAGCAAAATCCCCAAGTTTTACTCCAAAACGTTATTTTTCAGGAACAATGATTTATTGAAAGAGAGGAGTAATAATGGATTGAATAGAACAACTTTGAAGCTGTTTGTAATTTCCTCTGAGGCAAAGACGTTGTTCAGAAAACATTCACAGAATAAATAAATCTTTGCTTATCTAAACGCACGCATGATGCTTACTACACTATGTTCTCCTGAAATTGCAAGCATTAATTCATTTATTCTTTCAAGCGTCTGGGTCTATTGACTCTTTCTCTTATGGGAAAAGAGACTCAATTCAGTATTGTAAATGAAGATAATTTAATCGAGGGAATTTATTACAAATGGAAGTGCTAAGAACCTCAACGAGGGAAGATGAGGCATCCCAGTAAGCAACGGCAGAAACCTGCACTAGTTTTTGAGTGGAGACAAAAACAAGAGGAGCAGAGATTGCCAGAGCCTAGGGCCCAAGTCACCCAACAGAAGCTGGAACAACAGAGGTACTATCCAGCAGTAGCTAGAGCCACGGCCCGCAGCCATTGTCCAGGGGTAGACGCAGCCATGAATGATGCACAGTTGTTAGAGAAGTCAACAAAGGAAGAGAGAGTGTTAAGGGCTGAATCATGGTCCCTTGAAATTCATACGTTGAAGTCCTAACACCCAGTACTTCAGAATGTAACTGTATTTGGAGATAGGGTCTTTAAGGAGGTAAATATGATAAAATAAGGTTATATGGACAGGCCCTAATCCAGTAGGACTGGTGTCTTTATAAGAAGGAGATATTAGGACACAGACAACACATAGGCTGAGAGGCCACCATCTTCAAGATGGTAACAGAGGCCTTAGAGGAAAAAATAATAATAAAAATAAAAAGAAAACCACCTTGCTGACACTTTGATCTTGGACCTTCAGCTTCCAGATTTGTGAGAAAATAAATCTGTTATTAATAAGTATTTTGTTGTAGCAGCCCTAGCAATATAACAGAGAGAAGCTAGAACTATACCCTGGCTTCTGCTTTCCTCTAGCCCGACAGCCCCCGATCTTTGCCTCCCGTTGGCAAACACAACAGTTGACCTGGATCCTGGAAAGTGTAGCCTACAGGAGTAGATCCCCTGTGTGAGATGAAGCAGAACAGCTAAAAGCACAGGGAAAGCATACATCATAACAACCTTACATACTGTGCTACGCCTATTTTAAAGAGAAGCAACTGTGAGGCTCAGATAGGTCAAGCTACACACCTGAAATCACAGCTAGTTATGGCTCCAAGTCCATGCCTTAATCAATATCTATGCTGACTCTCAGGGTTAATAAGCTCCAGGATTGTTACAAGTTGATGGGTTACACCTTTCCTTTGCTACCCCTTTTACCATTTTCAGTAAAAATATTTAATTAGGATAATCTCAGAATACTAATGTAATGTACAGCATCAAAATGTGTGTGTGTGTGTGTGTGTGTGTGTGTGTGTGTGTGTGGTGTATAATAAACTCTCCAGAATGTTTTGCCAAACTGATTCCACTAAATCAAATATTACCAAATGTTTAAAATGGCTAACATTTTAAATGTTATATCTTGTTTCTTTTTTTTTCTTTTTTTAAATCAATGAGTTGATTATCATGAGTTGATTTTTTTTTTAAGATAGGATATCATTCTGCTGCCCAGGCTGGAGTGCAGAGGTGCCATCATGGCTCACTGCACCCTTGACCTAATGGAGTCAAGCGATCCTCCCACCCCAGCCTCCCAAGTAGCTGGGACTACAGATGCACACAACCACACCCAGCTAATATTTTTTGTAGAGATGGGGTCTCACTTTGTTGCCCAGGCTGATCTGTAACTCCTGGGCTCAAGTGATCCACTCACCTTGACCTCCTAAAGTCCTAGTTTCTAATCTTTTTCTTTGTTAAGTGCTATGTAGTATGCATTTATTTAAATTGGGAGTGTGTGGGTGTGTGTGTGTGCGCGTGCGTGCGCGTGTATGTTTGGAAGAATTTAACAGCAGCTTAAAATAAGACTATTAAAATTAGATGTTCTGTGAGATAAAAATTATATTGTTTAAATTTGCCCAAGGGTATTTTATTATTCCTTTCATTGGCTAACCAGATTATCAGATTATTGATGCTTTCACTTCTGTACACGCATCTGACTGAAATTAGTCAGTCTTAGTTTTGCCAGAACAATTGGTTAATTAGGAAGGAAACTCATAAATTGCTGAGGGTTATAAAAAGAAAGAAACTAGATGATTATATAACTCTTTTTTATCTGATCCAAGATTATGAGTGGCTTATAGACAGGGGATCCGTCTTAAGTGTTAAGTGTTTTGTTCATAACAGACCATCTGAACCTACTCTTCCATGATTTATCATAATTCATCAGGGTCTCCTAACTCATGCTTGAGTGGCAGTTTTATTGCTATTAATTCCAATAATTTGGAATTCATGCTTTAAAAGCATTAATGAGACATCTAATAAATGCACTGATTTCTGCCAGATAAGTAAATACAAATTGTTATTGGGTAATATGTTGTGCATATTAATGAAAACGTTTTCAAAGTACATGCTCTATCCAATGATATCATTGATGCAGTCGGGCACTTCATAAATTGTTCAAAAGTACTTATAAATAGTGTTTTTGAACAAATGAGTGGCCTACTGAATAAATAATTTGATTACTTCATAAAAAATGTTTTTTTCTGGAGCATTTCTCTTCTACCAGCATAAAATTTGCAATATATCCTCACTCTCCTACTTCTATTTAAAACTTTCAGACTCTGAGAAATTCTGATAACTCCATAATAACCTTGAGAGGAAAGCTCAAATGGTCTTTCATGTCTTAGGATCCTGAAGATGTATCACCTTTTTAATAGAATCTCTTGGTTGTTTTGCATAATTCATGGCTCACATAAGACTTTAACAAGGAGAAATGCATACTTTATATGATGTTTTGCTGGCATTCTGCATATTGATTGTCTATTATATTTTATGTCTTGATTGCAATATTTTTCTGAAATAATTCACTTTTAACTGGTAAGACTATAATACTAAGAGTGACTTGAAAATATATATACTAGTAGTTTTTGATATTTGCGTACTCTAATCCTTTGTCATTTCATATTTCAAAGCTGAGGCAATTCTAGATGCTATATGATTTATAAGACATTAAGAAAGACCCCTTTTGGATAGAGCTTCATGATCATCTGTCAGTGATACTAGAACACCAATGCTTTAACCAAATCTTGCATCAGACCCTCCCCAGAAAAGCACTGAGGCCTGTCAGGGGGTCTTGGGGATGTTAGTGGGAGGGAGAGCATCAGGAAGAATAGCTAATTGATGCTGGGCTTAATACCTAGGTGATGGGTTGATCTGTGCAGCAAACTCCCATGGTACACGTTTACCTATGCAATAAACCTGCGCATCTGGCCCATGTTCCTGGAACTTAAAATAAATGTTGAAGGAAAAAAATCATTTAAGAGCAAAGCCTTAATAATGTTTATTATAAACTATTGTTATTTCCCCCCAAATTGCAATTATAGTACAATGCAGATGAATATTCATGCAATAAGTTTCAAGATAAAGAAATAATATTTTCATTGATATTTTAAGCATACCTCACTCTTCATTTTCACTTTAGAGGGGAAAAAAACAAAGCAATCAACCTATAAACATAAGTAGAATGATTTTCAAAGTACTTGATTCTTTAAAAATGAACTTTAGGCCGGGTGCGGTGGCTTACACCTGTAATCCCAGCACTTCGGTAGGCCGAGGCGGGCGGATCACGAGGTCAGGAGATCGAGACCATCCCGGCTAACACGGTGAAACCCCGTCTCTACTAAAAATACAAAAAACTAGCCGGGCGTGGTGGCGGGCGCCTGTAGCCCCAGCGACTCGGGAAGCTGAGGCAGGAGAATGGTGTGAACCCGGGAGGCGGAGCTTGCAGTGAGCCGAGATAGCGCCACTGCACTCCAGCCTGGGCGACTGAGGGAGACTCCGTCTCAAATTAAAAAAAAAAAAAAAGAAGTTTAAGTTTTTTTATAATCCTACTTTTACTAGTTGAATAATCTAAGCCCCTTTGTATGTGGTTGAAATGGCTATTTCTTATTAGTCATTTTTTTTTTCCACTAATAAACAATGTGTACAAATAGTGTGAAATTCATAGTCGTCTTTCCTACTCTAACCTTCATTTCCCGGTGCAAATATGTTTGCTTTGGAGTTTTCTGAAATTTGATTCAGAATGAATTTATCTTGAATGACAGAAAATAGGGATATGTTAAATAAAGGCTAATCACAAGGAGACTCAAAAATAGAAAATATATTTATAAAAGATGTATGTAATTCAACCTTTCCTGAAAATATATCTAAGCACATTTCTAGGTCACACAATAAATAGAATTGAATCCTTCCAAATGACCACTTAATTTTTCCCTTACTCTTCAAGAATAATACTGTGATTGCTTCACCCTTTGAAGGTAAACTCGATGATAAACATAAAAGATTCAGGAATCTGAGCAAGTAGGCAGCATAAAAAAATCAGTAAAAATGGTTATTCTTCATTTTTATGCAGCTGTTTGATTTTTTTCTTTTGTTCAAATGATGGTATTGTAAAGTAGATAGAGCCTGAGATGACATGATTGTACGAATATGTGTGAGAAGTAAACAGATATTCAGCTCTGAAGACAATGCTGCCTTTCTTACCCATTTTGGCATGTAAAAGAGAACATTTTGACCTAGTACAGTCTGCAATATGACAATGAAAATGAAAGTAATACTTGAGTTAACATGCTAAGGCACAACTCCAGGACACATCGTTTTCAAAGTCACTCTTTTTAAATTTAATATAAAGAATAAACACATTCATAGTACTGGGAAAACTTGTTATTATATCAAAAAATAAAATCTCTACTTTATTTGTCTAATGTGATTTGTCCAGATAGATTTATAGATCATTGCATAAAAATTCACCAAGCTCCTTTGGGAAATACAAATGAAAATTCAACCTGAAAATCTGATATATTTGTTTTAGAGTTGTGGCAAAGCAGTGGTTTTCAACTAAAGGTGATTTTTTTTTTCCCTCCAGGGGACATTTTGCAATGCCTGGAAATATTTTTGTTTTTCACAACTGGGAAGGTGTAACTGTCATCTAGTGGGTAGCAGCCTAGGATGCTGGTCAACATCCTAAAATGTACAAAGCCCTCTTATAATTATTCAGCCCAAGATGTCAATCATGCTGAGACTGAGCAGCCCTTTCAGAAATAAGTGTTGTTTTGTGGAATGTGAAGATGTGTCTCTCCTTGAAAACTCTGTTGTCATTGTGCTCAGATGTCTCTATAATCTCTAAGTCAAAATTGTACCTCTATCAAATCTCTATGGATCTGTGTTGAGAAAATAATTATATGGCTCTTTGCTCTGCCACCAGATTATGATTTATGGGTAAGATTAAAAAATTCTGAACTACTGCTGCCAGCCAGATGTTAAAAAAAAAGTTTATTTGTAAAGAGTCCACTGTTGATGATTACTTGGGTAGGATGGGTATAATGTAAGAGGGAGAAGAAAAAAAGTAATCAAAACAGTAAATTTGAGAGGTATATCCTAATATTTTGAAATGAATGACAGTGACAGCAAGCATGCCCAGCAACAGTACCCTGTTAGGAAACACTGTGAAGCTGAAATAAGTCCATAGAGCCAGAATCTAACCTCATAAGCTCTGATGTTCTAAGAAATAAAAAGATTAAAATCCACTGGCTAATATCGATAGGCTGGGGGATGCTGAGGGAAGAAATAGATCATTATTTCTCACTATCAGTATTCTAACCACTGTCAATGGAGCACTTGTGCAAATGATGCCAAAGGACAAGCTCCAAGGTCTGTATGAGGTGTTTTCCCCTTGATGGATAAGAGGAGATAATGAAACAAGTGTCCATGTGTATGTTAGGTATTTTTTACATTATTCTTCTGGGTTTTCTTTTTAAAATAAAGAGAAATTTTACATTAGTGCTTTTAGTTTTCAACATGTTTTAGATCTGTTTTAAAAAATCAAAAAATAATATAAATGGTAATGTTGACCCAATTAGCAGAATGCTTTAAATTAAAGTTGTCTTTCTAAATAATACTATTTACTGTGGAATCAAAAATAATCTATCATTCAGCCTTCTGACTGGGTCTTTATAAAATTAACTCCTTGTAAGTTAGCCTCCTACTACTGATAGGGCATCGAGGAGCAATTCATGCCCAACTCGTGTATGACCTATGCAGTCCCATGGGACTCTGTACTCAGTTTAATATTATGCTGACATTGTCTTGAAATTATTAATGATATTTGAAGAAAGAGCCCTGCATTTTTATTTTCCACTAGGCCCTATACATTTATATAGCCAGTCCTATGGGAAATATTTGGGAGAAAGGACAGTGAAGAGCTGTCTTTGCTCTCATGAACACATCCTGGTAGAAAAGTAACCATAAGGAAGGGTCTGAGTCCTGGTCCTAGCAGATGGGGGCCACTGTAGTCAACGTGACATCCATCCCATTAAACAAGATTCTTTACATGAAGCCATTAAAAAAATGAAACCAAGTCCTTTGCAGCAACATGGTTGGAGCTGGAGGCTGTTATTCTAAGTGAAATAACTCAGAAACAGAAAATCAAATATCACATATTCTCACTTATAAGTGGGAGCTAAACAATGGCACACATGAAAGTAAAGACGGAAATAATAAACACTCAGGGCTTCACAAGGCAGGAGAGTGGGAGGGAGGTGAGGGTTAAAAAATTACCCATTGGATACTATATTCAATACTGGGGTGATGAATACACTAAATGCCCAATCCCCACCATTACACTACATACCTGTGATGGTTAATACTGAGTGTCAACTTGATTGCATTGAAGGATGAAAAGTATTGATCCTGGGTATGTCTGTGAGGGTGTTGCCAAAGGAAATTAACACCTAAGTCAGTGGACTGGAAGAGGCAGACCCACCTTCATTCTGGGTGGGTACCATCTAGCCAGCTGCCAGTGAGGCTAGAATATAAAGCAGGAAGAAAAATGTGAAAAGACAAGGCTGGCCTAGCCACCCAGCCTACATCTTTCTCCCGTGCTGGATGCTTCCTGCCCTCGAACATCAGAGCCCAGGTTCTTTAGTTTTGGTGCTGGGACTGGCTCTCCTTGCTCCTCAGCTTGCAGACGGCATACTGGGACCTTGTGATCACGTGAGATAATACTCACATGCACACACACGCACACACATA
This sequence comes from Homo sapiens, assembly GCF_000001405.40. NCBI lineage: Eukaryota > Metazoa > Chordata > Mammalia > Primates > Hominidae > Homo > Homo sapiens. The sequence continues at coordinate 20,905,271 of NC_000021.9, forward strand.
CACATTACCTACTCTGTGTGTGTGTGTGTATATATATACACTACATACTTATATATATTAGCTATACAATTATTTATATTTATTATGTATAATTATATATTTATATATAATTATTTTATATAATTATTATTACTTATATATAATTAAACACATAATTTTATATATATATATATATATAATTATTTCTGTCCCTCTAGAGAACCCTGACTAATACAATACCCATGGAACAAACATGCCCATATATCCCCTGAATCTACAAACAACAATAACAATAACAAAACACATGGTGCTTAATATGGGCACTATTGATAATTTAGTTGCCTTGTTGCGGGGGCTTTCCTGAACACTGTAGAATGTCCAGAAACATTCCTGACCTCCTTCCACCTCACACAAGTAACAACAGCCTCCTCTCCTCCTCTATCCCCAGTGAATTTGTGGGTCAGGTTTGGAACCAGACCCACTTACTGGATGTATGATCATACATACTGGATGGACCTGAAGTGGTAAACACCACTGCAGTGTACTAAATAGTTCCAAACAAGACTGGAGAGTAGTTGAATTTTAAGTAGCACCTATCTGTCGCCAGAAGATACATACATAGCTATAGGAGATGTGATGAGAATATTATAATTCTAGAAATAAGATTTGAGCTAGCTATTTCTTGCTTTTAATTTAATGGAAATTTGCTTTTGTTGCATCCTCAAGTCTTCTAAGCAATCAAAATGTGCGTCTACTAAGTAAAAGATATTTCGACCCTTGCAATTGGGTTTTGTTAGAAGGGTAAATATGGCTATAGAAATAAAACAATTTATATCAGCATAAAGAGGTATATATTTGAGGTATCAAATGAGTGGTAAGAGTGATGAATTCTAGAAAAGTTTAGAGATTTAGAAACTAGAGTGTCGTCAGTTCTTCCAGTCTACCTGCACCCCCACCCCCAAACTTCCAAGAAATGTTTGAGTCTTATGGAAAAAAAGTTATTTGAGGCCGGCCATGGTGGCTCACGCCTGTAATCCTAGCACTTTAGGAGGCCAAAGTGGGCGGATCACCTGAGGTCAGGAGCTCGAAACCAGCCTGGCCAACATAGTGCAACCGCGTCTTTAATAAAATACAAAAATTAGCCGCTAGGCATGGTGGCGAGTGACTATAATCCCAGTTACTTGGAGGCTGAGGCAGGATAATCGCTTAAACCCGGGAGGCAGAGGTTGCAGTGAGTTGAGGTCCCACCACAGCATGCCAGCCCGGCGACAGAGTAAGTCTCCGTCTAAAAAAACAGAAAAAAAAAAAAAAAAAGAAAAAAAGGCAGTTGAGTATGGTAATAGTTCTTGAAGTTCTGCAGTCAAAGCAATATTTGTTTTTATTGAGGGTTATATAAGCATGTGTTGGAGGCCATGTGGGTTTGCATATATTTGTATGTGAAAGAAAGAGAGGGAGGAAGTAGATTAATGTCTTTCACACATGTCCAACAGAATCTAAGAAACAATGCTATGTTTCATGATTTTGATATACATTGTGGACATATTGAATATTTTTCTTTTGCCCATTCATTTATTCACTAATGAATTTTTTCATTTATAATTTAATTGTCTGTTGTGTGTCAGGTATGGTTCTAGGCTTACAATAATAATGGCCAAAAATGTACTGACACTTTTGGAATGTTCCATATGCCTTTTAGATTAAATTGGTGTGTAGCAGAAGTAGCATTTGATTAGCATACCCAGAAAGAGTCAAATTCAGTTCAATTTATGGCAGAAGAAATATTTAATACATGCCATTTATTTTGTCATTTTTATGTTAATTGTGTCATAAGACATAAGTTAATGCATTCTATATTCATTAATACTGCAATTCCTAATTATTCACTCTTATTCCCAGAAAAAGAAAAAATAATTTTTCCAATGGAATCTACTTCACAGCAAGTCAGGTGTTTACACTGAAATGCAGCATCTGTTCATTTTTCTGAAAGAAAGTTACAGATAAATTTTCCCTAGTTTCAGACATCCATGTACATTTCTCTTGAGCAATATTTTGATTGTTATTTTGTATACATTGTACATACATTGTATCCCTGCTGTGTATGATGCACATTATGATTCAGTAAATAAAGTTCGCTGAAAAAGCTCTTCTGAAAATACAAATACTGTCCGTACAATTTTTTGTTTCATACAAGTCTATATATCACATTCTAGGATTTCCTATACCTTGAACCATAAATTAACAACATATGGAAGAATCTATGCGGAGGGGCAATGTTGGGGCTATTTTACACACAAAACTGGTTTTCGGCTAATGATATCCAGAACCCAGAAATCACACCTCAGTTTATCCTGGGCCTGGGTTGAAGAGAGAGTACTATTAGCTTACTTACAAAAGTTTCTAAACATTGTTGAAATAACAATGTAAAATCATCTAAAAACAAATAAATCTGTATCTTTTAAATATAATTTAAAAATATTTCTGCTTAATTTTTTTAATCTAGACAATGCATCAAGAATATTTATTATATTTCTGCAAATAGTTGGTACAATAGTGATTCCACATAGTCCAATAATACTTTAGAGGTACCATAGAGGCAACGCTAGAATACCTGTGGAAAATACAATGGCTAGTTCTGCATGCTACATCTCCAGCTTTTAATTGGCTCAATCTGAATATTACAAGCACACACATACACCTACATGCACACACTAATATCTAGTGTTTTAAGTAAAAATTAATATGAAAAATAGTACAATGATCATAAAGGTTTGAATAAATATTACAATATAATTTCAAATTAATTTGGAAATATCATTTTATGAATATTTTAATGACAAAATAATCAGAATCATTGGAGTTGTAGTTGACATTCTAGCTTATGTTATAATAAAGCTGCTGGGAATCTGAAAGCTGAGTTCTTCCCTATGTTTAGGATTATACTTTGAGTGGATTTGGTAAACACTAAGCAGTTGTGTGTGTGTGCAAGTGCATCCACGAGTGCAAAAATGACAATCATGAGTAATTTTTTCAAGTAGCGAACGTGAAAAAATTACCAATCAAAAATTAGTGTTGTAACCAAAATCGTGTGAGAAAGAAAAGCCTTACCCTTGACGTCTTTTATTTCGAAAGTTTAAAAAAGGAAAATAAGGGGCCTGGCGCGGTGGCTCACGCCTGCAATCCCAGCACTTTGGGAGGCCGAGGCGGGCGGATCACGAGGTCAGGAGATCGAGACCATCCTGGCTAACACGGTGAAACCCCGTCTCTACTAAAAATACAAAAAATTAGCCGGGCGTGGTGGCGGGCGCCTGTAGTCCCAGCTACTCCAGAGGCTGAGGCAGGAGAATCGCTCGAACCCGGGAGGCGGAGGTTGCAGTGACCGAGATCACGCCCGTGCACTCCAGCCTGGAGTGCACTCTGGGTGACAGAGGAAGACTCTGTCCCGAAAAAAAAAAAAAGGAAAACAAGGAAAGCATTCATTCATTTCACGAAGGTAAAATAATAATAAAGTCCATAGTAGAGATGTACTTGTTAGAATGCACTTTTTGAATCTATAAAGTTGCAAACAGAAAAGTTGAAGAATGACAGTTATCTATAAGTTATTGAACTCATCTGGTGTCTGATTTTGTGTTCGGTATTCTGAAAACCTCATTGTTTGAATCTTTTTAACAGTCCTGTGAAGCTGACACTTATCTCCGTTTCACTAAGAAACGAAGACATAAAGATATAATGGAAGTGCCCAAGGTTAAAGAGACAGTAAATACTAGATGTGGGGTTGGAATAAGTTCTACCAGACTACCTACTCTTTATAAATAAATTATAATGTTTATAATATACAAATATAATGAAGATTCTTTCGGGAGGTCAATGAAATAAAATTGTTTCTGGATAGATTTTAAACAAAAAGTGTTCCTGCTGCTCCCAACCACCTTATATATGTTTTATATCTTCTGCGCCTTTAGAATTAAAGAAATATTTAGGCACTCCTGAAGAATCGAAAGGAGAAAATTATGGAAAAAAATATGAGAGAGGGTTGAATAGCAAGCAGTAGATTGTCGAGAGGTCTTGGTTGCAAAGATTTGTAGACTTAGCGTAGGTAAATGTATTTTAGAGAATGAGAAAATTAGAAGTAGCTGATTCCCCTCTGCTCAGTGCAGCTGGGGAATTGGAGCTTTTGCCCACATTGGCAACTGAGCAGATAGGTTGGAGGAAAGATTCCAAAAATACCACTGCCTAACTAAACCAATTGCAAGAGACTGCGGTACTTCTGAACATGGTACCTCTGTTATTCCCACCAGCTAATTCTGCGCCTTACTGAGAAGGCAGAAAGAATAACATAACCAATAAAAATATTACTGGTAAAAAAATATAGTATCTAAGTTGGAAGAAAGTGGTCCTGTGTTCTTTGAGATGAATGTAATTATATAAAGTAATTTTATAACTGTTAATTATATATTTTAAAATAAGCAAGGAACCAGCAAACTGGTAGAAGGGGGAAGAGTGTATAAAACAATTAGGATGAAAAAACTCAGCCAATTAAACACATACAAGAAAAGAAGTGAGCAAAAATGAGACTGAAAAAGTGGGACAAAGAAGAACATAAAATAAGATGTTCAAAATTATCCATATAGATAAGAATTCACAATATATTACATGAAATAAAATTTCTTACTAACAGACTAATAAGGTGAGGTTGAATAGAGAAAGAAAATCCAGCTGTATGCTGTGTATAAAGATATACTGACAATATAAGGAAAGAGAAACGCTGAAAGGTAAAGGATAAAAAAAATGCATGCTAGAGAAATGATAACAAAGGAAAGCTGGTTTAGCTTCAGTAATATAAAAAGAAATGACTTTCATAAGCGGAAATTATTATTAAAAATAATACTATCATATTAAATTCACAGCAATGAGATAAAGATTCAAAAATTATCTGCAAAGGATCACATAGCTCCAAAACACATGGATAAAAATTTGATAGAAAATGGAAGAAAAAAATAGATAATCTAACTTTTTTTCTTTTTCTTGAGAGGAAGTCTCACCCTGTCACCCAGGCTGGAGTGCAGTGGCGTGATCTCGGCCCACTGCAACCTCTGCCTCCCAGGCTCAAGAAATTCTTGCACCTCACCCTCCCATGTAGCTGGTATTACAGACGTGTGCCACCATGCCAGGCTAATTTTTGTATTTTTAGTAGAGATGGGGTTTTGCCATGTTGGCCAGACTGGTCTCGAACTCCTGGCCTCAAGTGCTACGCCCTTCTTGGCCTCCCAAAGTGCTGGGATTACAGATGTCAGCCACTGTGCCCAGCCCTAACTTTGTTTTTTAAAACATATTTCTCTCTTATTAAGCAGATAAAAAAATAAAGGCACATATAATAAAACCAACACAATAAAAATTAGAAATTATCTGGTGAATAAATGTAGACTATGACATCAAACGATTTGATAGTACATATTTTTCTCCAGCACAATTACAATATTTGTTTTTAAAGACTATATGTTAAGAGTTTTAAAAGGAGACTTTACAATAGAAACAAAAATACAAAAAGTACACCCTCATTAAAAGAGGATTTAAGTCAATGGTTAGATGTACCAAATTCTACACTAAGAAATATAAACTCAATTCAAGTTTGTTAGAAATTTTACTTGGTTCATAATAGTATATGGTAAGTTAATTCTAAAATGTTTATGAAACAACTACAATAAAAGACCATGAATACACCAAGTACTTTTGAAGGAGTAGAAATAAAATGGTTGGCTTGCTTTAAAATATTTTGGTTTATTGTGGAAACAGAGGTCGGATTTCTTAGACGACAATTAAAAACTCATATATATAATCTAGGGTTTAACTTTTTCCTGTTCTCTTTTCCTTTTCCTTTTTCTTTCTTCTTTCTTTCTTGCTTGCTTGCTTGCTTGCTTGTTTTCTTTCTTTCTTTCTTTCTTTCTTTCTTTCTTTCTTTCTTTCTTTCTTTTTTTTTCTTTGAGACAAGTTCTCACTCTTTCACCCAGGCTGGAATGCAGTGGTACAATTTCAGCTCACTGCAACAACCTGTACCAACCGGGCCCAAGAGATCCTCTCACCTCAGCCTCCCATGTAGCTGAGACTACAGGCATGTGCCACCACACCTGACTAATTTGTGTATTTTTTGTAGAGATGAGGTCTCACCATGTTATCCTGGCTGGTCTTGAACTCCTGGGCTCAAGTGATCCTCCCACCTCGGCCTCCCAAAGTGCTAGGATTACAGGCATAAGCCACTGTGCCAGTCCTAGGGTTTAACTTTCTTATCAACACAGGAAACATAGAAGCTATAAAAGAAAAAAAGCATGCTTAGGTGTATAAAATTTAAAACTTTTGTAAGACAAAAGATATGACAATGAAAGCTAGGATATACAAATAAATAGAAACAATATTTGAAACTTAAGGATCAGATAAAAGATTAATGTGTTTACTGTATAAAAAGCATATGCAATTAAATCCAACCCAGAATACAAATGGGTAAATTATATGAAAAAATCACAAATAGCAAAACCATATAGCCAGTTAATAAATGATGTCGAATGGTGGCTCAATCTTCTTGATGGTTAAGGAAATAAAAACCAAATTCACAGTAAAATATCAGTATGCTTCCAGCTTACTACCAAAAAAGAAATAATTCAATAACATTTACATTTGGCAGAGATGGTGAGGGGCTGAGGACTATTTGAGATAGCTAAAAAAAGAGAGTTTAAAAAAATTAAATTTTTACGTAGGCATTTAAAAAATTATGTAAGTGTATCACACAAATGATTTTGCATCAAATAACATAGCATCTGCATCCATAACAACTCCATGGGACAAGGAAAAATAAAACCTGAGGGAATGGAAAAAGAAAACTTTAACCTTCACTATTCTATGACAAAACCAATGAGATAAAAATAGATATAAAAACAGCGAATCAGATCCAATTATAATATATTGTATTATACTTATTGAAAATAGAGATTAGACAGTCTTTTCAAATGTACATGAAACATTTAAACAGTGATTATATATTTTCCTTTAAAAATCAATATATTTCAAAAAGAAAAAATAGTACATAAAGCATTCTTTAATCTCAGTGGAATAAAACTGGACATTGTATTAGTCCATTCTTGCACTGCTATAAAGATATCCCTGAGATTGGGTAATTTATTAGGAAAAGAGGTTTAACTGGCTCCCAGTTCTACGGGTTGTACAGGAAGCATGATGCTGGCATCTGCTGGGATTCTGAGGAGGTCTCAAGAAACTTACAGTCATGGCAGAAGGCACAGGGGAAGCAGGCTTGTCTTACATGGCTGAAGCAGCAGTAAGAGCAAGAGAGGGCGTTGGTGCCACGTACTTCTAAAGGACCAAATCTCACAAAAACTCACTCACTATCACCAGAACAGCACTAAGGGGGAAATTCACCCCGATGATCCAATCACCTTCCATCAGGCCCCACCTCCAATACTGGGGATTTATGATTTGACATGAGATTTTGGTGAGGACACAGATCCAAACTGTATCAGACATGGATAACAAATCAGAAATACAAAAGCCCACCACACATGAAAATTGTTTGAAAATTCTTTTTCAAGTATCTTAAGTCAAAAGAAAATAAAAACTGAAATTTCATCTGGGATACGATAAAAGTAATTATCACAGGGACAATTGATATTTACAAAAGGTTATATTAAATTAAAAATAAAAATTAACATATAACTCGAAAGCTTAGGAAAAATACAAAATGAAGGTGGAAGAAAAAATAGAAATTAATAGATCAGCATCAAAATAGTGTTACATTTAGTACCTTAATTTTAAAGCCAGTTATTTAAGTAAAACACTAGAATAATTAAACAGCCATAATAATCAGAAATAAGAAAGAACATATAACGCAAATACACAATTATTATGAGAAAGTAACCACTTATATTTTAGATGTTTAAAGAAGCTTAGCAACAACTTTGCTGAAAACTACAAAAACAAATTGATATCCTGAATGAAACAGACAATTTTGTATGAACATATATTCCTCTAAGAACTTCTAGTAAAATAAAAATAATAACTATTTAAACCATTCATTAAAAAAGAGAATTTTTTCAATTCCACAAAACCCTCAAGGTGCAGATAGTATTCACATTTTGAGATAATATTGACATTTTAAGAAACATAAATTTCTACAGCTATTCAAACCATTTCGGAAAAGAAAAAGAAAGAATTTTTCATTTTTTTCTGAAGCTTGCATAGCATAGATGCCCAAATTCTTCAAGTTGTAAAAAAATAGAAAACAATAAACCAATTAATTAATATGTCAGAAAAATGCCAGGCATTGACAAATATAAACCAGAAGCATATTAAAACAATAATGACAAGGAACAATTTTTTTCTCCTCACCAATGCAAAATAGATTAATATTTGGCTAAGAAAATATACAAAATTTACATATCTGTCTATCCCATTTTAATAAAAATTTAACATCCATTCATAACAAAATAAAATCAATCAAATATGAATAAATAGTTCTGTAATGAAATTAAATTATTAGAAAATATGATAATGTGTATGAACAGACAGGTAAATGGGTGAAAATGGTACATCCAGAAATGTACCTAAATAGCTATAGGAATTTAGTATATGGTAAAGGTCAGGAAGTAGATTGTTATAAATGGAGGATAGTTTTCTGGAAAAACAAATAAACTCGAATTCCCTATCCATTCCAAATGGAAGAAAACTTGAAAGGTAGAAAATAGAGTCATAAAAGTGACAGAAGAAATCATGAGGATTGCTTCGTAATCTCATAGTGGATGAGACTTTCTTAACTATAACCAAATGGTGCAAAGCTAAAAATGACACGTTTGCCTACATGCAAATCAAACCGTTTATGACCTTACAAAAATCAAAATATTCTACATGAGAACACAAGTCATCAAAAGCAAGGACAATTTGTAAAATGATAAAATTATTTGTAACACATAACTGAGACAATTATGTAATTATAAAAACCTCCTTGGCCGGGCGCGGTGGCTCACACTTGTAATCCCAGCACTTTGGGAGGCCGAGGTGGGCGGATCACGAGGTCAGGAAATCGAGACCATCCTGGCTAACACGGTGAAACCCCGTCTCTACTAAAAATACAAAAAATTAGCCGGGCGTGGTGGCGGGCGCCTGTAGTCCCAGCTACTCGGGAGGCTGAGGCAGGAGAATGGCGCAAACCCGGGAGGCGGATCTTGCAGTGAGCCGAGATCAGGCCACTGCACTCCAGCCTGGGCGACTGAGGGAGACTCCGTCTCAAAAAAAAAGAAAAAGAAAAAAAAACCTCCTTCAAATTATTAAGAAATAGAAAAAGAAACCCAACAGAAAAAAATAGGCAAAAGGGTAAATAGTTTACAGAAGTGCAGACACAATTAGCTTTTAAACAAAGAAAACATGTTCAACCTCCTAATAACAAATAAATAAATGGAAAAAAACTGGTATGATTTTCCACCTATCAGATAGACAGAAACACCAGTGTTGGGTATTACTACGTTGACAGTATGTAGTAGAAGATGCACTCTCATATACTGGTGATGGAATTGCAAAACGCTGCAAACACTTCAAAGGCAAAACATCTTTATTCCTTTTGTTTCCACCTTTATTTTAGGTTCGGGGGTACATGTGCAGTTTTGTTACATGGGTAAATTGCATGTTGCTGAGGCTTAGTGTATGAATGATCCTTTCACCAAGATAGTGAGCATAAGAGCCCATAAGTAATATCCCAACTCATGCCTCTCTCCCACCCTCTCCCCTTAAACAGTCTGCGGTGCCAATTGTTCCCATCTTTGTGCCCACGTGTATTCAATGTTTAGCTCCCAATTATAGGTGAGAACCCTGTGGTACGGTATTGGATTTCTGTTCCTACATTAATTTACTTAGGATAAGGGCCTCCAATTGCATCCATGTTGCTGCAAAGAACATGATTTTGTTATATTTTGTGGCTGCATAGTAGCCCACGGTGTATACGTACCACATTTTCTTTATCCAGCCCACTGTTGATGAGCATCTTGGTTGAATGCGTGTCTTTGCTACTGTGAATAGCATTGTGATGAACATACACGTGCATGTGCCTTTTTGATGGAACAATTTATTTTTCTTTGGTATATACCCAGTAGTGAGATTGCTGGGTCAAGTGGTAGTTGTTTTCAGTTCTTCAAGAAATCTTCACACTGCTTTCCACAGTAGCTAGACTAATATACATTCCCACCAGCAGTGTATAAGTGTTTCCTTTTCTCTGCAGCCTTGCCAGCATCTGTTGTTTTTGACTTCTTGATCATAGCCACTGTGATTGGTGTGGGATGGTTTCCCATGGTGATTTTGATTTGCATTTCTCTAATGATTGGTGGGGATGAGCATTTTTTCATATATTTGTTGGCCACATGTACATTTTCTTTTCAGAAGTTTCTGTTCATGTCCTTTATTCATTTTTCAATGGGGTTATTTATGTTATTTTGCTTGCTGGTTTAAATTCTTTACAGATTCTCGATATTAGACTTTTGTTGAATGCATACTTTGTGAATATGTTCTCCCATTTTGTAGGTTGTCTGTTTGTTTGATTAATAGTTTATTTTCTTGTGTAGAAGCTCTTTTGTTTAATTAGGTCCACTTGTCAATTTTTGTTTTTGTTGCAATTGCTTACGGGAACTTAGTCATAAATTCTTTGCCAGGGCCAATTTTTGGAATGGTTTTTCCTAGGTTTTCTTCTACAGTTTCTATTGTTTTCAATCTTACATTTAAGTCTTTACTACATTTTGATTTAATTTTTGTATATGATGAAAGGTAGGGGTACAGTTTCAATCTTCTGCATATGGCAAGCTAGTTACTCCAGCACCATTTATTGAATAGGTAGTCCTTTCCCCATTGTTATTTTCAACCTAGAATTAATGAATAAATTCCTGGAAACACACAGACTCCTAAGATTGAACCAGAAAGAAATTACAGACCAATAACATACTCCAAAATGGAATCAATAATGACAAGCCAGCCATGCCAAAAAACAAAAACAAAAACAACCATGGACCAGAAGGATTAACAGCCAAATTCTACCAAATGTATAAAGAAAACCTAGTACCAATCCTACTGAAATTATTCCAAAAACCCAAGGAGTAGGGGCTCCTCCATAAATCATTCTATGAAGCCAGCATTATTCTAATACCAAAGCCTGGCAAAGACACAATGGAAAAAAGAAAATTTCAGGCCAATATCCCTGCTGAAGATAGACCCAAAAATTCTCAACAAAATTTAGGATCTAGAAGCACATCAAAATTTAATTCACCATGAATCAATAGGCTTAATTCCTGAGATGCAAGGTTGGTTCAATATATGAAAATCAATAAATGCTATTCACCATATAAACAGGATTAGCAACAAAAATTTCATGATCATCTCAATAAACACAGAAAAGGCCTTCAGTAAAATTCAATATCCCTTCATGTTAATAACCCCCAACAAATCAGACATTAAGGGAACATACCTCAAAATAGTAAAAGCCATCTATAACAAACCCACATTCAACACCATACTAAATAGAGAAAAGCTGGAAGCATTCCCTTTGAGATGTGGAACAAAACAAAAATGCCCAGTTTCACCACTCCTATTCAACATATTATTGGAAGTCCTTGCCAGAGCAATCAGGCAAGAGAAAAAAAATAAAAGAATTTCAAATAGGAAGAGAGGAAGTTGAACTATTTCTCTTTGCAGACAGTATAATTCTATACATAGAAAACCTCATAGACCCCACCAGAAGGATTTTAGAACTTATAAACAACTTCAGTAAAGTTTCAAGATACACAATCAACGTCCAGAAATTAGTAGCTTGTCTATACACCAATAACATCCAAGCTTAGAGCCAAATCAAGAATGCAATATCATTTATAATAGCCATAAAGAAAATGAAATACCTAGGAATACAGCTACCCAAAGAGGTAAAAGAGCTCTACAAGGGGAGCTACAAAACACTGCTGAAAGAAACCAGAGAGAACACAGACAAATGGAGAAACATTCCATGCTCATGAATAGGAAGAATCAATATCATTAAAATGGCCATACTGCCCAAAGCAATTTACAGACTGAATGTTATTCCTACCAAACTACCAATGTCATTTTTGAGATAACTAGAAAAAACTATTCTAAAATTCATATGAAACCATAAAAGAGCCTACATCACCAAACCAATGGAAAAGACACATAGACCAATGGAAGAAGATATAGAACCCAGAAAAAAGTCACAGACCTACAATTACTTGATCTTCAAAAAAAAAATATCTTTCAAAACAACAAATACACCCTTTGACTCAGGCAAAACCCATTGGGGAGTGTATAGTTAAATTATACTTACAGTTTTGAAAGGATACATGAGCATATCAACAGAAGTAAAGACAGAGTAGAAGGGATATAGGAATAAACTGCATGTAACTACAGAAAAGACAGGGAAATAATGAGGAAATCAGAAAAAATAAGCTCCAAAATATTGCTAAAGGAAAATGGAAGGATAATGACTATTGTATATAGTATGCTTTTTTATATAAAAATACAAATATATGTATCTATGTACCCATCATCCATCCATCTATTATCTATCTATCCATGAATGTCAATAAAATATCTCTGAAAAAAACCATAAAAGAATAGATCTTTATTTACCTTTTGAATTTTAATGTGTCACCTCATTAAAATTAGGAAGGAAGTCAATAAAATTTAGTCAAAACTTTTTATATAATTTTTTTCTAGATTGAGCAAATGAAATGCAATACAAATGATTTCTCTTTCAATGACATTACAGATTATTGCTTGATGATAGTTGTGCATCCAATTCTGCCAAGAATATGTTCCTCATATTTCATATGCTTTATTCCTAGAGTTTCATATGGGAATAGGAAAACAGCAAGTGCAGATGTTGAATCAGATATAGGGAGACACAGAGTCACCTTGAGACATGTGAAGCCAAGGGTGAGCCTACAGGCCTCTAGATCTTAGGGTTGACTTATCAAGCCGAAGAAGTGTGACTGTGTGACTTAGTCCTAGTCACATGTCCTCTCCAACAACTTCAGTTTCTCCATCCGATAATGAAGATTATACCCCGCCCCCAACCCACACACATAGTCAAATCAATGTCGAGCTTGTAGGGAGGCTGAGCAGTATCCCAGTGAGTTATAGCAGTCAGAGGCCCTGAGGAGGCAGAGAAGAGCAGGAAAGAGCTGAACGTGAAAGCTCAGGAATCCATTAGGCAGTGCAAATTTAAGTATAAGAAACTGGAGAGTTGGGCTGGGTGTGGTGGCTCACGCCTGTAATCCCAGCACTTTGGGAGGCCATGGCAGGCAGATCACGAGGTCAGGAGATCAAGACCATCCTGGCCAACATGGTGAAAACCCGTCTCTACTGAAATACAAAAAATTAGCCAGGCGTGGTGGCATGCGACTATAGTCCCAGCTACTCAGGAGGCTGAGGCAGGGGAATCACTCGAACCTGGGAGGCAGAGATTGCAGCTACCCAAGATCGCACCACTGCATTCCAGCCTGATGACAGAGCAAGACCACATCTGAAAAAAAAAAAAGAAAAGAAAAGAAAAGAAAAGAAAAGAAAAGAAATTGGAAAGTTGGAGAAACAATCTGAAATTCTTGATTAACTGACAGACAAGAATAATCAGGTATAAAAGTCAAATTCCTAAGGAATGGTTTTTTAATGACCAACAATTCATTTACCCATCTTTCGAGCAAACACTTGGGTGTCAAAGAATCTTTGTCTTGGCAATTTCAAAGTTAAAAAATCATATATACACATAATTTTTCTATCAAGTAGCTGATAAAATATAATTATATATACAATTATAATTAACATTTAATTATAATTATATATAATTATATATACTTTATATATATAATTATATATTATATATTATATACATATATATACAGTATATATATATGCATGTATTATCTTTTTAAAGCCTCTTTAATAGCTTAGCATTCCATGGCTTTTCACCGTTGATCCTCAAAATAGATTCCCCGTTTTAACTACAAATTCTCTAAATTGATATTATTCTTTAGTACTTTAAAGAAAATTACTACATATTTATTACATCACATGACTTTTCCTTCAATGCATGCATTTTTTCTCACCTTTTATTATTTTTGATATAATATATTGTTCTACATTATGTGTTTGAAAGCTGTGTTTTCTGCTTTCAATGCTACATGAATTAATGTAAAATATACCAATCTAAAATGTAACATGTTACAACAATTACATTTATCACATGAAGCCATAAAAAAGTTATATTTATTATTCACCTAAGAAATATTTTATAAACATGTGCCTGCAGGAGCCCAGTATTTTGTATACTAAGAAGCAAATGTGAATTACTGAAAGGCAGACAACTGTGAAAATATTTTTCTCTTATGATTGAGTTCTGTTCACATCACTGATTTATTTGTAGCATAAAGATAAAGAAGAATTCAAAATCCATATCAAATGAGAATCAACTGGATCTAGTTAAGGTGAAAAACAAAAAGTATTTAATAAACAAATTGTTTCAAGGACACACAAAAAAACAGGAGAAAATTCTCATGAGATTTACTTCTTTTATTCATTTTGTAAATTGAGTACTAATCTTCTTTGTATATATACCACATTCTTAGAAAACAATGGTTTCATTTCAAAGTGTGGGCTTTTTTTCGTTTAAATTTGAATGTATAAAAGTTTTTAGGGCCTTATTTTCACAAAGATACTTCAGCAGAGTTAAATATATGATAAATATCCAACGAATTCCTATTTTACTCAGATTTTTTGAAATGTGTAGCTTCTACATGAGGAGGTCAATATGTCAATATTATGAGAAGAATTGTGATATGATTGGAGATCAACCATTTTGAGTCAAACTCCCCAACAGCTTCAATTTCTCTATTTAAGAGTGAAGATGAGAATATCATAGGTAGATCAATGATAGATAGATAGATAGATAGATAGATAGATAGATAGATGAGATATACACACACACACTCAAATCAATGTCAAGTACATAAGCAACTATAAAGAGGCTATAACAATAACAATCAAAAAATTGGCAAATATTCATTAAATGCCAGTTATGTGTCAGGCATATTATTATAATAGTCACTATTATTTTGGCATAAATTAACATTTTACACAAAATAGATGTCACTTTTTAAAGGTATTATCAGTGAGAATTTCCTTTTGGAAAAGCTAGGGAGTTTATTTTTATGAGAACTCTTAAGAATATCAATTGTGTTTTAGCAAATAAATTGTTCTGGGCATCCAAATTCAAAGTAAAATGTGAAAGATTTGATAATTCATTGAATTATAATCAACAAATTATGTCCAGAAGACATAAAGGAAGGGAAGAGCAAATTGGAAGCAGTAAGTATGGTAGTTGTTGAAGAAATAAGCAAATGCACGTTGGACTGAAATGTTAAGCACTGATTACTGGAAACAATATGGAAGTTAATTAATTTCTTTAGAATATTGTTAAAATGATTCAGATTACAGAGGAACAGTGGGTAAATTTTAGTATTTTTTTGTTATATTTTAAGTTCTGGGAAACATGTGCAGAACGTGCATGTTTGTTACATAGATATACACGTGCCACGGTGGTTTGCTGCATCCAGCAACCTGTCATCTACATTAGGTATATCTCCTAATGCTATCCCTCCCCTAGCCCCCGACACCAGACAGGCCCCAGTGTGTGATGTTCCCCTCCCTGTGTCCATGTGTTCTCATTGTTCAACTCCCACTTATGAGTGAGAACATGTGGTGTTTGGTTTTCTGTTTCTGTGTTAGTTTGCTGAGAATGATGATTTACAGCTTCATCCATGTCCCTACAAAGGAATGAACTCATCCTTTTCTGTGGCTGCATAGTATTCCATGGTGTATATGTGCCCATATTATTAATGGGCATTTGGGTTGGTTCCAAGTCTTTGCTATTGTGAATAGTGCTACAAGAAACATATGTGTGCATAAGTCTTTATAGTAGGATGATTTATAATCCTTTAGGTATCTACTCAGTAATGGGATTGCTGGGTCAAATGGTATTTCTTGTTCTAGATCCTTGATGAATCACCACACTGTCTTCCACAATGGTTGAACTAATTTACACTCCCACACACTGTGTAAAAGTCTTCCTATTTCTCCACATACTCTCCAGCATCTGTTGTTTCCTGACATTTTTAATAATCGCCATTATAACTGGCATGAGATGGTATCTCATTGTGGTTTTGATTTGTATTTCTCTAATGACCAGTGACTCTGAGATTATTTTCATACGTTTTTTGGCCACATAAATGTCTTCTTTTGAGAAGTGTCTGTTCATATCCTCCCACTTTTTGATGGAGTTGTTTTTTTCTTGTAAATTTGTTTAAGTTCCTTGTAGATTCTGGATAATAGCCCTTTGTCAGATGGATAGATTGCAAAAACTTTCTCCCATTCTGTAGGTTGCCTATTCACTCTGATGATAGTTTCTTTTGCTGTGCAGAAGCTCCTTAGTTTAGAGTTGCTGGCAAGATGGCTGAATAGGAATAGCTCCGGTCTGCAGCTTATGGCGAGATCAACACAGAAGACGGGTGATTTCTGCATTTCCAACTGTGGTACCCGGCTCATCTCTTTGGGACTGGTTAGACAGTGAGTGCAGCCCACAGAGGGTGAGCCAAAGCAGGGTGGGGCATCACCTCACCCTCCAGGAAGTACAAGAGGTTGGGGAACTCCCTCCCTTAGCCAAAGGAAGCCATGAAGTACTGTGCCCTGAGGAACCGTGCGCTCCAGCCCAGATACTATGTTCTTCCCACGGCCTTCACAACCCACAGACCAGGAGATTCCCTCGGGTGCCTACACCACCAGGGTCATGGGTTTCAAGCACAAACTGGGTGGCCATTTGGACAGAAACTGAGCTAGGTGCAGGAGTTTTTTTTGTTTTGTTTTTTTTCATACCCCAGTGGCACCTGGAACGCTAACAAGATAGAACCGTTCACTTCCCTGGGAAGAGGGCTGAAGCTTCACCAGAGAGCCAACTGGTCTAGCTCAGCAGATCCCACCTCCACAGAGCCCAGCAAGCTAAGACCCACTGGCTTGAAATTCTCGCTGCCAGAACAGCAGTCAGAAGTTGACCTGGAATGCTCCAGCTTGGTGGGAAGAGGGGTGTCCGCCATTACTGAGGCTTGAATAGGTGGCTTTTCTCTCACAGTGTAAACAAAACCACTGGGAAGTTCAAACTGGGCAGAGCTCACCACAGCTCAGCAAAACCAATGTAGCCAGACTGCCTCTCTAGATTCCTCCTCTCTGAGCAGGGCATCTCTGAAAGAAAGGCAGCAGCCCTAATCAGGGGCTTATAGATAAGACTCCCATTTCCCTGGGACAGAGCACCTGGGGGAAGGGACAGCTGTGGGCACAGCTTCAGCAGACTTAAACATTTCTGCCTGCTGGCTCTGAAGACAGCAGCGGATCTCCCAGTATAGTGCTGAAGCTCTGCTAAGGGACAGACTGCCTCCTCAAGTAGGTCCCTGTCTCCTGACTGGGAGACATCTCCCAGAAGTGGTTGACAGATATCTCATACAGAAAAGCTCCAGCTGGCATTTGGTGGGTTCCCCTCTGGGACGAAGCTTCCAGAGGAAGGAACAGGCAGCAATCTTTGCTCTTCTGCAGCCTCTGCTGGTGATACCCAAGCAAACAGGGTCTGGAGTGGACCTCCAGCAAACTCCAGCAGACCTGCAGCAGAGGGCCATGACTGTTAGAAGGAAAACTAACAAACAGAAAGGAATAGCATCAATGTCAACAAAAAGGATGTCCACACAGAAATCCCATTTGAAGGCAACCAACATCAAAGACCGAAGGTAGATAAATCCACGATGATGAGGAAAAACCTGCACAAAAAGGCTGAAAATTCCGAAAACCAGAACACCTTATCTCCTCCAAAGGATCACAACTCCTCGCCAGCAAGGGAACAAAACTGGACAGAGAATGAGTTTGATGAATTGACACAAGTAGGCTTCAGAAGGTGGGTAATAACAAACTCCTCTGAGCTAAAGAAGTGTGTTCTAACCCAATGCAAGGAGGCTAGGAAACTTGAAAAAAAGTTAGAGGAATTGCTAACTAGAAAAACCCATTTAGAGAAGAACATAAATGACATGATGGAGCTGAAAAACACAGCACGAGAACTTCGTGAAGCATACATGAATATCAATAGCCAAATCGATCAAGCGGAAGAAAGGATATCACAGATTGAAGAGCAACTTAATGAAATAAAGCATGAAGACAATGATAGAGAAAAAAGAATGAAAAGGAATGAACAAAGCCTCCAAGAAATATGGGACTACATGAAAAGATCAACCTTATGTTTGATTGGTGTACCTGAAAGTGAGGGGGAGAATGGAACCAAGTAGGAAAACACTGTTAGGATATTATCCAGGAGAACTTGCCCAGCCTAGCAAGACAGGCCAACATTCAGAATCGGGAAATATAGAGAACACCACAAAGATACTCCTCAAGAAGAGCAACCCCAAGACACACAATCGTCAGATTCACCAAGGTTGAAGTGAAGGAAAAAATGTTAAGAGCAGTCAGAGAGAAAGGTCGGGTTACCCACAAAGGGAAGCCCATCAGACTAACACTGGATCTCTCTGCAGAAACCCTACAGCCAGAAGAGAGTGGGGGCCAATATTCAACATTCTTAAAGAAAAGAATTTTCAACCCAGAATTTCATATCCAGCCAAACTAAGCTTCATAAGTGAAGAAGAAATAAAATCCTTTACAGACAAGCAAATGCTGAGCAATTTTGTTTCCACCAAGCCTGCTTTACAAGAGCTCCTGAAGGAAGCACTAAATATGGAAAGGAAAAATGGGTACCAGCTACAGCAAAAACATACCAAATTGTAAAGACCATCGACACGATGAAGAAACTGCATCAACTAATGGGCAAAATAACCAGCTAGCATCATAATGACAGAATCAAATTCACACATAACAATATTAACCTTAAATGTAAATGGGCTAAATGCCCCAATTAAAAGACAAAGACTGGCAGATTGGATAGAGTCAAGACCCATTGGTATGCTGTATTCAGGAGACCCATCTCACATGCAAAGAAAAATATAGACTCAAAATAAAGGGATGGAGGAATATTTACCTAGCAAATGAAAAGCAAAAAAAAGTAGGGGTTGCAATCTTAGTCTCTGATAAAACAGACTTTAAACCAACAAAAATCAAAAGAGACAAAGAAGGGCATTACATAATGGTAAAGGGATCAATGCAACAAGAAGAGCTAATTATCCTAAATATATATGCACCCAATACAGGAGCACCAAGCTTCATGAAGCAAGTTCTTAGAGACCCACAAAGAGACTTAGACTCCCACATAATAATAGTGGGAGAATTTAACACCCCACTGTCAATATTAGACAGATCAACAAAACAGAAAATTAACAAGGATATTCAGGAGTTGAACTCAGCTTTGGACCAAGCAGACCTAATAGACATCTACAGAACTCTCCACCCCAAAACAACAGAATATACATTCTTCTCAGCACGACATCACACTTATTCTAAAATTGACCACATAATTAAAAGTGAAACATGCCTCAGCAAATGCAAAAGAATGTAAATCATAACAAACAGTCTCTCAGACCACAGTGCAATCGAATTAGAACTCAGGATTAAGAAACTGAGTTCTACATGGAAACTACATGGAAACTGAACAACCTGCTCCTCAATGACTATGGGGTAAATAACGAAATTAAGGCAGAAATAAAGAAGATCTTTTAAACCAATGAAAACAAAGACACAGTGTACCAAAATCTCTAGGACACAACTAAAGCAGTGTTTAGAGGGAAATTTATAGCACTAAATGTCCACAGGAGAAAGCAGGAAAGATCTAAAGTCTACACCCAGAAGCAAGAGCAAACAAATTCAAAAGGTAGCAGAAGACAAGAAATAACTAAGATCAGAGCAGAACTGAAGGAGATAGAGACACGAAAAATACTTTAAAAAAATCAGTGAATCCAGGAACTGGCTTTTTGAAAAGATTAACAAAATAGACCACTAGCCAGACTGATAAAGAAGAAAAGAGAGAAGAATCAAATAGATACAATTAAAAAATGATAAAGGGGATATCACCACTGATCCCACAGAAATACAAACTACCATCAGAGACTGCTATAAACACCTCTATGCAAATAAACTAGAAAATCTAGAAGAAATGGATAAATTCCTGGACACATACACCCCCCCAAAACTAAACCAGGAAAAAGTTGAATCCCTGAATATACCAATAACAAGTTCTGAAATTGAGGCAGCAATTAATAGCCTACCAACCAAAAAAATCCCAGGACCAGATGGATTCAGAGCCAAATTCTACCAGAGGTACAAAGAGGTCCTGGTACCATTCCTTCTGAAACGATTCCAGACAATAGAAAAAGAGGAACTCCTCCCTAACTCATTTTAGGAGGTCAGCATCATCTGGATATCAAAACATGGCAAAGACACAACAAACAAAGAAAATTTCAGGCCAATATCCCTGATGAACATCGATGTGAAAATCCTCAATAAAATACTGGCAAACCAAATCCAGCAGCACATCAAAAAGCTAATCCACCACGTTCAAGTTGGCTTCATCCCTGGGATGCAAGGCTGGTTCAACATATGTAAATCAATAAATGCAATTTGTCACATAAACAGAACCAATGACAAAAAACCACATGATTATCTCAATAGATGCAGAAAAGGCCTTCGATAAAATTCAACACCTCTTCATGCTAAAAACTCAATAAATTAGGTATTGATGGAATGTATCTCAAAATAATAAGAGCTATTTGTGACAAACTCACAGCCAATATCATATAGAATGAGCAAAAGCTGGAAGCATTCCCTTAAAAACTGGCACAAAGACAAGGATGCCATCCCTCACCACTCCTATTCAATTTCAGTATTTTTGAAGGCATTTCACACAATAGCAATGTTAATATATGTGCAAATTTAACAATAATAAGTTAGTAAGGTACAACCACATGTATAGAATTTTGGCATAGAAGATTGGGAATTACCATTGCTAAAATAAAGTATAGCTAAGAGTATAATGTAAATTACAAACAACTTTCTTCACTACAGTATAAGTTAAGCTTAATGGTGGAACAAATTTTAAATAGTATCTTTAAGAACTTTAATAAAACAACAAATAATACATAAAATACATTAAAATTTACATGTTATATATTTTGAACTAGTTTAGTGAAAATATATAAACAAATCACTGGTATACTGTGATGTGTGCATAATTGTGTGTGTGTGTGTGTGTGTGTGTGTGTAAGCCTTCTTGTATATCCATCATTAAATGTTAACAAATATTTTGTCTAATCCACATATTTTGACAAGATAGCATAACATAATAATATGATATTTTATCCATATAAAGTTTCAGTTTCTGAAATACAGATGAAAACTACTATCTTGATGTAAATTTGAGTAGAAATTCCTCCATATTGAGCTCTTGGAAGGCTTCCTTCTGTGGTTATAATCAATCAATGAAGAACATTCCCCAACTGGAGTGCACATAACTGAGATCTCTACATGTGTAATGAAATAACAACCAAATGTACATTTGTGATTCTCTATACAAGTGTATATTCATCACCGTAAGTGTTACACTTTAATACCCATTGTGTGATTTTCAAGACTGACTTCTGAGAAGACGATAAAAAAAGAAATTGCTCTAATAGAACATTTATTCTGGAACAAAGTAAGGGTTATTGGTTTTTTGCTTCTTTTTCATTCATATTCTGCAGCCTTTACCAAGTCACCTCTACTTTTCCCAAGCCTCTTGTTTTTCTGTGAGGTCCTCTTTATGGCGAGTAGTCTAGCCATAGAAGGCTAGTCGAATGTCTAGCATGGCATTTGCGATGTCACAGGTTTCCTTTCTCCTCTGAAGAATCTAATGAAAGGGCAAGTCGTTCTTTAGTACAAACATTTCTAATCTATTTAATTATAATAATAAAGTGAATCATAGTGGAATAAGTGAGAGACAGGACTAGTTGGATTTCCTAGGCTGACTAAGAATTCATAAGCCTAGCTGGGGAAGGTGACCACACCTACCTTTAAACATGGGGCTTGTAACTCAGCTCACACCTGACCAATCAAGTAGTAAAGAGGACTCAGTAAAATACAAATTAGGCTAAAAGCAGGAGGTAAAGAAATAGTCAAATCATCTATCAGCTGAGAGCACAGGGGGAGCAACAATGATGGGGATATAAACCCAGGCATTTGAGCAGGGAGCGGCAACCCGCTTTGGATCCCCTCCAATCGCATGGGAGCTCTGTTTTCACTCTATTAAATCTTGCAACTGTACACTCTTCTGGTCAGTGTTTTTTACAGCTCTAGCTGAGCTTCTGCTTGCAGTCCACCACTGCTGATGGTTGTCATCGCAGACCCGCGGCTGATGTCCACCACTCCAGATCCGGCAGGGTGTCCTCTGTGCTCCTGATCCAGCGAGGCGCCCATTGCCACTCCCAACCAGGCTAAAGGCTTGCCATTGTTGCTGCACAGCTAAGTGCCCGGGCTCGTCCTGCTCGAGCTGAACACTGGTTGCTGGGTTCCACGGTTCTCTTCTGTGACCCACGGCTTCTAATAGAGCTATAACACTGCATGGCCCAAGATTCCATTCCTTGGAATCCGTGAGGCCAAGAACCCCAGGTCAGAGAACAAAAGACTTGCTGCCATCTTGGGAGCAGCCTGCCCCATCTTAGGAGCCCTAAGAACAAAGATCGTCCAGTAACATAAGCACTTTTAATTCACCCATAGCTTTTATTATAAAATATTTAATAACATAATAACTTTGTATCAACTTAAAAAGTGCAGTGCTATACAATTTAGAAATAAACTTTAGTTTCTCGGTTTACTTAACAGTTCACTCTTTTTAACTTAAAATATCCTCTAAAATCTCTATGATTCAGAGATGCTGAGTATTATATTTCAGCTGGAAAGAATTTAAAACTATTTATGAAAATCTATTTAAATAAATTTAGTAAGTTCAATTGCCAAAATGAAGAAGGTTGCAAAATAAACAGCTTAGATGCTTATTCTATGAATAATTTTAGCTTTGTCTTCAAGGGCTATGTTTTAAACATCGTTTTGTGGATACTCAGCAATCCGTTTTGATTTAGTCATTTATTGGTGATTACCTCTTGATTCATCAAAGTAGAAATCCTGGTTGGTTCTGGAGTGCTTCATTTATGCAAAATTTGGTTAAGTCAAAAAGGACCATTCTTGCAGCGTGGTTACCATCAACCTTATTAGCCTCATATGTTTAGGAAAATTACCTGTTTCATGGCTAAAATTTTTGCAAATTATTACACCCATGTGAAATCATATGAAATATACAGTGGTATGTGTGGGGATACAGGGAGACTTATCTGGATCATGGTGACCAACATATAAATATTAGCTATTTCAGTGAGCCTCCACAGATTCAACAGATGTATTTTAACAAGTTGTACTGACATTAGTATTATATATAACATTATATGTAATATATAATGATATATATGATGTCATACATCTAACCAAATAAAACAAAGTAATTATAAATAGAGATAGAGAGAGGGAATGTACTCAAAATAGAATGAAAAGTAGGTGTAGAAAAAAATCAATGAAATCAGAAATCTCCATTTGGCAATCATGTTAGTAATAATTAACTCAAACATCTATGGATGTTATCACTAGTATACAAAAGTTGGATGAACATTGAAATACTTGCATAGTTTTAAAGTACTTCCCTCCAGAATTCTTATCAATTATAAAGAGGGCAAGAGTAACATCACAGCAGAGATAGCTAGCACACTAGTATAACTGAGTGATCAAAGTCAATATTCCCAGAGATGTGATAGATTGACAGGCAATGATAAAAACACAGAATTACTTCTGTGATATTCCTGCCAAAAATGCGTAACATGAATCTCATCAGGAAAAAACATCAGATAAACCCAAATCGAGGAATATTTTACAAAATAACTGGCTTATAGTCTTCAAAAATATAAGGTCATAAGAATCGAAGAAGCATTGAGGAATTATTTCCTCAATGCTAAAGAGACATGATGATCAATGCAAGGAGTGATCCAGGATTAGATTTATTTTAGGATATTATTGGGACATTTGGCAAATTTGAATGGGATGTCTTGGCAAGGAGTTTTGTGGGACTACTTTGTACTGTGCTTGTAATTTCTCATAAAGTTTGAAATTATATCAACACACACAAAAAATTGAACTGATACTATTATTAATATGCCAAGTGACTCCTAGCCTATTGGAGGATATACAAATAAAATAAAATTGTGATAAAAATTTGGGACTGAGGGTTATTTATTGTTCAATCCTGTGTTAGGCATATTTCTTTTCTTACTTAAAGTAAGTGTTCCAATTTCTTGACTGAAACACAGATACACTAATTGGGGAGAGTTAGAATTGTTCTGTGATTAACCACAGTGCTGACAGTCCAAAGGAAAATGTATTAAATTCATTTCTGCCAGATTTTTTAATGAATTACTCATCTGCATCACAATGCTATCCAATTGTATGTCTATTGCACATGAAATATATTTGATTATCTTTTATTTAAAATTATTAGATTCCACCATATTTAGCCATATAACTATGATGACATTTTCTAGCATTTTACTGTTTCACATTTGAAGCAGTCTAAGTAAGATAATATGATTCATAGTATCATTGTTCTGATTATGATGTTGAGACAAGAGATTTTCTAACACAAACTTAAAATCACCTCTTGTCACAAATATTACTTTAAATGTGAAAAACTGCAATTACTTTTGCACTAACCTAATATAAATGACCTTACATCACATGTCCAGCAGTTCATTACTTATCAACTTTAAAATAATTGTGAAATTGTAAATGATTGCCATATTGCTTTTTTTATAGACTGTCTCAGGTATAGAGAGATATATAACAATTTGAAAAGACCCAATGAAATGTAAGTGTGTTTATTGTACAATAAGCTTTACCCCATGAAATTTTACTCAGATCACAATGAAATGTATTTTATTCACCATTTCAGGAAAAGAAATCACCAGTAAACCTTCTGAATGTTATGTTTATTCAAGTTCATTATGGTTGAAAAGAAAATAGGTTTCCTTTGTAGTTGCATTTTTTCAATTTCAGTAAAACAAAATGAGATTATATTAGTTGTATGAAAACACCTGAGTTCATGTATACAAATCTTGTTTTCAAGATTAAGTATAAGTGAAAAGTTATTTAAAGAATATTATTATCTTTTGCACTCTACCAGGAATGGTGAAGAAAGGGATACATAGAAATTTATTTTTAGAATCTGTGCTGCACAATTCTTGTTAAAGCCTAAGATTTACATTTGGAGAAAGAAATCTCATAATCACAAATTCTAGCCATCCCTTGTATTACTTTTTATAAATTATAGTAAACAGATGTGAGGTATTTATTTAGAGAATGTTTCAGATATTGATAATGACAAATTTGGTGTACTTTTCTAAAATTTCAAATATAGTTGTAATAATGGACTTTTATGATAGATGCAATGCTATAATTTGATTGGACTGTTTCATTTTTCCCCCTGGCACATAAAAGACTCCATTTTGTTAGTCCCCTATCAGCTGGCTGGGACCACGTGGCAAGTAGAATATGGGCGGAAGTTATATAGTGCACTTCCAGTTCTGGCACTATGATATCATACACATTCTTCTTATACTTATTTTTTAGTAGCAGGAGGCAAAAGACTCAGTGGAGGATGGCAAGAGCCAAAGTGGTCCCAGAACCAATACATGGAAAGTATCTCCTTCCCTATTCACCCCTTGAAGGATGAATCAGAATGTCCTGGATGTCCTGGATGGATAGAGATGTCCTGTAGATTGTCTGACCAAGAACATCCACATTGCACTTTGCATGAGTGAGAAATAAACTTTAATGATGTTAATCCATTGTGATTTGGGATTGTTATAGCAGCTCATGTCTGTCTAAAGCAGCTTTCTACTTTAATCATGAGGTTACCTGGAAACAAATGGGGTATGTTTGTACAAAAGTACGTCATAGTGTATAAATTTCTCATTAATTGTCAAGCATAGAGTAACTGCATTTTCCCTCCCATTTTTGCAGGTATTTTGTAAGGATGATATACATTAAAAGCAAAGTATTCTGATGTTGATTTATTTCTAAAAGGAACTTGAATCAACACAGATTTGGCCAAGGTTTCTAACCATCTATATCTATAGTAGCATGCCACCAATGCATATAAGACATTTAACCCTAGGGACAAGACATTATCTGAGATCCAAATTATGAAAATATTAGGTCTAATGTGCCAAATATTATCTTTAGATATTAATACCCACATAAATTATATAAAGTTTAATCTGTAGAGGTTGATGGTTGACAAGTTCCTCACACACTGATCCTTCAGAGAGCAATTTAAGGTCTCTTACCACACTAACAGAATACACAACTAATATTTACATAGTGCTGGGCAGTACAGAGAACATTTTCCATAGATTATCCAGTTTACTCCTCACAGCCGACCTAGAAACTGAGAATTCCGATCAGTTCTATTTTACAGGTTAAGAAACACAGCCAAGTGGTAGTTATTCTGAGACAGCCTTGTAAGGAACAGCTTTACTTTATTCATCAAAGTAGCTTCAATACTTATTCCAGTGTCTGTTAAATGGTAAACACCAGAAAGAAATTCTCCAAAGAGCTAAATAAGCAAAGAACTAAATAAACAAGGATATCTTTCATGTCCTCTGATCCTACACCCATTCTGTGTGCCCATAACTCCCCTAGTATTTTAGTTGTATATCTTTCCTGGGGCTCTTACTGTACTTTTTTCTTGCATCTCCAAGAAATGTAGACTATATGCCCTATAATGACTCAATGAATAACTTAATTCTCCTCCTAAATTGAGGAAACTGGAACTCAAATGAACTCTTGGAACTTGTTCTAATTTTGTACTGGAGCAACCACAAACTGACAGATAAAGTATGCCAGTGCTTAGCAAACCTCACTACTCAATTTCAACCTTATGAATATTTTCCAATAGTAAGAGATGAAAGTAAGAAAAATTAAAAACATATCTCAATTTCCAACTCTAAAAATTAATGTTCACTCCTATCCAATCTAAAAATGTTGCCTCAGCCTGGCTAGGAAAAACGGTGATCTCAGTAGAACCTTCAAGATTAAAAGAACACTGTACTGTCTGAGTTAATCAATAACGTTCTAAGGAGAAACTTTCTTAGTTATTCACTGTTATCTAAGCAGAATTCCTCATCCCATTAATGTTTTAAGAATGGGATTTGAGGTTTATAAGTAAAGGTTATAATTTAAACGCAGCTTTTTAATACATTTAACATTTAGTGGCTTCCTATGCTTAAATATAGGGGAAAAACTGTAGAATGCATTACTTTTCCAGCTTTACTTATTTAGGGGAAAAGAAGAGAAGGGATGCATCTTCAGCAATTGGGGGACATCAAAATAATTGACATTGATGGTAAATCTAGTAGCTATAATTGTAGACTGACACATAGGGAATTGTTTCTTTCAGATCAAAAATTCAATTTCTTCTGACACATCAAAGTTATTAATTTATGTTCAATTTAGTTTGAAGTCTAGCTTTAGTTTTGTATTGGGGTCTTTTTAAAATTTACAATTTATGAAAGGTCTGTAGCCCTATTCTCATCCAGTTAATTCAACAGGAGCTACTTATGTTGTCTTATTTTCCATGCATTAAAGATGGATGGGGATCTACCCCCTACCTAAATGTTAAACTGCACCAGAAGGTGATGTGTACAATTCAAATGAAAAGAAACTCCATTGTCAGTTTGTTTCTATGTGACTGGAAGATAAGGTAGAAAGAACTTAAAATTCATTTGTATTTTGAGAATTTTACAAGAGTGGCTAATTTAACTCTCAAGATAACATCATATGAAATACATACTGGTTCTCTCTCTCTTTCTCACCATCTCCCTTGCCCCATTTTAGTGTAAGTTTAGGAAAGTGAAACTTTAAAACTTTAATTATGTCAATAATTACTCAGAGCTTTGTCTGCCTGATTCCAAAGTCACTAGTTTATTTTTTTATATAAGAAAATAAGGAGTTTCATCAATTAGATCCCTGCACTGGGGGGCTCCTTCTTATAGGATGACACTGAGGAAAATAGCACAACCTGCTTTGAGAGAATAACTCCTCCTAAATATAACTGATTAATCCTTCTCTTTTGAAGACCAAAAAAGGGATTAAATCAAGATTCAATAGAGAATTCCGATAACTATTTGCATCTTTTACTTGTCCAATCTTTGATAGTATGCTTTTATCTGTTATTCTGGATGTAAAACATATCATTAAATTGTACTTACATAAAACACGAATTGTGACCTAAACTTCAACTAAACTTTGTCTCCCATCATCTCTTTAAACAGCATTTGGTGAATATAATCTGACTTGCTCCTTCATGGAAACTCCTATAGATTGATTGGCCTTTCTGCTCTCTTATAGGAAATAAACAAATGTATGATTCTCATTGTCTCAAGAAGTCTGATTTAAGGACATTAAATGTTCAGTCCAAGATGTGAATCAATACTATGAATCTTATTTAATATAAAATCTTCCTCCCTTTTAAGATAAGAACTTGATTGAATTTGAAAGACTGCTGCATAAGACAAGAAGATTTAAGGGTCAGACTGTTGGGTTCAGTGACTTGCATTTATTTTCCTTTTTGTTCACTCCCTCCCCCAAATTAACTAGCTAGTATATCTGTGCACCAGTGTTGGTTGAGTGGGACCAGCTACAGGTAAGGGGACAGGCAACCTTTTATTTGATTGGGTCTCACTATGACTTGGCTGCACTCTCACAGAATCTGGCAAACGTTTCTTTAGAAATCTCCTTCTTAGGCTTCTCTCTCCTGCAGTTATCTCACTTTGAATGGAAATATCTCTGCATCTTTAATAAAAGTGGTTACATACAACACTCCTTAGCCCTAGGCACCTGGTAGCCCCCTGCAGTTTCTTTTTGTTGAGATTTCCCACCTATCTAGGCAGCCTTGTTGGACAGGACAGGAGGTAACTGCTCCCCAGATTACTCCCCCCTACATGGCATGTGTCTGAATCATGAGAAAAACACACCTTTTGTCTCACCACTCTGGAGTATCAGGGCAGTCCAGGGTACTCCAGGGTACTAAGACTCTCTTGGCCCTGCCCTGCTAGAAATCCACAGACCAGAATGATCCCAAATGCAGATGGAGCCGCTGAAGCTCTAGAGAATACCGCTGCCCTTTAACTGAAAGGGGGAGTATCATTCCCTTCTCCTTCCTGGGAGACGAGATGGAAATAATAGTATTCCTTTCTGCAAAATAGCCTCCCACAATCATTCAGCTTTTCTGATTTTTTAAATGTTAGTTGAAAGAGAAAGAAATGCTTAAGAGTCATGAAATAAGTTTAGATGTGTTTTTGTTGTTGTTATTGTTGTTGTTGTTAACTATGCATGTTGATTTGTCTGTTTTGGACTCTCATAAAGGATACTGGCACCTCAATTGAAACTCAGACCACGAGAGTTAAATTTAAGCATTCTATTACAGATATTTGATAATTTTACCATTTGTCAAGATATCATGGCTAGCCATAAAAAACATGGGTCATAAGTAGAAAAAGCAGGGAGTGAACATATCTGAAGCCTGTTTCATGCTAATGTGAAGGATAATAAGGTATTAGATCTCAAACCTACATGTAAATATTAAAACAGGCACTATATAGGCCAGGCAAACAAATAACACTCTGGGTGTATTTAATAGGAAGAAATATAACGCAGAGAATTAGAAGCTTACATGATATTTTGGAAGAGCTGGGGAATCCAAGTCCCGAGAAAACACCTCGCATATTATCTCAACTGCTGGTAGAGCCAAAATGAATAATTTGCTCATCTGGAAACAGAGAGCAACATCTTTCATCTAATGTCTATAGATCTCCTAGCACTTACCTCCCGGGAGAATGCACTAAAGAATAATGGCTTTCTTTCTTTCCCTTTTTTTTTTTTCTTCAATTTTTGAGATGGAGTCTAGCTCTGTCTCCCAGGCTGGAGTTCAATGATGCAATCTCAGCTCACTGCAAACTCCACCTCCTGGGTTCAAGAGATTTTCCTGCCTCAGCCTCCCAAGTAGCTGGGATTACAGGTGCCCACCATCAAACCCAGCTAATTTTTGTGTTTTTAGTCGAGACGGGGTTTCACCAGGTGCCTGGCTGATTTTGAACTCCTGAGCTCAGGTGATCCACCTGCCTTGGCCTCTGAAAGTGCTGGGATTACAGGTGTGAGCCATTGCACCAGCAGGAATGATGGCTTTCAATGCCTCTCATCTCATCAGCAAAGCCTAACTTACAGCACAACTAAAAGGGATTACCCTGTGTTCCCCAGGGAAGAGTGTAGGAGGGGGAGAAAATAGTGCTGGGTGAACAACAGACATTCCCACACAGAGATGAACATAACTTCAGTTGCTAAAACCTAGCAAAGATAAAGTGGAAAAAATTCTTAAAACCAAGTTTGGCAGTAGGAGTGAAAAATTATAAATCATCACGGCAACAAGTGACCTCAAATAAACACATGAATTAACAAAAACTCTGTAAAAATGCTCCCATACTTTGATATGAAAGAACATAGAATTGAGTTAGTTCTAAGAAAGTCTGTGTACATGTGGATACATAGATAAAATTATCTGAAGGATAATTGCTGTGGATGTCAATCTATCATCTTCAAAAACATGTGAACTGAATTAACCAATTATCATAGTACTTTTCAATTTTCCAGTAAAAGTGATCTTCCTTTAGAGAAAGCACATTATCAGATTTATCTTTTATGAATCTGAGATATGATGAAGGAGAGTGCATTGTAACAGGCTTAAACTCATCTTCTTTTAATTTTTTTATGAAAATATTTAATGTGTCATTACTTATCCTGCTCAATATGTTGACTTAAATCTTTTTATTTTTTTTTTGTACTTTAAGTTCTGGGATACATTGTCTCAGCCCAAAATCTCCTTAAGCTGATGAGCCACTTCAGCCAAGTCTCAGGATACAAAATCAATGGGCAAAAATCACAAATATTCCTATATACCAATAATAGACAAACAGAAAGCAAAATCATGAGCAAACTCCCATTCACAATTGCTACAAAGAGAATAAAATACCTAGGAATACAACTTACAAGGGATCTGAAGGACCTCTTCAAGGAAAACTATAAACCACTGCTCAAAGAAATAAGAGAGGACACAAACAAATGGAAAAACATTCCATGCTCATGGATAAGAAGAGTCAATATCGTGAAAATGGCCATACTCCCCAGAGTAATTTACAGATTCAATGCGATTCCCACCAAGCTGCTATTGAGTTTCTTCACAGAATTAGAAAAAACTATGTTAACTTTCATATGGAAGCAAAAAAGAGCTTGTATAGTCAAGACAATCCTAAGCAAAAAGAACAAAGCTGGAGTCATCGCACTACCTGACTTCAAACTATACTAAAAGGCTACAGTAAACAAAACAGCAGAGTACTGGTACCAAAACAGATATATAGACCAATGGAACAGAACAGAGGCCTCAGAAATAACGCCACACATCTACAACCATCTGATCTTTGACAAACCTGACAAAAACAAGCAATGGGGAAAGGACTCCCTATTTAATAAGTGGTGCGGGGAAAACTAGCTAGCCATATGCAGGAAACTGAAACTGGACCCCTTCCTTACACCTTATACAAAAATTAACTCAAGATAGATTAAAGATTTAAATGTAAGACCTAAAACCATAACAATCCTAGAAGAAAACCTAGGCAATACCATGTAGGACATAGGCATGGGCAAAGACTTCATGACTAAAACACCGAAAGCAATGGCAACAAAAGCCAAAATTGACAAATGGGACCTAATCAAACTAAAGAGCTTCTGCACAGCAAAATAAACTATTATCAGAGTGAACAGACAACCTACAGAGGGAGAAAATTTATGCAGTCTATCCATCTGACAAAGGGCTAATATCCAGAATCTACAAGGAACTTAAATTTACATGAAAAAAACAAACAACCACATCAAAAAGTGGGTGAAGGATATGAACAGACACTTTTGAAAAGAAGAAATTTATGGGGCCAACAAACACATGAAAAAAATTCATCATCACTGGTCATTAGACAAATGCAAATCAAAACCACAATGAGATACCATCTCACATCTGTTAGAATGGTGATCATTAAAAAGTCAGGAAACAACAGATGCTGGAGAGGATGTGGAGAAATAGGAATGCTTTTATACTGTTGGTGGGAGCGTACATTACTTCAACCATTGTGGAAGATAGTGTGGCTATTCCTCAAGGATCTAGAACTAGAATTACCAACCCAGCCATCCCATTACTGGGTATATACCCAAAGGATTATAAATCATTCATTTAATTTTTTTATACTCACCAAACACTTCAGCAAATATCTCAAGTAAATAAAAAATGTTTTAACAGAAAATGACATAAAAACTTGCTCCTGATAGCAGTGCTTGTGTGTTAGTTGCCTCTCTATTAACTGGCAACACATAGCAGATATTCTTTAAAGCATACCAAAGTAATAGCAGAGACATCTAACAACTTAACATAGTGCACACTTCATTAACTTTATCAAGGAGCCACTGACATACACCACAGTATATTCTGGAGTGTTTATTTTACACACGCACACACACACACACACACACACACGCACACACCATGACAAATGGCATTTAAGAAATGAGACATTCTGATTTTTAAAAGCTATTGCCCTGCTGGAGAATCGCTCGAACCCAGGAGGTGGAGGTTGCAGTGAGCCGAGATTGCACCATTGCACTCCAGCCTGGGTGACAACAGTGAAACTCCGTATTAATAATAATAATGATAATAAATAAAAGCAATTGCCCTGAAAGCAGAATATTTTGTATTCTATTGTTCACAATATTAAACCCAGAAACTTGTATTTGGCAAATGTAAAGCCAAGTGTAACATATTATTTATTGCTCTCTTCAGACTGGTGTAGGGACTTAGCTTTCACTTAAAATGCTAATAGTACCGTTTCTTCAAACAATGTAAAATGAGCTTTCAAGTAAAAAAATGTGTTTTTCTTGGGTGACTGCTATCCTTTAAAAAAAATAAACAGGGAAATATGTCTGCAATTGAAAAAAAAACATTGATTCTGACAGATTTTAAGCATTTTTTGCCAAGAGCTATATTTTGTATCAATGTGTATGTAGAATAACAAATATTATAAGAGTTAAAAAAACTATTGTTTGAAGTTATGCTTTTTAACTGACAGCAATTTCAAAGAACAGTAAATAAGAAAAAAACTTTCTAAGCACTGTGTGTCCTTTTGTTTTATTCTCTCATTTTGCTAGTTTCTTCTGTTCATTATTAGTTTCCATAATTCACTTCTAGCAGGTCCTCATTCCTCTAATCCTTTGCAAAAGTGGTGGGATTTATCTCTGGTTATTGTGTTAGTCAGGTTTCTCCAGAGGAATAGAAAGAAACATCTGGATGTATGTATATACTACTCAACTTACTATGAAGTTATGTCCTGACAAATCCGTCATGAATTGATAATATCATGTCAAAAATACATTTAATACACCTAACCTATGGGACATCATAGCTTAGCCTAGCCTATCTAAACGTGTTCAGAACACTTAGCATACAGTTAGGCAAAATCATGTAACACAAAGCGTATTTTACAAAAAAGTGCTGAATACCTCATGTAATTTATTGAAAACTGTACTAAAAGTGAAAAACAAGATGATTGTATGGTATTTTAGTCCATTCTCACACTGCTATAAAGAGCTACCTGAGACTGGGTAACTTATGACGAAAAGAGGCTTAATTGATTCACAGTTCTCAGGCTGTACAGGAGGCATGGCTGGGAGGCCTCAGGAAACTTACGATCATGGCGGAAGGTGGAGGGGAAGAAAGCAGGTCATACCTTGGCAGAGCAGGAGAGAGAGAGAGCGAAGAGGGAGGTGCTACACACAGTTTAAAAAACCAGATCTCATGAGAACTCACTCACTATCCTGAAAACGGCAAGGGAGAAATCTGCCCCCATGATCCAGTCCCCTCCCGCCAGGCACCTCCCCCAACACTGAAGATCATAATTCAACATGAGATTTGGGTGGGGACATAGAGCCAAACTGTATCATATGGGTACTCCCAGCATGATTTCTACTGAAAGTATATTGCTTTTGCATCATTAGAGTGTTGAAAAATCATTAAATCAAATTGTCCATAAGTCCATGTTTTTTGTATGTACGTATGTACGTATTTGTTTATTATAAGGAATTGGCCCACCTGGTTATGGAGGCTGAGAAGTTCAGACTCAGAAGAACTGAGGATATAGCTGTCCTTGGTCTGAAGGTCTGAGAACCAGTAGAGCCAATGATGTTCCAATCTGACTCAGTTCCAATCTGAGTCTGAGTGTGAAAGCAGGAGAAGACTAATATCCCAGATCAAAGACAGCCAGATGGACAAATAATTTTTTATTATTCAGTCTTTTATTGTATTCAGGCCTTCAATGGATTGTAAGAGGCCCACGTGCATTGGGGAAGGGAACGTGCCTAACTGTGTCTGCTTATTCAAATGTTAATCTCATCCAGAAACAGCCTCACAGAAACATCCAGATGTTTAACCAAATATCTCGGCAGCCTACAACCCAATCGAGTCAACACACAAAATTAAGTATCACAGTTACCCGTATAAAAATACTTGCATTTGTCTGAAAGAACATTGAATATTAAAATTAAACTTGTCAGGGGGAGCCTGTCAGCCTGACAGTTGACTAAGTGGTGTTTGTGAAGTAAAGCACCTTGTTGTCCCTGTAGTGGATAAATTGAGACCCAGCATTATTTATCATGAGATATAGTATGATGTTGCCACCTTTTGTACAGTTTAACTCTGCAGTTGTAATAGAATTCCAAAAGTTACATTCCCTGTGTTCTCCTCACATCTGGGAGATGAAGGAATAAAAGCATTAAATATAAGTATAAGGCTTCTACTTATACTTTAAGTATAATAAAAGCCTTAAGCATAAGGCTTTTATTTGAAGGAACTGTCTGAAACATACATAGAATCCATAATAATTATTACTACTCACAGGCACATTGTTCAGTAAATATTTAGTGAGTGTCTATTATGTTCCAACCACAATTCTAGGGTCTAGACATAGGGTAGCCCAGAATAGAAAATGGCTTTGAGGAGATTGGAGTTTTGCCACACATTTTCTGTAATGAAATAAGTTTAATTAAAGTGAAAAATACCACAACTATCATCGTATTCTGATGAGTTGACAGTTGTACAGAAGGCACTAAGGTCAAATAATATTTGACCAGTACTATTTTTTACAATGTCAGGTTTTAAAATAATCCTAATTCCAACAGTCTTCACTTCTATATCAGGGGGAATGCAGTAAATCACATGTCCTCTTGAGTCCTTTGAACTGGATCACTATACTTTTGTCTACCACTTACAGGTTACTTAATTCTAAAGACCAAGGGCCTTTTCTGTCACCAATACATCACACAAACCTGGTGTTGGGAGTTCAGTATCCATCATCTCTCTATCTTGTGATTCAAACCTATTTAACAATACATGAGAAAGTTTGGCCCTGTGCTAAATCAACACTTCCTGACGGGGGAATAAATAAATTCTGGGGTTGGGAAGCTTTGTTAGCTTCTACACGACTTGTGTTGCAGTGGGGACTAAGAGAGCATTGTCAGCAATTTGTCTGACCTGGCCCACTCAGATATGACTATACTTCCTCAGCTTATCTGTGAGGTGGGAAAAATCATACCAGATAGGGTTATATTTACAACCAGAAATTAAATCACCTACTATTGCATAGAATCTAGAAATGGAGAAATAGCGTCTGTGGAATAGTGGTGTTAGTATGAAATGCAGATGGGACAGTGAAGGCTACAGGCGACGAGGCACTCTATGGTTACATTGAAGAAGTGACCGCAGGACTCTTGCAGTTGTCAGGACTAAAAATAACCCCCACTCCAGAATATTTAAGCAGCACAGAGAAGCTTCAAAACCAGCTCTTTCATTTCATAGGAAGAGTTCCAACTAGCATAAACATCTGCCTGAAGTGATTTTTAGGTTATTTATGCCAGTGATTGAAATGAAAAAAGAGTCGACTGTAACTCTGTCTACAAACATTAAGGGGTAATGCACAGACAATTGCTTAGATTATATAATTTATATTCCCAGTTACAGATAAAATGTTGCTCCTGGTTTCTGCTTTAAGGTTCACACATATACATACAGGTACATGTATACATTTAAATTCATATGTGTCAATTCAAATATTTAAAATATAATGTGACTTGCACCAGTATCCCAGAATGTCAACCACTTGATTGATTTATAATCTAGTTAATTCTACATGAACAATAGTAGTTGAATTTCAAAGATGATGGCATTGTTTTCACAGCAGATGGCATTTTTGTTTTATTAAGCACCACAGTTCAGACTGCTATGAATCTGAACAATGTATCTGCAGTTACAAATCAACAGTTATTTCAGATTTTTTTTCAAATGTATTTCAGGACTCTTCTCTGGTTTCTTGATGTTTATGGGGTTTTGTTTTGTTTTGTTCTGTTCTGTATTGTTTTTCTGGCCAGCTTACTTATCCAATTTCATGAAGACTTCTGTATATTTACTTTGTATTGACATACAGCTGAGCAATGACAAAAAGAGGTAAAAACATTTTAAATATCCACCAAAGCATGTTTTTACATATTGACAAAAATAGGGACTGGAGAAATAACGGCATACAGATCAGTTCGTGGCTTAGATATCTGAACTGTTTCTTTTTACTGTTAAGCAGGCCGAGAATAGGAGAGCTATTTCAGAATCTTTGTTCAATAAAAGGGATCATGATCCAAATCAAACACTGTCTCATATTTTCAACAAAGCTTCTTGGCTTTTACAATGTAAGCATTAAATACATTTATTTGTAAGGTATTTTGGTGATCATTTTTTGGTCATGACACACATATGAACTCACATGTAGCTGACGGTCAAAATACTAGACTGTATTTTTTAAAGGAGCAGAGGCCTCAACTGTATTGTTCACACTTATTTTACAGACTGATGTATCAACCAGGGAATGACTCTCATGCACAGTTACTTTCTCAATGTTCCTCAGATTCTACTTAGAGTCAAGGTTGAAACCAATGGGCTAGAGCAGTGCTTCCAAATTTTTAATATGCATGCAAACCAGCTGAGTATCTTGATAAAATGCAGATTCTGATTTAGTAGGTATTGGTTGGTTCATGAGAGTAGGAATTTCTACAAAGTTCCTTGGTGATGCCAAAATCACTGTTCCATATACTTCAAGTTGTATAGTGGGGATCAAAAAAATATGGCAGCAATAATTGAAAGCTCAGCAAAATGCCACACTTTAAACCATAGCTATATTGTCCAATATTCTTTTGAACAATGCAATACAGAAACCTCGACATTTACAATTACAAATAGATGTATATTACTGTTGTTTGTTTTTTCCAATGGAGATTTATGATGCATTGCCAAATTGGCCTTTAATTGGTTATGCTACCTACACTCATTTTCCCAAGATCCAATTGTTAATAAATATGCATTCTGAATAACTGTTACATGAAAACCTATAAATATTTAAATATATTATAAAGCCCATTACACTAAATATGCTGTAAGGTAAAAATATAACAAAAATTAACTGGTGTATTATAATAAGAGCAGACTTGGTTAGTTGCTTGGGAGTATACTCCCTGAACAATTATTGCATAAAATTATTACATAAAACATTTAAAAAATTATTGCTAATCAAGATGTTGTCTATTATTTCTCTTTGCATTTTCCAAAATATACAACTGCTATACATTTCTAAGTGAATTCTGAAGCATCTTAATCATTTTGTGAATGTAGAAACCATTAGGCATCACATTGAATCTAGAATTTTTCCTCACATTGATAGCTTTACAGTCACAATCTTCCAAATCCACCAAGGGTTTGCTTTGATTTCATGTTGTGGGAACATCTATTTGGTACAATACAGGAAATAACAAATGTGGTAGTTTGCTCTTATCCATTTCTTAAAATATTTTTTACCCCATATTATGTTTTGCTAGGAGCAAGGCCAAAGTCCTCATTTGTTGCATTTTGGCAATGTGCATTTGGCAAGTTCATTTTATTGCTTGGTTATGACAAGATGTGTTCAGAAAAGTGGTGAAGTTTCATGCTATTTGTGCAGAATTCCTTCTTTGTTAGTGGTGTGTGCAAAGCCATCTGTTCTCTGTAGAGCAGCAGTGATGGCTTGTGTAGGACAGTAAGCACTTGTCAGCGCCTGGAAGATGGTCCTCTGCATAAATCATTATCCTGTCTTTATGTCTCACAAGCAGTGAACCCTTTTTAGGCTGCATTTCTGGCTGAGGTTGGCATACACTGGGGGAAGAGTATCAGAGTCAAGGAGAGTTGCTTATTAAATTACTCATCTCACTTTTACAGAACAGCTGCTAAAGCAAACTGGCTAAAATATCTTCGTTATCCACAGCATATGTTTGAATACAGATGCTCACTCTTAGCAATTCAAAGAGCCGAGGCTGTGTAGGTTGATAAATGTTCAGCTTTTACATACGAAGCAGAGGTTAAACGGATATGTCAAGATGCTTAGCTTGCCCTGCTTTACTTTTAGCTGAAGAATAAATGGTGGCAGACTTCCGACTAGGCTACCATCTAATCCTAGCATGTGAAAAACATAGCGAAAGTATTCATCTGTTGCTTTTAATAATGTCATTGGCCCCATTTTATTGTATTAGTTTTTTAAATGACAAAAACACCTTTAAATACTATTCAAATCAGGACAAATCATAGAGTGATATATTTATTCATGCAATAAGATATGCAAGCACATAAATCCCTAATATAATTTCTTGTGGGGCTTACCATATTGGAGGCAGACAGTTCAGTACAAAGGACTACTTATTAAAGGCTAATGCATTAAATTATATAACTGTCACAAGATATGGCAATTTGCCTTCTGGAACTTGAAATCAGACCACTAGCAAATTCTCATGGGTCACTGAATATCCATCAAATTACAGCAACTTTTAGTCATGCTTTATCTTGACAGTGTTTGTATCAGTGACCTAGAGATGAAAGGTTTTATAACTCATTACAAATCCCCAATCAATCAAGTGATTCTGATTTGAGGAAAGAAGCTTCATTTTCTTTTTTTATTTTTAGTCAATACCTAAATTAATTCCTGAGTTGATTTTAGCCCCAAAATGAAGGGTAAAGAAAACCTAGTTTTCACTTTGAACTGTTTTTTTCCCTACATGAAGAATTGGCTCAGTTAAAAATTATCATTATTCTTAGCAAATTAAGAAAACATTGAAAATTATGCTGGCATAGGCTGTTTGGGTTAAAACTCTTTTTCCTGATAGGTCTTTATTAAATGCATTTGATGGAAGGACCTTATTTTTAATACTTATGGTTGCGTAAGTATTCAAATCTACAACAATTCCCTAGGGCGTATATAAGCCCGTGCAGTATTTAACATATTCTTTGATTAGCTAGATACTTAATCATTCTTATCCATATTTACTGCTCAATCCACAATATCACTGCTAATTTAAACAAAATTCTGCATCTGATTTCTTTTACACGGTCAGATTCAGTTCATTCTCAATTTTTAGTATTAAGAGAAAGGGCAATAAAGTAAAGCTCAGGGAAAGTTAAAAATAATCAAAGACTGCATTATTCTTCAAAGGAATTCTTAAGCCATTCTTTCAAATATTGTGAGAAATTCTTTTGTGAACACTGAATTTATCATATGTACAAGTTACTGATATTACAGAATATGTGGGAATGTGACCTAATACTAGCAAGAAAGATGAACGTAGAAAATTCGAGTGACAAAGATCCATTCTTCTATTAAAATATTGAAAACTGGATCACTTTCAAGAAATTGCAACATGAAACAAATTGTCACAAAGCAGGCATAAGATGTGAAGAGGCATAAAGTTTTATAGAATTTTTTAAAAATAATAATAATCTGTGTAATTTGGAAAATGTCACTTAAAAACATGAGGTGCAGAAAAGATTCTTACTTTTCTTATTTTTTAGAGCTGTTGAGAGAATTCCAGGTATGTGCAAAGAAAGCACTTTTGATTTAAAAAATATGTACAAATGGGAAGAATTTTACCTATTCTACATCTACCTTCATTCTAAGTGTTATATGGACATATTCTCAATGATTAAATGATGGAGTTGGCTACTCATTTCTTCTACTGTTCTTTTCTAGACTAGAAAAGTAACCTCATTGGCTATTGGCAATGTTTGTTTAGCCTGCTCTGTGAATCACTTTTGTTCTAACTCTTCTCTTAATTCCTGAAGGCTGTTTACAATCTGTCTTCTGATGACTGAAATTTTGTGTTTTATACAGTTATTTATTTTTCCTTTAAATTATACTTACCTATTATCTTATAATATTTTTAAAAGAATACAAATACAAAATTATTTTTTCTTGTATTCTCCGCAGTACATCATTTTTTATAATGAAAAATATTAAATTTATGAACTATATACACTATGTTTCCATGACAATTATTTTATGATTGCAAAAATAATGTTTCTAAAATTTACTATATAATATTCTGTTTTACAGATACATGATAGGTTCAAGTATCACTTCTCCGTTGTTAGAGAGTTTTTTCTTTTACTTTTTTATTTTTGCAGTTTTAAAATAGTAGAATTATGAATGAACATCTAAGAGACTAAATCTTCATCTGCCTTTGCAAACATTACCTATAGGATTTCTTTTAAATTAGTGTATTATTTTTCCACTTCATTGAATCTGTCATTTCAAGGCTTATCAATTTAATTTAGACAAATTCAATGTCATTTTTCAAATCCCATCTTCACTGACTTCTCTGGAGAATTGATTCCAGTCAGTGAATTGACCTTCTTGAGTCTCTCAACTCTTTCACTTTCAGTGGTTAATATTTGATCTAGGCTTGCATACTTCATTTAAGCAGTTGCAGAGGCAACAACTTCCTTTCAACTCAAACTCTAGGGTTGCTCTCTATGTGAAATGAAAGCAAACACTATGAATCTTAGTGTAATAAAATATTGCCTCAAATTTTTATCATTGTGGAACTTCATCTTTCCTAATAATTCACCTCCTGGTCTCTAAATACTAGCATCTAGTATATTTTGTTTAGCCTTATGAATATACATTCATGATTATCCTGACACTTTTTTTTTGTCTTCTTTGTCTTTCTTGATTAGTTTATTTTCCACTTTTTGAGGGTTATCTGTTAGGTGAATCTTACAGACAGAAATGTGCATAAGTCATAAACATACAGCTTGAGGAATGTGGCAGGCAGAATAAAAGATGGTCCCCAAGATCCCCACGACTATGTGCCTTCTCTTGAGTGTAAGCAGGACTTGTCAACTTGAAGAGATTGGCTCCTGTGATTACATCATTTTAAATAACAAAGCTGATATTAAGGTCCAAAATCAGTTGACTTTGAGTCCAAAGGAGATTATTTCAGGTGAGATAACCTAATCAAATTAGCCTCTAAAAACAGTCCAGACCTTCCCTGAAGGGAGAGCTTTGAGGTCAGGGAGATTTTCCTACTGCCCGAAAGATTCAAAGAGCCAGTCTTCAAAGGGCCTTTGGGAATTGTGGGAGGCTTTTTGAACAGCAACCTCCAGATGACCGTTAACAAGAAATCGGAGACACGAATGCCACATCTGCAAGGAACTGAATGCTGCCAACATCCATGTGACCTGGGAAGAGGAACCTCGAGCTCCAGAAAGGAACACAGTCCAGCCAACACCTTGACTGCAGCAAGACCTGGGAAAAGGACCCTGAGAAGTGAACCAGCTAAGCCATGCCCGGACTGCTGGCCTCAGAAAACTGGATGATAAGAAATCTATGTTGTATCACACCACTTAGTTAGTGGGATATTGTTACACAGCAATAAAAGACTAATATAACACACAGGTAACAAACACTCAGATCAGACCACCTGAGAGTTTCAGCACTACAGGAGCCCTTCTCTTGCC
Source organism: Homo sapiens (assembly GCF_000001405.40). Taxonomy (NCBI): domain Eukaryota; kingdom Metazoa; phylum Chordata; class Mammalia; order Primates; family Hominidae; genus Homo; species Homo sapiens. The sequence goes on from NC_000021.9 coordinate 20,947,395, forward strand.
CTTTAGTTGCTACACCCCTAGACATATTAATAATGATCCTGCTTAGTACAACAAAGGAGTTTTGCCTATTTTTGAACTTTATATGATTGCAATCATATGCTACACACTTTTTATGTTAAGCTTCTTTCACTCAGTATTTGAGATATTTCTTCATTTTCTGTGTAGCAACAGTTCATTCATCCTCACTGCTATATGGTATTTAATTTTATGAATACAGAACAATTTATTCATTTGGCAATTGAGAGGAATTTTGGATGTTTCTAATTTGGGGTTGTTGAACATATTATTCTTTAACTCGTCTTGTTTGTGAACATATTGTGTGTTTCTGTTGTATATCTAGGATTAAAATGCCTGGATCATAGGGTTTGCACATTTCCAGCTTTACTAATCAATGCCCAACAATTTTCCAAAAAGTCAGAACAATGTACATCCTTAAATCCTTTTGTCTTATTGAACTGTAGGAATTCTTTACACGTGTTGGATATTCTTATTTTATTGTATCTGCAAATACTTTCTCCCAATGGCTTTCCTTTTCATTCATTCAAAGTTGAATTTTGGTTAATAGAAGTATCAAGTTTTAGTGCAGTCTGCTTTACCTCTTTCTTTCAAATTTAGCTCTCTTTGTGCCCCACTCAAATATCATTTGCCCATTCAGTGTCTCAAAGATATTATTATATAATTTTTTTCTAAACTCTCATTTTTTTGTGGTTTACATTTAGATAAAAAACCCATCAAATACTTTGAGGGGAGTAGTATGGTGGGAAGTAGAGCTCAGGAAATGTTTTATTTTCTGTGTGAATACCCGATATATCTAGCCCCAGTTATTGACAGCATACCTCCCCATTATGCCACAGTGTCAACACTCTCATTGTCAGGGAGCTGTTTATGTAAGGGTATGGTTCTGCAATGTATTCTGGTCCACTTTTCTACTTATGTATGTACTATGCTAACCCAATTACTATATTTTTCTAATAAATGATGTATCTGTTTATTTCTTCTTCAAGATGGCCTTGATTATCCTTGGCCTTTGCAGGTCTATATAAATTTAGATGGGAACTTGTTTATATACACACACACACACACACACACACACACACACACACACACAGTACAAAACTTGCTGGAATATTAATTGGGCTATCATTGAAACTGCTTATCAAAGCACGCAAAAATGACATGTTTATATCATTGAGTTTTCCCATCCCTCCATTTTTTTGTCATCTAATTTTACCCAGATATTTTTAAATTTTTATTTATTTTTTTCTTTTTTTAATGTTAGGGAGGGACTAAGCAGAAGTCAAAAACAGGTGCTTAGTCAGAAAGTAAGACTTGGGCATAAGAGAAATAAAAACCTCAATTGAAGATCTGATCTTCAGCTTCTACAGAACAAACTCCCTTTAGAAATTTCAATAATTAGAGAAGTTTCTCCTATTTGTATGTTAAAGAATAAGACACTGTCTGATACAATGACTTCAGGGGGTTGCCATGACCTTCTAAGGGTTATTTTCTGTTTGCATGCAAGGACTACTTCCCTTCCTTTCTAATTTCTTAGTCAGCTTGCTTAGTTTCCTTTGCTTTTTTCTTTCTTTATCTTTCACTTTTAAAGTAAGCTAACCCAAATTTCCCCTGAGATCTACTAAAAATTTGATCCCTGCTACCAAATTCCACCCCACCAACCATCAAAAAGCCTTTTAGTACATAGTATGCCTGTAAAATTTCGTAAGAAATTCACCCTGACTCCAAACCACCCACCAGCAGGGCTGCCCACCTATTATTTTGTTATTCCTGGAAATTTGACATTTTTTGATGACAGAATAAGGGGAAATAACATTTTTAAATATATATAGCACGTTTGTTGCTAGAATATGGAAATACAAATAACTGGTTTACTTATGTAGTTTTCCAGGTTTCTGGTGACTTTATTAAACTCTTCTTAATTATAAGTGTTTGTCATTAAAATTCTAGATTTTCTACAATAAATTGGTGTCATCCACAATTAATTGCTATATTAACTTTTTCTTTCTAATTGTTTGCCTTTGTTTTCTTCATATTTTATAGTATGAATTCCAGTAAAACCTTGAACAGAAGTGGTGATGGCAGGTATGTTTTTTCCTCATTTCTAATTTCCAAAGAATACATGCAATTTAAAAAAAATGAATTATGTATTGTTTTTCTTTATTTATATGTGTGTGCATATGTGCATGTGTGTTTTTTCACAACTTAAGAGAGTTTCCTTCTATCCCAGTTTGCTAAGAGTTTATGTCATAAATATATGTTGAATTTCATCTTTAATATTTCTGTATCTATATAAAATTATACATTTTTCACTATTTTGTTAATGAAGGGGGATTGATTTTTCAAATATTAAGACATTTTTATAACTGAAATAAGCCCTAGTTGATCTTTATATTATCCTGTTTGAGTATAGATGCAGGGAATTTTTATTACAGTTTAATAGTATCAAACCACAAAATTACAACAAATTTAATTTTAAGCTGTGATTGGCTTTTATTTCTGACTCTGGAGTGGAGTAATACCTCAATCTATAAAATAGAAAAAATATTCTAAGGGGCTGGGCAGAGGAGATTCGATTTACACATAGAAGAGCACTACAGAAAGCGGAAACAGGAAACAATTAATTAGATTGGTCCTTTCAAAGTTATTTTCCTTATAGGGTTAAAACAGAGGAGACTTCCTTATTATGCTGACTCAGATTGACTAGAATCTCCTATTTTTTGTGAAAATTGGATCGTTTCAAAGTTCAATTTAACTACATGGCACTTAGCACAACTGACTCCATTCTGGTTTGGTGTGGTCAGCTGGGCATAGGGCAAGAGGCTAGTCCAAACGATGGCCTCTGATAAACCTTAGCAATGGCATATCTTTTTCTGCTTTGTAACTTAAATCTCTCTGTGTCCTTTACTTTGATTTGCAGCTCTTGTAAACAGTATATGGTTGTGTTTATTTTTAATCAAGGCTGACCATCTTTGATCTTTATTCTTAGTATTTAGTTCATATTTAGATGATTAATGATATATTTTGCATTCATGTCTTCCTTTCTAATTTTTTTATTTTACTTATCCCTTTTTATTTCTCTCCCCATTTTTTATTTTGCGCTAATAAAAATTCTATTTTTTTATCTTTACAAACTATAAAAGTATTTAAAATGTTAAGGGTTAAACTAGAGATTATATCCTGCATCTTTGATTTATTATTACTTTTTCAAAATAGTTTTATTCTGAAATTTAACCAATCACTTGTTAATTCTCAGTTGTTTGCTTTTAATACAGTTTTGTTTCCAGAATATTTTCCACTTCACAAATGCTTTAAGATTTAATTATCAATATTCAAAATTAGTAATAGCCAGAGACCAGAAATCAAACTCCCCTCTGAGCCTTCCTTCAGAAGTTTGGAAGAAAAATAATTGTTTTACTAGAAAATGATCTTTGGAGTAAAAGCAGGGAAAGAAGGGCTAGGACTGACAAAGACCAAGGCCATAAAAAGGTATTTGTTTTGAAATTCAGACATAGCTAATTCCAACTAGCTTCTAGAAGTTTAAAAAAAATCATCTAAACAAAGAAAACCCAGAGAAGGGAATCAGAAATATTTTAAAATTTTTAGCTTAATTGATCCTATTCTTGATACATTCTGAGCTTACCACAACAGTTTCTTACTTTTCCTTATTTATAGGTTATCCTTTTCAACACCCTGCATGCACTAAATACTGCTTCTTCAATAATGTCTTTGCCATTTCTACTTACTACACCAGTGATATTTTCAAAATACTCATTTTTCTATTTTCCTAAAAATAATTCATGTGCAGTATCTACTTTAATTGAATTTTGTAAATTTCTAATTGCATATATCTTATCAATCAATGATATAATGTACTGTGTCAAAATTACTAATCATCCTGAATTTATCTAGAATGGGAATTCCAAAATTTTCCAACCCAGAATAGTGGCAAAGGGGACATTCCCTCTAATAGCTGTGGTGGTGATCGTGGTGGTAGATGCTTGTTTTCTAAAATTTAATATTGAATAACCGGCCTCTTATCATTTTAGTTTTACATTTTTGCGTTTAATAATATTTAAAAGATTTCCTTTAAAATGAAAATGTGGTTGCAAAACAAGAACTACTTACTAATAATTTACAAAATATTTTGTAATAAATTACAAAATAATTTTAGGATCTCACAATATCAACCATACTAAGATTTCAAGCTGCGTTTTCAGCAAATTAGGGTAAAAATGACTCAAAATTCTAAATGCTATCTTAGATTAAAACTTGAATACAACTGCATTTCTGTGTCAGGTACTAATTTTATCTCTGAACTCCTGTCCCTGACTGTGCCAATTATGTCTTTTGTACTTATTATAGATCTATAGAAAAATTGCCTAATACATTCAGATAACACAAAATTCCTGTAATTTTTTAAAATAAAATTGTGTGCACTTTGCATCTTTTGTAAGTTGAGGTTAAAGTATGATAATATCTGTAATTGGCATATGAAAGCAAGTGAATTAAAGCATTTATTTCTTTCCAATTACAAATTAAAAATGGCTTCCCATGGAAAAATAATAAACAATATGATATAGCAAAAAAACTGAAAGTTGTATTGACTGTGAAAGAATTAAATTTGCTTTTACAGGACATTTATTGTATATTTAACTGAAGATATTAAACCAAACACATTAAGTTAGAAAAGACCACAAGGACTTTAAAGAGGATGCAAATTTTAGCAAAATATTTAGATGTAAAGCCTGTTTCTTTCAACATTAATAAATTGTCATGTTTCAAAAACTTTATTTAGTTTTGCTCTGCAAGTATTGGCACAAGTTTTTCATAACTTATCTAAGATATAAATATGAATTATTAGTCAAAATGAGAATTAAAATTCATAGCATTCCACTGACATGACCAAATACTATATTTGAATCCATAACGTACCACTGAAATGGCCAAATATTACATTTTATAAGACTATAACTTACATTGTTTTTTAAAATAACTATGAAAGTAACTACTATCTTAAAGGGGGTATTTTTACTAGAATATTATTACATATCCTGGTAAAGATCTCCCCAACTTTTTTCATTATTTCCCACTACAATGTTCTTCCCTATGTTCACAATATAAAGAATAGCAGGTAAATGCTAACAGATGTCATCAAAAAACAAGAAAAAGAAAAATTTCGGCCCTATTGCTTTAGGTAAAGCTACAAAGGTAGCATTTGATTGTTATTCTCATGATAAAGACATTAGGACAGGCTACATATTAGCAAGAGAAATTATTTCCATCACATAAATCTGTGACATAAACACTATTTATAAGGTGTAGGAAATTCTGCATATGTTTAATTACTTTTATCCCGAGGCCTCAGTTCACCAATTGTCTTAATTTTCAGCCTAGACGAATTATGCTTGTTTGTTCTAAATTTCATTCAGTTTTGGGCAGGATGTTTTGATCTTCCCCAGAAAAATTAAAAATTGAAAAATAACACTTGTCTTTCTATAACAGTACAATTCCAATTCCTTCCATTTCAATGAATCTCTGATTGGAACCTCAGGGTGGAATTTGCAGCATCCAATTCTGGATGTCTTTCTCATATATGGGATTTTTTTATTGTTTTGGAGAAAAAAAAATCTGGGCCGGGTGCACTGGCTCACACCTTAATCTCAGCACTTTGGGAGGCCAAGGTGGGCGGATCACCTGAGGTCAGGAGTTTGAGACCAGCCTGGCCAACATGGTGAAACCCCTTCTCTACCAATAATATAAAACTTAGCCAGGCATGGTGGTGGGCGCCTGTAATCGCAGCTACCAGGGAGGCTGAGGCAGGAAAATCGCTTGAAACTGGGAGGCAGAGGGTGCAGTGAGCCCAGATCGCGCCATTGCACTCCAGCCTGGGTGACAAGAGCAAAACTCCATCTCAAAAACAGACAGACAAACAAACAAATAAATATATATATACACACACGTGCATATACATATACACATATATATACACACACACATATATATACATATATATACACACATATATATATGATTACCTAACTTTTACAAACAATAAAAAATGAAAGTTTGCATCTTTTGGCACAAGAGGTCTCGCTGTACTTAAGCTTTTAGAGACATCTGAATGTATTACAAGGAAACTGTGCTTTATAATAGATGAAGAGGTAGTTTGTTATCCTGTAAGTTTACAAATGTTTACAGACATGTAAAGGTTCCTTTATGCTTGAGAATTCAAAGTTGTCCAAGGAAACATATGAGTTTTCTGTCTTCCTTTATTCTAATAAAACAGGGACAAGAAGAAAAATGTAGTATAAGGATATTGAACTTATTATTTTTAAAGACTTTTAAGAGTCCATAATTGTAGCATTTGCCTAATCACAATGGCCTTGTTTCTTCTGCTTGTTTGTTTTGCAAGTGAATAATCAAGTAAAGATGGTTATTGGTCTGCTCATTGTGTAATATATTTTGTAATTTAGGACTTTTAAAAATCTTTACTGAGAACTATAATTGTGTATGCATGAACTGAAAACCACAAATTAAGCTGCTGCTTTTATTTTGACGTGACATAGAAATTCAGAGTATAATATGGGGACTGGGGCTTCGTTTCTCCAATCTAGAGTTATCACTTATGTCTCTTCTGGGATAAGCTATTTCATATAGAAATCAGTTTAACAAAAGTATCTTTCTGATGTCACTTCTGGAGAGACTCACCCACATATGTGGGGTTCTTCCTTCAGTCAGTAACTCTGACATTATTTTCCTGAGTATTAAAGTTCATTACAATTCCAATCTCTCTCTCTCTCTGTGTCTCTCTCCCTCTAATTTAATCTCTTCTTGTCCTTATATAATATAACTTAGTATAATATAAAATTCTCTATTTAAAGTTTGTAGACTTTAGGAAGACCTTGTTTGAAACCTCATTCTACAATTATTAGATAAGTGTTATAGAGAAAGATCTGACTTTTGTTTTCTCATCTGTGAAACCAAAATACAGGACATGACATACGAGTTTGTTGTGAGGAAGGAGATGTTCAATGCATTGTCCCTAGCATGATACCTAAAAACAAGAACTGGTTAATGAATAATGTATTCATCATTAACCTCCTTGTCTTATATTTTAATCACAGAAAACTTGTTATACCTATGTTATATGGTGTAGAAATTGTAATGAAGTGGTATAAAATATGGTAAGAGAGACACTTAAATTTTTTAGATAAATGTTTTGCAGTAAAGCTTTTCATATTCAAAGACCTAGAATCTAGTTTTGTTATTTAATGAATGACACATTTTCCAATTAATTTGAGAAGACATCAGTTTAAGCCTCTAAGTAGCAAGACATCCTTTAACCCTTTACGACAGAATTTTGAAATTAAAGATCAGTTTGTTGCTAGAATATGTTTTCCCAATTTTTAAAAAGACTAGAATAGTGATAAAAAGAAGAATGAAAAGGATTTAATTACCTTTATTTTACACTGTAGGGGGTGTGCAAAGAACTAAAAACATAGGGAAGAAGAAGTAAGAGGAGTTAATAAAAATAGTTTTCAAAGTAAAATTAGGGGTTATGCCTCAGTCAAAGAAAAATTTCAAAAATGAGTATAAAAGTGTCAGATACTAAGCCCTGGAGAAAATAAATTTACTATCAACAAATTCCACCTGTATTTTATGGATGATCAAACTGATGTTTAGAGTTTAAGTTGCTTGCACAAAGTGATAATAGTAGGTAATAGCAGAGCTAGATCTATAACTCAGATCCCTTAATATGTTGTCCTTTTTTTTTTTTTTTTTGGCATGGGCAAGGACTTCATGCCTAAAACACCAAAAGCAATGGCAACAAAAGCTGAAATTGACAAATGGGATCTAATTAAACTAAAGAGCTTCTGCACAGCAAAAGAAACTACCATCAGAGTGAACAGGCAACCCACAAAATGGGAGAAAATTTTCGCAACCTACTTATCTGACGAAGGGCTAATATCCAGAACCTACAATGAACTCAAACAAATTTACAAGAAAAAAACAAACAACCCCATCAAAAAGTGGGCGAAGGACATGAACAGACACTTCTCAAAAGAAGACATTTATGCAGCCAAAAAACACATGAAAAAATGCTCACCATCACTGGCCATCAGAGAAATGCAAATCAAAACCACAATGAGATACCATCTCACACCAGTTAGAATGGCAATCATTAAAAAGTCAGGAAACAACAGGTGCTGGAGGGGATGTGGAGAAATAGGAACACTTTTACACTGCTGGTGGGACTGTAAACTAGTTCAACCATTGTGGAAGACAGTGTGGCGATTCCTCAGGGATCTAGAACTAGAAATACCATTTGACCCAGCCATCCCATTACTGGGTATATACCCAAAGGACTATAAATCATGCTGCTATAAAGACACATGCACACGAATGTTTATTGCGGCACAATTCACAATAGCAAAGACTTGGAACCAACCCAAATGTCCAACAGTATGTTGTCTTTTTTCTCCTGCTCCATCATGACACTAATAGCAAAAGCCACTAAACCAGCCACTCACTGCTCTCGGTGCTAAAACAACAATCCAAGTTCAAGAAGTATAGACTGAAATAATACAGTATCAGTCATTTCTCAAACTATGTTCCAAATAAAAGCAGGTCCTATGAAAGCCTTAATGGAAAGCAACAAGAGTGGCTTTGGATTCTAAAATATTTAGAAAACTCAAGTATTCCTCTCCACTACGTGCATTTAGTGTGTTAAGGGAGCAGAGACATCCTAAAGTAAATAAAACCATTCAAATTGTTATCACTCCTTGGTTATTATAATTAACACATTTTTGTTTATGTTCATGCAAATATTGAATAAACAAACTAGACATTATTCTATTAAAGAATATGCTTTGAATAATGGAGCTCTTTGTCAATTTCCCATGATTTGCGAGAACCAAACAAGAGCTCAGATTCAGAGACGATTATCATTTCTCTGACTTCCAGTCCTAATAATGATTTCCTTCCACATTTAGAGTTTTCCTTGAACCCATAAACTAGAATATTAGGGCCCTAGACTTTAATTTAATTTACTGAAATAATTTTATTGCAAATATTCATGTGATTTATTATGAATAAGATGCACCATCTTGAAACCATTTAACAAGTCAGGCTTAAAGCACCTGTGTCGTGATTTGTATATTATATTTAGAGGCAACATTTTAAAGCAAGTCTGTGGGGACTTATAAATGTTAGAACCTCCCAGCCGAGCCATAAAACTAATCTTCACTGATTTTTAAAATGTATTTTCTATTTGAACCGTTAGTATATAGAGTTTATTTTCACATGGCACAGTTTATCTGAGTATTTTCGGGTGTCTCTCAGATCACAGTGTAATAATTCAACATCACTTAAATACAGCCCCTCTAGTGTACTGAAGGTGATGTTACTTTTGGCTTAACTAGATTTTTGGTGCAGTGGAATAAATCTTAAATTTAAAATCAGGACACTGTGGTTCAAGTCCTTGCTAGGTCGAGCATCAATTAATGACTTAATGTCTCAGTTTATCATCAGTTAACGCTTTACAAACTCACTAAGTAATGAGTATCAAACAGATTTAATATGTAAAAGTTCTAATTCTCCAACAAACATAAGTTGGCATTTTCATTATAATTTTGTGTAGACATGACCCTTCCATGTTCTGTGAATACCCTGAGAGAAACTCTAACTTTTTTGAGCAACCTAATCCCATATTTATTGCCAGAATCTGAAGGGATACTAAAAATACCAACAAAAATGAGTTAGAAATGAAACAAGAAGAGTGATTAAAGCACATTTCCCAGGACACATGCTTGAAAAGAACAATTTCCTGTTAACACTTGTATGTCCACCTGAAACCAAATGTAACTGCATCCATAAGTGCTCAGTGAATTTCTGTTGAACTGGGCTGTAGAAGGAATGTTGATAACAAGCTTTCAAAATACTTTAAAATTAACAACCTCAGTGACAGCCTTTTCTTTCTGATATTTACTACATTCTTTTAGGTTTAGGTTACCTGTTCCTTTTTCACTTATATAGGTTTCATTAAAGGAGTATAAAACATTATAAAAGCTTTATAGAGTCTTTGTCATTTTAAAGGAATTACATATATACAAGTTTGATGATTTGTATGTTACTCTCTTGCCTCACCCTCCTGTGTACCTGGAATTGTGCCTGGCTAATTTTTGTATTTTTAGTAGAGACAGGATTTCACCAAGTTGGCCAGGATGGTCTCAAACTTCTGACCTCAAGTGATCCACTCACCTAGGCCTCCCAAAGTACTGGGATTACAGGCATGAGCCACAGTGCCCAGCAGAGATCATAGATATTAAGGATCTGATCATTTCTGAGGAGTCATAAAGTATCATCTCCATGTAGATAGATTTATTCAAATACAAGTAAAATATATTTTACCTAGTGGAAAAATGGCCTATGTATACGTTGTCCAATATGTTAGTAGTTATGTGTGATTATTAAATTAAATTATTGAAAATTAAATAAAATGTAAAAATCAATTTCTCAGTTGCACAAATGACATCTCAAGCACTCAATAGCTATATATGGCTAGTGGCTACTGTATTGGAGAGGATCAATTATAGAACAGTTCTGTCACTGCAGAAAGCTCTATTAGATAGTGGTGGTCTTGTTAGAAAAAAACATACATCACTTTCATTTAGTAATCAGGTGGTAGATTCTAATATTCTAGTATAGAAACAGTTTTAAAATTTTTATCATTTAAATTTCTACTCATTCATTAATACTATACATTGTGCATTGTGGTGGAGAAAAGGAAGAGAAAAGTGGGACGTAGTGATATTATGATATATAAATCCAATAACCTCCATTCATCTTTATGCGCATGAAATAAAGTATGTGTTGTATACCTGGGATACTAATAAAATTTTCTAAAAATCTATGGCTTTTGTTAAAAAAATATCTAGAGAAGTGGTTAGGACAATACTGTCACTTAATAAACACTTCTGTCTCTTTAATTTTTAAAACAAACAAAAAAAACCAATAAATGTAATCCATCACATAAACAGAACCAATGACAAAAACCACATGATTATCTCAATAGATGCAGAAAAGGCCTTTGATAAAATTCAACATCACTTCATGCTGAAAACTCTCAATAAACTAGGTATTTATGGAACATATCTCAGAATAATAAGAGCTATTTATGACAAACCCATTGGCAATATCATACTGAATGGGCAAAAGCTGGAAGCATTCCTTTTGAAAATCAGCACCAGATAAGGATGCCCTCTCTCACAACTCCTATTCAACATAGTATTGGAATTTCTGGCCAGGGCAATCAGGCAACAGAAAGAAATAAAGAGTATTCAAATAGGAAGAGAGGAAGTCAAATTGTCTCTGTTTGCAGATGACATCATTGTATATTTAGAAAAACCAATTGTCTCATCCCCAAAACTCCCTAAGCTGATAAACAACTTCAGCAAAGTCTCAGGATACAAAATCAATGTGCAAAAATCACAAGCATTCCTATACACCAATATTAGAAAAACAGAGAGCCAAATCATGAGTGAACTCTCATTCACAATTGCTACAAAGAAAATAAAATACCTAGGAATCCAACTGACAAGGCATGATGTGAAGGACCTTTTCAAGGAGAACTATAAACCACTGCTCAAGGAAATAAGAGCAGACAGAAACAAAGGAAAAACATTCCATGCTCATGGATAGGAAGAATCAATACTGTGAAAATGGCCATACTCCCCAAAATAATTTGTATATTCAATGTTATTCGCGTCAAGCTGCCAGTGACTTTCTTTGCAGAATGGTAAAAAACTACTTTAAATTTCATATGAAATGAAAAAAGAGCCTGTATAGCCAAGACAATCCTAAACAAAAAGACCAAAGCTGGAGGCATCATGCTACCTGACTTCAAACTATACTACAAGGCTACAGTAACCAAAACAGCAAGGTACTGGTACCAAAACAGATATATAGACCAATGGAACAAAATAGAGACCTCAGAAATAACATTTACATCTTCAACCATCTGATCTTCAACAAACCTGACAAAAGCAAGCAATGGGGAAAGGAGTCCCTATTTAATAAATGGGGTTGGAAAAACTGGCTAGCCATATGCAGAAAACAGAAACTGGATCCCTTCCTTAACACCTTATACAAAATTAACTCAAGATGGATTAAAGATTTAAACATAAGACCTAAAGCCATAAAAACCCTAGAAGAAAACGTAGGCAATACCTTTCAGGACATAGGCATGGGCAAAGACTTCATAACTAAAACACCAAAAGCAATGGCAACAAAAGCCAAAATTGACCAGTGGGATCTAATCACACTAAAGAGCTTCTGCACAGCAAAAGAAACTATCATCAGGCCAGGCATGGTGGCTCACACCTATAATCCCAGCACTTTGGGAGGCTGAGGTGGGTGGATCACAAGGTCAGGGGTTCAAGACAAGCCTGACCAACAAGGTGAAACCCCGTCTCTACTAAAAATACAAAAAAATTAGCTGGTCATGGTGGTGGGCGCCTGTAATCCCAGCTACTCAGGAGGCTGAGGCAGGAGAATTGCTTGAACCCGGGAGGCAGAGGTTGCAGTGAGCCGAGATTGCACCACTGCACTCCAGCCTGGGCGACAGACCAAGACTCTGTCTCAAAAAAAAAAGAGAAAGAAACTATCATCAGAATCATCAGAATGAACAGGCAACCTATAGAATGGGAGAAAATTTTTGCAAGCTACCCATTTGACAAAGGTCTAATATCCAGAATCTACAAGGAACTTAAACAAATTTACAAGAAAAAACAACCACATCCAAAATTGTATGAAGGATATGAACAGACACCTCTCAAAAGAAGGCATTTATGAGGACAACAAACATCTGAAAAAAAGCTCATCATCACTGGTCATTAAAGAAATACAAATCAAAACTACAATGAGATAATATCTCACACCATTTAAAATGGCACTTATTAAAAAGTCAGGAAACAACAGATGCTGGTGAGGCTGGGGAGAAATAGAAATGCTTTTACATTGTTGGTGGGAGTGTAATTAGTTCAACCATTTTCGAAGACAGTATGGCAATTCCTCAAGGATCTAGAACCAGAAATACCATTCACCCAGCAATCCCATTACTGGGTATATGCCCAAAGGATTATAAATCATTCTACTATAAAGACATATGCACATCTATGTTTATTGAAGCACTATTTACAATAGCAAAGGTTTGGAACCAACCCAAATGCTCATCAATGATAGCCTGGATAAAGAAAATGTGGCACATATATACCATGGAATACTATGCAGCCATAAAAAAGTATGAGTTCATTTCCTTTGCAGGGACATGGATGAAGCTGGAAGCCATCATTCCCAGCAAACACAGGAACAGAAAACCAAACACCGCATGTTCTCACTCATAAGTGAGTGTTGAACAATGAGAACACATGGACACAGGGAGGGGAACATTACACACCGGGGCCTGTCAGTGGGTGGGGTCAGGGGAGGGAGAGCATTAGGACAAATACCTAATGCATATGGGGTTTAAAACCTAGATGACAGGTTCATAGGTGCAGCAAACCACCATGGCACATGTATACCTATGCAACAAACCTGCACGTTCTGCACATGTATCCCAGAACTTAAAGTGAAAAAGAAAAAATGAAAACGAAATGCCCTTAAGATGGCATGAAAAAAATAAAAACAATGAAACTAATATCACATACATGACAGTATAAGGATCAAATATTCATTCTATAAAAGTGCTTTTCTTCTATGTGATTTGCTACATTTTCATACTGTTTGTGCATTAAGCTTATGGTTAGAAAAACAAAATAATTTAAACTAATGTAAAAGGATTATGTATTATTCTTACTAAAATTGATTTAATGACCTAAAACATCCTTCTTTACTTGAGATTTTTCTTTATTAGTTTCAGCATTTTATCTAAACCTAGTATCTGCTCCATTATTAAACTGCTTGATGTAGCTTATATCTAACTACCTAAAGACACTTTCATACTTAGAAATTCTCTTTTCAAAATGCAAGACACTGAGGTTGTACAGTAATTTCAATCTGGCTGCTCATTGCCACATTTATGAAGATTTCAGCACTATTTTTATTAGTATGTCCTGGCCTGCTAAAATAGCTAGGCAAATTTTTCTTGATATTTGAGATGATGACATGCTTTCCGTTCTCCTGGTTTAGGTGAAAAAGTAAAGGGCAGTAGAAAAGGCATAGCGATTATCCTGTTGTCTGTATGCGCGCACACACACACATTACATATGTAAAATATTTTTTTCTTTTTTATGTTTAATGTGTTACAACCTTGGAGGACTGAATGTATTTTTCTCCTGTCTTGTCAGTGTCTAGTTATCCTAGTGTTATTACAATGAATAACACTTAAGTCACTAGCCTATTGAAATCATCGTTCAACATAGTTTTAACAAATCCTTGAAAAATAGTGACCTTAATCGTTGGATGAATTGCTAACTTTAAACTCAAATTGTTTTCATAAGAACACTTGCTGGGTTTGTTGAGTGTTCTGCTTTCACATCACTGGCATCTTAACTTTCTGCAATTGGAAATTATGTGGGTAGGTGATGCATCGCCCTTGTCACCTCTATCCACACTGAGGTTTTTCTTCTCATGTTATCATTTGTCTTCATTCTTCAAGACAGTTCTTTATCCAAGTAGCTGTCTTTCACTTCTCTCCATAACGGTTGACCTTGTAGATTTAGTTTTCAATCTGGTCATTTAGGAAACGATTCGTACTGTAGGAAAATTATGTCCCCAATTTTCTCTGACAACTGTATTATTTTATCAAGCAAAGCACTATCAGGTTTGTCAGATGTGCCCGTCTTCCTGTGATTCAGGCTGACTTTCTTTAAACGATTTATCACTCTCTGAATGATCTGTGTTCTCAACTCTGATCAGCATTTCCTGTTATTTTCAGTGTACCTAAATTCTGACAGAAAATAAAGCTTTCAATTTCTTTCTAATTGAAAATACTAGATTTTTCTCAAATAATGTGTTTCTCATATCTCTTGAATTTGTTATTGGAATAACTCTATGTTTTGTTGGCAAAGGGCTTCAGAGTGGATAACACGGTTTCACGTGCATTATCTCATTGAGATTTACACTTTTTATATGGGTTACAAGACAGTAGTAAAGGAGGTCTTCAGTTTTGTTAAAAGATGATTTTCAAAAAAAGTCAAAATAATTTTCAGAAAAAAATACGTAAAATGAACCCGTGTTAAAAATGTTATTCAATTTAATGAAGACATCACTCTTATATTTTGGTTAACTTAAACACTTATATTTGGTTCAAAAGAGCAACCAAAAGGTAGAAACATTTATAGATTGGGAATATTGAAATGAATTTGTACATAAAGGCAAAGTTGAGTTTTCCACAAAGTGGAAGAGAAAATTCGAACCTCAACTAGAATCAGCAGAATTTGCATGTTAACTGGCTGTGTACAAATTAGTTATAAAAGAGCTCAAAGACGCGAAAAACTAGAATCAGATGACTCAGAAAGGTAAGCTGTAGGTTATTCAAAAAAATATAAAAAACAGTTTTTATAAATTAAAAAGTTGTTCTACAGTTTTTATAAATTAAAGAGCAATATTTGATAATAATAGTAACTTTCAATTACAGGCATATGGGTATTAATCAAAACAACTACTAATATAGAGTGAATTAAATTTATTGTAAGTTTTTAGGTCCAAATAAGGTATAAAACAGCCTATAAGTTTTATTTTATTTTATTTTTTCATGAACAGAATTCATGTCCACAATGCGAGTCTAGAAAATGCTCAAGGTAAGAGCTTTATAAATCATATGCTATGGCATCCTGATGTGTTCCAAATAGGCAAACAGGAGGGCCATGAGAAATTGGTACCCAGAATCTACAGGACACCCTGGTAGAGCCTAGGGGCAGGCAAAGATGATAGGCTGGTCACCACTAATAACAAGCAATCTACTTTGGGAATCAGAGTGACTCAAAAGAAGCAAAATCTGAGGTTGCATCCCACGGACCTTGCAGGTGATGCATACGACAGTGTGTGCCTGTGGCTAAGAACTTGCACAATGCTTGCATCTTTTTCAGCAGCTAGTTGCAACACTTGACTCTACCCTTTATAAATAAGAGGCCTATGGAGCTGTGGAGGAGAAGCTGGGGCCCAGGTGCCTAGGCAGTACAGTACGGAACTAAAGGTACAGAGGGTAGGAGTTGGGGATAGAGGTGGGAAGACAGAAGGGCTAAAACAAATGGTGACCTGAAGTCTGTGTCTTCATATATGTAAGACTTCTCTTCATTTGCAGCTATTATATTTTTAAGTGGTACACAGTTTAGCATCATGATTATTTCCTTATTACAACATACTCGTTGTTCCTTGTTAATTGCAAAGTTTTGATTTGTAAAAGTTTGCTTTGATTTGAAAATACTTCAAGTTACATAAAACATTCAAATATGTCTTTAGTGTAGAAGAAAAAGGGAAAAGCTATGAATTGTGTGAATATAATTACAAATATTTTACATGGTTCAAAAATATTTCTTGTCAATAGGAATTGTTAAATCACTTCACTGATATATGTCCACTTCACGTGACATTATTAGATCTGATTCTTGGATCAATGAGGGTCTGATACATACATTCATCTGTTATGAAAACCTATTACTTTTATTAGTATACACCATGGAATTATAGTGAAGAGTATAGACAGAATCTTTCGTCTATAATTTATATCTGTGTGACCCTTGGCAAAACATTTAATATTTATAAGACAGATTTCTCATATGTAAAATGAGAATTAAAATAATACCTGCTTTATAAATTTGTTATGACAATTGAATAAGTAATCCATGTAAAGCACAAGGTAAAGCTTGAAAAACTCTTTGCTCTATGAATTAGATATTTCATTTACTTACTTATTTTGTAAATCTCATCTGCTTCAGGGACATGAAGGAGAAGATAGCATTTTACAGACTCCTATGAAAGGACACCTTTTAATCTCTCTCCCCATTACACTTAGGTGAGTAGTTGATATGAAGATGGACAAAATTAAAATTTAAAAATGTTTGAATAGCTATTTGACAATCATGATATGTAATACACTCACTATAATTAAAAAACACACTCTGTAATAAACTGCCAAAATGTTTATTATGAATAATAAAAAGTAACAGAGACACTGATCAATTCCTATTGCTACCAAATCTTTCTGAAGAGGGAAATGACAAATTTCTGAAATCTCTTCACTTCTAATGCTTTAAAATTGAGCTTTAAAAAAAAGTTTTGGCTGGGTGATGTGGCTCACATCTGTAATCCCAGCACTTTGGGAAGATGAGGCAGGAGAATCTCTTGACCTCAGGAGTTCAAGTTTACAGTGAGCTGTGATCATGCTACTGCACTCCAGCTTGGAGGTATAATTGGTACACAAGGAACCAAACCTATCAATGTGTACAATTTGATGAGTTTGAACATATGTAAACACCCATGATATCATTACCACAGTCAAGGTAACAGACATACACAAACCTCCCAATGTTTCCTTTTATCTCTTTGCTTGGGTGTGTGTGTGTTAAGAACACTTAATATGAGATCTAATTTCCTAACAAATTACGACGTGCATAGTACCAAACTGTTAACTATAAGTGCTGTTTATGCAGCAGATCTCTAAAACTCATTTGTCCAGCATAACTAAGACTTTATACCCTTTGAATAATAACCCCTCATTTTTCCCACTTGCCAGCCCCTGCAACTGCTGTTGCTTCAATGAGTTTGACTATTTTAAATATCACATATAAGTAGAATCAAGCAATATTAAGTGTGGGCAAGGTGAGGTAACAGAGAAATTGGAACTCTTGTAGAACGTTGGTGATGGGAATGTAAAATGGTGCAGTTGCTATGAAAACAGTATGAAAATTCCTCAAAATATTTAAAATAAAATGACTATGTATTCCAGCAATCCCACTTCTAGGTATCTATCTGAAAGAATTAAGATTTGGACTGAAAGAGATAATCTGCACTTCCATATTCATTCCAGAACTTTTCACAATAGCCAAGATTTAGAAACAAACCAACTGTCCATCTGCAGATAAATGGATTTTTAAAAAATGTGGTATATACATAAAATGGAATATTATTCAGTTTTTAAAAAGAAGGAAATCCAGCCATTTGCCCCAACGTGGATGAAACTGAAGGATATTTGCTAAATAAACTGAGCTTGGAAAACATACGTTTTTTCTGCCTAAATAACAATGGAATAGTGAAACCTCTAAATAATCTAAGGGAGTTCAGTCCACCCTCATCCTCCATTCTTTTTACAAGATGGTGAAAAAGGACCTGCTCAACTGTCAGACGTAGAACATTGTTCAGAAAGACATTTGCTTTAGCATCTGCCTTTGAAACACTGAAGGATCCCCAAACTCATTGTCAAAGAAAAAAAAAAAAAACAGAAAGGGAGTTTATACTGTTTCCCACTGTGAAAACATTTCCCAAATAAAATATTAAACACTTGAGTGTCATTATGGATTAATCTTTAATGACATTTTTCTGAGCACTGTGATGACCTGGAATGAATCTGTAATAACATGACCTGGTGATCCCATAGGCATGGGACCTTTGAGATCTACACAAGATTAATAACCAGAGGATGGTCCCAAGGGGTCTATCAAAATATCCATTACAGCGATTATTTGATACCCAATGTAATACTGCATTTTTAACAAATAATGTCCAGTGTATTTTGTGTTTCCCATGAGATCTGTGTCCACACTGTTAGGAAGTAGACTTTAATACTATGAATTAAACTAACAGTCTTTATTTGCAATCCTGTTATCCATTTGAAACTCACACGTAAACTTTCTCACACAGGGGAGAAATAGACTTTTGTATTAAAGATTCCTTTAATCTTGGTTGATTTTTATTAAAAATGTCTTCATGTCTGCCCTTAACAATTTTCATTGTTCTATGCACTTTTTTTGAGTTTTCAAATTTGATATTTTAATGAATCTCAACTGTTCTTAAAATAGTCTCATTACTTAACTTTTTTTGCTTTTATATTTACTTATATGCTGCTGCTCTTTTGAATTTAGTCTATTTCCTAGGTAGCATTCATAACTCATGGCCACATACTTGCTTCTGAATGAAATGTTTTCATTTTTACTTTACTTCCAAAATGAAATGTTTTCATTTTTACTTTATTTCTTGCAACCCACATGCTCTTTTCTCCTTTTGGCTTATTCACCTTATTATTTTTCTATGAGTTGCCATGTGGTTGTGATAAAGTTCAATTTCTTTACTTTTTAATTTTGCTGGTAATTTACCACTTAATTCAAACATATCTTGAGCAGTTATGGTCTCATATACCTAAATTTGCTTTATATTTTTTCTTCTGGTATCTGAGCAATTTAAAAACAACTAAGATTTTCTTATTTCCATGAGAAATAAACATTTAGGAAATGTGTATAATTATCACCATATTAGTTTGCATGCCAAAGAAGTGAGAGCTTTGGGTATGAAAACTATAATCATAAAAAGATACAGAAATAATAAAACTAATAATAATAATAATAAAGCATATAAACTCCATTTTTCAGACTTTGAGATTAGCATGCTTCATTTGTATAGAGTTTTATATATAAAGATTGCTGTGTCAAACTCAATTTTATTGTTTAAACTCTTTAGTTTTTTATGTTTATATCACTCGTTCTGATGTTTTCTAAACCACTGACATATATACACACACACATATATATATATTTAAGTATAAATATTTACCCTTAAGTTCACTCATCAGTTATTCTGCTTCCATTACATTCTCATATAAATGCAGATCTTGTTTCTACAACTCTGTATTTTTCAGACATGTAAAATGCCCATTCATAACCAGCTTCAATAACTAGGTTGTAGGATAAAACACCTCAGGAAAACACCATTTATATTAGATGTTCCATCAAATGTCTACATCTGTGCCCATCATTTTAGGGTAAAAAAAAATACTTCAATAGAAAGCAGATAATATTCAGTAACTAGTATTGGAAGATTTTAGACTTATCTTTACTATTATCTACCTATTCCAAATATGTCTATGACATAAAGCACCTGGAGATGAATATTTAATATGGTTTCAAATTCCCATCAACGCCACTAAACAACTGACCTAACTAAACTAACCAAAATATTGACATTTTCTAACAATTGGTCTAGATTGTATTTGGTACACCTTCATTATCCTTTTTTAAGTTTAGTTTTATATGTATATGTATCTTTTCTTCTGAATTAGAATTGTTACATACTGAGATATAGAAATACTTAAGAAATATTAGCTGTGGCTTTCTTGCTGGGATAGGAGGGACAGAAAATGACTGAAGAAGTTTCTGATATTGGAAACTATTTCACAAAGATTAATGTGTATTTATGTGTATTATGTACCACATAATACACATAAATACACAAAGATAAATGTGTATTATGTACCACATAAAATGTGGTATAAAATTTCATAATATGTAGGAAACATACAATAGTTATTGAAAATAGCTCCACTTGAAAAGTACAAATAAAGAAAAGAAACTATGCTAGATTAATTTTTTCAATTTGCAAATGTGAAGCTAAATTTATTTTAGCAATAAAGATTTTTATATTATTAATCACTTTGGATTACCTATCTTGTGGCTACATTCTATCCCTTTTGCTAAACACACTTTTACTGAATACTGAATTTTGGATTAATTGCTTATCAGTCAAAACAATTGAAAAGGAATATGATCTATTACATGGAGAGATTAATTAGCTATTTCCTGACACACCATTTTGTGTAGGCATTTTGGAATGCATAATAAATGCCACAGAAAAATCGAAGAGAGAACAAAAAGCTACATTTAGTTTCTATATCATGACTTCACAGTGTTAATGCTGCAATTAATTCAGTGTTAATGACAATGAGAGTTTTTTTGGTGTGCTCTTCCCCCCACATGTGAGAAGCTGGCTAAACTCTTGCAAGATTGGGAGTGAAGGGGATCTATTTCAAAATCAGGCCTTTTCCAGTTATCCAGGCATAAATAGTTCTAGGATCTTCATTATGAAAGAAAACACAGAAACCCAATTTTTACGGACTGCAGTGGCTTATGCAATCAGCAGTCACTAGCCAAGCATGCTTCCCCTAATGTTTTTCTGCCCATGGCAACCACCTTTTCTGTCTGGATGATCGAGAGTACAGAAGCCTGAAGGGGACATGTCCTAGCACAGCCTGGGTGTGGGGAATTGGACAGACCCGTCCCTTTGCTATAATTGAATGCCACATCTCTAAATCAGTATGTAACAAATGTACCATTCGAATACCATGAAGACACAGAAACTTCTCATCACTAGGAGTTTGTCACATATTTTGAAAAGTGGTTACAGTGTACAAATACCATTTGCAATGAGATTTTAAAAATAGGTTATTATCAAAATAATGTTCAAATTATGGTGACCCTCACTGCTTGATACAGGCAGCTCACAGGCTTTTGAAACTGTTTTCTGTTTCTTTAAGCATGCACTCTGGTTAATATAAGAAAACGATAATTCATTTCAAAAATAAAAGGCATACTTTTTATTGCTGCTTTCTTGCATCCAAATTATGGTAAATAAATATGATATTCTTCAGCACACTGCAACTATTATCAGTAATTTTCTGTATGTATTGCATAGTCGCTCTGTGCTTCAGACTTTTTCCAGCTAATATTTAAGAGGATGACAGTATTTCGTTTTGGCTATGTTTCCAACACTCATGATACATATTTATTCATCAAGTATTTAAATTAAACTAAGACATATGCTGCCAACAGAAACTAGTAATTCTTTTTGTCAAGTCTGTGACATGTTTTTGAGCATTCAGTTAATATTTTTATGGATACAGTGTTAAACCCTAAACAAGTCATCATAAAATGCTTGTGAATTTAGACTGGATATACTGGGAAATGTACTTCGAGCTGAGAAAGGAATGCTCAGATGCCAAACTGGCTGCTGAGCTAAAAGTGGAAAGCAGTGCTAGAACCATATATGTCACTGTGGTTTGCTAAATCTCAAATCCCAGGTTTGGACTTTTCTATCCTTCTCCAAGTCAGTAGAATAGAAAGGGAAACATCATTGATACGCTTTTAGTTTTGGTTTTGGTCTGTGTTTATTACAATGAAAAGAGAAGGCCCAGAATCCAGGCAGCACTGTTTCATGGGAAGGGCCGTGGGAGGCCGAGGCAAGCGTAGAACATGGCAAGTGGACTGTAGCTACACATCTAAACAGCAACTCGTTAGGGTTTAAGGTAACACAGATGTGTGCAGCAGAGTATAAATGGATTTAATATCTCAATAATTGACAAAAACATACTTCTTATTCCCTTACTACCGAGGAAATGGTCATGTAAAACACATTTCTTACTGATCTGTAATATCTTCTTTGGTATATCAATGAGCTCAATAAAATAGCCCCATCTATGTATCTATCCATCTATCCATCACCTAATCTGTCATCTATCTATCTAACTGCTGATAAAAGTTCGATACACTATGTTGGAGGGAAAATTTGTAAAGATGAACGCTATTTCCAGTACAACTAGAGTATTCATGTGTAAAAATTTTTTACATATATCTTATATTTATTCAGTGGCTATTATGAAATATAGTATGCCAAATGTTTCATATAAACCATCCATTACATTGAGAAAACAGTGTCGTGAGATACGTAACATTTTTAGAATTTACAAACAAGGAAATTGAGAATAAAAACGGTCTAGGAAATGTCATCAAAATCACATGATTAATAGGTATTACCAGTATATATGATGATTTCTTACTCTTTGTTATTGTTGTTGTTGTTGTTTGTTGTTTTTTTGAGATGGAGTTTCACTCTTGTTGCCCAGGCTGGAGTGCAATGGTGTGATCTCGGCTCACTGCAGATGAACTTTATCAATGGACAGAATGCACAGAAGGAAAAATAAATTAATGAAAAGGGTCAGAAATATGTATTATAATTAGGAGGAAAAAGGACAAAATTCATTCTTGAAAGGTGTATTCCAATAATATTAAGTTTAAAAATCACCTGCAAAATTTTTTAAATTAGGATTTAACAACAGTAATTAAAACGTATTCGGGAATTTGAAAGAATGATTTTCAAAAGGAATTGTGAGGGTCTCATATCTGGAGTGGTTGTAAATAAACCACAGTTATTTTTTTCCATCACTATGAAACACATTATCCATTTGCCTTGACAGAATATACTAAAAAAAATTCAAAGACAAAATATGAAAAAGGAAGGGCATTAAATACCAATGGCAAATAGAACATAATTTTCATATGATTATATGAATTGGCTTTAGAATTATTTGAAAAACATGCAATCAATAGCACTTTTAAGAAGCTGAAAAAGGGAATTTAGAAATTCCTTTTGTTGTTCAAAGGCTGAAGCTCCAGATGTTTGAACTGCAGCCAGTAAGCCCCACCAAACACAAGCTCTCCCTTTCTTTTGCCTGATGTGCTGGTTTCAAACAGACAACTTGTATCACTAAATCATGAGTATGGTGAAATGTTGGCATCTCTATTTTGTTATTGCTGAAGTCCAAGTGAAAAAGCGAATTTTCTTAGCTGTAGATATTTTTTGCATGCATTAATTTTAGGGAAAAAATAAAGTCTAGCTGGTAAAGAGGAAGAAATGGAAAAGGGGCTTACAGAAGGGCTTTGTCATTTATAAAATAATAAAGTAAAATGATAAACTGTGAATACTGTAAACTAATATGTTTTTTAAAATGGGGGAGGGAAATAGACCATGTGCTCCAAGTACACTGAGGTTCAGATCTTAAAGGATTCACAGTATACCTTGTATTCATTTTCTCACTCAAGATTCCAAGTAGTTTTAGAAATTGCTCATGCCTTTGCATAAAAACATTCAAAGTAATTTAAGAAATTGCAGTATTAAATAGTGAAAAATATATGTTGCAGCCTATTTTTTATAAACTTCAGTAAATCATTTCTTTCTTCCATTCTTAGCTGTGTTGGGCTGACTCTGAATATTAAATCTACTTATGAATAGGATGACTGGTGATGTCACTTTAGCTCTTGAGAACAGGGTTAGGTAACTTGGGCTCCCTCTGGTGTCGGCCTCGTTCCTTTTTCAGTAGCTAAAAGAAATAGAAAAAAATGATCATCATTTTAAAAAACCAACTTCTGTAATATAAACTATCATAAAATAGTAAGAATAACTTACATTTTTATACTACCTCTCATAAAAAGTGAGCATGACTTCAAGTTAATTTGAAACAAGGAAATGTATATTCTTATGATGAATGTTTAATATCCAGAGACTGTTTTTTCTTGGAAATAAGAACATAAGATAAAAGAAATGTAGAAATGTCCTTTAGTAATTTTGCCATAAAGGTATGTAAACTCCACAGAAACATGTTGCTTATTGCTAAAAAAAAACAAAAACAAAATACAAAACAAAAACTTAACTGCTTATACTGATATTTAATATTAAGATGAGCTAATTGGCATCACTATTAACTATATTTAATCAAAATGCTAGTACAAAAACCACACCATGTTTAACCATGAATACTTGTACCTTACAAATAAACAAAACTTTCATTTAAGTGTAGAGATAATTTTAATAAATGCTAGATAAAATCACTAGTTTTACAAGGTTTATAAACCTTATTAAAGGCTGTTATGTGATTTAGAAAAGCAAAAAAAAAAAAGAGGTAACAGTTTAAAACTACAAGGAAAACACTCTATTTTTGGATACTTTACCTTGTTTATTTCACTAAACTCTATGGTTTGAATGTGTGTTAGAATTTACAAACAAGGAGGCCGGGCGCAGTGGTTCAAGCCTGTAATCCCAGAACTTTGGCAGGCTGAGGCAGGCAGATCACGAGGTCAGGAGTTCAAGACCAGCCTGACTAATATGGTGAAACCCCGTCTCTACTGAAAATACAAAAATTAGCTGGGTGTGGTGGCGCACGCCTGTAGTCCCAGCTACTGGGAGGCGGAGGTTGCAGTGAGCCAAGATCGCGCCACTGCACTCCAACCTGGGAGACAGAGTGGGACTCCGTCTCAAAAAAAAAAAAGGAATTTACAACACAGAAATGTGTTTAAATTTAAATTTACATGACTTTGTTATATTTATGCTATGGAATTAGTTCTGAACATTTCAACAGCAATTTGTATTCTAAGACTTAGGCATGGAAATACATTTTACTAAATATTTATTTTTATTATTTTTCATAGTGCCACGTCGTAGGATATAAAGTTTCATTACTTTCATTGCTTCTATAAGCCATATGACTATGCATGTAATATTCAATAAATGTTTATTATTTATATTTAAAAGGTATACATTATTAGAAGTTTCTGCTTTGTGTATACTTATATAATTACTTATATATGAATATACGCACCCATATAAATATAAATTAAATATAGCTATATGCTTATTTAAATGACATGTTTATATAAATTAGTTACATTTATACAAATTATGTATATTTATACAGATATATACATTATAAATATTTGTATAAATGATATATGAGATAAATAAAATAATACTGGCCACTGAAATTTACCTATATGTGATTATCATCCATGTAGTGTTATTTTTAAAGTAAATAAAATTAGATAAAATATTTTACAGAACAAAATTTAATTATTTAAATACAAAGTATAATTGTCTATAACTAATATAATTATCTTTTGAGAATCAGGCCATCATTAGCACACATATACTCCAACTTGAAAGTAGAAAGTAAATTTATAGAATACTAAAAAGAAAACACAGAAAAGATAATGATTAGAACATGACAAAGTACATGATGAAGAAATAAGTAAATAATTTGGGAATATTTTACCGAGAGACAAGACATGCTAGCATAGGGGTAGTTTCATAATGGTATTTATTTATTTATTTATTTATTTATTTATTTATTCATTCATCAGTTTAAAAATATGTATTGAGCACCTATTATGCAATACACATATTTTCTGTTGCTACATGATTTTATAATGTTATCTACTTCATTACATGCTGATAGAAAGGAAGCATGAAACATTCATTTTATTTCTCAAGAAAGAAAACAAACAAAAAGCAGAAATATATTTTAAAAACTAAAATATACTTGTTAGTATAGGTATGTAAGCAGTGCTTTAGTTCTGCCTGGTGTAGTTAAATCTGGAAAGCTTAATCAGGCAGGAACTGTTACTGGGTTAAAACAGACATGGGAACAATTTCAGGATTTGGCAAGAATGAGAAGGTCACAGTTGGCAACTATGACACAGAACCAGCATCGGCGAGTTGAGTACCAAGTGTGCATTCTACCGAAAGTTAAGAAAGGGGATGTTAGATCATTAAGAACTGCAGGCTTCATAATAGCCTTGAGCTAAAATACAGCTGTAGGCTACTTGTGGAGATTTTAGTAATAAGGAAGAATCGTTTTTTTTCTTTGTTTCACAGATACTAATTTCCTAAACATGGAGTTAGAGTTTAGGGGCTAGAAATCAGCCTCAAGGACAGAGTGGAGTAGTGCACAGCCTTTTGAGTGAAAAAAAAAAAAATGGTATTCAGTTACTGATATTGGAGCACAGATTAATGCAGAGAAAGCAGCAAGTTAACTTGGAACTTGACAGCCGCCTGTCTTACTATTAGCTACAGCAGCTCATTATCTTCCTCTGCATTTAGGAATGGAGACTGATCAGAAAGGTATAGATCCAAAAGCAGAAGGGAAGGGAAGCAGGGAGTGTGTTGACAGATGTGGCGTATTAAACATACATTGCAAATTTCAGGTTTTTATTAAGATACAATGGGCAGAGTATCTCAATATATTAGTAGATCATAAATTATTCTCACCTATTGCTATCTGACTTGCCCTTTGCAAGTATTCAAATATTTTGTCCCCACTGAAATTTTAATTTGTGACCTCCCCCTTTTCTCAGTCATGGTGGTAGATGTAATCTGAACGTCTTTCTACAAAACTATAGCAAACCACCTAACTAGATTGATAAGTAGATACACATACACACTTGATTAATCAGAGGAGACATGCAATGTATTCATATGTGTATGTCCATGAATACTTATAAGTGAATACATTCTATTATTTCATAATTATATAATAATGGAAACCTTACTTCATTATCATATTAAAAATGTAGAAAACTTTTCTGAAAAAAGGGTCAAACATACCCAAAAGTTTGATCATATAGGAATAAACCACAATCCTTTAACCAAGGTTTGGAAAAATTTAAAATTAAAAAAAAAAAGATAACAACAACACTCGAAAAAAAGAAAATCTGAACTTGTGCTAATTCTTACAAAGTATGCCTGGCCAAGACAGGAATCTAAACATTCATAGTTAATGTTATTATTATAGTTTATTGTTGTTTTAAGAAACTCGGTTGACAAAAACAAAAGGGATGTCTTTTCTTCCTTTGAGAATACGGGGTATTATCTCTGGAAAAAATACAAGTTTTTCTCGGTAAGAAGTGTTTGCTTCTTACGTTAACTATTGAGAAATTCATCTCCAGATTTGTCTTTTGAGAAGAATAAACTAGAGTTTATTCCCTCTTCCAATGACTCCAGCCAGCATCTTTCTATAGGGATAGCAGCACGTATTTGGCAAAGAGGAATTTTTTTTTTTTTTTTTTTTTGAGGCGGGGTCTCGCTCTGTCGCCCAGGCTGGAGTGCAGTGGCGCCATCTCGGCTCACTGCAAGCTCCGCCTCCCGGGTTCCCGCCATTCTCCTGTCTCAGCCTCCCGAGTAGCTGGGACTACAGGCGCCCGCCACCGCGCCCGGCTAATTTTTTTTTTTTTTTTTTGTATTTTTTAGTAGAGACGGGGTTTCACCGTGTTATCCAAGATAATCTTGATCTCCTGACCTCGTGATCCGCCCGCCTCGGCCTCCCAAAGCTCTGGGATTACAGGCGTAATATCTAGCATAGGAGGAATCCTGAAGTGCTCCACATGACAGGGAGATTATACTGAGAGAGCTGGGAAAAAAAGAGTGTTTTGGAATGCAGTTGAGCCCAATGGCAATGCCACTTAAAAAAAAAAAAAAAAAAAAAAAAAAAAAAAAAAAAAAAAAGCCTAGTTCTAAAACTTGTACCCTTTTATGATACAAAAAGCCATTCTGTTAGATAGAGCTGCAAACGCCAATTTCTACACATTGTCCTGCTCACTTGAAATCCATCTGACACTGCAGACGGATTTAAGGTACCTGGACTCAAGTTTTGCATGTTTTTAGACTAGGTTACACAGAGCATTAGGTTCTCAGGTAAGGAAAAGAAGGTCATCTTTCAGGGATTACAGATAAGATCTTTTTGCCTTCACGCTGGGTTACCATGCTGAATCACCAAAGGGTATTTCAGCAAAGACAAGAAAGGAGATCAGCTTAATAATATTACTCCCGTCTCCAGAAGTAAGAGACAGGTGTACAGAAATAGGTTTCTCTGACTGTTAGAAAACCAGTATTTGGACAGAAAGAAAAAGACTTTACAACTCTTCAGCCCTTTTAGATGTTGACATAAATATGGAACTCGTTCTTTGTTTCCCTGAAAGAGCATATATTATAAATTATAAAATACATGATTTTTAATTGTATTGTATTTAGTAGCTCTGTCTGTCATGAGAGTAATGCCACGTATTTCTAGCTTACAGTTTATTTTTTATCTAGTCAAAAACTGACTTCTTTTTATAAGAGACAAACACACTTCAAGGTGGAAGATTTCAATATAAACACTAACATGACATTTTCTCTAAGTTAAAAACCATCAAAAAAGAGTAAGATAACATGTGTTAAAGTTCAACACATCTTCAGATATTATTCAAGTGACGGCATGTCCATTTAGAAGAGGACAAGCGGCCAGGTGCGGTGGCTCACGCCTGTAATCCCAGCACATTGGGAGGCCAAGGTGGGTGGATCACCTGAGGTCAGGGAGTTCGAGACCAGCGACCAACATGGAGAAACCCCGTCTCTACTAAAAATACAAATTAGCCGGGTGTGGTGGCGCATGGCTGTAATCCCAGCTACTTAGGAGGCTGAGGCAGTAGAATAATCACTTGAACCTGGAAGGCGGAGGTTGCGGTGAGCGGAGATCGCAACATTGCACTCCAGCCTGAGCAACAAGAGCAAAATTCTGCCAAAAAAAAAAAAAAAGAGGACAAGCATAACTCCACCATATGGATAGAGTATGGAGGCAAACATGTGAGCATCATTACATCATTATTATTATAATTATTTCTTATTTCTAGGGTCATGAGAAAAGGTCCAACAAGTTGTAGCAAACGAATGATAAGCCATGAGGCATTTTTTATTTTGAAGTAGATAAACTCTCTTTATGCAATCCTAAAGAGTCACATTTATATACCACCCCAAACCATAAATCATGCACAATTGTTTGTTTTAAAGAGTTACCTATAACTAGGACTCAGCACAAATTATAGAGAAGCTTTATCATACACAGCAAAAAGAAAAAGAAAAAAATTTAAAGAATAGCTTTGTGTGTGTATCATCACCAGGGTTTTAAAATTATAACATTTCATTTGCATTATGGTTTTATTGAAAATAAGATCCACTGGACACAATAATATTACTTTGTAGATCCAAGTACTATGCTCTGAATCCACCATCTAAAGAAAGAAATATTGAAATGCTTGTTAATGTATCTAATGCTACTGTCATTCTCATATTTCACATATGAGTGAATGGTGTGGAGGATCAAATACATTTGAGCCTTGGCTGAGCAACAGAATCCCCAGTGAGGAAAAATACAGGATAGAAATTGTTTCAAAAAAGTGTTCAAAATAAGAAAGGGGAAAATACAGGCATAGGAACGTCATAACAAAATACCCCATTTTCTAACAAATAACTGAATGGTATCCATTGACCAATAATATCATTAAATTAATTTCCGTCTTTGAGAGCAGTATTTGTTTGGCCTATCACCTATCTGAATAAATATGGACAGAGATAAGTTCAATTTTTTCCCTTTATTTTTAGTCGACACATAATAATTTATAATTTAATCCCATAATAATTTATGGGATACAGAGTGATATTTCAATACATGTATTCAATGTGTAATGATCAAATCAGGATAATTAGCATATCCATCATCTCAAACATTTATCATTTCTTTGTGTTGGGAATAATCAAAAATTCTCTTCTAGCTTTAGAAGAATCCACAATACACAATAGATTATTTTTAACTATATTTACCCTACAGTGCTATGGACACTAGAACTTATTTCTTTTACCTAGCTATAATTTTGTATTCTCCCTATTGGCTCTCTCACCCACCATTCCCAGTCTCTAATAACCATAATTTTATGCTCTCCTTCTATAAGCTCAACTTTTTAAGCTCCCATTTATGAGTGAGAAGATGCAGCATTTCTCTTTCTGACCTGACTTATTTTGTTTAACATAATATCCTCCAGTGTTGTCCATATTGCCATAAATGACAGGATTTTATTCTTTGTTATGGCCGAATGTATTCTATTGTATATAATACTTTTCCTTTTCCATTTATCTGTTAATGAACATTAATGTTGATTCTGTATCTTTGCTATTGTGAATAGTGCTGCCATAAGCATGGGGTTGCAGGTATCTATTCAGTGTAGTGATTTTCTTTCCTTTGGATAAACATCCAGTAGTGGGATGGCTAGATTATATGGTAATACAGTTGTAGTTTTTTGATAAAACTCCATACTGTTTTTCATAATAACTTCACTAATTGACATTCCTGTCAATGGTGTGTAAGAGTTCCCTTTTTTCTTCATCCTTGCCAGCACTTATTGCTTTTTGGCTTTTTGTTAATAGCCATCTTAACTGAAGGATGACGATATTGCATTGTGATTTTCAATTGCATCTCCCTGATGATTAGTGCTGTTGAGAATTTTTTTCATATACTTGTTTGCCATTTCTATGCCTTTTTTGAGAAGTGTCTATTCCGATACTTTGCCCATTTTTAAAGTCAAATTATTAGATTTTTTATATTGTTGAGTTGTTTGACTTCTTTGCATATTTTGGATATTACTCTCTTGTCAAACATACATATTACAAATATTTCTCCCATTCTACAGAATGTCTTTTCATGATGTTGATGTTTTCATCAATGCCATGTTGTTCTTGTTACTATAGCTTTGTAGCATATTTTGAACTTAGCTACTATGATCCTTCCAGCTTTGTTCTTTTGTTAAGTACTGCCTTGGTTATTCAGGGTCTTTTGCAGTTGTATACAAATTTTAGCAGTTTTCCTATTTCTCTAAAGATTGTCACTGGTATTTTCCTTACTTTGTGCACTATGGTCATTTTAACAATATTAATTATTCCAATCCATGAGCATCAGATGTCTTTTAATTTATTTGTACCTTCTTCAATTTCTTTTATCAGTTTTTTTTTAGTTTTCGTGGTAGACACCTTTCACATTCTTAATTAAATTTATTCCTAAGTATTTTTGTAGCTATTACAAATGGATTTGCTTTTTTTTATTTTTTTTTTTTGAAATGGAGTCTTGTTCTGTCACCAAGGCTGGAGTGCTGCAGTGGCATGATCTTGGCTCACTGCAACCTCTGCCTCTGGGGTTCAAGTGATCCTTTTGCCTCAGCCTCCTGAGTAGCTGGGTTTACAGGCATGTGCCATGACATTCAGCTAATTTTTGTATTTTTAGTAGAGATGGGGGTTTCACCGTGTTGGCCAGGCTGGCCTTGAACTCATGACTTTAGGTAATCTGTCCGCCTTGGCCTCCCAAAGTGCTGAAATAACAGGCATGAGCCACCATGACAGGCCTTGATTTCTTTCCTGGCTAGCTTGTTATTAGTTTACAGAAAAGTATGTTAAATTTTATCAAATGCTTTTCTTCTGCAACTATGGAGATGATCATACAGTTTTTGTTCTCCATTCTATTGATGTGTTGTATACATTTATTGATTTGCATATGTTAAACCATGCATACATGCGTGTTACAAACCCCATTAGTCATGGTGTGTTCTCTTTTTGATGTTTTATTGGATTCTATTTGCCAGTAATTTTTTTTTTTTTGAAGATTTGTGCATCTGGCTCATCCCGGATGTTAGCCTATAATTTTCTTTTCTATGTGTATCCTTATCTGATTTTGGTATCAAGGTAATGCTGGATTTGCAGAAGAAATTAGAAATAAAAATTCCCTCTTCTTTAATTTTTTGGGGTAGTTTTAGAGGAAATCAAGTTAGTTCTGTCAATATTGATAGAATTCAGCAGGAAAGCCATGCCATGCTGCCAGGGTTTTCTTTGTTGAAAGAATTTTTATCACTGAGTCAGTCTCAGCACTCATATAATAACCTGTTCAAGTTTTCTATTCCTTTTTGGCTCAATCTTTATAAGTTATATGTGTCCAGGAAGTTTTCCATTTCCTCTAGGTTTTCCAATTGTTAGTGTATAGTTGTTCATAATAATCTCTAATAATTCTTTGTATTCCTGTGGTATCAGTTGTAATGTCTTCACTTTTTATTTTATTTACTTGGGTCTTCTTTCTTTTATCCTTAGTCTATATAATTGTTTGCCAATTTTGTTTATCTTTCCAAAAAACTTATTATGTTATTAATCTTTTTGTTATTTTTATATCTATTTCCTTTAATTCACCCTTAGCTTTATTCTTTCTTTCCTTCTGCTAACTTTGAGTTTGGTTTGTTCTTGCTTTTCTAGTTCATTGTGGTGCATCATTAGGTTGTTTATTTGAAATCTTTCTACTTTTTTGATATATTTATAATTATTAATTGCTTCTTCTGAATCCCATAGGCTTTTGTATGTCACCTTTCTATTTGCATTTGTTTTTAAGACATTTTAAAATTTTATTCCTAAATTCCGTATAGACTCGTTGGTTGTTCAGAGCATGTTGTTTAATTGCCATGTATTTGTACCATTCACAAAGTTCTTCTGGTTATTGATTTCTAGTTTTATTTCATTGTGGTCGGAGAATATACTTATATTATTTCCATGATTTAAAATTTTTTGAGACTTGTTTTGTAGCCTAACATATGGTCCATCCTAGAGAATATTCCATGTGATGAGAAATAAATGTATTCTGTAGCTGTTGGATGAGGTGTTCTGTGAATGTCTGTTAGGTCCATTTGGTCTAGAGTATAGTTTAACTGATGTTTCTTTGTTGATTTTCTATCTAAATGATCTGTCCAATGCTGAAAGTGGAGCAGTGAAGTTCCCAACTGTTATTATATGGTTTTCTATCTTTCTCTGTAGCTCTAATAATATTTGCTTTATATAATCTGGGTGCTCCAGTATTGGATGCATATATATTTACCATTGTTATATCCTCTAGCTGGATGGATTTCCTTATTATTACATAATAAACTTTACTGTGTCTATTTTTGTTTTCTGACTTCTACATATTTTTGGTTTATGTTTGCATGGATTATCTTTTTCCATCCCTTTACTTTTAGTCTATGTGTGTCTTTACAGATTTTTCTTGTAGGCAGCATATAGTTGGGTCTTTTTAAATTTATCTAGCAAATCCATGTGTTTTTATTGGAGAACTGATACTGTTTACATTCAAGATTGTTATCGATAGACAAGAACTTATTCCTATTATTTTGTTAATTGTTTTATATATCTTTTGTTCTATTATTCTTCTCTTATTGTTTACTTTTGTGGTTTGGTCGTTTTCTTTAGTGATAACATTTGATTCCTTTCTCTCTCATTTGTGCATCTGCTCTGCAAATGTATTTTATAATTTGTGTGTTTTCACCATGGCAGACATTGTTCTTTCACTTCAATATGAAGATTCCCTTAAGAATTTCTTATAGAGCTGTTCTAGTGGTGATAAATTTCCCTAGTTTTTGCTCATCTGGGAAAGAGTTTTTCCTCTTTCATTTCTGAAGGATAGTTTTGTGAGATATAATATTCTTGACTGGCAATTTTTTTTGAACTTTGAATACATCATCCTATTCTCTCCTGGATGATGAGGTTTCTGCTGAAAAGTATGCTATTAGTCTGATAGGAATTCCCTTATGTTTGACTTGATGCCTTTCTCTTGCTGTTTTTAGAATTCTCCCTTTCATTTTTACTTTTCAAAGCTTAAGTATGATGTGCCCCCTTTTTTTTTTAGACAGAGTCTCGCTCTGTCACCCAGGCTGGAGTGCTGGCACACTCTCAGCTCACTGCAAATACTGCCTTCTGGGTTCATGCTATTCTCACGCCTCAGCCTCCCAAGTAGCTGGGATTACAGGCATGTGCCCCAATGCCTAGCTAGTGTGTGTGTGTGTGTGTGTGTGTGTGTGTGTGCACATTTTTAGTAGAGACAGGGTTTTGCCATGTTGCCCAGGCTGGTCTCGAACTCCTGAGTTCAGGTGATCCTGCCTTGGCCTCCCAAAGTGCTAATATTACAGGTGTGAGCCACCACGCCCAGCCTGATGTGCCTTTAAAAAGGATCTTTTTGGGTGGAAAATATTCGATGAATTTTTAAGCTTTCTGTATCTGAAAAGTCTGCTTTTTTCTCCAATACTTGGGAAGATTTTTAGCTATTATTTCATTAAATAAGTTTGCTATGACTTTTTCAGTCCAATCTCTTGACTTTCTGAGACTCCTAAAATGTGCACTTAATGGTGTCTCACATGTCATATAAGGTTTCTGCATTCTTTTTCTCTCTCTTTTTATTTTATTTTATTTTATTTTGCCTGACTGGATTATTTCAAAAGATGTTTCTTCAAGTTCCCCAAATCTTTTTTTTCTGCTTGTTCTACTCTATGGTTGAACCCCCAGTTGTATTTTTTAGTTTTATTCATTAAGTTATTTAGTGCCGATATTTCAGTTGGTACTTTTATATGATTATATATATATATATATATATAGTTCTAACTCATGTGATGATCATTTTCCTAATTTCTTTGTATTGTCTACGTGTGTTTTCTTGTATTGCACTGCATATCCTTAAGATCATCACTTTGAATTCCTTTTCAGGCATTTTATAGCTGTTCCCTTCTTTGGAGTCTCTTAAAGGACAGTTACTGTGTTCCATTGGAGAAGTCACGTTTCTTTGATTTTTCATGTTTGTTGTGTCTCTGCATTGATATATGTGCATCTGGTGAAATTGCTGCTTACTTTAATGTTACGGAGTCACCTTCATAGGAAAAGACGTTTTCTGTAGATATATCTATAACATTAGTTTGGTAAGGTGCCTAACTTTGTTTTGGGTGGGCACAGTACTGTAGTATCTATATTATTTCTTCAGTTGTAATCACCGTCAGCAGTGTCTTCAAGTTTTTTAGTGGCTTAGGTTGTAGTTGTTTATGGAGCTTTGGGGCAGTTTTGCTGGTGATGGAGATGCGGGGTGGGTGGATCCTTGAGCCCCTGGGAGGCATGTGACATTTCTGTTGCTTGAGAGGGTGGGTCTAATGTCAGTGGCAGTGGTTTCAGTCAGGTGGCTCTGATTCTTGGGAATATGTGCTTTGTCCTGGGGGCAGCCTCCCTAATGCACTGGACCACCTGTTCCCTGGTGTGTAGGGCCATGCATCAACTCGGATGCCAGGGACTCAGCTGTATCAATAGGTCTAGCTGGTATACCAGTGCAGCAGAGGACCTCAGGAATATGGAGATGCAGGGGCTATTGGGCCAAGGCAGAGTGTAATCTCTGATGGCTCTGCTCTCAAAATGGTGCTATGCTGCAGCAGCCTGGGTCTTGGGGGTGGGGAAGACCTATATTGACTTTCCCCACAAATGATTGCAGGCATTTGTGGTAGAAATGTAGATGCTAGGGATCTCCAACTCACCTTTTCCTCTCAATGAGATGTTGCTCTTGGCTCCGAGCCTATCTTAGCTGGCTGCTTCACTTTCCTCTTCCTGCTGCCATTGTGAGTTTCTGTATCCCACAGGGTCTGTGCCACTTCTTTGCTGAGTTTTGTTGTTCTCCTTTACATTCTCTATTTTACCTGTGGTTATTCGGGTCCTTCTTTGTGAAGGAGGCAAGAGTTGGGTGCCTCTAGTCACCCATCTTGATGGCACAGAGCTTTCTGTTTATACCTGTGGCAGAAAAATGTTTTATTATTTTTGATTTGGGACAAGGTAGCAAAGTGAAAAAGGTCACCTCTCAATCTATGCATGACTTTAAGCATGTCACTTAGTATCTCTGCGCTTCAGCTTGAAGCCTCTGTGCTTGGATGTGTTCTGCTGAAAATTCTTGCATCTGTGGAATTCTATGATCCTAGGGCATGCTCTTTAGGTACTTTCATTGGTTACATAGTTTAAAAGGCCAGTATATAACACACGGATTGCCTAGAGGGCTGCATCTGCTTTGTGAACATCCATGCCAACTTTTTCAGAGAACATTCCAAAACAGTATGGCATGTGGTCCATGTTCTCTGCTCTTTGATCTGCACTTCATTCATTTCAGAATTCACCATTTTATTCTTATATGTTAGAAATAGAAAATGCACTCAGGGGATATATGGAATTTTCCTGCAGGACAGAATCACTCAAGTACAGCACGTTTTTTGTTAAGCTAGTATATTTTCAATAATTCCTAGAAATAATAAATGATTTCACTGCAGAACTGCATATTTTTCTATTACTAAACTGATTTCTGCAGATTGTTATTCAACCCTTAGTGAAATTCCAACTGTGTACTAGGTGCTGTCAGAACACAAAGTTAGTCACATATCCTACACAGTGAGCATAATATTCATCCAAATTTCACAGGTACATTCAACCGACACAACACTGACAGCCTTTACAAACACAGTGATCATTTCTCATCACAAATGAAGCCTGTAAGGTGATGGTATGTAGCAACATAGCTTATTATCAGTTTATTCTCTGTTTATTATCACACCAAATTTATTTATAACTGCTTTTAAAGAATATTATAACAAAGTACCAATAATATATTTGGGGATATTTTCAAAATTTTTTTAGAATTTGAATACAATACATAATATAGTTGGACACTGTAACGTAATTTCTGTTAGTGTCTCTTTAATTGCATTTGCAGTATTCACAGGGAAGTGTTCCGTTTGGATAATTACTCATTGGGTGAAGATCAGCAATTTGGCTCATGAGCACTTCAGAAAATGACTCAAAATTTTGTAAGAAGAGAATTTCCTACAAATACCCCAATCAAAAAAAAAAAATTCAGTTAAGTGCTTCTTTCATACGGTTTCCACCAGAATATGTTAAAGATTTCCTCCAACTATTTATTCTCCTTTAGGTTATTCATAAGAGTACCATTTTTAGTAAAGAGAGAGCCAACTTTTTTTTAATGTGCTCAATGTATTATGCCATACACTTTTAGAAATTATAAATGTTATGACTTAGGAGAAATTAAAAATATGTTAAATATATCCACAATGCATAATAAAGATACACTATCATTAATACTTATTTAACAGTATACCGGTTATTATTATTTATTTGTAAGTTGTTGACATTCTTCTTAATTGTTTATATCCAAAAATAATTTTTTCTAAAATTATTACTTATGCCAGTTAACCTAACATAATATGCACACATATTCCATTTTGTGCACAAAGCTATAAATGTTGCAATGAAAATATAACAAAATATGTAAGGGGGGTATTTACCTTTGCTCAGGGAACTTACAAGCATGCTTTCTCCCTTTGTGTGTGTGTGTGTGTGTAAATCATAATCAATGTCTCTAAACTTTATGACTGTCAGAGATAAGCAAACTAATATTGTGAACTTTTTAAATTTTAAGCTATCATCCTAGAATTTTTGTTGATGGTTTTTGTCATTTTGGCCTCTAAGTACATTGTAGTAGTCTGTTCTCATGCTGCTAACAAAGACATACCCGAGACTGGGGAATTTGTAAGGAAAAGAGGATTAATTGACTCAGTTTTGCATGGCTGGCGAGGTCTCAGGAAAATTACAATTATGGCGGAAGGGGAAGCAAACATGTCTTTCCTCATGTGGTGACAGGAGAGAGAATGAGAGCAGTGCGAGGGAGGAGCCCCTTATAAAACCATCAGATCTCGTGAGAACTCACTCACTATCTCTAGAACAGTATATGGGAAACTGCCCCCATGATTCAAGTATGTCCACCTGGTCCCACCCTTGACATATATGGATTATTGCAATTCAAGATGAGATTTTTGATAGCGGCACAGCCAAACCATATCATACATCAAAATTGTAATCTGTGGGAAAAATTTTAAATTTTTTCTACATTTTCCTTTTTAAAAACATCTTTGTTTTCCTAAGAACATTTAGGAAGTAGCTTATGTTTCCCTTATAGTTAAAAGAGATGTTTTAAACTGATTGAAAAAAAGGCCTTTGCACTCAGGGATGCCTGGGTCCGACTTACATCTCTCACACACAGTGGCTCTGTGATCTTATCAAATCTCCTCCACTAAATGGGAGTAACAATGTTACTCATAATATTGGGAGAAATACATTGGATGATGTGTTTAAAAGGCTTCAATTAGTACCCAACACATGTAACCTATTCAAATTGACAAAATTACCGAATGTGGATGTCAGTAAGTTCTTTCGATTTAGATATGACAAGTAGATTATGTTATACTATAAAACATTAATATATTTAATAGAGGCATTCCTTCTGTAATTATCTTTTACCTATGTCCTTTTTTCTCGTTTGTATTACAGCCATCATAGTAAGAGTTTAGTCACTTTAATTACAGGCAATTCAAATTTAAATTTTACTTTCAGTAGGTATCTATTAAGCACCCACAATGAATAAAGTGATTTTATATGTTACAAACAAAACCAAAACTAGGGTCTATTTAATAGAACTGATAGTACATTGCTTTCTGAATTACCTAATAGCAGAAAACATATCTCTTCTCTTTTCCCTTTTTGCATTATGCTTAGAGTTGGTTACAGGCCGGGCGCGGTGGCTCATGCCTGTAATCCCGGCACTTTGGGAGGCCGAGGCGGGTGGATCACGAGGTCAGCAGATCGAGACCATCCCGGCTAACACGGTGAAACCCCGTCTCTACTAAAAATATAAAAAATTAGCCGGTGGTGGCGGCGGGCGCCTGTAGTCCCAGATACTCGGGAGGCTGAGGCAGGAGAATGGCGTGAACCCGGGAGGCGGAGCTTGCAGTGAGCCGAGATCGCGCCACTGCACTCCAGCCTGGGCGACAGAGAGAGACTCCGTCTCAGAAAAAAAAAAAAAAAAAAAAAAAGTTGGTTACAGCCAATTATCTATTATTTATTGAGCATCTATTTGTTGACCAGGCGCCTTTAGAAAAAATTAAACTAGTTCTTAGGGATTTTTAGCCAATAAATTGTCAAAGCTTGTGATGATTTGGCTCAGTTCTACACTTTTAAATAAGATTTTGGCATTTGTAGCTATAGTCACTCTAGTAATTAGAGATGAAAGCTGAATTAAGAAGATAAGAATCTATTAATATATAATAATGGCATCAGGGTTACCAATAAATAAAACTGTTCTTTTAAATTATTAGCATAGAATTTAACTTCTAAAAAATGTCTTAACAGGCAATATTCTCACACTTCATTTAGGACATAAATTATAGAATTATGTTATGCAGTGATTGGGAAATTAATCTAACATTTTTTCATTTTTAAGCATTCTGTAGCAGAAAAATCATTACCCTGAATACAAGTTATAGTTTTTCTATTGAAGCTCTATGAAATTGAGCAGGTCATTTAA
Organism: Homo sapiens; assembly: GCF_000001405.40. Taxonomy (NCBI): domain Eukaryota; kingdom Metazoa; phylum Chordata; class Mammalia; order Primates; family Hominidae; genus Homo; species Homo sapiens. The sequence goes on from NC_000021.9 coordinate 20,987,059, forward strand.
TCTTTCTCTGTGTTAATTTTTTTCCTTTGTAAATTTAGAGTCAAACTTATATGTTATATCTAAAATCTCTCATACTGTACCTATGACTAATTGACAATAGGGTACTAATGATGATGATACAGAAAACAAAATTTTAAGTACTACTTTTATTTGATTCTTAGTGAAAGAAAACTTGTGCATAAGATAATTATAAAAATATTATGACTTTTAATTTTAAGGTAAAAAAATATTACCAATCTAAATAATGTATTCAAGTAAATGGGGTAAAGATGGAAACATTGGATTGGACAATATTTTGGCCTTTGTAATACTGGATAAACCTAATTTTACCATACTTAGGAGTTACTGTGATACTTTTTGTTAAAGACATCACCTGTAATTTGAAGAAGATGTACTTAAAGGTCAAATTTTCTGAGCATTGATTTTTCTTTCTTGTGTGAGCAATGAATTTTGAAGTTACATTTTATGACCACTCTTTAATATTGCCATTTGCTAATTTTAAGGTGCGTTAGGTATAATTATTCTTTTAATAAGGGCAGCAGTAAAAAGTGTATTTGAGTAGCAGGCTTCACTGAAGTTGCCATATTCCTAGTTTATCCCTACAATATTTTCCATCTCTGCTCTGCAACCAGTATTAACACCATTTTCTCAGTACCATAAGATTTTCAAATACAACTGCTCTATTTCAAGGTAAGTTAAAAAACAGACCCTCAAGTGTTTTAAAATAATGTTGCTTTAGCTCTGATAAATCAAATAACTATATGATAAATTGAATAACACAAATAACTCTGTGATAAATCATATAACTCTGATTAATTTCAGAATGACCCTAGCCCTTCATTACAAGTTCTCTAACATAAAGTTAGGAGCACTGCTATGTTCACACTTCTAGGGTGCTGGTTGAAGGCAATTCATTAGTGGTACAATAGAAATAGCTATGAGAACAATGAAGGGAATCAGCCCTAAACTAGCATGAGGTCTAGAGAGGGGTAAGTTAGCATGGTGGCAGGTGTGAGTCCTTGTCAAATATAAGAATACATGACTTGAAGTGGTAAGAAAGGGATAAGGCCAAAATCAAAGATGGGAAAGAGAGTATAAAACTTGACCTGTAAACATGACATCCTGCAAGGAGGTGAGTAACCAAGACACAAAGCCATTAATGGAGTAGAGAAACCAAGAAAGACAATGAGGTTTGGCTCATGCCTGTAATCCCAGCACTTTGGGATGCTGAGGCGGGAGGGTCACCTGAGGTCAGGAGTTCAGGACCAACCTGGCCAACATGATGAAACCCCGTTTCTACTAAAAAATACAACAATTAGCCAGGTGTGGTGGCAGGCATCTGTAATCCATAGCTACTCAGGAGGCTGAGATAGAAGAATTGCTTGAACCTGGGAGGCAGAAGTTGCAGTGAGCTGAGATCACACCACTACACTCTAGTCTGGGCAACAAGAGTGAAACTCCATCTCAAAAACAAAAAAAGAGAGAAGAAAGAAAGAAAGAGAAAGAGAGAGAGGGAAGGAGGGAGGGAGGGAAGAAGGAAGGAAGGAAGGAAGGAAGGAAAGAAAGAAAGAAAGAAAGAAAGAAAGAAAGAAAGAAAGAAAGAAAGAAAGAAAGAAAGAAAGAGGGAAAGAAAGAAAGAAATGAGGTTTTAGGTGAGTCTGGAGAAATTCCACAGAGAGAGCGTAGGTTCCCATGGATGCTTTCTTTCTGGTTTCCCAGTGCTATGGTTTGAATATTTGTGTCCCACCAAAAGTTGTATGTTAAAACTGTATGACCAAAGTGATAATATTCGGAGGTGGGGCCTTTAGGACACAATGATGTTATGAGAGCAGATCCCTAATGAATGGGATATTGCTCTTATAAAGAAGCCCCAGACAGTAGTCCTGTCCCTTCCACCGAGTGAGGACACACCGAGTGAGTGTACAATTACCAAGATAAGCCTTTCTGGAAAATATGTTTGTCTTTATTTTTAGAAATAAGGTAAGACTTTAGTAGTTTTAAATCTACAGTTCATTCTCAGGACTTTCCTATCACTGTTTCAAAACCATGCTATTGACAAGTATTTGTTTATAAGATTGAGAGGCACTATTAGGTAAGTAGAACTGAGCAGACTAGTCTTCTCATAAATTGTTTAGGTTTATAACTAACTCAGACATTTTATATGAATAATATAGGTATAGGCCCACAAACAGAGGTACTCTAACCCAGGCATTTTTCCCTTTGCGTGCTCCCAGATGATGTAATTTGAGAAAACAAACTATCAAAAATTAAATTTCCACATTATTATTGTCTTTCTTTAGGTCATGAGAGGTCACATCATAACCTGTATAGGATCAACTTTTGCTCTTAAAAGAGATTGTATTATTCAAAATGTTTCTGAGAAGGCTGGGCACAGTGTCTTATGCCTGTAATCTTAGCACTTTGGGAAGCCGAGGGAGGTGGATCACTTGAGGTCCAGAGTTGGAGACTCCAGCCTGTCCAGTATGGTGAAACCGGTCCCTACTAATTCAAAAATTAGCTGGGTGTGGTGGCACGCACCTGTAGTCCCAAATACTTGGAAGGCTGAGGAGGAGAATTGCTTGAAGCCGGGAGGCGGAGGTTGCAGTGAGCCAAAATCATGCCACTGCACTCTGGACTGGATTACAGAGCAAGACTCTGTCAGAAATATATATATATATTCATAATATATATAGATATATTATGAATATATATATTTCTTATATATAAGAAATATATATTTTAATCTATATATATTTCTGGGAAGAATATGGGGTGAGACAGGTTTTGGTTTTGGAGAAACAAACAAATTGTTCATTTTCTAGAGATTCAGGGAGTTGTTCTTATACTCAGCCTAAGAAAAGACAGTTTAGAGTAGAGTTCTTGAATCTGCCATTTTGGACTGGATAATTAACTGCTGTGGAGGTCGCCTGTGTGCATGAGATGTTTAGCCACATAGCAACATCCCTGGCCTCTTCCCGCTGGATGCGAGGAGCACCTTCCTCCCAGTCATGGCAATACAAAAAGTCTCTAAATATTGTCACATGTTCAAGGGGTGTGAAACCCAATCTTGAAGCTCTGAGTTAGAGAAACTCTTCTTTGGGAGGTAATTGGTGCCTAAAAAGTTCATGGGTCCAAGAAATGAATCCATGAAGGGACTCTGTACAGGGAATCAAAGAAGTAGCCAGTAGTCTCCAAGACAACTGGTAGGTATTCCTTACTCAATATTGGGTTTCCCTCTAATAAGTTATTGTGTCTCTATTACTCTCAATCTTTCCGTAAGCTGTAATAAATGTCTTTGCGGCCGGGCGCGTTGGCTCACGCCTCTAATCCTAGCACTTTGGGAGGCTGAGACGGGCGTAACATGAGGTCAGGGGATCGAGACCATCCTGGCTAACACGGTGAAACCCCGTCTCTACTAAAAATACAAAAAAAATTAGCCGGGTGTGGTGGAGGGCGCCTGAAGTCCCAGCTACTCGGAAGGCTGAGGCAGGAGAATCACTTGAACCAGGGAGGCGGAGGCTGCAGTGAGCCGAGATCATGCCACTGCACTGTAGCCTGGGTGACAGAGTGAAACTCTGTCTCAAATAATAATAATAATAATAAATAAATAAATAAATATGTCTTTGCTTGAGCCCTGAGGCGTTAAGGCAGGCAGATATGTTCAGGCTTCAAGTGAGGTGATACAGAAGGAAGGTACAGCCTGGGAAAGCCTATTATATAAGATGGCCAAAAATAACTGCCAGAGATTAGGGCAAAGATGGGGCTGGAATGAGAAACACCTTCCTGATCTTGTGTGTGAAACATGCCAACATTCTTCAGGCATCTTCAGAGATCCCTATTAGCAAATAGATGGGGATACTTAGACTTTATCTGTGTGATGTAGTACAGAAAGTTGATGCTGGTGAGCTAGAATAATTGAGAACTTTTGGTTACCCCAAATTATCGAGTTGTGCAGAATTTTCTCCTAAAAAGTACAGTGGGACTTCCTGGATCCTAGAGCAGAAGAATAAGATTCTTAAAATATAACATGTTAAGGTGGAGATGTCTTTCAGTGGACCTTAAATTTGATAAATATGAATATGAAAATTTATCTACAGCCAGGCAATTGAAGATGATTAAAGGTAGATATTACAGAATGGAAACTCTAGATTAACCAACAAAATATAAAATAAAATATAGTAAGCTGTCAATGTTGATAGAAATGAAGTGCTTTCACATCTTCCAGATGACAGTGTAAATTATGTAGTTTGGAAAACAATTTAGGCGATATGAGTTCAGTAGCTACATATGGTCATATGTTTTTGCAAAACTATTGATTTTCTAGTAGTCTAAGAATGTAATCTATAATAACCTCAAAGCTCTATGGATAGAGATATTCACACTGTGGTGTTATTCATCATAATAATTAAAATTACGGATAAAATCGTAACGTCTTAGTCTAAGAAAATTGTTAAGAATATTAGGTTCAGTCCATGTCAACAAATTAATTCATTAAATTTATGTTTGTGAAAATAAAGAGGCAAGGCGCGATGGTTCATGCCTGTAATCCCAGCACTTTGGGAGGCCGAGGCGGGAGGATCACCTGAGGTCAGGAGTTAGAGACCAGCCTAACATGGAGAAACCCCATCTTTACTAAAAATTACAAAATTAGTTGGGCGTGGTGGCTCATGCCTGTAATCCTAGTTACTCGGGAAGCTAAGGCAGGAGAATCGCTTGAACTCAGGAGGCGGAAGTTGCAATGAGCTCAGATTGCGCACCGTTGCACTCCAGCCTGGACAACAAGAGCAAAACTCCGCCTCAAAAAAAATTAATAAAAATATAAAATTTATTCCCTTTACAAAACAAAATACAAAGATGCCAAATAGCATTTTCTCATTATGTTAAGAAAATGTACACTTATATGAAAGACTAGAAGAAAATATGCCAAAATGTTCAAGAGATAGCCTCTGGTTGATAGGGCATGGGCATTCCTAATTTTTTTTTATAACTAGCATGCCAGAATTTGAGAAGATTAAACATTAATTTATAAATAAACAAGCACAGCTCTTTAGTTTTATTTTTCTATTTTTTTTTTTTTTACATAGCTCAGCTATTTCTTTTAAAGTCAACTTCTTTCATAGGTGTTGAGTTTCTTAACTTTAGAAAGGTTGTGAAACCCAGTAGCAGGTGTTGGGTACATAATTATTTAAATATGAGGACCAATCATTAAGAATGTTGGTGGGGAAATGTGTTGTTTTCTTAAAAACGAGTTAAGATTATTTCACGTAGACATAAAGTATAAGAGTTTTTCCCATAACATTAAAATTTAAAAAGTGTATCCAAACAATGTGCCTTGGTGGATTATTAGGTAGAATATTAACGGTTTGTGGTTATATAGGAAAGAATCTTATTGCTACTACTAGCTTGCCTATTACTAATAGAACTTCTTATCTAAGTTGAAAATTAATGCAAGCACATCTCCATTAAGGAAAGAACCAAATGATCCTGTGCAATAAGAGATTTTTGAATGAAATGCCTAATTTTATTGCCCTGCCAAAATGCAATGATTAATATTGTGTCCTATCAAATCTATACTTGTATTGGATCAGTTGCCAGGGATGAAGGATTTATTGTTACCTGGTATGTGATAACTCCCCTCCACATGGAAGGATTTGTGCAGACGCCACCTTGGTCAATGTTACCTATGGACAAAAATGTGATTCCTGAGTGCTGTGATCAATAATTGGGCAACCTAAATATCGCATCATGATCCTTGTCATATCACATAGGTTCATTGCTATCCATTGCTTGATTCCTTTTTCCTATCTTACTTTGTCCTGAATATATTCTTGAAATTGTATCAATCACTGTTTTGTCAACATGTTCTAGGCTTGTTAAGTTTTCTGCTCTGTCCATCATTGTGTTTCCCAGGGATGTCTTGGTGAAGAAAAGTGTAATATCCCCTTAGAGTTAAGAAAATATTATTCTGGGAAGTGGCAAATTATAGGCAGTTATTGCATAATTTCTGAGCGAAGTGAGCAGTTATTTGCCCAGAGGGACCATGAAGTAGCCATGAAAGAAAATGACCCCATGTATCTTGGAAGAAATTAAAAAGTAAGAATCTGTGACAATGAGGGTGCCTCAGTACCATAAATCTGTCTCCTCCATTTCTTAATTTCAAATAGAACAGCTAAGAAAGTAAAACATATTAAAAGCAAGGTGTTAAAATCTAAAAGCTATCGTTAAAGTAGCTGCAGTTACATGCCTGGTAAAGGGTCTAAAATGTTGTGTCAAGAAGTTTAAAATTATTTTCAAAGACACGATCATTAGAAAAAAGTGGCATTAATGGAGAGGGGAAGGCAGTAGCAGGATCATCTATTTATAGAAGTTTTAGGCTATCTGTCTATATAAGATAGCCTAAATAAGAAAAGTCAAAACAGGCAATTTTCTAGACAAGTAAATGAATAGTTATAATGGCTTGTGCTATCTTAAAAATATAAATGATCACACGGAATGTCCTATTTCTTAATAGTATGATATTAACACACATGAATTCCATCAACAGAGAGATTAAACAAACATAACATCAGAAGTACACAAATAAAAATAATGTTTAATATCCACAGCTCATCATTCATGCCTAGGCTCTATGTGTACATGATATACCTGCATGATTTTTGCAGGAGCAGATTGCAAAAGTAAGAAACAGAATCTCTCTGAGAAGATAATTTCCACATACAATGCGCCTTACCATTTTCTGTCTCTCTGCTACTCCTTTATGTTCATTTTATTGATTCTTTTAAATCAAATTTATCTGCTTTCAGTTAACCATGCATCCAGTCCTGTTGGTATTTCCTACTACTCAGCTTTTCATAGATTCCTGAGTTTTGTTCAACTGGCTCTTATTTTTATAAATGAAATAACTATCACCCCAACTATGCCTCTGACACATTTCCTCGGAGAGATGAAGAAGTGGATAAATTGTCTTACTTGTAAATTATGAGCTACATAGAGGAGGGAGGATGCGTTTCTATACCTTTTATATCCTACACTGCACATGGCTTACTCATGTTCATAGATTTGGTACATTCAATAAAAGTATTCAATGTCTACATAATAGAAAGCACTCCTTTCCAACAGTGGAGGGGAATAGTGAGAAGAGGCAATTTTTCTACATGGTGTCCTCATATGGTCAATCTATTAAGAAGAAGAACTGGCTAAGGCAAATGTCAGGCTGCATATTACTTTGTCACTGCAATGAGAAATAAATGTGCGTCTGATAGAGCCCTGGAGAGGCACTTCTACTTTTGGCTAAGAAGCAGTTGAGGCAAGTTTTTTTGAGTATATGACATTCTGCTATTGAGTCCTTATGGCAATATAAATTTAGGCTAAAGATGGGGAGAACCCTTGAAAGCCTCAGAATTGTCTTAGTTCATTTTGTGCTGCTATAACAGAACACTACAGACTGGGTAATTTATAAACAATACAAGTGTATTCGGCTCACAGTTCTGGAGCCTGGGAAGCCCAGGCTGGTGAAGGCCTTCTTAGCTGCCTCATTACATAGTGGAATGAATCACATAAACGACAGAGTATGTTCAAGAGAGTGAGAGATGGAACTCACAACCATACGCCCTTTTATAATCGGCATGAATCCATTCATGAGGGTGTAGCCCTCTAGACCTAAATACCTCCCATGAGGCCGCACTCCCAACATTGTTGAACTGGGATTTCAGTTTCCAACACATGCTTTTTGATAGACACATTGAAACTGTAATCCTCATGTGGGCCTATGATTCACCGTCAGACGTGTAGCCCCCGGGATGGAGAGAGTCATCCTAACTTTTTCTGACTATGCATGCCACGACTTACATTGTGAGAGGCTGTGAATATCAGGTTTGTTAGCATAACTCTCTCCCACCTTGTATTTTTCACTCTGTACTTTTTTCAAATTAGACTTCTCTCTGCTTTCCACACATGCTGTGTGGTTTCACGCCCCCAGGCTTTACTTAAGTTTTTCTCTGCCCTGCCCACGTCCCTACCTATCTAATTTCTCCGCTTTCTTCAAAGCTTCATGAATCCTTTCTTAATCCTCTATTCAGAAATGATCCCCTCCTCTTATGTCACAATAGCAGGGCATTTTCACTCTTCTTATGGCATTTTTTAAAAACCTGATGTAGATGATTGAATTGTGTGCTTATGCCTGATATCTTCAACAAGTGGCTATTAACGAATTGAGGGGCAGGATCCATAGCTGTATCACCTTTCTTTGTATATTCCTGAGTACCAAGGGTTTGTCCATTTATCTTTTCCATACACAGAGATGCTCTCTCTCTCTCTCTTATCTTCCCTCTGTCTCTCTCTCTCTCTCTCTCTGTCTCTCTCTCACACACACAGAAGTTTGGACACAGTATAGTCTTATGATACAAACTTCTAATCAGAAATTTCATTTGTGTCTGATAGACTATTGCTACCATCTCCCTAACCTCACTCTAAGAACATTTAATGTCTAAATTACCTTACAGGATACCAGTCAAATTTTCCTCTGGCATGGTTTAACCCATTGCCTAAGAAAAAAGTAATTTGACTTTTTTTTTTTTTTTTTTGAGACAGAGTCTTGCTCTGTCACTCAAGCTGAAGTGCAGTGGCACAATTTCAGCTCACTGCAGCCTCCACCTCCTGGGTTCAAGCGATTCTTCTGCCTCAGTCTCCTGAGTAGCTGGGACTAGAGGTGTGCCACCACCCCTGGCTAATTTTTGTATTATTAGTAGAGACGGGGTTTCACCATATTGGCCAGGCTGGTCTTGAACTCCTGACCTTGTGATCCGCCCACCTCAGCCTCCCAAAGTGCTGGGATTACAGGTATGAGCCACGCCCAGCCTGAAAGTAATTTGACTTCTAATAACACAGAGGAGAATTCAGTTGTCAATATTTCCACCTGATTAACAGATGTGCATGTATGTGTGTGTGATAGGCACTTGGCCACTCCCAGTGTCAGGTTGAAAAATTGCAGGCTGTGTGAAGATGCTATTTGACACACAGAGTATACTTTTAACTGTCTTCTGTGATTTTGTGTGTGTGTGTGTGTGTGTGTGTGTGTGTGTGTGTGTGTGCTGAAGTCATTCTTTGGTATCCACAGGGGGGACTAGTTTCAATACTCTCACAGATCCTTGGATGCTCAAGTCCCTTATATAAAATAGCATAAATTTGCATATAACCTCCTGCATATTACATCATCTCTGGATTAGGTGTAATACATTATATAATGCAAATGCTTTGTAAATAGTCACTTTGCTGTATTTTTTTATTTACGTTATTTTGATTGTATCATTGTTTCATTTTTTTTAAAGTTATTTTTCATCCATGGTTGGTAGAATCTGAGGATGTAGAACTGTGGACGCAGAAGGCCTACTGTGTAGCATTTATCAATGCCCAAGAGAAATGAAGAATTGGAGTAAATAAATGAGTCACGGTCTTTCACATCTATAAATGTGCTACTTCCACCCTTTCCTGCAAAGAGCTGACCATGAGTTTACTTAAGTGTGGTTAGTGCATTCCAGAACCAGTAAAGGGTGTGAGAAGGGTACCGTGGCAAAATAACTTTCTAAATATATTGTCTGCTATAAGATCAAGAGGAAATAAGAGGTTCTCTAGCTGTGAGGTGCTGAGAGGGCCATTGCTTAAGGCAGTTCAGCGATGGTGAGTTGAGGGCCGCCTTTCCCCTCCTCTCTTCCTGATAACCCCATCCCAGGATGCCAAGTGGACGAATCATCTGTATAAAGCGCTCTGCCTGGGGAGGACAAATCGCAGACGGTATCTCCCCTATGCATGTTAGCCTGTGTCTACTCTTGCCCCCTGCCCTCCCTGAAGGCAATGCACTGCCCTTTTCAGCGTGAAATCCCCAGGCTGGGGCTGGATTCTGAGCTCTACATTTCTACCTCCCCCCTCTCCAACCCCCGCTATTTCTATGTCCTCACTGATAAGGAAGGAGCTAGGGTCCTTGTGGAGGCCGGGGCGAGGCAGTTGAGTTTTCTAAGGAGCCAGAGAGAAAGTGCAGATGAAAGGACCCATCGTCAGCGTTTGCAGGTCGCGGTAACCCCAGGCCAGATTGACATGGGCTCCGCACCCGGGCCGGTGATTCTGCCTCTTAACCGCTCTTGCAGGAGAGGTGACGTTAATCTCACAAACGTTTTCCTACCCTTCTAGGAGAAATAACGATAAGCCCCAATCTTAAGGAGCAGAGAGTTAGTTCCGGGCGTTTGCCACGGCTCCCTCACTTCAATTTACACTCGCACACGCGGGTACGTGGGTGTTCGGGGTAGGGCACTGATCTGGGGAAGGTCTCCCCCCCGCGACCCAACTCATCTTTGCACATTTGCAGTCCTCCCTCGGTGCACTCCTGGCGGGGATCTGGCCAGTGCAGCGCACTGGGACCGAGGGCAGAGCCCGCGGAGTGAGGCCAGGAGAGACTTCAGGCCTCTAAGGACACAGCTGAGGCTAAGGCTGAGTTGAACGCAGCCCCTCCCGCGGCTCGTCCCCTCTCCAGTGTCTCTCCCGTAAGGTGCCGCTCCCAACAGCAATGGGTCGAGATGTAGAGGAAACACTCTGTACGTTATTTTTCCGCCCACCCTTTAGCGCCTGAGGAGACAGACAGTGTAGACTTTAGGGTACAATTGCTTCCCCTCTGTCGCGGCGGGGTGGGGAGCGTGGGAAGGGGACAGCCGCGCAAGGGGCCAGCCTGCTCCAGGTTTGAGCGAGAGAGGGAGAAGGAGGTCCACGGAGAGACAAGAATCTCCCTCCTCCCACGCCCAAAAGGAATAAGCTGCGGGGCACACCGCCCGCCTCCAGATCCCCCATTCACGTTGAGCCGGGGCGCGCTCGGGGCGGTCGCCTGCAGTATCAGTATCAGCATCAGCATCAGCATCAGCATCTGCATGAGCATCAGCTCAGCTCAGCTCAGCTCAGCATCAGCTCAGCTGTCCTGAGGCAGCCGGCGGCTGTGAAGGAGCTCCAGGCTGCCCCCATCCCCACGCCCTTCTCGGCTCAGGGCGTGCATGAACCTGCGGATGGCCGGCGGGCGAGTGGCGCCTTCGCGATCGCGGCCGCCCCTCTAGGCGGAGGCACCGGGGACCGAACCCGTGACTTCGAGCTCCACTGCGGACGAATCCCGGGACCGCGCGCCTCGCGGAAGAGCGGCCGCCGTGCAGCGCGGAGGGATACGCCTCGGCCGCACCTCCCCTCGCCGCGCCCCCGCCCCCGCCGCCCTCCCCGCCCGGCTCTGCTGCCGCCGCGGCGGCCGCTGCTGCTGCTGCTTCTGCCGCCGCTGCCGCCGCCGCTGCCTGGATATAGTGCGGCAAGAGCGGAGCTTGCAGTCACTTTGCGAGGAGGAGCGCGCGGGCTGCGGGCGGCTGGGGCACCGCGGGAGCGGCGGCGGCGGCTCTAGCAGAGGCGGCCGGGGCAGCGAAAGGTTCTCTCTCCAGGGCTGGACTTAATAACTTTGAAACTGTCCACCGGTGTCACGTCCTGAACATGAGCCTCCTCCTCTCCTTCTACCTGCTGGGGTTGCTTGTCAGTAGCGGGCAAGGTAGGAGTGTGGCGCTTTATTGCATTTACTTTCCCTCCCCCTTCCACCCGGCCAAGAGAGGCAAAGAGGGAGGCGCAGGAAGAATGAAATGAAAGAACTAAAGTTACAGTTATTGCTGTTGTTGTTATTATTATTTTCGTTCTTTCTCCTAGCTGTCCCTAAAATTGTATCTGTTGTGTGGAGACCCTTAAATAAGAGAAGGGAAAATACAGAATTGGAGAGGGGAATCGGTGAGCAGGATATCCAGGGAAACCGCTTCTTCTTCTTCTTTTTTTTTCCTCTGGGATTATGGCTTTCTCTTATTTTTATTATCAGAAATTGGATGAGTGTGTTAACAGTGAAATATCTGAGGTTGCGGAAGGAAAGGGCACGATGGTGTTTTACAGAAGCAGCAAAAACTATCAGTGTTAAACTCATTTGCAAAATATCTGCTGTGTGCAAGACGTTCGATTCTTGGAGACTCTTTTTTTTTTCCACCCCTTTCCCAAAACCCTAATTCCTGACTATGAAGTGAATGATGATGGCTTATTTCTGTTGGAAACTAAGAGAGGGGCCGTGGATATTGTGTGTAAGAAAGCAAATGGATAAAACTAGGGATGTGTTGCAGTCATTCATTTTGACCCCAACCCCTTATTAATACAGAAAGGTGGAATCATTTTATAACATTACATTGTAATTACACCTGTAGAGGATTTTTGGGGTTGTGGGAGAACTGGTGGAAGCTTTTATCTCTTAAAAAAAAAAAATGAATAGCCTGGTAGAATAACCTGAGAGGGAATTTGTGGAAGCTATCACTGTTTGTCTCTAGAGAGATAGATATGAATTTATCTGGCTGTTTAGATAGTAAACACTCACATGAAATATATTTACAATAAATGGAAGCATTTTCAACTGTCCAGACAAGTTTGGACGTTTAATTAGGGACACAAAATGCTAAAACATGCATTGGTGAAAGTCTTTAAAGGAAAAATAAAATAGCACTAATTTTGAGATATGTAATGATTGCAAAGAATGTTATGTTGTTAGTGTAGTGTGAAATTGGTTTTTTAAAATAATATAATAAATTACAAGACAAGTTAAAATATCCCCAAGATATTCAGTTCTAAGCATTTTTAGCCTCTTCTGTATTGCTCGTTTGGTCCAGCAGGGGGTGGTAGAACTCCATTTTAAGCCCAGAAGTTGGTTTCTGCTCTTCCACAGAGTCCTTCTATCATTCTTCAGCAGGGCTTGACATTTTGGATGTGAAGCCTTCCTTTTTCTGCCCTTCTCCTCCCCACAGCTATAGTGTTAGTGGCGGATGAAACACGATTGGATGCAGATTTAATGTTCAGAAATCAGTATGCAAATGTTGGATATTCCTATAGTTTGTAAAGTGTCTTGATAAGATTCTGCTCATTTTCCCTTCCTAACATAGAGTATGAAATATTTCAGTCTTAGCAAAATTGCAGATATGTCCATCTGAAGCTAATACTAGCCCAATTCGTTAATTCAGTGGTTCTTAAGCAAAGATCAGCATGCACATATGTCCTACAGATATGCTTCTTTAATTTTCAGATAGCTGCTGATTGTGTTTAACTGTTCATTTATAGCATAGACAGGTATTTTTGAGCACCAAGAAACAATCCCTGAAAATTGCAGTTAAAATACAACTGCAATTAAATAAGTGTAGGTAGTGTGGGGCAGAATGGGAGCATAATAGGAAACAAGTTTATGCAGACTTAGGATTACATTGTGAGTGGTTTGGAGAAGAAAAATGTCTCAGTTGTGGAATCTGAATTTATCATTGTAGAGGCTAAGTGTGTTGGAATTTGGAGACATAGGAAATTAGAAATGTTTAGATATATAGGTTTAAATAGTACACAGAGACATAAAATTTGGATGTGTACATGTAACATAGATGTGAAATTGTGATTCAGCTAATTTGTAAGTCAGGATACGAGGTGGTTATGAAGAGGCACTCTGAGACAAGCATCTCTGAAGGGGAGCCCATATTCACTGTAATGAAACAGGGTAGAAGGAGACCATCATTGTAAAGATCTCTCTATCTAGTACAATTTCACAATGTGTGGCACTCATAGAGACACAGATATATATCAGAGAGACGTAGCTTTTGTGAAAGGGAACATATAGTACTTCTATGCCATGTGTCCTGATGAAGTCAGAGATGCTTGGATATAGATATCCTCATCCTGGAGTCCAATTCCTCTATGCTAGTGTTTTGTTCTCTAATTAAGGATGCAGCAGCAAGTATCAGACACACCACCGGGAGCTGTTTAAAAAAACAGACCTAGTGTAACTCATGATTTTGTTTATTCTCTTGTAAAGAGGGCCATGGAAAAGCCACCAGTCAGTGATCCCTGGTCTTGCCTTAGAAATACTAAAATCTCAGCTTGCTGATTTATGTGTCCAACAGTATACTTGCAGGGGATTTTATGAAGCATGATTGAAGCTATTGCTTTGGAAAGTGGTGTGCAGTTAGACTGAGGAAAGGCAACAATGATGTATTCCCTTTTTAGGAGTCAAAACGTTTTGAACTGAAGCAGTTGAATAGGAGAAAATGACATTAAGTGAGAAACTGACTAACTTAAGTGAATGCCAATACTATAATTAGCTAACAAGGCCTAATAGTTTACTTGTAACTCTCAATACAACCTTATTGTTGTACAGTAGTAAGACGCTTTTTTTTATTGTAGCAGAAATACTCCTTTAAAAGCCTCTAATTTCCACTGCAAGATTAATGTATAATGAAGTAAGGTTAGAATGTTATTGTGAAGTCTGAATTTAATTGTCAATGAAAGAAAATGCTGTAATTCTGTAACTTTTGCAATTATTTTTCCTTTGTGTTCAAAACTTGGTCACAGGCTTTGTAATCATAAATCTCAAGTGATAACTTCAGTTTCTGATTAACTGCATTTGCTGTTTGGATCTTTGTATATTCAAATTTCCAAACTGTTGTATGTATGGATTGCTTTCGTGAGAGTTTTTACATTTTTGAAACCACTTCCTTCTTCCTTTAAAAATTAAACAAGTATGATTAATAAGCATTTTTCCTGGATGTTCACATATGTAAGATAGAAGCACTGTTATACTAAAACCTAAAGTAAGAATAATGCTATTCATCTCTCTTGCAATGCAGTTCAAACGTACCACTTAGAACACTTACCTAAGCCAAAATCGTGAGGAAAGGAGGGGTGAATTGCCCAGTTGATCAGTTAAAGCAGTCATCTGCTTACAGTTATTCTCTTTGGTGAAGTGCTAGTAAGTCATTGTACATTACAGCAATGTACCTTCTAAAAATAGAGCACAGGTGTGTGAGTGTCTACTAGTTTGAAGATTACAGGAGAGAGCTCCACAAACTCATCTTCTGTCGGGGCTGTTACATGGCTCCAGCCTCTCTCGTATGCTTTTTCTATCTGCTGTGCTCTAATTCTTTGATATCAGCCTCTCTGTGCAAAGTTTCTATTAAATCGACTGGGTCTTCTTTTGCACTTGGGGAAGATGTAATGTAAAGGCTAATGTAAATTAATATCTTTATTGTCAGAGTAACCCAGAGGATTTCCCTCACTACTTCATATCAAAGGAGTTAGGCAGAGTATTTTCTCACTTTTAATGCAGAATCGGAGCCCATAGAGCAAGAAGGGAAGTTGGTGGGTCCCGAGAGTGTCAGATGAGTCTTTTCAATGACACAGGGAGCTAATTTTCTCCCCGAGGTACTGTCCTACTAGAGAAGCAATTAATGGAACAAAAGAACCTCATTCAGTACCAAAAGTTAGACTTCATATGATTTTGTAAATAGAATGGCCTTCTTTCAAAAATAGGACTAGTTTGCAATGAAACTGAGAAATGAGCTACAGAGATTGAGGCTAGTAACCAAGCTGAACAGTGTAATTTGTTTTTGCCTGTCCTCGTGTGGAAGCAGTGCAAATAGTAACAGGATCGACAATCTGAAGACTCTGGAACTGGTCCTCCTGCATTCTCTGTCTTTTAACATTTGGGAAATCATTGTAACTTATCTCTTTTCAGGGTCATCTCTCACAGCAATGAATTTTTGAGAGCATGAAGAAAAGTGCTCAATAACTATAGAGTGATTCTAAATTGCCCTATTTCCCCCCAAAATGAAATTAATCCCTTGAGTGTTGATATGTGCAAAATTAATTTAATAATTTGAATATACTTCTGAAGGGACTATCATTGTTTTTCAAATTTTGTTGTCCTAAATTTTAAATTTATTGTTCCCTTTATACAATCCCAATTAAACTGAGGATAGGCCTATTTAAAAGATTATAAATTTGTTTTAATTTTCCAAATTACATGATATGAGAACACTTTAAGATGCAACCAGTGCTTTTATGCTTTTATTAAATGTAAAATTCCTGCACTTTATAGAGCCAAGCTATCTCTAATTGTTCAACAAATAAAAGTGCTTCTCTCTGGTGCTCTTTTAAATATTTTAATAACTTTTAACAATTTACAGTTATAATAAGAGTACTAATCACAAATAGATATCAACATATTTCCTAGTTTTCTATGTTCACTTGTGCCACTAAGGATCCATCAAACATTACCAGACATTTTAGAAAGCTGTGAAGTAATGAAACATCTTGAATTTAAATCAAGATGTTTGAATTTAAATCATTAAGAAAGATAATGGGGAATTTTGAGAATATTTATAAGCATGGCAATCAAAACATTATAGTTTGAAGAATTTCAGGTCCATTGATCAAATCTTTCTTGGCTCCATTTGATTTATTACAACTCACAGGGATGAAGAAAATTCATTGGATTTGGAGTCAGAAGACCTAGGCTACTAAGAGTCTCTTAACCTTGAAGAAGCAACTTATGCTCTTAGAACCACTATTTGCTTATTTGAAAATTTGATATTATAAAATCTGGCCAGTTGACCTTGATGCTCGGCCATGAGGAGCAATTGTAACAATAAATATGTGTAGGCAGGCACCTTACCAAATGTCAACCCTACTATGCTAGGCTT
Source organism: Homo sapiens (assembly GCF_000001405.40). Classification (NCBI taxonomy): domain Eukaryota; kingdom Metazoa; phylum Chordata; class Mammalia; order Primates; family Hominidae; genus Homo; species Homo sapiens. Next base: position 21,003,609 of record NC_000021.9, read on the forward strand.
TGTTTATATTTTTTAATAATGTGTATACAGATTAATTTGTGGCTTATAAACATTTATTTAGTTTTAAAAAATCATCATAAGCTGCTCTGTGATTAGAAAAAAATATCAAGGGGACAGAGATTACTTAAGTTATTGATAAGGGCGACTCATTCATCATTTATTCATTTATCTAACATTTACAGAATACCTGCCCTGTCCCAGACACCTCATTAGACAGCATTACTAGGAATGGTTGCGTAGATTGTGTGAAGAACAACTCCAGGGGGCGTCACTTATTGTCCTAGTGATGCAACACATATTTATTTTTACAATTTGCCAGCAGATGGCAGTAAAAGGTTTTGAGGAATGATGCGCTTTTTTTTGTATCATGAATCCTTTCTATGGACCAACATCAGGCTGGTGTTAAACACCAAGAGGCTTAGGATGGGCACATAATGAAGATAAATGACTTACTAAAGATCAAACAGAAAAGTAAAAAGGTTAGTTACTAGAGCTCCAGTCTCCAAACTCTTCAGTTCTCCTAACACCAAACTTGTTCATAGATTTTATTTAAATGAATCTAATATATCTTCAGCTCAAAGTAAAATATATTTAAATTCTGTGCCATTTTGTCAGATAATCAAATAACAAGCACTTTTTGAGGCCTTAAAATGAGAATATTATCAGCACCTTCTAACAGTACCGACCACTTGTGCGAAGTGCTTTCAGTCACCTTATAACTTATGATTACCAATGAGTCAAGAGACAATTAGCTTTGTTTTATGGATGAAGAAATTGAGGTACAGAAGAATGATCCGATTTGCCTATATCACTTATTTTTGTAGTTATCTGGAACTGGGAGTAGATTTTCCAACTTCCAGTTGCATACCTATTTTTGATATATTGTTGATTCATTTGTTTAAAAATTTGCATGTGTGTGGAAAATTCAATGTTGATAATTACAAAAACAAATAATATAAATTTAAAAAGCCAAATAAGCATGAGGGAGATATATAACTTGTTCAACAAAATATTATAAAATGACAAAATATGTCATATAATTAATTAAACACTAAGTAGTCTGAGTCCTTAGCGGTTTAGTGCCTAGAATGAGCTAAAATTGATTGTGTTTACTAACTGACAGGCTCTCTTATCATAATCCTCTATTAGCTTGTTATTATTACGATTATCGTTCCTTTATCCATGAGGGCCATGAGATACAGGGAGTTTAAATAACTAAGATTGTACTGCTTGGAAATGAGGGTTTGCATATGGGACATGTCCAAAGCCTAGCCTCTTACCAGGACATCACCTTGCCATTCAGTGAAACAGAAAGGGCTTCAATATAGTGAGAGTAAATGGAGAAGATTATTAATACAAGGAGAAAAAAAATGAGTGAACAAATTGTAAGAAGGGAGGGGCGCGTTGAGAGAATAGAAATAATCCAGTTTAATGAATCCAAGGATTCACTAAGCAGTTTGGAAAGGTGAGCCTCTGCACTCAGTTCTGGAAATAGTGGTGGAAGTGGAAGATAGAGTGACCTGGAGGCCAAGCTGGTTTGACTCTAGTGTAAATCTTTTGGAGCCATTGTTTGGGCAGGAGAGTAACATGGTTAAATTTTGGTTTGTTTTTAAGTCTGCTGGCCATGGCCATGTGTAGGATGGACCAGAAGGAAAGCAAAAGAAGTGGACGTGGCACATGTGTCTATGGAAGACTTAATAGGATCTTAGTAACAAATACAAATTGAGAAATTGGTAGGAACGTGCCGCATGAAGTTTTACGTTTATTTAACAGAAAAAAAAGGTTATATCTTAATAGAAATAGGAAAAATAAATGAAAAAGTGCACCCATTTTCAGTAATTTTTAACTTGTTATTTTTAAAATTATATATCAAGTTGCTGTATTCATGGCACATCTAGATAAAAATGTCAATAAATTTGAAAATGGAAACTGTTGATCTTTTTATTGGCCAATTCTTCAGAATAATTTCTTCACTTTTATTTGTCATCTGTCTTTATCTTGTTCTTCCATCCCCATTTATACTTTAAATGTTGTGTAGTATACTTCTGGAATTTTGGGTAAAATCTCAGAAGTATGTAGGTAAAATTTGTTTTCATTATATATTCTTCATTTAAGTCAGCTTCTCTGCTTTATTTATAGTTTCTTTTTCTTTTTAACACTGGCACACCAAAACAAAATAAAATCCAGGAGAACGCCCCCCCCAAAAAAAAAACCCTAAAAACTGACATGAAAAAAGATTTTTGGTATTGAATATATAAAATTTTAACATTTTTCTATTAGTGTCCAAGGGAGGAAAAAAAGAACTAATATTTTTGAGCACCTCTTCTATGCCAGAGAGCTGTGTTGAGCATTTTTACTCATTATCTCATTGAATCCTGATTATATCGTATTTTATAGATGACATTCCTGAGATTAAGAGTGCCTGATTTGCCCAGAGATTTTAAGTTCCTTCTTTAGGCTGACGCTCACATTTATATCAAAGAGCATTAAATACATTTAAGATATGATTCGGTCTTTTTTGCTACAGTGTTTGTTTCTTGGATGCATCTTATCTTGTTACACCATTGATAAACCAGGGGATGATGTGTTATAATGCAGAAATTGTGTTGATCCATGGGTTGGGAGTGGTGGCTCACATCTGTAATCCCAGGACTTTGGGAGGCCAAGGCCGGCAGGTTGCTTGAGATCAGAAGTTTGAAACCAGCCTGGGCAACATGGCAAATCTCCGTCTTTACCAAAAATACAAAAATTAGCTGGGCGTGGTGGTGCATACCTCACTAGTCCCAGCTACTTGGAAGGCTGAGGTTAGAAAATCACTTGAGTCTGGGAGGCAGAGGCTGCACCAAGCAGAGATAGCATCACTGCACTCCAGCCTGGGTGACAGAGTGAGACCCCATCTCAAAAAAGAAAATGAAAAACATGTGTCGATCCATACATGATTTTCTCCACTCATTAATTTCTTAAGTAAGAGCCAGGCTTCCTCACAATTACAGAGAAAGCCTTAGCAAGCTATGAAGACATTAAGAAAAATATGAAAAAATCAACTTAAGGCCCTTCCTTTAGTACAAGTATTCATGTACTTAGTGGCTTTAAGAACATCTTGATTTCTGCTGTAATAGGCATCTCGTGAAGTTGAAAGTGCAGCTGAAGAAGCTGGGAAGTCATTCTGCCTGCTGAAAAATGATGTTTGTTTTTTGTTTACTTTGTTGTTTTTATTTTTTAAAGGCTACACTGTGGATCATAGTTTGCATTTTAAAGTGAATGCCCTTCAGGTCTTGCATCCTGATAGAGGGTGCAAAAGCTAGGTGCAAATACCAGCAGAGATTTAACTATGCTAGTATTGTAATTAAGACTTTTATGGTTTTTGCTGGTGCTTGTTTACAGATTTCTGCAGGTTTTGAATGTTCTGCCTCCTAATCCTGTCTTTTCCCATAAAGTATGATATTTTTTACTGCACAAGTTTTCAGACCCCAGAGATTTTCAGGGATGCAAATATGGTGTGATATCAGAAATGCATGTCTTTACTTGTAAAATCAGCCAATGTACTGACTAAAACCTATAGTATAATATGAATAGGTCCCAATGTAAGAAAATAAGCTCACTTGTAGTTTGTTCTCAATATTAATGAGAGGACTTGGGGACATTTTTTCTATTATTGTAACTTGTTCATTCCCAGCGCTTTTTTTTGGTACCTCTGTTACCAGAAAGGGGTCCCAGTCCAGAACCTGAGAGAGGATTCTTGGATCTTGCACAAGAAAGAATTCAGGGCAAGTCCATAGAGTAAAGTGAAAGCAACTTTATTAGGAAAGTAAAGGAATAAAAGAATGGCTACTTCATAGGCAGAGCAACCCTGAGGTCTGCTGGTTGCCCATTTTTTGTTCTTCATTATATGCTAAACGAGTGGTGGATCATTCATGAATTTTCTGGGAAAGGGGTGGGCAATTCCTGAAACTGAAGGTGCCTCTCCTTTTTAGATGATATAAGGTAACTTCCACAAGTTTCCATGACATCTGTAAACTATTATGGTGCTGGTGGGAGTGTCTTTTAGCATGTGAATGCGTTGTAACTAAGGTACTATGAGCTGTGAGGATGACCAGAGGTCACTCTTGTGGCCATCTTGGTTTTGGTAGGTTTTGGCCGGGTTCTCTACTGCAGCCTGTTTTATCAGCAAGGTCTTTATGACCTGTATCTCGTGCCAACCTCCTATCTCATCCTGTGACTTAGAATGCCTAATCATCTGGGAATGCAGTCCCGTAGGTCTTGGCCTTATTTTACCCAGATGCTATTCAAGATGGAGTTGCTGTGATTCAGACGCCTCTGACGTTTCTAATACTAGGCTTTCTGATTATTTTTATATCCATTCTCTCACTTAATTTTTCTCTGATTATCATTCTCTACTAATCACTGCCTGAAGAGAGCAGTTGAGTTTCTATGTTCTAGCAGTAACTTTGTAAGTATCATGCATGAGAGAAATGCCAAGAACAGATTATGTGAAGATTAATATATACAGTGAGGTATGTCCCATATACTTTGATCAATGACATTTACGTGCTTTTGATTAAAAAAATTACTTACTTAGATAAATCACTTATAACTTTCTGATACAAGCTGAAATTAAGCACATTTTTAATCTTGTTCGCTCTTTATCATACTATTTAGCATAGAAAAACTGGCTTCATGCTACTTATTCTATAGATTACACACTAATCTTTACACCAGGTAAAACTTGTGAATCATCAAAGGGTAAGAATTATACTATGGTAATATTTTTGAATGTATATACGATATGTTGTGGGACATATTAATTGACAAAACACTTATAGTCCATTTTAATTTATCTAATGAAGCCCCACAGTTATCCTGAAAGGTAGATAGTATTTCTGATTTAGAATAGGATAATAAACTTCAAAAAGGTGAAATTACTTGCCCAAATAGAATGCTTTAAAAAATGGTAGGGCCAGACTTGATATAAATATTTTACTTTAGATACAGCATATATTCCTGTTATGTTTCTGGTTTTACTTAAAGGTTTGTTTTACTCACATCCATGAAGCAGTTACCAAAAATTACTTCTTGGTATGAAACATATTTAATATCATTATGTTCTTCAGAGTTTACTTTTGGACTGGGTTTATAAGATGCCATTAATTTTAATTGGAGATCTACCTTTTGTTTGAAATATTTGGGAGTGTTTGACTTAGAACTGTTAATACTTTTGCCTTGTATTCATTGAACAATCCTATTCTCTCAGCCTCATTGCTCATTACTGTGCACACCAGTTCATTCAACAAATATTCGTTAATTTGTATCAGTCATTGTTAAAGGCTTTGAGGAGCCAATCAAAGATGAGATAATATACCTGAATTCTGCACTTCAAACTTACGGTACTTTACTGTGACCTTCCATGTGAACTCCATGGGAGCAAGAATGCCTTTCCCTGCTAGTGTCCCATTAAATGCAATGTACTTGAATAGAGAGAATAGAGAGTTTTCTGTAAATTCATATGTGTATTCCTAGAACATGGTAGAAGCCCGGCAAATATGTGCTGAATGCATATTTAAATATTACCCGGCAGAAGCCAAATTGACTGATTTTAAAAAGCATATTTACTTTTGCCTTTGTATAATGATTTGTTTTGTTGAAAATACATGATATGTTGGCCTGTGTGTTTATTTCACACGTTTTGTTTACATCACTGACATGCATATAGGAGATCTTCCATAAATATATGAACGTCTATAAAATAATAAAGTCATAGTTATTATCTAATTCAGGAGGAATAACAAGGATGAATCACCTTATCCCTGGTCTTATGTCCTCACTGAAAATTAATTAGGCTTGGAATAGAGAAAACTGAAATCGTTCTGTAAGATTTGTTCTTTTGAAGCCTTATCTGAGGCATAGGAGATGGTTATACAGTTGGGGTCTCAAAACTGTTCAATATATATATTGAAATATATAAATAAATGAGGGGGATATAATATCTTGATAAAGGTATAATTAACTAGATTAGATATGGTCAATAGTAAATGTCTGCTGTGTCGATAAAGCAAGTATTTAATGTCCTCAAAATCAAGATAATCCCCCATAGTTAATTAAAAGTTGATTATTCATTCTATTGTTATTGGAAACCAATTCTGAACTGTATGTATGGTAAGAGAAGTGAGAAAATACTTGTTTTATCTTAGTTTTTAAGAGATACTTTAATGTTTTCTCTGTTTTAAAAAGATGAAATTTCATTTAACCTCAAAAATCCTCCTTTGGCCTCTGATAGCTGTGTGTGTGTGTGTGTGTGTGTGTGTGTGTGTGTTTTAATGATTTTTGTGGTGTTCTCTAGGTCCAACTTCAGTGATAAAAGCATTTAAGTTTATTGGACGGAGTACATTTTTGGATACCCCAGAAAATCTTTATCACCTATTTATCTGTGTGCCTGCCATTTATCTATTAATGTTACCATTATTATATATGATGCTTTTAACTGGAAACACAGTTTGCAATTAAAGAAATTACTAGTGCTTCTGATTTATCTATTTTTACTTTTATCTCCCTCCTAAAGTTTACATATAATCACTTTAATTGGTAATCTAGATGAGTTATTTTATTTCAAAGCCCCCTCATACACGCTATGTTAATGCATTTTACCTCTGTGTGGATTGCAGGTGGTTTGCAATTTAAGAACAAAACTTAACCTAGGTTGTTCAATGGCTTATGAAGGCCTATGTGCTTTATAAAAACCTTCACCACCACATCCAAAATGGATATGAAATGTTCAACTTTACTGTGCTCGTGTTATTAAAATAACACTTCTTAGTACACAATTAAGAGCTATTATGCAATACCCTAAGTTGTTAATGTATTTTTGCTTTCAAGTCCCTGTATCATTTTTATTTTAATGAAACATTTTATGAAAAATAGCCTCCTTCCTACACTGTGCATTAATACAGCGATTGTTTGATGAACAGTGACTTCTTTAATCAGGAAATACCTCTTTCTTACTAGGAAAATCAAAGGATTAAACTATTGACTATGGGAGGAAAGAGGACTTTGTGATTAGTCAAGTTTCACTTGAGCTTTCCTGCTCAGCTGCCTCTCACTCCCATGCCTTTTACCTCATTTTAAAGTCTCTAAGTCTCAGGTGATGGACATGGATGTGGATGTGTGATGGAAGAAGATAAATCTTTATAAGTGTAAAGTGTCATTACTAATTAGAACTCCGAAACACATTCTAACCTCCCAGTAGAAACGCATGCAGGGAGCTGAGGTTGAATGATAAAGGGAAGTGAATACTCAAAGACTAATCACTGTTTTGTTTCAGGGAGGATAATTCATCACCTAAAGGGGAATGGGAATGTGGGTGGTTGTGTTAGAAGGGCGAAGAGCTTGGATAAAATCTAATATAGTTTCATGCATACAGGGGAGAAAAAGATACCCAGAATGTATAGAATGATTATAGGCAGCCTTGTTTCCTTAATGATCAGTGTGTAGTTTTAAGTATTTGGTGAATTAATTGAATGAAAGAAGGAAACCTGCCATTTACTCTGCAGGGTTTTTTTTTCTTTTTTTCCATAGGGATTACATCATTTTTAAATTCAAAGCATGTAGGACATCTGAACTATTATTTTAGAGATGAGGGAACTGATTTTCATAAAAGATATGTAGCATCTAATAAGGGAAGGATCTGATATTCAAATTCAGGAATATCTGATTCTAAAATGATGCTCATTTCACTGATGGAAACATAGTCCCTTGAAGAAACGAGGAGTTGCAGAAGGAAAAAGACAAGCACTAGGAGTAGCTCTAGCTTCAGGTTTTTATCATTTTTTTCTGGCCAATTCTCCCCCCGCCTCCCACCCAGCTGTATAATACATATATTTACAGTATATGGCATGATTTTTTGACGTACGTATGTATTGTGAAATTATTATATCAAGCTAAGTATCTATCGCCTTATATAGTTATTTCTGTTGTTGTTAGAACATCTAAGATCTAGTCTCTTAGCAATGTCCAGGTATACAATACATTTTTAACTATAGTCACCGTGCCATGCAGTACATCTTCAGAACTTATTCAACAGAATGAAAAGACTAACTATGGAATGGGAGAATATATTTGTAAACTATACCTCTGATAAGGGGTTAACATCCAAAATATATAAGTAGTTCAGATAACTCAATATCAAGAAAACAAATAACCCAATTTAAAAAAAGGGGGCCAAACAACTGAGTAGATATCTTCTAGAAGCTGACATATATATGGTCAAAGGCATACAAAAAAATGCTCAACATTGGTTTTCAAGGAAATGCAAATTAAAAACCATAAGGAGATATCACCTCACACCTGGTAGATTGTCTGTTATAAAAAAGACAAAATCTAATGTTGGTGAGGAGAACAGAGAAGCTTCGTGCATTGTTTTGGGGAATAGAAATTAGTACAGACATTATGGCAAATAGTATGGAGGTTCCATAAAAATGAAAAAATGGAAATGCCATATCATTGGTTCATTGCTTTTGAATGGCCAAATCCAGGTTAGTGACTGCCAGTTGGTAAACGAGTAACTCTTTTAGAGACTTAAAATATTAATAAGCATGGAGAACTAGCAGGATTTAGAGATAATAGGGTGGGGTTTAGAGTGGTTGTAAGGTGGGGAAACTCGATTGTTTAGATTAGTGTAATTCATTAAGAACTACATAACATTAATATTTAAATATGAGCTGTATCTTTAAATGGCTTTTCTTATTGTGAATCACTACAATGATCAATAATTTAGTAAGCCGTCAGTCTGTGGATGACTTACTGAATATTATCATAGTGAAATTACATCAGTTTAGGATGCTTTTAGGGGCAAAGAAGAGAAGGACAAATTCAAAATGGCTTAAAAATAATCTATTATAGCACAGGAAAGGCCATATAGAGGTAGGTTTTAATTTCATATTTCTACTCCTGGTTTTGCTGTTTTTACTTGGCTTTGTGGAAGAAACTTGTCTTCAGCAACTCAAAGCATCACATACTTATGCACTTACCTGAAGTTGGGAAATAAAGAAATATAGGCGCAGTTTATTTTATTGTGTTTCCTTTTATTGCATTTCACAGATACTGCATTTTTTTTACAACTCGAATGTCTGTGGCCCCCCTGTGTCAAGCAAATCTATCGGCCTCATTTTTCTGATAGCATATGCTCTCCTTGGGTCTCTGTGTCACATTTAGGTAACTGGCAATATTTCAAACATTTTATTATTATTATGTCTTTATGGTGATCTGTTATCATTGATCGTTGATGTTACAATTGTAATTATCTTAGGGTACCTCAAAGCATACCCACATAATGACAAACTTAATCAATTTATAAGTGTCGTGTATACTCTGACTGCTCCACTGACTGGCTGTTTCCTGGTATTTGTCCCTCTCTTCAGACCTTCCATTCCCTGAGACACAACAATATTGAAATTAGGCCAATAAATTAACCCTACAATGGCCCCTAAATATTCAAGTCAAAAGACGGGTCACAGGTCTCTCCCTTAAAATCAAAAGTTAGAAATAATTAAGTTTAGTGAGGAAGGCATATTGAAAGCCAAAATAGGCCAAAAGCTAGGCCTCCTGTGCCGGTTAACCAAATTATGAATGCAGAAAACACAATTACTGAAGGAAATTAAAAAAGCCACTCCAGTGAATACACAAATAAGAAAGCAAAGCAACCTTATTGCTTATATGGAGAAAGTTTTACTGGTTTGGATAGAAGAGCAAACTAGCCACAATATTCTCTTAAACCAAAGCGTAATCCAGAGAAAGGTCCTAATACTCCAGTTCTGTGGAGGCTGAATTGGAGAGGTGAGGCGAGACAGGTGAGGAAGCTACAGAAGAAAAGTTGGAAGCAAGCATAAATTAGTTCACGAGGGCCGGACGTGGTGGCTCACACCTGTAATTTCAGCACTTTTGGAGGCTGAAGTGGGCAGATCATTTGAGGTCAGGAGTTCGAGACCAGCCTGACCAACATGGTGAAACCCCGCCTCTACTAAAAATACAAAATTAGTGGAGCATGGTGGTGCATGCCTGTAATCCCAGCTACTTGGGAGGCTGAGGCAGGAGAATTGCTTGAAACCTGGAGGCGGAGGTTGCAGTGAGCTGGGATTGTGCCATTGCACTCTAGTCTGGGCAAAAAGAGTGAAACTGCATCTCAAAAAAAAAAAAAGAAAATAAAAAAGAAATTGGTTCATGAGGTTTAAAGAAAGAAGCCATCTCCATAACATAAAAGTGCAAGGTGAAGCAGCAGATGCTGATGGAGAAGCTACAGCAAGTTATTCAGAAATTCTAGTTAACATAGTTGATGAAGGCAGGACTACACTAAACAACAGAATTTTAATATAGAAGAAACAGCCTTCTATTGTCAGATGATACTATCTAGAAGTTTCTTAGCTAGAGAAGAGAAGTCAATGCTTGGCTTCAAAGTTGCAAAGGACAGGCTGGCTTTCTTCTTAGGGAATAATACAGCTGGTGACTAAGCTGAAGGCAATGCCCATTTGCTATTCTTATAGTCCTAGCGTCCTTAAGAATTACGCTAAGTCGTAATCCCAGCACTTTGGGAGGCCGAGGAAGGCAGATCATGAGGTCAAGAGATCGAGACCATCCTGGCCAACATGATGAAACCCCATCTCTACTAAAAATACAAAAATTAGCTGGACGTGGTGGTGCACACCTGTAGTTCCAGCTACTCTGGAGGCTGAGGCAGAAGAATAGCTTGAACCTGGGAGGCGGAGGTTGCAGTAGGCCGAGATCGTGCTATTGCACTCCAGCCTGGGCAATGGAGTGAGACTCCATCTCAAAAAAAAAAAAAAAAAATTATGCCAAATCTATTCTGACTGTGCTCTACAAATGAAACAAAAAGCTGGGATGACAGCACATCTGTTTACAACATGATTTACTGAATATTGTAAGCTCACTGTAGGGACCTACTTCTCAGAAAAGAAAAAAGTTCCCTTCAAAATATTACTGCTAATTGACAATGCCTCTGCTCAATCAAGAGCTGTCGTGGAGATTTACAAAAAGATCAACATTGTTTTTATGCCTACTAACACAACATTCATTCTGTAGCTCAGGGATCAAGGAGTAATTTTGACTCTTGCTCTTATTCTTTAAGAAATATATTTCATAAGGCTATAGCTGCCATCGGTAATGATTCCTCTAATGGATCTGGGCAAAGTCAATTGAAAACCTTCTGGAAATTCACCATTCTAGATGCCATTAAGAACATTTGTGGTTCATGGGAGGAGGTCACATGTCAACATTAATAGGAGTTTGGAAGTTATTCCTCGTATTTCTCCATCCTCATGGATGGCCGAGGTTCAAGACTTCGGCAGAAGTAGTAACTGCAGATCTGATGGAAAGAGGAAGAGAAATAGATTAGAAGTGGAGCTTGCAGATGGGACTGAAATTCTGCAATCTCATGACAAAACTTGAATGGATGAGAAGTTATTAGCTTCTTATGGGTAAGCAAGGAAAGTGATTTCTTGAGATGGAATCTAATTCTGGTGAAGATGTTCTGAACCTTATTGAAATATAAACATTATTTAGAATATTACATACACTTAGTTAATAAAACAGTCAGAGGGTTTGAGAAGACTGACTTCAATTTTGAAAAGCATTCTATTGTAGGTCAAACACGATCAAACAATATTGCATGCTACAGAGAAGTACGTTAGGAAAGGAAGAGCCGATTGAAAACACCGGACATCATTGTTGTGTTATTTTGAGAAATTGCCACAGTCACTTCAACCTTGAGCAAACCCCTACCCTGATCAGGAAGTAACCATTTACATGGAGGCAAGACCCTCTACCAGCTAAAGGATTAGGACCCACTGAAGGCTTAGATGATCCTTCACTCTTTTTTAGCAATAAAACATTTTTAAATTAATGTATGGACATTTTTAGACATCATTCTGTTGCACACTTAATAGACTAGTATAAATACAACTTTTACATGCCCTGGAAAACCAAAAAAAATTGTGTTACTTAGTTTATTGTGATATATGCTTTATTGTATTCTGGACTCAAACTGGCGATATCTCCAAGGTATGCCTGTATTTCTGTTTTGTTTGTTTGTTTGTTTTTGGTTTTTTTTGAGACAAAGTCTCGCTCTTGTCCCCCAGGCTGGAGCGCAATGGCACGATCTCGGCTCACTGCAACCTCCGCCTCTCGCGTTCAAGCAATTCTCCTGCCGTAGCCTCCTGAGTAGCTGGGATTACAGGCGCCTGCCACCATGCCTGGCTAATTTTTTTTTTGTATTTTTAGTAGAGACAGGGTTTCACCATGTTGGCCAGCTGGTCTTGAACTCCTGACCTCAGGTAATCCGCCCACTTCGGCCTCCCAAAATGCTGGCATTACAGACGTGAGCCACAATGCCCAGTCGCCTGTATTTCTTTAGTTGATTTTCTTTGGAGGAAAAATCCCCTTACCCTGTGTTGTCTAGCCAACTTCCCTCAATACTCATTGGCTATAATCATTTCATATGATCACTCCTAAATTAATTGGTGGTGAGGAGAATGACATTAACATGATTTCCTTTCCCGAATCAACTCCCTTTTGCTGATGGGAAGATCTGCCTCCCTCGAAGTACATGACTGGCCAATCAAATGACGTGTCCATCTTGCAAGGAAGAATGAAGGATCGAGAATATTGTAGTCAAATATGTCTGCCGCAGGAATGTTGAAAAGACCATTTTTGACAAAGAATGCAAACAATATCAAAGCCAACGTTTATAAAGTTCTTACAGTGTACCATATTTATGCGCTTCGTATGTGTGATCTCATATGATTCTCCAAACTTTTGAGATTAATTATCTTTTATAAATGAGGTAATGAGATTTTAAAGAGTTTAGATGACTTGCCTAACTGACAACACTGTCAGTGGCAAAGTTGGGATTTGAACTCAGTCTGATGGGCAAAAAGAGTTGTCTTCTACCAGCCAAGTTGCCATAAAAGAAAACTATGCATTGTGCATAGTTTTACTCTTGTTAAGTGTAAGAATGATAAGGTAAGGCTATTAACTTGCTTTGTGAACAGGCTATGTTCTGGGCACTTTCCAAAAAAAAAGCTGTTATGCTTGAGCTTCTTTAATACCTATATCTGCTTATATATTATTATTATTTAAAAAGGTTTTACAAATAAGGAAATTATGGGACAGAGTGATAAGTAATTTGCCGCAGGTCACGTAGCTATGAAGTGACCAAGGTGGAGTTTGAACTCAGGCTTGCTTTGCCTTTGAAGACCTGGGTGCCTCCCACTACACAGTGCTTGGGGACTATAGTCAATATATGGCAGGAGAAGGGTAATAGATTTGGAATAAACCAAAATGCATACCCTTGTCTAGTCCTCCAAAAGCTTATGATATAAAAGAAGCTAACATTTTTCAAGGTAAATATTTTTATTGTTTTTACATTCTTTTCAAGAGTATGTAGGAGAATAACATTTTCAAGTGTAAGGAGGCTTAGGAAAATATTCATATTGTTTCTGGAAGAGGAAGAATTGGTTAAACAATAGAAATGGGGCTGGGTGCCATGGCTCACGCCTATAATCCCAGCACTTTGGGAAGCCGAGGTGGGCATATCACTAGGTTAGAGAGATCTAGACCATCCTGGCCAACATGGTGAAAACCCGTCTCTACTAAAAATACAAAAAATTAGCTGGGCGTGGTGGTACATGCCTGTTGTCCCAGCTACTTGGGAGGCTGAGGCAGGAGAATCACTTGAACCCAGGAGGTGGAGGTTGCATTGAACAGATATCACGCCACTGCACTCCAGCCTGGCAACAGAGTGAGACTCTGTCTCAAAAAAAAAAAAAAAAAAAAAAAAGAAATAGAAACGGGAACCAGAGTCTTCTATAGAGGGAGAAGTTGTAACTAAGAGTGGTGATTTGAAATGGACCGATGAGGCAAGTTATATATCGAAGCACGGGCGATTATGCAGACTCACTAATCCGGGTGCATGCCTCGACCAAAGTGAGCTATACTATTCCTCGCTTATGATTTCTTCCAAAAGCTGCACAGTGAATCAAAAGTTAGGGTAATACAAAATCATGGTTTGAAGCACTTGGTGTATGAAACTATGCACGCGCTCCATAATTTCTTTTTAGGATAGCTATGCTTTTTCTTTGCCAGGCACTTGCATTAACACTGTGCAAAATAGCCAAATCTATAAAATTTTATGTAAAATATATTTTTAAAATTTATGTAACATATATATTTGTTTGTATAGGTCTGTGTATATATATTTGTGTGTGTGTATATACTTATACACATACAGATATTACATATATATGCATACAGAAGCTTGGGGAAACCATTCTATGCTGTATCAAATTCTTTCAATGCTCTATCAAAATGTTTGCTTTATTTGTTTCATTAGTTTCATTAGTACTGAAATTCATGAATATTTTACGTTATTAGTTCTTTGCTGATTTTTGCTTCTAAGAAGCAAATGTACTTCATTCTAAAACATTGGACTCATTATTCACACTTCGTATAACTGAAGACTAATTAGCCAGTGTTTAATTTCTCAAGACTACAAAACAATATCTGCTGTCTCCTTGTTACACAAAACGAAGAGCTAAACACCTCTCCCCACTATTTTTTCAAAGAAACTCCCAACACACAAGTATCCATAATTGATGATGTTTTCCATCAAAACATAGTCAGTGAATATAGATAAAATCGGCATTTGGAGTATGAATGTTTTGGTTCCAGCTCAGGGACTGTAATTGAACTGCATGCGCAGACTTGAATTCTTCATTTCAGTTTCTCCAGTTTGTAATTAAAGAGATGAAGGCTGCTAAGTTTCTGATGGTGTTATACTCTGTTTTACATTGGACTGCACAACTGAATTATCACACTTCTTGTTACAGTGCTGCTGAACAAATTTAACATATTTGTAATATCACAATAAGTATTGGATCATAAAATTATAGATGCATATTCTCTTATATTTCAGTGGTCTATCATCGTGTCCCTTTTGAGAATTACTAAATAGATTATCTGCTTCTATTTCTGTTGACAGAGAACAGATTTCATTTGTGTAAAGAGCTTTTGTGAGGTATGTTGGTTCTGTTTTTCATATAAAGCATTTCCATATTTTCAGGTACTCAGGTCAACTAAGTGCACTTATTTGCAGCAAAATAAGAATGTTCAAATTAGAGAGTTTGTAGTAACTTTATTGCTAGCAGGTTTATGGTTTTATGGAAATAAAAATATTTAGAGAGCTTTCCTTTTTCTATAACTAGCATTGAATGGTTCTATTTTAAAACAATTCTTTGATTTACTTTTACTTCTTACAGATTGGTGACACCAGTCAAAATTGTTTCTGAGGTTTTCAGAATTCACATCACGTGGTTGGTCATTGAAGTATTCTGGCTGAATGGTTGGATGCTAAATGGATTCCTGCCAGCACATGGCAGTTCCAGGCATTGAGGCCAATGACTGCTTAGTGCTGGGGTGAAACACTTTCCCATGCACAAGTTGCTGGTGGTTTCCTGTGAATAAATTTGGATCCTGTGGCCTAAATAATTTCTTCAGCAGATAATTCAGTGTCTGTGTTTTGTTCCCAGTTCTGTTCCATGCTCAGTGAAGCCTCGCTCTGTATACTTAAATATCTAAGTATTTTTCCCTTTAGCTTCAAAGCAAACTTTTTGATAATTATACCTGCAAAAATTTTATTTTTATTTGTAGAGATGCACACTTCAAAATTTATTTTTATTTGTAGACATGCAAACTTCAAAATATTCTTCCATGCCATAGGTTTTATGATGATTAAACAGCACGGAGTTTGAGATCTGGCAGATTTGCATATAAATCTTGCTCATCCACTTGCTGGATGTGAGGTCTTCTGCAAGTCATTCAATGCTTTTCTTAAGAAAAGAATATTAAGAGTGTTCCTTAATATTTTCATCCATAGAATGAGGATAATAATATTAGTGCTATTCACAAAGTATCCAATTAATATTAGCTCTTTTCCTTAGTATTACAATAGAGCCAATTTATAATTATTTTTTTTATTATTTATTTTCCAAGCCTCCTTTAAAAAATATTCAAAGAAAATTTGGATATATCAAAAATGATGTTCCAGTAAAATGTCAGAATGTTTATCTTGAGGTAGTTATTAGCTTTGCAAAGTTACATTACCACTCTGCCACTGAATACATTCTATTCAGTTTTCGCATACTTCGCTAAGTGCCTAGGGCAGCTGATAAGTTTAGCTTTTGTGGGCTTTATGGTGTCTAGATCCTTTCTGCTTCTCTGTGTTAGCTGGGTGCTGTCGTGGTGCAGGGCTTCATAGATGAGTCAGAATGTGGAATTGAGGGTAATTACTCAGTTTATTAACTGACTAACTGCATAAATCCTGAATCCAGTACAAACTTCAGTTTCTTTTCTTTTTTCTTTTCCTATTTTTATTTATTTATTCTTTTTGAGATGCTGTCTCGCACTGCTGCCTGGGCTGGAGTGCAGTGGCGTGATCTAAGTTCACTGCTACCTCTGCCTCCGGGTTCAAGTAATTCTCCTGCCTCAGCCTCCCGAGTTGCCTGGATTACAGGTGCCCACCACCAAGCCTGGCTAATTTTTGTATTTTTAGAAGAGATGGGGTTTCACCGTGTTGGCCAGGCTGGTCTCAAACTCCTGACCTCAGGTAATCCGCCCGCCTCGGCCTCCCAAAGAGCTGGGCTTACAGGCGTGAGCCACTGCACCCGGGTGACCAACATTCAGTTTCCCTCTCAGGGCTGTCCTCCACTCTCAAGGACTTTCCCTTTCTTCCCTGACATTACTCGAACTGTTGTCTGGGCTCTGGTGGAAGCTTATTGTTGTTATTTTTCTCCACTTCTCTTCATCTGTAACTCACCTGTAGACCTTGGTTGTGCCTCCACTTTGTGCAGTGTCTGTACTAGCAGCATTTCACAGCGTGACCACAGCACAAGCACAGATGTTTCCGCAATTCTAAGTAAGGCTCCACCTCAGCTCCCACTGATCCAGTCGTGCCCAGAGGCTCAGCATGCTCTCCCTCGGGACTTGGCTGGTGGAGTTCCTCCCATAACCTGTGTTACCAGGTTTCCTGATTCGAGCTCTAGTGATACCCCCAGCTAGTTCGGTAACAATATATTCTCTTCTAATGTATTCATCCTATTAAAGGTATTATAGGAACACTTTTTAAATATCTTCCACATTATAGTAGAGCAGTAAAGACATAGGGGAGAGGGAAAACTTGGACTCACTGTGGCCTAGTAGACTTCCCTATCTTTATACCCTCTGGAAGGCAGTCATTCTAGAGTACCGTCCATGCTTGTTGCAAAGACAAAGTCCGTTTATCCCTCAAATCTTTCTGTGGTGGTTATAGTAAAGATTGTGGCAGTAGGGTTGGTAAGGTAGGTTGGCCAGGTGTCTCCTGGGTCCCACAGAGAATTACAACACAGGAAAGGAAAACATAGTATGCCAAGAGACATTTGATGATCTTCTGCTTTCATCCTTCCCAGCAATTTATTGCATTCTTCTCTTTAAGGAAATGGGAAACTATACTTAAGCAAATGCATTCTTTTTCTATGGATCATTTTTTTTTTGTAAATTCTTTGTTATGGGCCATTTAGTTATTGATATTTAAAGGGGTCCTTATTAAGAAAACATTCATCTCTTTGAAGCACATGGATTTGGGCTTTAAAACCCCAGCATTCAAGGCCATCCATTCTGCCATGCTCTATTTTAAAGTGTGCTGTGAAAAGCAAAGTTGATGATGACTTTTTTGGTTCTCAGCTTTTGCAGACCTCATCAAGCAATGGGTGGCTTAGTTCACTTCCGTGTAAAGCCTGGAGAAACAAGCCTTAGAGAACTTGTTTAGAGAGTGAGAAAGACTCAATACATAGACATGTAAGAATGAAATAGAAACAAACAGTAGGAGATAAAATTGAGTCAACGGTGATTGTTATGTTTATAAAAACTAGAAGGATTGATTTGATTCCCAACTTGCAATTCTAGAACAATTTTCCAGGGGTAGCTTTTTTAATCTTTCACAAGCTGGTATTTTTTAATCTATTCATTTATCCCAATTTATCTTATAAACCCAAGCTCAAGCCATACTTAATTTTTAAAAACACTTCTTAGTCATTTTAAACCATATTTCTCCATCTCTTATGAACGACTAGTACAAAGATTAGTACCGCTCATTTGAACATGTAATCTCATATAATCCAGTGTTAGAGTTTTTTAATTTTGTTAATCTCGTCCTCTAAATTTTATTCTAAGCTTCTTACATTCTAAGCTTTTTATACACAGAAGTTTTATGTCATGCACATAGTAGATGTTCAGTAAATAGTTTTTGAAAAAATAAATGGATGATGCTCTGATATTGTTATTTATACTTAGAATAAAAGAAGAGATTGAAAACAGTAACACAAGAAATTTGGTTTATATAAAGTTAAATAAATATCTGGCTGTGATGGCTTTTATAAATGAACATATTGTACTGATAAATGTCATAGAATGTAGTCTTGAAAGACTTTAAAGATAAGCGTGCCCTTTTATCTAATTAGAATAGTTTAGTTGAAAATAAAAGTAAAATAAGTTGTATCCAAGTGTTTTAAAAAAATACATACTTAAAAAATTAAACTCATGTGTTTTTCCTTCTTTATTTAGATTAACTTAGTAGTTTATTGGAAACTTAATGAAGAATATATACAACACTTTCCTTCTCAATACTTTACTTCCAGATTGTTAGAGAAGACAGCAAATAAAGGTAATAGTCAAACTCCTAGAAGACTTTGTGTATATAATTTAGTTATTTTCATGTCCTGCCTAACTAAATTATTTTAATTTTTGCATGGCTTTAAATGTTCTATAGTAGAATTGATTTCAGTTATAAAAATAGGGAGTGGATTTTCAAGTATTACTATTCAGGTAAACAATATTTGAATTATTTTACTGCTAAAACTGTTATACTAGTTATACTTACACACAGGCTAATTCTTTGTGACCACCCTCTGTATCTAAAGAATAGATTAAAACATAGGTTACTATTTATTAATACAATTGCAAATTATTTTAACATAATTTCATTTCAATAGTCCATTTGTTTTCATGTAATATACAGTAATAATAATGAGTTTTTTTAATGTTTCACTTTGATGAAATGAATGTTAAAACTTTATAATCTGTTTGCAGTTGTGGGAAATTTAGTTTTAACCGGGAAAAGGTGAGGATGTCAAGAAGTGATTGTCATAGACATGTAGATCTTACAATAATTAAATAACAAAAGCAGCAATAACAGAGGCATAGCATAATAAAAGTTAGAGTAGAAGAAGTCAACCATTGTAAACATGTATTTGATTTTACATAAAATATTTACTTTAAAATGAGTTAATATTTATAGTCTAAAAATGTGAAAATACATATATGGTCATAGTCTGAAAGACATATATACAACAGTAAGCTTTATACCTAAATAAGAACATGGGAAGTAAGAAAGATAACTAGCACAAAAATCCAAACTGGCTGTTTTACTCCATTGAAAGTTGCATTTAATTTTGAGTTGACTGAGAAAGGAATAAGATGGGATATACTATAATTCTTATTATGAAATGAGGTAACTGTACTAGTTATTAAGAAGGAATATTAAGGCTGGGTGCGGTGGCTCACGCCTGTAATCTCAGCACTTTGGGAGGCCGAGGTGGACAGATCACTTGAGGTCAGGAGTTTGAAACCAGCCTGACCAACATGGTGGAATCCCGTCTCTACTAAAAGTGCAAAAATTAGCCAGGCGTGGTGGTGGTCACCTGTAATCCCAGCCACTCTGTAGGCTGAGGCGGGAGAATCACTTGAATCTGGGAGGCGGAGGTTGCAGTGAGCCAACGTTGTGCCACTGCACTCCAGTCTGGGTGACAGAGTGAGACTCCATTAAAAAAAAAAAAAGAAGAAGAAGGAATATTGAAATTAATTTATTGTGTGGTTCTTCAAGTTAGATAACTTTAAACAGCTTAATAGATGATGTCTCCCAAACTGGTTTTAGAAAAGATCCAAAACCTTTTTAATAGTATTATTTTAAATTAGCCATGGAAACAGCCTGGAGCTTAGTGGATTGTATTTGCCTATAATCTAATTTACTCATATATGCATACATGTATGCATATTATAAATATGGATATATTTGTCACAAAGAAAGGAGCATTATTGTTTAGCATTTATTGTATATATATTTAGATATGTCATTCATATCTAATTTTTTACATTAAAGCAACAAGTTAAAATGTAATTTAAAGTGATGAATAATAAAACAATTTTCACAAATATGTTTCTGAGGATTTTGGCTTTAATGTCGTATACTCATTTCTATTTGTCAAATCCTAGCTTTGTGAAACCACTGAGCCCTGTGGGTAATAAAAAGATGTATAAACCCTGGATCATTTTCTCAAGGGATTTACCATCCAAGCATCGGTAATAATACACTTGTTCCCAAAGCAATAATACAAAGAATATGTGATATTCCATATAAGTGATGAAATGTGATGTCAGCCTGCGAATGCTATTTGATTGTATGTGTGTGCATGAATGCTGACAATCTGATTGAAACAACGCAGTCAAAATGAGTCTCTCACTCAGGAAGAACTATAAAATCAACCAGTTTTGTTCTGACACCTACAGGATATCAGTTCCTTTATGATACCACTATTTCTGGGAGCAGACACACACCTTGCTTTTGCACATGCAGTTTTCCCCTGGAACAAAGGAGATGGTTAGGTTTTGTGTTCTCCAAGAAATCCTGGGGGGGGAAAAAACAGAGAAAATTGAAGTATTTATTTATAAAACATGCAAACTATTTTAATACAACATCCTGATTTTACAAATAAAGAGAAAAGAAATCCCTTAAAGGTATAAATGACTTCAATTATCCACAGCCAGCACAGAGAATGGCTTGATCCTCAATCAGTTGTCCAACTTAAGTAGAAAAAAACTTTAAAAAATGTACATTGGGGGCTGGGCGCGGTGGCTCATGCCTGTAATCCTAGCACTTTGGGAGGCCGAGGCGGATGATAACCTCAGGTCAGCAGTTCGAGACCAGCCTGGCCAACATGGCGAAACCCCGTCTCTACTAAAAATACAGAAAAAGAAAAAAAATTAGCCAGGCATGGTGGCGCATGCCTGTAATCCCAGCTAGCTGGGAAGCTGAGGCAGGAGAGTTGCTGGAACCCAGGAGGCGGAGACTGCAGTGAGCTGAGATCACACCACTTCACTCCAGCCTGGGCCAGAGAGGGTGACTCCGTCTCAAAGAAAAAAAAAAAAAAGTGTACAGTACGAAAAAAAGGTTTTGTTTTGTTTTGTTTTCATTAAAAACTACTTTCAGGTCAGAATTTTATGTGCTTTAAAAGTTATTTTGAATGTGCTAGATTATTGTTTGCATTCTTTCCTCTAAATACACACTATGGTCTTTTATTACAAAGGAAAAGGATTTAAAAATTAAGGACTATAACTTTTTTTTTTTTTGAGATGGAGTCTCGCACTGTAGCCCAGGCTGGAGTGCAGTGGTGCAATCTCGGCTCACTGCAAGCTCCGCCTCCCGGGTTCATGCCATTCTCCTGCGTCAGCCTCTTGAGTAGCTGGGATTACAGGTGCCTGCCACCATGCCCGGCTAATTGTTTGTATTTTTAGTAGAGACGGGGTTTCACCGTGTTAGCCAGGATGGTCTCAATCTCCTGACCTCGTGGCCTGCCCACCTAGGCCTCCCAAAGTCCTGGGATTACAGGCGAGAGCCACTGCGCCCGGCCATTTTTAAATGATGTTCTATCTCCCCAGGACTGGCGGTTTCTGTGTATGAGAGACGTCATTTCTAAGATAGTGAGTGTCCCACTGTTTAATATTTTATGATTAGAGGAATTCAATGTCTGTCATTTTAAATGTAGAAATTACTGTTATTAATGGTAAGAGTCTTTACTGAATATGAACAAAATGTATTAATTTTACTTGGAGTCAAACCACTATATTTTTTTGTGTCCCAGGAATTTATTCTCCTATGTACCCAGGAATTTGTTCTCTTATATCAATATTCATTTTTTTCACAAAGAGGAGGCATTTTATAAGAAAAATAATGGAAATAACTAGTACTACTTCCTGGGCAAAGGATATGGTATTGCTGAGATGGAGCTAATAATTGGTGAACTGGCTATACATACTGGAGCTGTGAGCTGTTGTGTCTTTGAATGAGAGACTGGACTCAGATTAACTGATTGGCAAGTATACCCACAAGTATATGAGAAGTCTTGGCTGAAAATTGGTTAGCAAATTGATAATGCCTTTGGGCAATTGATGTGAAGATAGAGTTTAGTGAGTTCAGGGAGGGTCAATATTTTTAATTGAATTGTGAATGACAACAGGAGTCAGGTGGAGAATAACCTAAAGCTTGTTTTATCTAAAGTCATTTAAAAGGCTCAAGGCGAGAAATAAGTTTGATGAGTGCTGAGAACTTGGGAAGTATCAGTGTGACGTGGATTTGTTCTAGAGGTGTGATGATGGTGGTGAAGAGAGAAACTGACATGAACCTTGGAAGGAAGCAAGAGCCGGGCTCAGCATCTTCTAGCATTGTGGTAAAGGTTAATAAAAGAAGGCAATTAACTAGGGTTTATTTGAGAAAAGGAAGAGGTTAGAAAAGAAGGTCTAAGTGTTTTAAAGTTTGAGTTTAAATGCCTACAATGAAAAATCTTCCAAGTCAAAAATACTTGAGATTATCTCCATGAAAACTTACTTAAAAATTTCAAAGTTAGGCCAGGCGCGGTGGCTCACGCCTGTAATCCCAGCACTTTGGGAGGCCGAGGCGGGTGGATCACCTGAGGTCGGGAGTTCGAGACTAAAAATATAAAAATTAGCTGGGCGTGGTGGCAGGCTTCTGTCATCCCAGCTACTCAGGAACTTGAGGCAGGAGAATCGCTTGAACTCAGGAGGCGGAGGTTGCAGTGAGCTGAGATGGCACCCCTGCACTCCAGCCTGGGCAATACGAGTGAAACTCCGTCTCAAAAAAAAAAAAATTTTTCAAATTTAGTATCTTTCCTGGATATCACGTAGTTTCTCTATTCCTAAGAAATTCTGTTTGATAACATAACCTGTAGTGATGTATTTGTGCACTTCTGTGGCATTTGTTTTTTCTCATTTTGTGGAGAAAATATCTATATTTTTATTTTCACCATTTTCTTAATCCTATATGAGATTTTTAACCATGGCAAATGTTTTCTTTTCTTCTTCTTCTTTTTTTTTTTTTTTTTTTGAGACAGCATCTCATTCTGTTGCCCAGACTGGAGTGCAGTGGTGCAGTCTTGGCTCACCACAACCTCCACCTCCCAGGCTCAAGTGATTCTTCTGCCTCAGCCTCCTGAGTAGCTGGGATTGCAGGCGTGCTCCATTGCCACCCGACCAATTTTTGTATTTTTAGTAGAGACGTGGTGTCACCATGTTGGCCAGGCCGGTCTTCAACTCCTGACCTTAAATGATTCACCTGCCTCAGCCTCCCAAAGTGCTGGGATTACAGGCGTGAGCCGCCGTGCCCGGCCCAAAACTTTTATTTTCTGAGTTATAATTTTTTAATTGACTACATGCAGTATTAATTTATTTATTTGACCCAGGCTATCTGGGGTATTAATTTATTTATATTTTCCATTGCTAGGTAAGGTGAGCTCATTCATGTATTTATTTATTTTAAAACATCTTTGGAGAGTCAACTGTTTACCAGTCATTATGGTAGCATTATGATAGAAATTTGGTTCATAGAGATGAATAAAACACTGTCTTTTCCTGCCAGGAACTATAAGTTTCATTCAGAGAAGTTACTTATGCAGATTGTTCCAATACAATTTCTAATTATAACCATACTCTCACATTTGGAAATAATTTGTAAACATGAGGTAATACTAATACAGCACTTCGTTATATTATTTGACTAGTCTGCTTTCAATTTATAGTGATTTCTTCAATGATAAAATATTAGACTATAGCTTAATTTCAAGCATGTTTGATCTCAAAGGAAGAACTATGAATAAAAATACTTCTATGGGCTTAACACCTACAGGGAGTTTACATTACAGGTGTTTAGCCTGGATACGTCATTTGATCCTTCTACACTTCCTTTTAATTACAGAGCCCATTATGCGTTAATATACATTATTTTGTAGTTACTTCAGTAATTTATAATATGTCAAAATTGAGTCCTGAATATGTAATTGCCCTTTCCTCTGAATTATAATTGTTTCTTAAGTTTTTTTTTTTTTTTGAGACGTCGTTTCTCTCTTGTTGCCCAGGCTGGAGTGCGGTGGCACGATCTCGGCTCGCTGCAACCTCCGCCTCCTGGGTTCAAGCGATTCTCCTGCCTCAGCCTCCCAAGTCCTGAGCAGCTGGGATTACAGGCAGGCTCCACCACACCCAGCTAATTTTGTATTTTTAGTAGAGATGGGATTCCTTCATGTTAGTCAGGCTGGTCTGGAACTCCCGACCTCAGGTGATCTGCCCGCCTCGGCCTCCCAAACTGCTGGGATTACAGGCATGAGCCACCGTGCCCAGCCTTGTTTCTTAAGTTTTAAGAGTGGACAAAGTCTTTGCTAAAAGATCTCTTATGCTCATTGGATTGTTGTTTTTACAATTTTGACATTTTCACATGTACCAAATTTGTTGTTTTGGTTCTCATTAGCAATGATGCAAGATTCCCAATTCCAGTCATCTTGTTATTGAACAAATAATGTTAAAATCATAATCCGATTCAAAAATTTATGTTGTGTGAAGCATATTTACTTATAAGATTCTTTAATGAGGCCTGACCAGCTCTTTCGAGAGAAAACCAAACACAGTGATTCACACTTCATAAACAGACCTTCAATCTAAATGAACTTGGATCATATGTGAGGTCACTTTGTTGTTGTTTGTTGTTCATCTTCTCAGCATCTCTTCGTTATTGCCAGAAAACTTTGGTGTGCAGCCTGCATATAATCAGGGACAGAAAACTGCAGCATAGGCCACCTTAACTGAATTAAAATGAGACAGTGCAATGCAATATGCAGAATTACGCAAGACAAAAATATGAAATTGGCACACAAAATGCCCTAATAGTCTTTTATTTGTGCAATAACATAGATATGATTTGTCTATTATATTCTAATACTCTTCTGTAAAAATCAGTGTTTCCATATGAAGAATCAAAGACACCTGGTCGTATTTAACATTCTGTTGGGGAGAGGGAAACAAAACAAGTGTATTTGGGGTGTGTGTTTAATATTATAATAAACATTTAAAAATTATGTAAGCTATCATCATAGGTATGTAATCCTTTTTTCATAAGTCTGAGTATATAAATTTACATTTAGTGTTAAAATTCAGCATGGAAAACTGTTATAATTTTTGACAGTATTTGAATGCAAACAGAGCCGTTTTTAAACTATCTTGAAATGTGGACTTAGAATGAAATGAGTAACATGTTTTAGTGTAGGTAACAAGGTTATGTGGTAATTGATAAACAGAAACCCACAATCTTTGTTTTAAAAAACATATAAACTGTTCATTAACAAAGATATGCTTTTACACAAATATTTACAATGATCTTCTTTCTTCTTCTGTTTGACTTCCTACATTGTCCCAAATTTCAATTATCTTATTTTTCAGATGAAATCTGTGACAGTGGTCAAGGTGTACTCTGACTTAATCACAAGCATTTAGTGCAATTCAGAGAACAATAGATTCTTTCTGATGTAAAATTCTTGGTTGTCATGTTGCTAGTGTGCTATTTGTGACCAGAATGGCAAGTAGTTTTAATCCATACGTCCTTTTTTCTGTGCTGGGATGCCTGCCAAACCTATGTCTGCGGTTAACTTTTGAGGTTGTCAGTTGGAGACAAATTTAGGAGCAGGAGAACTTAGGACAGTGGATTTGTAGTTAATGCATATGTCACAATAGCATTGCCTTTCAGAATTAGAAAACAAATAGTTATCTTCATAAACTTAACCTTTGCTGAGCATTATATTTATTTTTTTATTATTGTTTATTTATTTTTTATTTTTTTGAGATGGAGTCTCGCTCTGTTGCCAGGCTGGAGTACAGTGGCGCGATCTTGGCTCACTGCATCCTCTGCCTCCTGGGTTCAAGTGATCCCCCTGCCTTAGCCTCCCGAGTAGCTGGGGCTGCAAGTGCACACCGCCATGCCCAGCTAATTTTTTGTATTTTTAGTAGAGACGGGGTTTCACCACGTTGGCCAGGATGGTCTCAATCTCCTGACCTCGTGATTCGCCCGCCTGAGCCTCCCAAAGTGCTGGGATTGTGGTGTGAGCCACCACAGCCAGCCACAGTTATTGTTTTAAACTGCCCTATGCTGTTCATGTAAATCTGCAATAAATTTCATGTAAACTTGATTTAATTAAATATGTTGAAATCATATTACATTCTTATAATTATTCATGGTATTCAAATGTCTAAAAATTCCTGCTCTGTAGCTGGGGGTGAAAGACAGCAACATTGAAAAGCACTTGTTATCTGGTTTTCTTTCCTATTTCTTGAACATTTACTATGCCAGAATACTATCCTAAGCATTAGCCATGTATTATTTCACTTAAGCCTAAACATAATCTTTTAAGGTAAATACTTTTACTAACACATTTTACAGATGATGAAAGCAATTCTCAGAAATTTTGTGACTTAGTTTGAAGACAAGGTAGCCTGATTTCAAAGGGCAGGTCCTTGACTACCACGATATTAATTTTCTACTGCTGTTGTCACAAATTACCATGAACTTAGAGGCATAAATGATACAAACTTTATCTTACTGTTCTATAGGTCAGAAGTTTCCCTCCTCTTCTGTCATCACGTCTTCATCTGAATGACCTGCCTTTTTAAGGGCTCTTGGGATTGTTTTAAACTCACCCAGATCATTCAAGATGATCTCCCCATCTCACGATTCGTATCTTAATCACTCCTGCAAAGTCTTTTTGCCATGTTGAGTTAGGCAACATTCACATGCTCCAGGGATTTGGAAGTGGGCATCTCCAGGGGAGTCATTCTGCCTATCACGATTATTATACTGACTTTTGACAGTGCCTTCCTTTTAAAATGAGTGGTATTAAGGGAGGTAAGTTGGAGAATGTATTACTACT
Organism: Homo sapiens; assembly: GCF_000001405.40. Classification (NCBI taxonomy): domain Eukaryota; kingdom Metazoa; phylum Chordata; class Mammalia; order Primates; family Hominidae; genus Homo; species Homo sapiens. The sequence goes on from NC_000021.9 coordinate 21,030,734, forward strand.
CTCATCTGTGAAGAGCTCCAAAGCGATGATTCAGTATTAATTGATTAGTCAGATAAATAGTAATACCATTTAAACACAGCAACTGACTTTGTTTAAAAGTTAGATTATACAGAAATAAAAAATATAAAGGACTTTAAAAAGCTGCATACGTTGTATGGCAAGGAATTCATCACCATAATTCTAACTGATAAATATTAATATAGTTATGAATTTAAAATAAAAAAGATAATGACAAGGGCTCAGGTGAATAGATAAAATTTTTCATTTTAAATGTTTTATTTTCTGCAGAATGAGAAAGCCCTTACATTAAGAAATACTTGAACTGCATAGTACTTTATTCTTTTTGAAAAATTTTCTAATCTATGATTCCTTTTGATTTTTAAATAATCTTGGAGTTAATAGAACTGGAGGCTCTTAAAACTACTTTATAAATAATTATCTCTGTTGAGGTCTGGAAGCTAACATGCATTGTTTTACTGTTTATGTTTTGGCCATTTTAAATTTCAAGTTTGCCATTTTATATTGAGTTGTTTTATAACCTGCTCTAATATTTGTAAAGACTAGATGAGGTATTAATCCCAATAAATAAAATACCTTAAATCGAGACATGAAGAGCCTTAGCAAATTCCTCAGAGTCACACAACTGATTAGTAATAGAGCTTCACCTGCTACTTGGTTCACTGGACATCAGTCTAAAGTGGTTACTGTTGGGCCCAACCACCTCCCAAATCTAAGATAGAGATTAGTGAGCTATTGGCCTTCTGATTTTATTGCCTGTGCAGGTTCATGTGTGTAATATACTAATTGGCAATAAATAGTTGTCTGTTGGTGTGATCTACACCATCTTGGTTTGGTTTTGGAAGAGGAAATTTACATCTTATAAAGCTGTAAAGTATGTCTCCAATATGCAAGTAGGCAGTGATGGACGTTGATTTGACAAGCAAATTAAAGCAATATTTAATACTATGCTGTAAGCCTTTTCCAAATGAACTGAACATTTTTTACCTTAACATTTACTAAATAAATTTTGTCTCTCTCGATATATCTCTCTCTCTCAATCTCACTCACACTCTTATACACACACACACACACACACTCACACACACGTGTGCTTGTGCAATGTCTTTATTTGTAAAAGTAAAAGTTAAATGTTTTATATTATTTCTGTGACTTAGGCAGATTTTTGGTTTTTGTTTGTGTTTTTGTAAATCTCTTGTAGAGATCTTAACAGGGAGCATGCTACATACAGGAACATTAAGGCACATGTGGCTTGATAGGTTTTATCATTGATTAGATATATTTTAATCTAATCAAAGTTTATCAGGCACCACTATTATGCCATCTCAATGCAATGGTGAGCGTACGAATTTAGGAAAAGAAATCTAGCTGTTCTTGAGCCTTTTTAATTAGTTATTTAGAAAAGTATTGGTTACACTCTAAATAACTCTATAAATAATATTTTCTTAGAAAATCATCTTTAGCTGGTGGTGGCATGCAATAACCAGTGATTATGAAAATGGAAATAAATCTAATGCAAATATGTTTTTTATTTATTATTTAGTAAGTAAATTAAATTGTAAGTTATGTTTTCTTTAGCCTAATATATAAAATGGCTATTTTAAAAATTTAAACTTCATCATGAGATTTCCCTTATAATGTAGGCTAATAAGTCTCTATGATCTTTCTTCTAGAAACCACTGGCATTAGTCTGTAAATTACAGGGTACCTATGCATTAGCACCAGCAAATGTTATTGTAATTGCCAGAAGCACCATCAGCAAAGTAATACTAATGTCAACATTACATCAGTTTGAAAAGAAAAATATGTGTTGACTAAGCAAATCAAAATAAACCTTTCCATATTTCACATCTAAATTCTTCATTTGCCTTAGTTATAAAATATAGATTAGTTCTTAGTTTTTTTAAAGAGTATAATTACAGTGCATTATGAAACTATAAGGAATTGTTATTTCAAATACCAATTTACTCAAACAATAGAATAGTCAGAAACATAATAATTATCTTATTTGTTAAGGTACATTAATGGTTATTGGTACCTAGGAACAAGCTCATCAGTATTTTTGTGTGACCTGAATCCCTCATTTTCATAAAATGTATTTAAAACTTTGTCTACATACTTTAGCAAAATACTCTGTTTTGTTTCTGGTAGCAAATTTAATTGCTAACAGCACATGGTTTCTTTCTTTCTTTCTTTTTTTTTTTTTTTTTGAGACAGAGTTTCACTCTTGTTGCCCAGGCTGGAGTGCAATGGTATGATCTCGGCTAACTGCAACCTCCGCCTCCTGGGTTCAAAGGTTTCTCCTGCCTCTGCCTCCCAAGTAGCTGTAGCTGGGATTACAGGCACCCACCGCCACACCCAGCTAATTTTTGTGTTTTTAGTAGAGACGGGGTTTCACCAGGTGCCAGGCTGGTGTCAAACTCCTGAGCTGAGGTGATCCACCCACCTTGGCCTCCCAAAGTGCTGGGATTACAGGCATGAGCCACTGCACCTGGCCGGTTTCTTGGTTTCATACAAGACGAACATGTGTGCCATATTGTTTTCAGGCACATGGGATAAGTTGGCATGGGAAAGTTTAAATTTGTCCCCTGAAACTTTGATAATTTAAGTCTATAAAACAAACTGATAGAAGATTAACAGGAAAAAAAGGCATACAAATTTATTAGCTTGCATATATAGTCACAGGAGTCATACAATATATATAAGCTCAAAGAAGGTCCAGATGGTGGACGCTTAAATATCCTCTTCACTGAGGAGAGTGGAGATGACAAAGAGTGGGAGTAAATTTTTTTTCAGGTGAAATAAATGACCTCCCCCCCAAAACAATGGCGTGAGACCAAGTTTCTCTGGGCTTAGGGATGGCATCACAGGGTCAGGGACAGTAAGGGGAGGTAAGTATGTGAAGCAAAGGGTGGCTTATTAAGCGGATTAAAATGTCTCAGATTATCTCAGAGCTGCCCTCAGAAAGAATAGATGGTAGCCTGACATAGAGTTAATCTTTCCTGGATCTGGACAAGAGAGGAGCCACAGAGAAAGCCTGGCTGTTTATTTCACAAATATAGATTTTTCTCTATAGATGCAAATCTCTTTCACAGAAGGCAGCTTTTCTGAACTATCCCCATCTGCAGGCCCTGTTAATAGTCATCCGAAAGTATGTCAAAGTAATATATTTTGGTTTTTTTGTTTGTTTTCTTTAGTCCCCCATTCGAAACTTTATTTTCAGGAAGTTTTACATATTAAAGTGGGATTGGTACCTTTGGAGAGATTTAGGCTAGAGGTTGTGAGATAAGAGATAGGCAAAGGGGGGGGGGAAACAAAGATTGAGATAAGCAGATAAAAACAAGTTTGAGTACCCTAGTTTATACATTCTTCAATCTCCTAGTCCTGAGAATAGGTCAGTTTGTTAAACAGCTATGTCTCATTCTTGGAGTTGGCATTGCAGATTGGCTCCCATCAAGGTTAAGTCTCTGTATGGCATAATCGTCTCTATATGGTGTAAGCATACACCATATTTCACAAGAGATTTCACAAGAGATTTTTCTGTAGGAGCATACAAAAAAAGGTTGATGTTTGGAGTATTTTAAGCTAGTTTTTCTAGAAACTCTGAAGCATCTTCAGTTGGAACTGGCAAGCGGTGGCAATCTGACAGATTTTCCTGGGTTGCACTTTGAATCAGGTATTCCAGTGAACTTTCTCGGTCGTCCATACATCAACAGGCACAAAGGCTGATACTCAGTTTCTGTAGTGATTTCCACAGAGGTTTACATCAAGGTGTCTTCCTTCAGTTTGTAGGCCTTCAACAAGAGGACAGTTTTAATTTCTAATGATTTTAAATCAGAAAAATGGAAGAAAAATTTCAACTACTCATTTGGAAAGTTACAGTCAGGTATTGAAAGAAACTTAAGTTTTAGAATTTAGTTGAGTTAATAAAAAACTGAAAAACAATGGATAGGGCTAGAATCTATTAACTGGTACACCTTAGATTTCTTCTGAAATGTATTTTTTTTCTCTCCAGTCCCTCATCTACAAAACATATTTATGGCAAGTTCAATTTATTTGTGAAACAAGTTTAGTTTCATTAACTTGGCCTAATTATTTGCAGAAGTATAGTAGAAACAGTGATTTACCATATAGGGTTTTTAAAAGTTACCTTGCTGGAACTTTTCATAAGAAATCTCAGACTGGACTTCTAAAAGAGTCTCTAGGTTAGGAAACCAGGAGGAGGATTTGCCACACCCTCAAACTTGTCTGTAACAACTGTATGAATTGGGTAAATTCCTCTCTTCTCAAGGTCTCTAAAATATCTTGAGGTTCTCAGACCTGTCAAAAAGTAGCATTTTTTAATTTAACACAAGGTCAGGGACTTTATAAGGGAATTGTATAAACAAGGGACCAGGTTAATCTTTCCAAAGGACTATTTATTGGCTCCATAAATCAACCTCAGTCACTCAAAGCAATCTGGATATATCTGAAAATAGCACATCCCAGTCAAAGCCTTAATAAAATAACTGGTATTTCCAATTGTGTTTGTTACAGAAGAAAACAGATTCTATTGAACTTATGCAAATAACTATACTGCCATAAAATAAGAATACTCATGGATAGTTATTGAATCCTAGATAAATCAGGTAGAGAGAAAGGTAAATGTTTCAATTTTGCTCTCAAAAACATACTTTACCCAATTGCTATAAACTATAAATAGCTTAAAAGAAAAGCCTAACTCTAGAAAACAAAACATAAAAATAATCAATGTTTTAAACAAAACAGTCATAAAAATCATTTCAGTCCTTCATTAGTTTAGTGCTGTGTAATTAATTCTTGTTCAATTTGGTGTTAAATCTCATGATGTTAGGTTAGCAATATTATGTGTCCAGTTTTTTTTCCATTGAATTTCTTGAAATTCTTACCCAGCTCAATTATATGATCTCAAACTTGTCAGAAACTGTATTTAAGAGTATTTGATAAGAGTGTTTGATAAGAGTATTTGATAAGAGTGTTTTCCATAAACCTGCTTGAACACACACTTTAGGATTTGCAAAGAGCTTTTGGAAGAAAAAAGAAAGCATCAGTATAAAGCAGTTTACCTTGGACAAGACTTAAAATAACCATGGTTAAAGACACAATTGACAAATCAACTTATTTATTTTCTGTGGCCTATAGCAATTTAACATATCAGATTTGGAGCACATACTAATAACCTATCCATACAAATATAACTCAAAGAAAGTTAAACATTTTTATTTGACAGTGAGTGCTTCCCACATAATTTAACATATGAAATAAGCTTTTTATTCTCTTTCTTTTTGGAGCATTAAGGGCCCTCGATAGCGCTCCAAAGTTAGTTTGTAGTAAAAAGATTGAATTTAGAATTTGAAACTTGATTTTGGGAAGCTTGTCAAATATGTCATGGATTTAAAGCACTTGATCAAAATATGATCCCCACTCACTGTGAAATAATAGTCATTGACTTTGCCAAATTGATAACTAAAAGATTTCAGAAAGTGAAGTCCTTTGCTCTTTGACAGACAAAAGTCTCAGTTTCTGAATAACTCAAGGACTTAATAAACACAGCAGGAGGCACACAAAATCTGATTCTCTTTCTCTCCCATCATTTACCTTTCCTGCAGTTTGCCCAAAAATGAGCAAAAATATTTTCTTATCTCTTATGACACCAAAATGGTAGGGAAGTTTAAGTTTTTCCCTGAAACTTTGATAATTTCTGTCTATAAAACAAATTGATAATAGATTAACAAGAAAAAACCATACATATTTATTAATATGCTTATGGGCACAGAAGTCATATGAAATATGAAAACTCAAAGAAGGACCAGATGGTTGACACTAAAATACTCAGTTCGTTGGGGAAAGTGTAGATTAGGAGGTGTAGGAGTAAATGATTTTCAGGGGAAATGAATGAAGCCAAAGAACAATGGCCTTGGGACCAAGTTTCCCTGGAGGTGGGTGGCATCATAGGTTATAGGACAGAGAAGGAAGCAAATCACATGAAGCAAAGGCTTGTTATGCAGACGATAGTATTTCAGATAATTTCAAAGCTGCCCTCAGAAAGAATAGATGGTAGCCTGAAGTTGAGCTAATCTTTCCTAGTTCCAGAGAAGAGAAGGGCCAAGAGAGGGCCCAAGAGATAAATCCTGGCTGTTTATTTCACTAATATAGGTTTTTCTCTACAGAAGCAAATCTCCTGCACAAATGGCAGCTTTTCAGGGTTATTCCTCTCTTTAGGCCCACTAAATAGCAATAGATGTCAAGTACCTATATTTTGGGGTGAAATGCTTTTTTTTGAGATGGTCTCACTCTGTCACCTAGGCTGGAGTGCAATGGCACACCCACAGCTCACTCCAGCCTGGACTTCCCGGGCTCAATGAATCTTTCCATCAGTCTCCCTAATAGCTGGAACTACAGGCCTGCGCCACCACGCCTGGCTATTGTTTGTATTTTTTGTAGACAGGTTTTCCCCATGTTGCTGAGGCTTGTTTTCTTTTATTATTAATAGCAAGTGACTATAGCTAAGGTCATGGTATCAAAAAATATTCATGTCTTTCTTACATATGGAATGATATTGGTTATAAAATATAATTTTATACCCATAGTTTTCCATGTTTTCCTGTTATGTTATATGTTGTTATTCTACTTAAAAACTACTAAGCCAGTTAACAGTTTTAAGAAGACAAATGAATTTATGGATGCTATTCAAAGTCTTCAAATGAGAGAGATTAAATGATTTTTAGTTGATTATTCACTTAAAAGTAGTTTCAGTTTGATATAATTCTTAGTAATAAGAAATGGCAGGCATTTATTTGTAGGCTCTATGTTAGTATGTGTTCAATAAGAGACAACAGATAAACACTAATTTTCTAATTTTCAGCCTAATTGTTAAGGCATCAGGATTACCATAAACCAAAGCATAAAAGTACACTGTAGACATATTACTGGAATTTGGATTTTGTCAGTTAAAAATTTAAGTTTAAGAGTAGAATGGGTGTATAATGTTAGTTTGAGTGGACTGATTCATTTTGACAGATCCTTTATATACTACATACTTGAAGTTGGAATTTTAGATTTACTTGAGTAAAATTGGAACATACATGGAAGAATGGTTTAATTTTTTGATAGTGTTGAAGCAGAACATTCTCTACCTCACAAACAGAATTCCCATTTTAAGGATATATTAATGTAGACAATCTCAACATTTTGTCTTGTAATAGCTGATTAAGTTAATTTATTCTGCTTTGCACATGCTTTGCACATGACATTATGAAAAATGGGAAGAAAATATATTGGATATGATCCCTCCTCTGTTCTAGCCATAACCCATGGTTTACCTTGAGTTGCTTCTGTTCACAAATCTCTTGGGAATTTTTCTGCTGCTACTGTTAACTTACCAATTAGCATGATCTAAATCTAAATTCATTTAAATAACTGACAAGGTTGACATTTATTTCCACATAAGAATGATACAGATATATAGAAATATTATTTCAGCTGAAATTTTGTATATAAAAGAAAATGTATACTTACTAATTAGATACTTTAAAATGTTTTATTCTATGAAAGAAAAAACATATTTGTTGTTTAGAAAATGCAAATCCTGGCTTTCTACTGTCACTCTTTGATATGGTTTGGCTGTGTCCCCACATAAATCTCTTCTTGAACTGTAATTCCCATAACCCCCATGTGTTGTGGAAGGGACCGGTGTGAGGTAATTGAATCATGGGGGCAGTTACCCTCATGCTGTTGTTGTGATAGTGAGTGAGTTCTTATGAGATCTGATGGTTTTATAAGAGGCCTTAATCCCCTTTTGCTCAGTACTTTTCCTTGCTGCTGCCAAGTGAAGAAGGATGTGTTTGCTTCTCCTTCCACCAAGGTTATAAGCTTCCTAAGGCCTCCCCAGCCCTGCGGAACTGTAAGTCAGTTAAACCACTTTCCTTTATAAATTACCAGTCTCAGGAATTTCTTCATAGCAGTGTGAGAACAGACCAATACACTTCTGAAATATACTGATTCATCAAATCCCATTTGACTGTAGACCAAATGCAAACTCAGTGTTTGTGATCCCCAGGTTTCAATTAGCATGGCTCTGTGTGAGGAATACGAAGGCCGCTAAAACATGGCAGAACCTCTTTCTTCTACAGGAAGACCTTCTTTTGATATGTATAATCTTAGAATTGTAACCGTTTGAATCACCTTTCCAACAATATCACTAAAGGGTATATTTCTTGATCAGAGAAACTAAGACTTAAAACTATAAGATTTGTTTATTCTATTAATAATCCCCATAAAGAAATATATTTCTCTCACTTGTTATGTAGACTATATGACATGTAGTTAATTAAGAAAGTACATGTAACAGGCCCATTTTTATAAACTTATTTCTTCTAACTATATGTTTGCACCCATTAACCAACCTCTCTTTATCCTTCCACTACCCATACACCCTCCCAGCGTCTAGTACCTATCATTCTATGGTCTACCTTCATGAGATCAAGTTTTTAATCTTTCACATATGAGTGAAAGCATGTGTTATTATTTTTACAAGATTTGCAGTTCCCTCGAAAAAGATATCCCTTAATAATCCACCATTGGGAAAGAATAAGTTCTAATGTTCAGTAGTAGAGTTGGGTGACTAATATTAACATCAACGCATTATATATTTCAAAATAGCTAGAAGAAAGAACATGAAATGTTCCCAACACATAAAAATGATAAATGCTCCAGGTGATGAACACCACAAATGCCCTGAATTGATTATTACACAGTCTATACATGTAATACAATATCACATGTACCCCATAAATATATGCAAATAAATATTTGTATCAGTAAAAAATGTAACTTCAGGGCAAAAGGACTATATTCAAATGTGTGCATATTTTGAATTAATATTTAAATAATCATTTGGATTTTTCGTGTGTGAAAACATTACAAATGGAAATGAGAACATTTTTCCAGGAAACTCATAACTTTTTTGCCGTAGACATATGCAAATCACTGAAGTTGCCGGAGGGTCACTTATGTGATTCTCTCTCAAGTACAGCACTAAGTGTTAGGATTGCTTGTTGATACCTAATCCTCAGTCAACATCATAAATCAGCACTTGTCAGATCAGGGAAGCATATTAACTAGAGTTATTATATTTCAAAACAGTTAGGAGTGTTTTTTATTCTGACAGCTTCCCAGAGAGGGGACTCTGTGATGAGTAGCTGCGGATATTTCATACCAGTGAGGAGGATACACATTGCCAGTTATTACTGTTAAGGGCAACCTTCGCTAGCACATTGTAATTCTCTCTACAGTCCTCTATTTTAATTTCTGTCATACCACAACGTTATTTACTCCTCTTACTAGGCTAACAGCTGCCAGCCATGAAGATTTTTATAGAGTTATAGAATTTTAGAAAGAGGGAAAAAACTGTAGAGGATATCTTACTGAATCTTTAGTTTCCTTTTGAAGATACTGATGCCTTTTTATTATTAAAGACTCATGAAGCTTTGGCCGAGAGAAGATGTTTAACTCACTTTCTTACCATTACGCAACTGACTCCTCACTGCCAGTTTGAGTTCTGGTGTCCTACTCATTCTCTCTGACTGAATGAACCATGACTTTATGTGTGTGCGTGGGTGTGTATAATTATTTAGATATATGAATATATATATCTTTTCCAGTCTTACTGTACTGGTTTGCATTACAGTATTAAACCAATGGAAACGTCCACTATAGAAATGATGCAATATTCTATAGTAAGTGCTCACAAGGATATAGGACAAACCTACATGTCCATCAGTAGATGAACAGAAAATATGGTATATATACACAATGGAATACCGTTCAGTCTTAAAAAAAAAAGAAATCTTGTCATTCACAGCAACATGAATGAGTCTGGAGGATATTATGTTAAGTAAAATAAGTCAGGCACAGAAAGACAAATATTGCATGTTCTCATTCATATATGGAAGCTAAAAAGTTTATCTTAGAAGTAGAGAGTAGAACTAGAGGCTGGGAAATGTAGGTGGGTGGGGTGATAGGGAAAAGTTGGCTAATGGCTACAAAATTACAGCTAGTTAGGAAGAATAAGTTCTAGTGTTCTATGGCACTGTCGGTGACTCTAGTTAACAAGAATTTATTGTGTATCTTCAGATAGCAAGAAGAGAGGATTTTGAATATTCCAAATAAAAATCAATGCCAAATGTTTGAGGGGGTGGATATGCAAATAACCCTTATTTCATCATTACGTGTTGTATGCATGTATCAAAATATCACTCCATTGCCCATAAATATGGACAATTATTATGTGCCATTTAAAAATAATTATAAGAAAGAAAAGACTGAAAAACAACAACAAAACAGAAACACAAAGAAAAGAAAGAGCTATCAATTGAAAAGGGTTTTTCTGGTAAATTCACATTTACAAAGGGTCATATAAGAAACATAGAACCTATGATGAATACAAAATAAGATCATTTCTCTGTAAGAATATTACAGAATTAGTACAGTCTAGCATAAGGTAAGTCTTTTGGACGGTGTTGACAACAATAAAAAGCCACTTGGGGAAGCCGTGTTATGCTCTCAACAGAATTTTTTCACTCATTAATTGTATAAGTAGCTGATTTTAAATAAAGCAACTATATAGGGTGCTGGTGACAGAAGGTGGGCAGACAATTCTCTTTAACTTCTTTGAGAGTGATTTTAAGAAGAGATGGTACAAGAGCATTAAAAGTGGAATTAGGTGAGGAGTCTTTAAACCATTACCTCGTATAAGTGCTTCTCAGCTTCCTTATCTCAACAGGTTACATTAAAGAGTAGTGCCTGAACCTGGTGGGAACATTTTATTATGCAGGCTTTGAAGTAGCTAGAACATCGTGGTGGTGGTGTAAGGATATGAATATTTTGAGTTTTTCACAAAGTAGATGCAGCAAATTGTAGATTTGTGAATTTGACTTTGCTTCAGGGAAAGACGTCAGAATATATTATATAGTAACAGAGAGAGAAAGCAAGAGAAAAGTGTATGTGTGTGTCTATTCACAAACACTTGTCCTGAAAGACAGGGGATAGATGATTATTCTGATCTTGGTTGACTTCCTTGTTAGTCATCAGACAAATAATTAGGGAAATTCCATATACCTGGTATATCAAGAATATGAGACCAGCATTGAATCAGCTTATCTTGTGGCTAAGATGGAGAAATATGGACACAATAACCAATTTGTAACAGGTTGAATGACGATGCCAACTTTCGTTAATTTTAAGTGCAGTAGAACCCTTCCTAACATATTTTCATGTTTCTTCTCAAACTATAACACATATACAAAGGCAGGGATTATACTATCTATAAAGAATATAAAGTTTGGAAGATGGGTCAATCTGACTCTACATCAATAGACTGCTCTGTGGAATAAATAGAAATATCTCTACTTGCTTTCTGGGGTGAGTGAGGGTTTCTTTCTTTTGCTCATTTTTGCCCAAGCTGGAGTGCAATGGCACTGTCTCGGCTCACCACAACCTCTGCCTCCCAGGTTCACACGATTCTCCTGCGTCAGCCTCCCGAGTAGCTGGTATTACGGGCATGCACCACCACACCCAGCTAATTTTGTATTTTTAGTAGAGATGGGGTTTCTCTATGTTGGTCAGGCTGGTCTCAAACTCCTGACCTCAGGTGATCCACCCGCCTCGGCCTCCCAAAGTGCTGGGATTACAGGTGTGAACCACTGCGCCTGACCTTCATATTTTGAGAAATTAATTTAACAGATATAAGCCTCATTTTTCTGAATTTAGAGGTAAATATTAATGTACAAAAATCTCAGGGATTTTTCTTTTCAGATATCTTAAATTCTTTGAGCTTTAATCTTGCCATCTCTAAATGAGGAATGTTGCCAACTAAAAAATGAGGTCTGAACTGCTCCCCTCAGGCCCTTCATTTCCCAGAGCATCTGTTATACAGTGTTTATGTTAAGCACCTGAAATGGGCTAGAGGTTCTAAAATAAGGAAGAATTGGTGTGGCTAAGTAAACAGAATGCAAGAGTTGTGTAAATCTTATTTTCTGCAAGAACTGTCCTTGATTAATAGGCTTAAATAACAACATAATTTATTTATCTCAGAGAACATATTACTGTACTTTATCTGTTTGAAAGCTTTATAAAAGGCAAGGAAAAGAAAAGAAAATGTGTGAAATCCAAATATCAATATCATCATTCAATTTTGTTGTAACATGTACTGTCAATATAACTTACTCAAGCATTTATGTTTTCTAAATTATTAGACTAATGAAATGGAAGGCATTCTTTTCAAAATGTCAAATTTCAGCTAATTTACAAGTGCAAATTTTATCTGGTTAAGCATTTACATATCAAGCCACTATAAGATTTAGGGGAACTGCTTATTCCTTTAGTCCTGCCCCATGCCCTCTATAAAGGTCTTTCTGTTAAAGTTCGTGCCATTATCAAAAACATAGTAATTGAGTTTATATAGGAAATTTAACTCAGTGGCTAAGAACCAGGGCTCTGGACTCAGTATAACTAATATGGAATTATAGTAACACAGGTCAGAATCTAGGATGAGTAATTTAATCATATGTAAAATAAGAATTGTTATAATAATATCTCATGGGGTTATTTTGAGAATTAGATGAGATAATGTATATAAATTGGATAGCCGCACATATGGCACCTAATAAGGAGTTGTTGCTTTTATATTACCCTTTTATTCTTTTTTCAACTGGCATGGAATTCAGAAGGTAGCTTTTGTTTTAAAGACAAAAATTATTTTTGAAGAAATAATATTATATACAATGTTAGTAATTTTTATTTTTGTTAGATGATGTTATCAAATTATGTTTTCATTTAAAAAGGAAAGTATAGGTGGGCGGGTCACAAGGTCAGGAGATCAAGACCATCCTGGCTAACACAGTGAAACCGCGAATCTACTAAAAATACAAAAAAAAATTAGCTGGGCGTGGTGGCGGGCGCCTGTAGTCCCAGCTACTCGGTAGGCGTGACAGGAGAGTGGCGTGAACCCGGGAGGCGGAGCTTACAGTGAGCCGAGTTCGTGCCACTGCACTCCAGCCTGGGTGACTTGTGAGACTCCGTCAAAAAAAAAAAAAAAAAGAAAAAAGAAAGTAGATATGTGAATCTTTCTTTGCAAATATTAAAATAATTTAAAAATGTAGATTATGAAATTTTAAACAGACTTTACTGGAATACTCCAAATCAAGGATATTTGAAAATTGGTTTTTTAATCATTTTAGCTGTAGAAATCATTTTATTTGAAGACTTTGTGTGTGTGTGTGTGGCAGAGAGAGAAAGAAAGAGATTATTAATGAGAGCAGTTACTGCAAAACATACTAATACATTTTACCTACCAAAATATGAATTTCAGTCAATATATCCTAAGGGTATGTATTTCATAGCTTTGAAGATCTTTAAAAGTATCTTATTGCAGGTTTGTGTTCAAAGGAGTTGATCTTTTCAAGTCTATGGAAGATCTTGAAGAGCAACAGAAGAGCAGGGTTTGTAAGGGTGTGTTTCATAGCTTCGATGATCTTGAAAAGTATGGTCTTATAGCAGATTTGTGCTCAAGAGTTAATCTTCCTTTTCAAGACTGTGGAAGATCTTGAAGAGCAACAGAAGAGTAGGGTTTTTAATAAATGGTTCCTCTTTGCTGCAATATTTAATATTTCAGTATTGCATTTAAGAATGGTAACTATGGTTCATTATTATAATTCAGAATGCTAATTAAATCTTTATATTGTATAAATAACTAGTCTGGCTTCATATTTAAAGTCTTTCTGCCCAGACAATTAAGATTTTTAGATATATTAAAACCAAATAAAAATGATTCATTTTTAAAGAATAAAAATAAAAGAATTATGTTCTGTAAATGTGTGACCATACTATTGTTTTTTAAAAATCCTGAAAGGATATGGCCAGATATGGCAGCTCATGCCTGTAATCCTAACATTTTGGGAGGCCAAGGTGGGAAGATTGCTTGAGCCCAGGAGCTTGAGACCAGCCTGGGCAACACAGGGAGATGCTGTCTCTACAAAAATAAAAAAATTTGTTGGGCATGGTGGCGTGCATCTGTGGTTCTGGCTACTTAGGAGGCTGAGGTAAGGAGGATCCCTTGAGCCCAGAGAGAGACCCTGTCTTAAAATATGCATGTTTGTATGTATGTGTATGTATATATGTATACACACACAGATACAAATATATATGTGTGTGAATGAAAATACATATATATCTATATATAAAAACACAGATATATAAAAATATGTGTGTGTGCATCCTGAAAGGGTGTTGTAAATGTCAAGAATAAAAATCATCCAGTTTGATGTATTTTATAGTGCATTTCTAGAATGTACATATTTTGATACTTAAAACTGTTAACAGACATTAACAAAAAACATACAGAAACTTTAAAAGATTATCATAGTGGAGAAATTCAAGCCCACTCCAGTCCACTCCTGATGTCACTTCAGTCTGCTGTTAAAAGTGAAACACAGACAAGGCAAATAAATAAATAAATAAAATACAAATATCATAGGATTTTTTCCTCAAGAAAGTTGATATGCAATTCCTGCCTCAGAATAGATAGAAACTAGGCTGGGGTTATGGAAGCTCATGCCTGTAATTCCAGCACTTTGGGAGGCCAAGGTGGGAGGATTGCTTGAGCTCAGGAATTAGAGACCAATCTGGGCAACATAGTGAGACCCCCATCTCTACAACAAAATTTATAAAACAATATATGGGGATGATGGCCCACACCTGTCGTCTCACCTACTCGGAAAACTGAGGCAGGAGGGTCACTTGAGCCCAGGAGCCCAAGAATACAGTGAGCTGTGATCACACAAACTGCACTCCAGCCTGGGTGACAAAGCAAGACCCTGTCTCAGAAAAGAAAAAAAAGGAACCAGATGTTAGTGGAGCACATGAGTCAATGTTCTGTCATCTGATACCCTGGCATTGAATATTAAAGTAGGTCTATTTAAATGGGAAATAATTATCTGAACCTTCAGCTTCCTTAAATTCAACGTCATAAAATATGTCACATGATGTTAGCCATATTCCCTTCTATCTTAGATATCTTGGGAAGTGTTGCTGTCTTTCAAGACTATTCTCTCTGACATATCTGATAAACCAGCTGTAGAGCAAATTTGTATCAGATATGTATCTTTACAACTTCTGGAGCCACACTGCCTGGATTCAAATTTTGATAGCACCTCTTGCCAAGTTTCTGACTTTGAGCAAGTTACTTATCTCCTCTGTGGCTCAGTTTTCTTGCCTAGTAAAAGGCTTATGATCATAATGATGCTTAAATCCAAGTATGGGCATGCAGGCTAAGTGAAGTGATATATGTAAAGCACTCCGAAAAACTCTGATCTCTATAGCTGTTACCCATGTTTTTTATATAGCAGTGTCTCATGATACAAGTTTCTTCATCTGTATTCAGCAGGACACTGTGAACTTGTTGGCAGCAAGGAAACTGTTGTTACTTATCTTTTTGTATTGAAAGTTTATCTCAGTGTCATGCAAATGGCAGGGGATTAGCATTTGAGTTGTTGTTAGACTTAATTTTAAAAGTGGTTCCTGCAGTTTCATAGGTATTATAATGTCAAATTGAGGTCGAATATGTGACCTCAATGACCAGTACTAAATTTTGTTCAAGATTCTATTGGATTATCTGTTCAAAATACAAGCATTTAAACATTTAAATCTCAAATTTCCCCCATATAACATTTGTTTTTCTTTTAAAACAGCTTTTCAAATATGTCCTTTTCAACCAACACTTCCAACCAACACTTACTGTCATACTCCAAACTGTTATTTTACAGTTTTTTCTTTCTATTTTTGCTTCACCATTTTGGCGTCACCTCTTGGTTCAGGTTTTCTTGCCAGCACCAAAAACTCCTGTAGCTTATTTCTCAGTTATGTGACTGCATTGGTACTGCAGTTCAGGGAAACTTAATTCTTACTGGTTTGTTTTGTTTTGTTTTGTTTTTAGTTTAATAAGAGATAATGTCTGAAAGGACATGAGCAAAAGTAAAGAAACAAAAATCTAGTCCTGCTGCTTGACAAAATAGTATGAGAAAAAAGCAGACAAGCACCAAACCAAACAATAATAGCAAAATATCTAAGAAAATTTGATAATTGTTTTGTCAGAATGAAAACTTTTTCTCTAAGTGATATTTTTCAGTTATTTTATTCTCCCTAATTGGTACATCTCCTTTATTGTATTAAATAAGAGAATCTGCCTAAGTGTTTATAGCTGCTTTATGAAACAGCTTATTTTCCTTTTTTTTGAGAGGGGTGTGTGACATCACTTGTGTTGTGTACGAGTTAGAGAAGCTATGCAATTACTAGTGAAATAGTTTTATTAAGTTTGCTTTAAATGATAAAGATTTTACTTGGAAACACTCTAAGGATGTTTCTGTTTTTACTGGGGTATTTAAGACAATGCTTGTAAGTGTTCAATGATTTCTTTGATATAATTTAGTGAATTTTGGCTAAACACATATTTTTAAAAACAACAATTATTTGAAAATAGAAAAATATGCCAGAAAGCAAAACTGGTTTTGCTAATGGGTTGCTATTTAGATTCTAAGTATTCATTAACCAGGAGGTGGCTAATGAGCAGATGTTTAATGAGCAACAGAAATGAATTGACAGGTTTTTTTGCTTGTTTATTTCAGACAGACTAAAGGTACAGATATGTTGATGAAACAAACAAAAAAGAAAAACAAGAAAGTATTCAACTTGATGAGACTTAAGGAAAGATGTTCTAGTAATAGAATTGAATATGGTGTGGAAGCTTGCATTAAAACTTCAGAAAAATATTTCTACAACTGTAGGGATAAATAAAACTAATACACAAAGAGCACTAATAGTTAAACTTATTGAAAGAAATGTAATCAACTCATATTCAATACATTATGCATTGTTTTTTTCTTTCATAACTCATTAACTTGCTAATGGCCATTTTACTGCTTATTTTCAGGGGTAAGAAGCTGTGTGGATTTTTGTTCTGTTTGCTTTTGAGAACTAAGCTCTGATTTTTTTCATCTTGCCCAAATT
This sequence comes from Homo sapiens, assembly GCF_000001405.40. Classification (NCBI taxonomy): domain Eukaryota; kingdom Metazoa; phylum Chordata; class Mammalia; order Primates; family Hominidae; genus Homo; species Homo sapiens. The sequence goes on from NC_000021.9 coordinate 21,047,831, forward strand.
CCTCCTTAAGAGGTCTGGGAAGTCATGTCCTACAAATCATAAATTCTCATCACATGGATTTTATTTAACACTGTATGTCATAACTTAATTTCCAATCTGACTCTGGTATAACCAGGAAGAAATCAAAATGTTTTACCCCAAAATATATTTCCTTGGCATACAATGAAATTGTCCTGCAATGTCTCTTGTGGGAAAAATCCACATTCTATAAAGAATCCCCTTTCCCCTTTGTTTTCCTTCTTTCCTTTCCAAATCCAGGAGATAAATCAACTAAGAGCCAGGCACCCTTTTAAGTCCAATAAGAAACATTTTACAACCTGCTCTCTCTGAAGTCTGCTATCTGAGAGCTTCCTCTGTACAATAAAACTTGGTCTCCACAATCCTTTATCTTAACCTAAACATTTCATTTCTATTAATCCCAGGTCTTCAGATAAACTCAACTAGTTGTCAATCAGAAAGTGTTTAAATTTACCCATAGCCTGGAAGACCCCCTTTAAGTTGTCCCCCCTTTCTGAACCAACCCGATGTATTTTTTTTTTTGAGACGGAGTCTGGCTCTGTCACCCAGACTGGAGTACAGTGGCGCAATCTCTGCTCGCTGCAAGCTCTGCCTCCAGGGTTCACGCCATTCTCCTGCCTCAGCCTCCAGAGTTAGCTGGGACTACAGGTGCCCGCCACACGCCCGGCTAATTTTTTTCTATTTTTAGTAGAGACAGGGTTTCACTGTGTTAGCCAGGTTGGCATTGATCTCCTGACCTCGTGATCCACCCGCCTCGGCCTCCCAAAGTGCTGGGATTACAGGCGTGAGCTACCACCTGGCCTGATGTATTCCTTGAATGTATTTGATTAATGTCTCATGCCTCCCTAAAATATATACAACCAAGCTGTACTCCAACCACCTGGGGCACATGTTCTCAGGACTTCCTGAGGGCTGTGTCACAGGCCATGGTCTCTCATATTTGGCTCAGAATAAATCTCTAAAAATATTTTACAGAGTTTGACTCTTTTCGTCAACATTTTTTAGATCTGTGTATCATGCATTCTTCTTTGTTGGGTTTAATTCTCCTGACCTTAGATTTCTCATACAGTTTGTAGCTCTCATAAGATAATCACAAAGAACCAAAAAACAAAAAGTATTAGGAAATTTTATATACTTTCTATTTACTATTTATATTTACTATTAATTTTTTTTTTTTTTTTGAGACGGAGTCTCGCTCTGTCGCCCAGGCTGGACTGCGGACTGCAGTGGCGCAATCTCGGCTCACTGCAAGCTCCGCTTCCCGGGTTCACGCCATTCTCCTGCCTCAGCCTCCCGAGTAGGCTGGGACTACAGGCGCCCGCCACCGCGCCCGGCTAATTTTTTGTATTTTTAGTAGAGACGGGGTTTCACCTTGTTAGCCAGGATAGTCTCGATCTCCTGACCTCATGATCCACCCGCCTCGGCCTCGCATATTTCCTTTATTTTTGTATATAATTTATATGCTGATACAATTAAACTATACTGATTAAATACCCTATAATGATCAAATTCTAACATAATTTTTCATGCCCATAAAACACCACTACATTAGGCTTCTAATTACATGTTTGATTCTTTTTAATAGATTCAATAATTGATGGCATAGACCCTTCTGAATTGCCTAATAAAAAGAGCATGAAAAATTAGAGTCAGCCACTGACTATCACACTGACTACTTTTTTTTTTTAAATGTTACTATAAGGAATTTAGAAGTCTTCCATTTCCTTTTAATATTGTTGTTAGCCAGGCGTGGGGGCTCACACCTATAATCCCAGCACTTTGGGAGGCCTAGGTGGGCAGATTACCTGAGGTCAGGAGTTCAAGACCAGCCTGACCAACATGGAGAAACCCTGTCTCTACTAAAAATACAAAATTAGCCAGTCATGGTGATGCATGCCAGTAATCCCAGCTACTCAGGAGGCTGAGGCAGGAGAATTGCTTGAACCTGGGAGGCGGAGGTTGCAGTGAGCCAAGATTGCGCCATTGCACTCCAGCCTGGGCAAAAAGAGTGAAACTCCATCTCAAAAAAAAAAAAATTGTTAATATTACATCATTATGCATATAAATGGGTTTTTGAAGATGTAAATAGTATAAAGTGGAAATGTTATTGTTGGGTTAGGAGCATTTGAAGATAGCTTGATTCATTTCCTTAGGTTAATGGACACACAATTATTATTCTACAGTATGCATCAGATCAGGTGACTGATCAAATGACTTCTCAAGTTGACTAACTAGACTTTGCAAAATTTGAATGTTTTTTTCATTTCACATTAAGCACTGTAAAGTGCAAAAAAAAAAAAGGTTTTTCTCTTTAGACTCTGTTTTAATCTGATGTACTCCTCGATTTGCATTTCACACACTCCCTTAATTTGTACCAGACCTAAAAAAGTGAAAGGATTAACTTTCTTAAGGATGCACTGGAGAAACTATCATTTTAGAACCCATGTAGTTCAAGTATGCCAAAACCTGATTTTAGTAGGAGTTAAGTCAGGGATTATGTACCATTCATATGATTATTTTTGGGGATGGTTTATGAGTGTTAACAGAACTCTGGTAAGTCAGGTGCCACCATTTTGGTCAAAGTAAAGAAGGCACATTGATTGATACTGCTTTCTGTGTTCCTTGTTGACCCATTTTTTTTCCTTCTTTCGTATTCCAACTCAGTGATGCCAACCCTACTTAGCCTAGCACTTCAGTTTTAGATGTGTATCATTTTTGTTTGTCCTGCCAGAATGGAAGATGTTAGCATCAACCACTGTTCTTTATTCATCTTCGGATTCCCAACAACACCTGTCATTGGGGGTCTGATATTGGAGATCTAACAAGGAACCTGAAAGATGTTTTAGTGTTAGAAGTGTTGCCTTCTCAGTGCCTTAATCTCCCGATCTGGGAAATGAAAATGAGCACCATGCCTATACGCCTGCGTGATTATAAGATTTAAATGAGTCAGTACTTGCCATACGTAGACACTACAAATGTGAACTATTTTAGTTATCATTAGTATTCTTTCTCGAGGTTGTAGGAAACATGATTACAATATCAAAATGAATTTGGCTGTGGAAATAGTTAAATATTTATTTGGGAACAGCATGATACATTTGATTTCCTCTTATCAAGATACTTTAAAGTTGTTATTTTTCAGACCAAAATATCTGGACCCAATGCCACTTGGTGTCCACCGTGATATGTGGTGCAAATAACCCTTCAATAAAAGAAGTGTTTGTCCCAGTTGAAGGGAGGGATGTCAACAGCAGATTTTAATCTCTTCAAGAATTGCTTTAGCTCTAGATGGTCCCATGTCCGAGGTAATATCCTTTTTATGGTTTTTTTCACAGCCAGCAAGGCAGAATATAAAAACCTGACCATCTCAGAAAAAATTCTAAAGCATGCTTCAAGCTATGGAAGTCCCCATGAAGCTAGCTAGCCAAGAGTGTCATTGGGTTTCTGTTGCAGTTTGACTTCTCCTTCCCAATTCTGCATCTTCGCTTCCCCTTTTCACATGTGTTGATCCCAAGGACACTTCTTATAAACATCCTTCAAGCTAAACCAGCTCAGTTTGTATCCAGGAAACCCAGTCTGGGATACTCACATAGAGTTATAACTTTTCATGTAGTGGATGCTTAATTAAATGGATATCAAATTGCGCTGAAGAACAAAATATGAAACAAACTTCATTTTCAGAATGCAAATTGTTTGCAACTCAGGTTTCTTAGGCTGTGTTAGGCTGGGGATAAAATTAGTAATAATAAGTGTTTTGACTTAGCATTACAGCTTCTGAACCCAGCACAGTATCTTGTGCCATAATAGGCTCATGGCAAACAGTGTTGCTTGCAAGAAAAGCAGACATTTCTGTAAATTTGGCCACATTTGCTGGTTTACAACCTCTGTTGCCTGTTTCTTTTCCAAATTTACTTTCTGGAGTCTCATACAATTGTAGGAACTTCTTCATCTCTGTCACTTCAAGACAATTAATAACTTCCCTTTTTGTGGCTCTCTGTAACTGATATTTCTGATGTGGTAATAACAGTGGCACAGATAAGCGACTGCAAAAACCTTTTTCCACAGTTATTACTGTTGCTATCATGCTAAGTTCTCCAGGGAAGAACAGAATTCCTTTTTTTATTCAACTTTCATTTTAGAGTCAGAGTATATATGCAGGATTTTTTTTAACAAAGGTAAATTGCATGATGCTGAGGTTTGGAGTATGAACGAATTCATCACCCAGGCAGTGTGCACAGTACAGAATTTTTTAACCAGGATTTTCGTAAGCTGTATCATGAGAACTCAAACTCATGATGGCCATTTTTTTTTTTTTTTTTTTTTTTTTGAGACGGAGTCTCGCTCTGTCGCCCAGGCTGGAGTACACTGGCACTGGCAACATCTCGGCCCACTGCAAGCTCCGCCTCCCGGGTTCACACCATTCTCCTGCCTCAGCCTCCTGAGGAGCTGGGACTACAGGCGCCCGCCACCACGCCTGGCTAATTTTTTGTGTTTTTAATAGAGATGGGGTTTCACCATATTGAACAGGCTGGTATAGAACTCCTGATCTCAGGTGATTCACCCACCTCAGCCTCTCAAGGTAGATGTCCATTTCTTAAATGTTTTCCAGGTATTTTAGTCCATATTCTATTTCAGGTGTGACTTCTATATGTCTCTCTAGCATATAGTAAAGATTCCCCAAATCTTAGGCTGGACAGAAAAAAAAAATCTGAGGAATTGTCCACAATACTGAACATTCAAAATCATCTCTTTCTTTAGACCCAAACAGTTGATTTCTTGGAATGAATTCTTTCCCCAGAAATATCTCATCCCCTGGGCAAATAGACCTCTGGTGGCCTGTAATCCTACCAAGCAAACAAAGTTTAGACAGATTAGAAACACTGTAATGGACTAAATTTAGGCTCCATCTGGGGTTTCTACTATAGTTAAAAAATCAATTATTGCGTAGTACCTATTTACTCTCTTTTTTTCCAAAGTGAAAATAGAAGTAGATAATATTCAACCAGTCAGCACAAAATTTGTGTCCTCTTAAAAAATTTAGAGTAAATAAAGTATTCATAAGCCTCATATACTCATTTCTAAGGGTTTGTTTGTTTTTGTATTTTGCTTTGCTTGCTTATTCTCCTTACCATTTCTTACCACTTGTTTATGCTTTAAGAGCATGTATAAATTTATTTTACTTACAGCGGACAAACTTCTTATTGAATAGTTGAAAAAAAAAGCAAAAACAATTAATTGCTGGTATTTCATTGTGAAGATATTAAATAGTTATTATAATTCTATGGAATTAAGTATTATGGTAATAGGCTCAAAGTAGCATTTAAAATTTGCTTCTGAGTAAATATTTATATAATGATTGTGCATTTTAATGTCAAAAGGACAAATGGTTTGCATTATAAAAATTTGTGGCGACATCAGAATATGGTTAATAGCTTTTTCTCACTCTTAGGTTTTCTCTAATTCCAATATTTTCATTGCATCCATCTTCTTAAGTGAATATGACATGTTATTCCTTACTTGTGTATATTACAAAATTTTTTATTACCAATACTGATGAAACTAACCTGTGAAGCATGTGGACCAGTTACCATTTTAACTAGTTTAATTAATTTTAAATTCTTTTTTGTGTGTTGTCTTTGTTTTGGTTTTTTGGAACTCTGAAGGTCAACTTTGTAGACTATGTGTTATTTTTAAAAATTAATTGTTTTAATTTTTGCCATTTATTTACATATATATTATAATATTATTTTCTACATATATGCATATGCCCCTTTATATCATTTCTAATGCGCTATCATTTTTTCCCTCTCATTTTTTCATTTTTTTTGTCATGAGTATATTTAAGAAACCAGTTTTATTTTTATTTACTCCTTTTCTGTCATTTTGCGTTTTGTTATGGTAAATTCATCTTTTATCCATCTTAATTCCCCTCCTAAATTTTTCTTGGTTTATATTGTTGTTCTTTTTCTACTTACTTATATGTATATACATACATATATACATTCATATATGGTATTTTTAATAATAAAACTTTTACTATTTTGAACATTACTATGAGTACATACCTGTTCCTATAGGTTTAGGATTAAGCTATTCTTTTTTTTTTTCAACTCTACATCTTTATATAATTTGGTATGTGTTATGATTTCCGTGTAAGTTTGGAAGGTGATCCTTGGAAACACCAATTATTTACTCCATACCAACATCCAAAAGATCACTTGACATTTTCATTGGTTTGACTTCAGAATTAGAAACTCTACTTTTTATAAAATAAACATTATAAACTATAAATTGTGCCTACCCAGTCAACAGTCATTGCCGAAGCTTTTCATGACTTTGTGATTGAATAATCTGAATTAGAAATTTTTTCAATAATGTTACATATTAGGAACCTAGGCGTAAGTACAAATTTGTTGGTGAATATTGGTTGTCACCACACAGTACAGTATTTCAGATATTCAAACAGATGGGTTATTTTTAAAAATGTGTTTGAACTCATTTACTTCAGTTTGTAAATCTTACTGCTAACGTACTCCTGTGGTCTAACAGATCAGCGTAAAATGTTAAGGTTGTAACTGTGATTTAGTACATGAAGATATACTCCTTACATACTCAAATACTAGCTCATGATAATTAGAACAAAATTTAAAGGCATGGTTTATAACCATAGACTCGATAATATCTATCAAGATGTATTGCCAGAGTAATTACCCAAGTGTTAACACACAGGCATATGAAATCAATATATACAGTGATTTAAAACACATGTAAATTGATTCCAAAAGATGTGATACCGATGTCTATTTTAAATTGCTAGAAAAGAAATGAATTAAAAGTTTGACATAACATACTTTTTGCCAAAATTAATTCAAGTCTCTCTGTTAAATTAGATTTTGAAAATTTGTCTCAAAGAGAACTATGAGTATAGGAAAACTGACAAAATCTGAACAGTGTGCTGCTTAAAACTAGCCTTTAACTGTTTTAGATTCTTTTCTCTCAGTCCTGCAGAAAAGTCCAGGATACTGTTTCTGCCTCATAAATTTTTAAATACTTCCTTAGAATGAAGTTTTCTTATATGTAGAAACGAAGTTGGCTTAAGACCCTAAGTTGGGAATATTTTCTTTAGCTTTGAGATCCATAGGAAAGAATGTATCTCACAAACACCCTTAAGGAAAATGAAACTTAAAAATATTAGCTACAAGAGAGAAATATAAACATGCTATTTCTTTTTGTAACATCTCTTAATTTTCAGACAACCTTTCTTATCTGTTAAGTATTGGTATATTTTTGATAGTGCTGTGTAAATTCAGAAAGGTGATTAAAACCAAGAAGCTTACCCTAGAACTTAAAGTATAATAATAATAATAAAACCAAGAAGCCACATGAAGTCATATAAATTGTCTCCAAAACACTTAAAGAATGATTAAGTGATTATCCTGTGAAATCATTCAGATAATTTGTATGTGTCTGTGTGATTATGCCCACTGGGCACCTTTAAAGATGCTTTAAAAATAACCTTATTATCTCTTGTGATCCAACAACTTATTATCCAGTAAATAACAAACAGAAAACTACATTGACTATTCCTTTACTAAAATAATGACAGTTTTAATGTATTAATAGGAGACTTTTTAGGTGTAGGGTAATGATAGGGAACATGAACAGCTCTGAGAGCAGACCTGCTTACCTATTTTCTTCTCAATCTAACTTCTTAATTTGTTTGAATTATAATGAACTCTAAGGAGGAAAAACAGCTTCTTAGTAATATGTAAAAACTAAAGCTCATCTCAACACAAAATGGAGATCACTGGGGAACTGGTGTTCAAGGTTAGCAGTTAGGAGAAGGCTCAGGGACACCCCACTTGAGATTTGGGATTAGACTAAGTGTCTCATCACTTAGTAGCTGTTATTTACACTTCCTAAACCTTACTTTCCCCATTTGTAAAATCAGTAATAATCGAGCCTAACTCGTAGATTTGATGTGTGAAGTGAAAGAGGAAACATGTAAATACAATGCTGGCATAATCCATGTTCGGTAATTAGTAGCTCTTGTCACCATTATTATGACACTTACACATCCCTAAATATTATGGGACTAAAAATCCATCAGGATGAATAAAAGATAAAAACAGTACACTCTTCTTAAGGTACCTCATTTTGCTAGCAATATTTTTATAGTCAATAAACTGTTCTCTCTCTAGGTAAAGAAATTCTGGCTTAAGCATTTTTTATTTGCACTGTATTAACTACTATCTTTACGCATAGCAATAAAATAATTGGAGGAAAAAAAGCCTGTGTCTTTATATATTAGAAATGCTACATAGTACTGAAATGATGCACTTTAAGATCTAAACATGGAATCAGGGAGTCATATTTATTCATTAAACTTTCCAGTAGCTTTCCCTTTGATTAACAGTGTGTATTGAATATAATCTTGAGGAAAAACTGTGGAATTCCTATTGGAATAAATGAGCAAATAGATTATATTTGACTTTCTTTTTTTCCCCCAATAGCGTAATTTTAATTTACATTGGTAATATTGCCCATTCATCTGACTCAGTTATCAAGTTGCAAAAATTCTTCCAGATAACACTAATATAAATGGGTAATTGACAGTTTAGAGCAAGTGACAGAGATATGTCTGTGTGTGTGTGTGTGTGTGTGTGTGTGTGTGTGCATGAGAGAGGGGGAGAGAGAGGAGAGAGAGAGAGAGTGAGAGAGAGAGATAGTGAGAGAGAGAGAATCTTTTCAATCACAAAGACGATTACTTCTCCTAAAGAAAAAACAGAGGTGTGACATGGCTCTCCAGAAGTCAAACTGATCTGAAAGACAGGAAGAGTCGAAATTCTTCCATCATGGAGTACAACCATGAAATTGTTGCTACTCATAGAAAGTCTTAGTATAGTTTGGTTTAAACATTTTAAAATTGCAAATAAATATAGATAGATAATATCATGATGAGAAGGTCACGGGAAGCCTGGAGATTTCAGGGTGCTCTTTCATAATTGGAGCGAGAATCATGTAACAGTTAAGAAACTAAACTCTTGAGCCTTCATAGTCTTTGCTTTCTCCCCATTTATTTATCTGATATTATATACCCTCTTTAATTATAGACTGGACTGAAATATTTTATTTTTGTTTTATTATAAAAAATCCTACTCGTCTTTAACATGTTCTCTTAAAGAGTGTTTCATATATAAATACTTTCCCCCCAAAATATAAAGAGGCTAACCACTATAGTATTGAAAGATTGAAAGAAAGACCTAGGGTGTCTAAAACCAAATTTAAAGGCTCAGTTCTAAGAGGAGTTAAAATGCTTCCTTTGTAAGCACTTTAAACTTCATCTTTAAACATTGATGAGAATATTATAAAGAATTCACAACAGCAGTTACATGGAGGTAGAAAAGAGTGTTGAGAAGAAGGAGGGTGATTGCAACAAATACAAAGAAACTATTGAGATGTAACAAAGACGTGCAATTACCTATGAATGGGTAAACCAGTTATATATTTTGCTTTCACAGCATGAGATTATTTTTAATTTGAATTGGTTTACCATGTAATGACACTTCCATTTTAAAGATTTTATGCATGTAACCTTAATACTCTCAAGGTTTCCAGACTTCAGAGAGGTAACTCATACTTTCATTGTACAGTGTCGGAGCACTTATATTCCACAAGGATAAGTGCTTCCTGCTGGGACAAAGTCCTCATGCACCCGACAAATCCTTCCTGATCGTTACTTGTCATCCTTCATCTAATCTGTGCTCATAACTTTTCCCCATCACGACTGCTTTTGGGCCCTTCTCCATGCAATTGCCATTCTTACATATTTAACAAAAGCATTTTTAAAGTTGTCATTTAAGAAAGACTTTCCTAAGGGCTGAGGATAATAAAATGAAATTACGCTATTGACTAGCTAAAACGGGATATCATCTACCTGTGCTCCTAAAAGCTTCAGGCCTCTCTCTTTCCCTGTGAGTCCTTTAACAGCTATTTCTTCAAATTCTGACCTTCTCTATGGGATATCCCTCACGTTAACTTTCCCTACCCCTTATGGAGACTCCAATACCTGTCTCCTTTAGGCCTAGCCAGTGGCAAGAGAGGAGCATGATATGATGATGTCTCCGAAGAATTTCCTGCTCCCAATGAAAATGACTTCTATATGATTGAACATAATGCTTTGTCCTTAATCAACAGCCATCTGCTCCAGAGATCACTAATGCCCAGTAACTCTGGGTGAATTGATTATATATAATGAACAAAAAGAATGTGCCAAAGTGGGCCCTAAGTCTCTTCAAAAAAAAAAAAAAAAAAAAACCCAAAAAACAAACTAGCTTCCACACTTAAAACCAAAGGGCAAAGAAAAAAAACAAGATATAAAACAGCAGTTTGCTCCCACTTTCACTTGATTAAAGTTCGAAATACTGGGACCCACTTGCTATGTGTGTGTGCATATGTATGTGTGCTTGTTGTATGACATTATTTCATTGCACATATGAATTCCTAAACCTAGTTTCACATTTATCTGTTGGGGTCACTTTGAATATTGTCTACTTTGTGATAAAGCAAATGATATTTTATTTTGTGAATATGCATTAAATATGTGTTAATTTGTGTTAAAGATTATTACCAAATATGTCTATACTCTCAAGGAAAAATAAAAAGAAACATGTAGCTATTTGCTACAGAGGCAGAAATATGTTGCCTCAAGTATTTTATTTACCTGTGTAAACCTATGTGAAGTGTTTTGAATGCTTTTGTTTTGTCAGCCATGGATTCAGGTGTTTGTGGAAGCAGACTTGCATTAAAATTCACACAGGATTTTTTTTTTTTTTTATTCATTGTACTTCTACATTGACCCATTGAGTCATGTAGAAATACATGTTATTTTGCATACATTTCCATATGGAAAAACGAAGAAAAAGAAGAGTTTTCTCTTTCAGAACATTTTATTATTCACTGCATTTTTGCTTTTCCATTCTTCATTGTATTTCTTACTATTGCTTACTAATACAAATACCTCCATGTGAATTTCTATTAGACTGTTTTTGGACATTCTAGTGCTTTTTTCGAAGGACTATCCACGATCATCAGTTTCCAATAGCTACTTAAAGTATGGCATTCATAGCTGAATTTAATATCCCAGATATTTCCTTGACTGCATATCTCTGTCTTGTTTAATATGAAATAGACATTTTTCTTTTAAAGCAACAAGTTTATATTAACTCTTTATTAATCTATCATGTCACATGTTTGACTCATTTTGTGACTACCTCTTATATAATTTATATATGCCATCTTCTTTGCATTTCTTTATTTTTTGATTCAGTGTACAGTATTTGAGATATAAGAGAAGTATGTATAAAGGCAGGGAGAGGACTAGATCCAAGCCAGGAAAAAAGCTTTCTGCAATGTCATTTGATCCAGAAGAGAATTTTAAAACCACATTTTTAAGGTAAATAAGTCAGAGACTTGGGGACATTGAGAGAGGGTATTGGAAGAAAATAGTGCAGCAGAGATAGAGCATTTCAGAACTTCAGATAATGCAACTTTGGTTAGCTTAATTTAAATAAAATTAATATTTAACTCTAGACTTTGTGGCTGCTGAGTTGTATATGCCAAGACTGTTTTATAAATAGCCACAGTGGACTAAATGGCCATACTATTTAGGGAACCTAACATAAGAACCTTTTTATATTTGGAATATAATAGTTTCTTGTACATATTAATCTAGACTTCATCTTTTACATAGCATTTCTCATACAAGCCACATTTTATTGACAAGTTAAAAATGGTTTTGCACAGTATCCTCTTTGATTTTAGATGAACAGACATTCTCGTTCTCTAAAATAGTGGTTCTCAATGAGGATGTTTTATCCCACAGAACACATTAGCCAATGTCTAGAGACATTTTTGGTTGCCACACTGCACATGGGTGTTGGGGTGCCAATAGTATGTAGCAGATAGAGACCAAGGAAGCTGCTAAATATGCTACAGGGAAAGCACCTCCACCCTCAACGAAGTGCAAAATATTAATAGTGTCCAGACAGAGAAATTCTGGTCTAGAAGTTAAAGGGCTGTAATGTTGGAGCAATTATTTGATAATATGTTAGCTCCGATATGGAAATGTCTAACCCTGTGGATTTACTATCATTATAATTAATGATGTGAAATATAATTTCACATGTCAGCCATTCACATGTCTGAACTAATCTGATAATAAGGTGAGGATTGCGTTTGTACATGCTTGACATGTATTTGTGAGTGGCCATTATAGCTATACTTATCACAGTGTATTTACTCCACTGCTGTTAAATTTAATTGGATTTATTATGCATAATGCCAATTGAAAAAGGTAGTATTTTGATGTGTTTCAGCTTACCACATCACTAAAAAACAGTAAAATGATTATACCATATGTGAAAATAGTCACAATAATCAAATTATATTAATTTTAGCATTCAATAATATGCAAACATATTATGTTTTAAATGCACAAGCATATCTGTGTATGGGTTCTGTGTATTTTTTAGTCTAAATCTTCCAGATTCTGGTAGATATTTTTTAGAAAAACTATTTTATCTATTTATCCAAAGTCTGTGGATATATGTTTAATTTTCTTTCCATATATTTAAAATGTTGTCTTAAGCAGACAATTTTAGAAATCAAAACATTATCAGAAACAAGTTTTCAAGACATATGGGAACATTAATAATACTTAATGCTAATTAAAATTGTCTATTATGATGGAATATAAATCTATCACACCCTATTAAGCAGGAGTAAAAAATGACAAAATTGGAATACTGCAGTGTTTCCTTTTAATATGGTGTGGTGGGGATGTGAGTAGCATAGACACACACAGACATTTACCCACACATATAGTTTTATTTGAAGAGCCCATTTTTAACCTATTTGTTGGCTTATTTTAATTGAGCTTAGAGCAGGTACAGTGGAAGAAGTGGAAGATTTAAAAGAGAAAAGTCTTGGTTGATGGTGAATGTCCTTGAATGCAGGGCAAGTCATCCAGGGCCCAGGTAAAGAGATTATTATTCTAGGATAATAGGCATGCAACTAAAAATGCTAAGAAGAAAGGAAGAAGCCAAGGAAAGGTGGGCCTAAAATGAAGATTGTATGTGAGGAAGATTTTCAGATGCCATCTTTTTTTCCTCTCTCTTTAAGGTATAAGTTTGCTGAGAGGAAAAGGAGTAAGGATTGTATAAGGTGTGAAAATATGTGACGTTTCAGAGTAGCAATTTATAGCAGTGAAAACAGCTGTAGGTATTAAGTGATAGTCTGAAGAGTTCAGCTAAATAGCATCAATCCACATCATCTGCAGATAATTTGATATTTCCGTTCTAAAAGAGTTAAAGACCTGTGTTCAATATTTTCTTTCAAAGTGTTCTTGAATATAGTCTAAGTGTCATTTAAAGTTATTGCTGGGGCTTGGCTTAATTACAACGTGGCTGCTATAAACAATCACAGTTGTAGATGCTGAACACATATTTTCTGTCATCAGGTGGTATGCTTTAGTTTGTTCCTGTTTTAATGATAATCACATAATTTAGATTTAGATGCATTTTATACTATCAGTCTTGATGAACATTCATGATACCTTTCTTATCTAGGTTTAAGTTGATAGAACTTACCACATAAAAAGTATGAAGCCCCTTTGATTGATAACCTGATTGGAAATATTTAATTAATCTGTTCAGAGATGAGTTAAACAGAAGATACTAATTATGTTGGAATCATACAGCCTATTCTTTTTGAATCTTTTCTTATGAAGTAAGTACTATGACAAAATAATAGAAATCAAGTCGTTTGAATGTTTTGAAATTGATTGAATATTTTAAAATATAAACTTATTTTAACACATAGATATGTCTTAACAGTATGCCTACTTACCATCCTTTATAGGGGCTTTTACTGTTATTTTACTTAGTTATATTAATCTATTAAATATTCATCATAGGTTTTAAAAATTATGTATTCACTTACAGTGTTGTGATTTTCAATCACCATAACATCACAGGAATATTACCAGTATTTCAATGCAATAATTGTTGTCATCACTTTGTGTTTTTTATGTTGGAAAGCAGCCGTAATGGAGAGGGTAGCATAGAATTGACTTTAAAATATGTAGATTGTCTAGACACCTTTAACCAAGATACACCATCTCTCCTCACTTAAATGATAAAGGGAGGTATCACTCCTATATTTCCTTAATATTTAGAAGTGGTATAATGTAAAGTTTTAATATTAATTTGAAAGGAGAGGAGCTTTAAGTGAGTAAAATATCTTGAAAAAGAGAGGGTTTGTTTCTGGTTTTAAATATTGGCATATACGTAAGTATAAACAAAGTTGAAGGATAGTGGGATATATTTAAAATTACTTCCATCTGCAAAATGCTGATTTACAGAAATATCTCAAAGTATTTTGTAGTCGTTTTTATTTTGCTTTTTTTTCGCCTAAGTATACAGAAATCATCATCCCCATCCATAAAGTTAGAAGCATAGTATTTCAATTCCAATCACAGTAATACAATCATGAAAGTGATATTTGACTGGTAAATCATAACTTATACGTATTTTCACAAATCCCAGTGAGTTACACATTCAGCAAATGTTGGGCATCTATTCAGAGCCATGTGTTAGGCACTCAGGGAACAGGAAGCTTGCCCTTTAGGACTTGCCCTCATAAGGAGCTAACGCTACCGATATCTTGATCTCAGACTTGTAGTCTCAAGAACTTTGAGATAAATTTTTGTTGTTTAAGCCGCCTAGTTTGTGGTACTTTGTAATGGCAGTCCTAGCAAACGAATGCACCAACTAGTAGGTCAGTTTTTTTGAAAGACAAAATGTATTGTTTGTTTTTAATTTTTATAGTGATAAAGAGGTCAATTATGCCTCATATCTGTGATTGAAAATAATCATACAATGTAAACATTTTCAGAAAAAAATTCCTAAGTTTATCAGCATTTAAAAACATTGTGTCATATGCAGAGAAAGGTGATCATAACTCATATGCAGATGAAGTAATTGAAATACTTGATTTTGGTTCTCAAAATATAAAGCATTTACATTCCAAGTATCTTTGCAGTGTTAGTGTTATGTTGTATCATAATGCAATTCATGCTGGATAAAAGTTCTTCTAAAAGAGAAAATGAACATTAACACAAAACAAAAAATCTGAGTAGTTTTCTGCTAGTACAAAGTCCATCTTACCTTACTTTTTAAATTTGCACCTAATGCTGGCAAAACCAGTTCTGTAGCATAGGTAAATAGCCTTAAAATATCTTTGAATCAGTCCTAAATTTTACCCTGGTCCCTCAAGTCATAGCACTGTTTATCTTTACATTCTTTTTTTTTTTTTTTTTTTTTTTTTTTTGAGCCGGAGTCTCACTCTGTCACCCAGGCTGGAGTGCAGAGGTGACCTGGGCTCACTGCAACCTCTGCCTCCTGGGTTCAAGTGATTCTCTTGCCTCTCAGCCTCCTGAGTAGCTGGGTCTACAGGCATGCGCCAGCACGCCTGGCTAATTTTTGTATTTTTAGTAGAGATGGAGTTTCACCATGTTGGCCAGGCTGGTCTTGAGCTCCTGGCCTCAAGTGATCCACCCGCCTCAGCCTCCCAAAGTGCTGGGATTACAGGCATGAGCCACCGTGCCTGGACACGTTACATTCTTAATGCCAAATGAAATGTATAATGGGGAAGATTAAAAATGAATATAGAAAGTGTCAAAAAAAAATAAATTTTCTAGTTGTTAAAATCCTTACCTTAGTATGTGTGTAGAACTTTCGAAAGAAAAGAAGGAAAAATAAAGCAAAACAAAACAAAAATCAAAATCATTCAATAACTTGAATATTTAATACACTAATATCAGTGGTTTCTTTGGTATTTATTACTGGTTTACGTTACAATTATTTTATACTTGATTTTTTTTCTCTATGTGTATTAAGAGCTTATTGTTTATTAGTCATATTACTAAGCTCTGGGATAAAATGTTAAAAAATTTGTATAAAGTTTCTTACATCAATTATATTTCTGTTCTGGCCATGGGCATGTGATATTTGCACACATAATGATTTCTTGATAACAGCCAAGGAGAAAGCAAAGTTAATTTGTTTGGATTTGGACATCCAGGAAGTGGCTTGTTGTCTTAGACCTGAGGGATACTGGGTGATTCTTGCCAAAGAATTAGGGGGATACAGATCTTAAGTAGAAGGAGCAGAGTGTGTGAAGGCCCTGAGTTGTGAGATTTTAGTGCATGTTGGAAACAAAATTAGGTCAGTGTGGCTACAGCATTGAATGTGGAGGCTTTGAGGCTGGAGATATTGGTGGGGGCAAGGTTCATGCCAGCCACTGAGGGCGTGCTAAGAATTGTGACTTCAATCCAAGTACAAAACCCTCTAACTTTAGAGTATAATAAAAGGAGACTCAGTCTAGCTATCTTAAAGAACAATGTTAATCTTCATTCTGGCATTCATAAAAAGGGCTGGCCTAGAACTTCTATGGAATGTGCTGGGCAGAAGGCTTCTTTAAATATCTTGGCTCCAAAATTTCTCAATCACATAACTCATTAAGAATTGTACTATATCGTATTATTGATGTCTTGCTGAGGTCCCACTATTATGGTTTCTGTCATTTATTGTCTTTTCTCCACTGAAAGCATTGTCTTCCACCTGCAGGTGGTCACCAGCTAGGTTAGTCATTCTAGGAATTGCTGTGGGAAGAAGTGTTCTCTTGCCCCTCAGGGTTCATCACTCTGAGATGTGTCATTTTTTAAAATCAATTTGGCTTTTTCAGTAGAAATTCATGTGGACAGTTTCTGGTAATAAAATCCTGAATCATGCTACAGAAAACTGAGAAACATTAATCTCAAGGCCTCAGGAAATGGGTTTTAGCTTATTATAACTGTTTACATATGGGACTGCTACTATATTTTTCAGTGTGTAAACCTAGATGTCAAATGAGTTAAGAACTTGATCAACGGGCAACATGATTACTCTGTGCTCATTTCTTTTCTAGGGTTAAAAGTCTCACTTCCAAGGGTGGGCGCAGTGGCTCACACCTGTAATCCCAGCACTTTGGAAGCCTGAGGCAGGTGGATCACCTGAGGTCAGGAGTTCAAGAGCAGCCTGACCAACATGGTGAAACCCCGTCTCTACTAAAAATACAAAAATTAGCCAGGCCTGATAGTGCAAGCCTATAATACCAGCTATTCAGGAGCCTGAGGCAGGAGAATCGCTTGAACCGGGGAGGCGGAGGTTGCAGTGAGCCGAGATCACACCACTGCACTCCAGCCTGTGCGACAGAGTAAGACTCTCTCTCAAAAAAAACAAAAAACAAAAAACAAAAAAACAAAACAAAACAAAAAAAACTTACTTCCAAATAAGAGAAAATTATAGAAGTCATAAGCCAATAATACTTCCTTTCCTTTAATCCCATTTAACAAGCAATTATATTAAAACCCTAAGTCATCTGGGTCTTTTTTTTCCCACTTGATTTACATGAGTCTTAAGCTTTATTGCTTGTACTTATATCTGATCTGTGGACAACAAAAACTACCTAATACAACGACAAAAACAAAAACAACAAATACTTTACATAACCCACAGTCTAAGCATCATAAACTGTAAGTGATGTGGCACTGAATGAATACTTTTTATTCTCCTCATTTTTGAATAGGTGAATCTTCTTTACGTTGTGTTTTTAATCATGTAAGTATCTCGTCATTAAAAATGACGCCTTGAAAAATTATTCTATAATCAATATACCGCAGGGTTTCTAGAGTCCCAATTCATTGAGGATGGCTATTTCAAGACAAATTCAATATTCATTGTTTAAAATTCGTTGAGTTCTAATTATCTTCAAGGTCATAGAAGTGCTTCGTTATTTTGATGGGAGTGTGTACTATGACTACTATATTTATCCTTAGCCATTTACAAAACGGTTTATATGTAAGAGTTTTATGTCAATAAATTTGAGCAAATTAGACAAGGGAGTGTTCTATTTCAATTCAAAGATAATTTTAATTCACTAACTCTTAGCTAGATTAATGGTCCTACTAAAAATTAAGCACTCCCCAATGCATGGTATGTGTACCAAATGACCTCATTAAATAGGTATATGCAGAACAGATGCCTCTATGACCTGTCTCCAGATTTACTGAGCAGGGAGTGTCCTTGTTAAGTGCCCCTATGATCAGTGAATGAATTTCAAATTGGAGACACAAGGACGATACTTCTTCATGGGATATTCTATGTAATTTGGATATTTCTCTGTTCAGTTCTCTCTGCAGTTTGGTAGAATTTGAAATGTAAAAGAGATTCATCTTTTGCTGATGAATTTATCATTTTCTTACAAATGAATAGATACTTGATTTTATGGTCAGAGTTTCGTCTTTGAATACAGTTTTTTGTTACCATACCTTTGCTTTGCCAGACAATGGAGATTGGTGTTTTAAGTTAATTTTTGTATATTAGCACATTTAAAAATGACACCTGATTTGATTTGAATTATTCCATATATAGAATGTATGACTCTAAATGCAGTTTTTTATAACATATACACACACACACACAGATATACACCTTTAAGGCATTTAATTCAAACCGTAATTGTTTTACTGTTGCTTCTGCTATTGTTATTGGCATTATGGGACACAGCTAAAAAATGATGTAGCTGTGGAAACACTGCTTGATCTTTTGACATGCTACTATTGATGCCTCTATGCGCAAGAAAGTTCAATATAAGTATAAAGTAAAATTGTAAAATTAATTTTCCAATGATGTATTTTAGGTTGTTGGCTTTTTTGTTGTTTCGTCTTTTACTTTAAAATCCAAAGGAAATTTAGAATGATTTTGGAACCAGATTTACATTTGAAATATTATAAATATATATACTTTTAAGCCTATAGCAAGCTAAAATTTGTTTACAGGTGTTTAATGTACCCAAAGCATTATTAGATGAAGTCAGTTTTCTTAATGTTTCTATGGAAATAACTGAATTACTGTGTTATTGATAGGAAGTGATCATTTGATCTTAGCAATGGAGAGAACTACAGCATAACTGTAGCGTGTGTTAGAGATACTCATTCCACTGGGGGTATTACCTTAATGTTAACTAAATGTTATATTGCTACTGGAAATCATTAAAAATATATGCGTCTGTTTAAGTAGGTTTATGCAGATATGGAGTATAAATATTAAGAAAGGAGCTGTATGCATAAACACTTTTTTAAATTATTGCTAATATACTTAATGTTTAAAAATACATATATTTATTATAAAATTATATTTAAATATAGCAAAATGTATTACACAGTAAATTTAAAGGCAAAACTTAATTGATTGTAACAATCTATCTTTAAAGCTGGCATGAGAGAGAGAATATTACTTCAATTAAAAATGCGTTACTAAAAAGTGCTCTTTTCTAGAAAAAATAAACTTCATAAACAAGTATGAAGAGGGGAATTGTGTACCACGTTTGTAATAAAACATGAGAACTATGTTAATGAATATTACAAGTATAAATTTTACAATATGCTACTGACATATATAGACAAATAATGGAATATTGATCTTAAAACATGGGCTACCTCTTTTATATAGGAATAATATGAATTACCATATGAATGTGCATTTTCCAACATTTCACTCAGTTCTTCTCAATATGTATTGAAAACTTTGGGAGAATGCACACTCTGATATTATGCAATACATTCTATAGTCTTTCTTGCATCATCCTACTTTTCACAGACCCCTCTTTAAACACTGGTAAGACCTTTGTATAAATCTAACATAATCATTCTACTTATATTAATTACATACAATTGTTTTAAATTCCTATGAAGAAAGAAAAAAGTAGACTTGCATAAATTATTCTAAGAACATGAGAGAAAAAATAAACTGGCAGGGCCAGATCTATTTCTCTGTTGATAAATTAGAATCAGTATATGTTTTCTTTGCATATAGTTATATAATCAAGGGAATTATGGAATATAGCCCATTGACCCTTTTATGTGGGTTATAATAGAGATGGATGATGTATATTGGGGCAGAGGAATTGGGTCAGGATACATTAAAAAAACTGAATTTCTTGTCTTCTTGTCTTCCAAAAAGTGCTATATTTTTAAAGCTCAGTTTCTTGATGAAAGAAATAACTTTCTGATTGAGGAACTTGGTTTTCATGTATGTAAGGTGTTCATTTAACTTTTTGTGAAAGATGTACATAACCAAATAAAGACTAATTAATTATGTACTACTAAAATAATGACTTTTTTTTCTTTTTTTTTTTTTTTTTTTGAGACGGAGTCTTGCTCTGTCGCCTAGGCTGGAGTACAGTGGCGCTTGGCTCACTGCAACCTCTGCCTCCAGGACTCAAGAGGTTCTCCTGCCTCATCCTCTAGAGTTGCTGGGATTATAGGCACCCACCACCGTGCCTGGCTAATTTTTTGTATTTTTAGTACAGACTGGGCTTCACCATGTTGGCCAGGCTGTTCTGGAACTCCTGACCTCAGGTGATCCGCCTGCCTTGGCCTCCCTAAGTGCTGGGATTACAGGCCTGAGCCACCACACAACAGTGTCCTGTGGTAGTCATGGTATTGCATTTTTTTTTTTTTTTTTTTGAGATGGAATCTAGCTGTGTAGCCCAGGCTGGAGTGCAGTGGCGCAATCTCGGCTCACTGCAACCTCCGCCTCCCAGGTTCACGCGATTCTTCTGCCTCAGCCTCCTGAGTAGCTGGGATTACCAGCATGTGCCACCATGCCTGGCTAATTTTTGTATTTTTAGTAGATAAGGGGTTTCACCATGTTGGTCAGGCTGGTCTCGAACTCTTGACCTTGTGATCTGCCCACCTCGGTCTCCCAAGGTATTGCATTTGTATGCAATGACCAATGACTTATCGTTATTACGCTCCTCTTTTGTATTATTATCTGCGTAACGGGTGCTACACACTTTTTCCAAGTTGTTAATATTCCAGTTTGTGAAGTCACTTTATATATATCTAAAATTTTCATACCACCCATTATTGCTTTTTTCACTGCTAGTTCAACCTTGTAGCTCATACTAAAATGTAAAAGTACTGTCATATTTCCATGGCCAAATGCTTTCCTGGAATCACTCTGCTAAGTTGATACTTTCTAGTTTCCAAAGGGATGCAATTTCATGTGACTTTAAAAACTGATTTTATAAGATAATGTACTCTAGCTAATTTGCATATGATTAAAATCCAATTGTAATTATATTCACTATGGAGAATATTCAGAAACTCATGGAAACTCTGGAGAGTTTTTCATACATTGTGTGTTATGTCCCCATGTAAAAATTCGACTGAAGCTAGTTGAATTCACTAATTCTTATCTAAGAAGAAATATAGGTGATTTATTAATATGTACTTAATGCTGAAGTGTCTTTCATTGTATATATCAGTTCATTTTCTAGGAGCAGAGAGAATGTAAATTATATATGAATAATATTTTTATTTAACCTTTAAAATTGCAGAAGAGACCCTTTAGGTTAAAAATGCGTTAGCTATCAACATCATCTCCTTCCTTAACTTGACTATTTTCCCAGAGTAGTAATTGCAAACCAAAAAGGTTTAATTATCTTTCTGATAGCACAGAAAATGTTTTCTGTCATAGACTACCCATAGTATAGTAATACCTCTTTGCCACAGGTAAGTTCTAATACCTGGTGATGATTCCCCAACTGTGTACCCACTCAAACACTTTTCGACCTACCCTTCCTTTAAAAGATGTTTTGAGGAATTCCAGAAATAAAATGTATGACACAAATTGTGGGACTAGGTTAATACCATGATGCCTGTACTTTTGAAGGCAGGGAAGTGATAAGTGGTAAAATGAGACATTTCCTAGGGGTAGAGGTACAAAGCTAAAAAAGAAGGAAACCCAGACTGAATTTTACGTTTCTTATTTCCAACTCCTCTCGATGTCTACCTGGAAACCTTTCCAATCTTTAAGCATTCAACTGCAGTGAAATATCCTCTGGGGACCTTCTGTGACATCCCAAGACAGAGTTCATCACCCTTTTTTAATAGTGTCCTGTACTTTTCTTATCTTTCTATTGTTGCTTTTAAAACATATTTTCTTGCAATTACCTTCACATGCACTGTGAACACCGGCAATTTAATGTGTTTTTGTGCATGTGTATGCATGCACGCTGAATAAGTTCCTTGCATGCTAAAAAATGTTTCAACCTACAAAATAAATAGTAATGTCATTGCCTGGTTCGTGAAAATTTGGTGATAATAGATTTCACAGAACCAGGAGAAACTTATAAAGATCAAGCTCCAGACATATTACTATGGAGGCCAAAATATCAAACAATAAAACAAAAAATGAACAACCCATTTATAAAAGTACACACACCTATATAACCTGATATATGTACATAGTGTATATATATATATATATATAATCTAATATGTAAATATGTTATCAATTTATGGAAAATCATGGCACAAATAGAAGATAGAAAAAATAAATTGTTAAATGACAATACAAAAAGTCTTTCTCTGTCAAAATGCCATATAATTAGATGGATGCACTAATATAACAAACAGAAACTAATGAAGGAGGAGTAATCAGCAGTGATAAAAGGGTAGACAGAGGGCAGTGGAATTGAACAGAGGAAGAGGGGGGTGAAATGAAGGCAAGAAAGTAAGGAAAACATGAGTATTTATTTAAAGTGAGTAGTTGGAGGCTAAAAGGGAAGTTGCACCAAGTTTGGGTCTAACATGTTGTGGTAGTAACTGTGTTCTTCATATTATAGGTAAAGAAGTCATTGACTACTTTTAAATAGGGAGATTAGGTGGTCAGTGTAGAGTTGCTGGGTGAGCAGAATGCATAAATGTGCCTGATTAACTAAAGATGGCAAGGATTATGGATATTCAAATAGCCTTTCCCACCTCTGTTGATGAATTGGTAGTAACCTACATCCTGTTGGTAAGTAGTCAGTCTAGCTAGGAATGGGCTATCCAATAAATATTGTGAGAGGAAAATGGAAAGTAGTTAGATATTACATTTGAAGAAAAATTAATAATTTGAAATGCCTCTAGGGAGCTTGTAAAATTGGTAGGATGACAGTAACATTAAACAGAAGGAAAAGAAGGCAAATGGGAAATAAAGTTTTGAGAGTACGTTTCTAAACTTAGTGAATTAAATTGAGGGTTATTAAAGAGGAAATTTGAGCCAGCTGATTACAAACACATAATCAAAGCTTCTGAGCAGTCACAAAATGAGATAAAGGTTTCAGTGTTTTCACGAAAAACTGATATACTAATTCCTATGAGTAAATGAGATCTTCAAGAAAGAGAATGTAAAAATTGAAGAACTTAGGACATGTTGTTCAATCTTAGGGAATAGACATTTGAAAGAAAAGGAAGGAACATGAGGAATGAAGGGAACAAATGAGAAACATGTGCCTGCTATCAACTTAGAGTTGGTGAAGCAAATTGGTAAACATTGGCGAATTTTATGGGGTTATTGATGACCCAAACTCTAAGCTTCTTTGTAAATTGGGAATTTTTCAAAATAAAATGTTCTGGGAGATGGTAAAACAAATGTGGAGAAAGCAAGTCCAGAGTGCAGAGCTCAAGCTAAAAAAAAAGCATTTGATTTTGTGTTTGAGAAGATAACACTTGATATTTAAGATTTTCATGCCTTTAAAGTGAAGTTGCAGGCATTGCATTGAAAAAGGTTTATGCAGCTATAGCATTGACGTATAGAGTTAGAAGTTAAATTGAAAAATAAAGTTAGAAGTGAAAATAATTTATGCCATCCGTCATAATATTAACTTGGTTTTAATATTTTTTTCCTCTGGTTTTTCAAAAAGTTGTGGAAATTGACGAAGTATAATTATTCTAAGATGGAATAATTAAAATGGCATTTTAATAAGCAAATGTTTAAATATCTGCGGAAAAAAGGGAAATGGAAAAAAGATTCAGTAAATGTTAGCTACATAATAAAGTGTATACTGCCCAATTATTTGTCATGTCTGCCTATCTATCTATCTATCTATCTATCTATCTATCTATCTATCTATCTATCTATATTTTTTTGAGACGGAGTGTTGCTCTGTTGCCCAGGCTGGAGTGCAGTGGCGCGATCTCGGCTCACTGCAAGCTCCGCCTCCCGGGTTCACGCCATTCTCCTGCCTCAGCCTCCCGAGTAGCTGGGACTACAGGCACCCGCCACCACGCCTGGCTAATTTTTTGTATTTTTAGTAGAGATGGGAGTTCACCGTGTTAGCCAGGATGGTCTCGATCTCCTGACCTTGCGATCCTCCCGTTTCGGCCTCCCAAAGTGCTGGGGTTACAGGCATGAGCCACAGCACCTGGCCTATTTGTAATATTTTTGAGGGTAGCGAATATGACATGTTTAAATGGAAATGGAATTATCAGAATCCACATAACCCATGTTGGCTTCTTTCTCAGTAATATATTGTAAGGAAAGAGTGACCATGTACATACTGGTTGCCTCTAAAATGTTTCTCTTACATCAAAAATTAGCTAAGATCTCAAGGACAAATCTAAGATCTTCATTTAAGAAATACTTATAGAAAACTTACAAAATTTCTAAAGTTAAAATCAAACTATTATAACATAGAGGAATGGAAGGAAAAATGTTCAGTGGCATTGTATGACAATGTAAAATATCATTAAAAAGTTTTATAGAGGACCAGATAAATAAATTAGACTTTTTGCTGGTAGGGATATTACCATCTACAAAGGGAAATGGATCTGAAAACGTTTCATTGAAACTTTCAAACATGGAAATTCTGCTTGTATTACTAAAAGAATACAAATTGTTGAGTGCCCATTATTAGTGTAACTTGCCTAAAATTTACTGCTGCCCTATTTATTTTAGTATTCTGACTTCTATTTAATTTTAATAAATATATATTTACAATTTTTTAAAGATTTATTTATAACTTTCTCTCGTGGTAAAATATACATAATATACAATTTATCCTTTAGGCATTTTGAAGTGTGTAGTTCAGTGGCAGTGAGTATATTCACAATGTTGTGTGACCATCCCACCGTCCATCTCCAGAACTGTTTCAACTTCTCAAACTGAAACTTCATACCCATTAAGCAATAACTTTCAATTCCCTCCTACCTCCAGTCCCTATCTCCAGTGTACTTTATGTCTCTCTGAATTTGGCTGCTCTGTGTACTTGATGTAAGTGGAATAATGCAATATTTGTTTTTTGTGATTGGATTATTTCACTTAGCCTAATGACTTGAGGGTTCATTCATATGCAGCATATGTCAAAATTTATTTTCTTTTTAAGGCTGAATTATATTCCATTGTATGCATATATCACATTTTATTTGTCCATTTATCTATTGATGGACACACTTATAAATGCTATTCACCAAGACTTCCTTTTAAAATTCCATAAAATTTTTAGTTCTACCACTGAAAACACTAATTGTTAAGATTTTCTGGTAATTAAGTTTTATAGTTTATAGTATACTATTATTAATCTGTGTCTAAAAAAGAGTTGCAAATGTAAGATACAGATCACAATATTTAATCAAGTATTTTTTTCAGCATGTTACTTGGAGATGGCCATTTATAAAGGCATATATGACTCTAAAGTTTAAACTTCACTGAAAATACATTGCATCCTGTGTTATATCTAATGTATTATGCCTCACTCATAACACATTCAGTGCATCCTGCAAAATTTCAGTGAGCAATTAACCTAGCATTTCTCTAAGACCCTGCACATGCTATGACATGTACAACAGAGGAGCTGTGTCTCTGATTTTCACTGTACCTTTAACATACCTCAGACCGAGTA
The DNA here is from genome assembly GCF_000001405.40 of Homo sapiens. NCBI lineage: Eukaryota > Metazoa > Chordata > Mammalia > Primates > Hominidae > Homo > Homo sapiens. The sequence goes on from NC_000021.9 coordinate 21,073,682, forward strand.
ATTAAGTAATTAATATCTGGAGGTATGAAGCCCACTCCATACAACCACATTGTCCAGTCCAGTTTTAGAAACAGTCAATCAACAATTCCCCTAGCCTGTCAAGTGCAGGCATTTTAGGTCACATAACATGACAAGAAATTCTAATATATGCTCGTTTCCAGTCCTAGTAACCAGAATATATGTTAGGCAGGTTTATCTTCCATATGTTACAGAAGACGAACCTGAGACTCTGATTGAGGATTTAAAGTGACTAGCAGAGGGTCAAAAACTTTTCTTCAGAGCCAGGAGAAAAATTGGGACCTTCTGATTTCCTCCCTTAGCTCTTTCTACAACACAGTGCTCTTGGTAGTTCCTAATATTATATTGTTTTTATTACAAGTTTGTTTGCTTAACATTCATTTGATATAATTACACATCCATAATTATGTAATAAAATTGTCACTGTGAAAATCACATTTAATATCCCTTTAGAAAAATTTCCAAGTATGCTATATTTCTGTCCGTCATATAGTACATAAAGAATTGTAATTTAATATCAATTTAGTCTTAGAAAATTATGATGTATAATATAATTTAAACGATTTTGATGAATATAAAATAAATTTTACATTTATTTTACATTAATTACATTTATTTTACATTAATTTACATTTATTTATTAGCATTTATTACATTTATTACATTTATTGATTAACATTTAATTTATTTTACATTTACTTATTAATTTACATTTATTTTACATTAATTACATTTATTTTACATAAATTTGATTTGATAAAATGAATGTGTATGACACATGTTAAGTGTAAAGTCACCATGAAGGTTTACTTTCAAATTCAGGATCAGGTGGAAAGGGATCTCCTCTGACCTAATCTTAGACCCCACGTCAATGTGCTGGACTCTTCTAGATGGACCAGGAACTGGATTTCATTATGGGAGTCGGGTTTGGCAGGTGGAGAAGGTGAGAAGCACTGTTTTGCTTCCGCAGAATCTAGAGCCATCCCTACAATTAGATGGGTCAAGCTAACACTCGTTCTTTCTTGCTTCCTCTATCTTTTCTTCTTGTCTGGTCTGATTTTAATAAAATCAAATTAGATTTTTGTGACAGAATCAATGCAGGGAAACTATGAAGGTCATGTCTCTGTTGATGGTGGTGATGGTTTTATGTGTGTGAAACTCTTCATCATTCTATAAAGACATGCACATGTATGTTTATTACGGCACTATTCACAATAGCAAAGACTTGGAACTAACCCAAATGCCCATCAGTGATAAAGAGGATAAAGAAAATGTGGCACATGTACACCATGAAATACTATGCAGCCATAAAAAAGGATGAGTTCATGTCCTTTGCAGGGACATAGATGAAGCTGGAAACCATCATTCTCAGCAAACTAACACAGGGACAGAAAACCAAATACTGCATGTTCTCACTCATAAGTGGGAGTTGAACAATGAGAATACATGGACACAGGGAGGGGAGCATCACACACCGGGGCTTGTTGATGGGTGTGGAGCTATGTAAGGGATAACATCAGGAGAAATACCTGATGTAGATGACGGGTTGATGGATGCAGCAAACCACCATGGTATGTGTATACCTCTGTAAAAAACCTGCACATTCTGAACATGTATCCCAGAACTTAAAGTATAATTTTTTTAAAAAAGGAAAAACAAAGAAATACAGTTCATTTTCTTATATTGATATTGTCCTGCAACAAAGCTGATTTGATTTATTAATGCTGTGCATGATAAAGATACTCTTCTTTTTTTAGTATGTATGTTTTTAAATTTTTCTTGGCTTTAGTGCAACATTGAATAGAAATGGCGAGGACAGATGTATTTGCCGTGTTCTTCATCCTAGGAGGAAAGTGTTCAATATTTCACCATTAATTATGTTGTTACCTGTAGAGTTTTCACAGATACCTTTTATTAAAATGAGGAAATTTCCTTTTATTCCTGGTTTGCAAAGAATTTGTGGGTTTTGTTGTTGTTTTATCATGTTTTGTTTTATTTTTATCATAAATGGGTATTGAATTTTATCAAGTACATTTATTTCCTGGGTATGTCGAAATAAACATATAGTTTTTCTCCTTTAAGAAAAATAAATAAAAATCTTCATGTTTAAAATGATGTAGCTTAAGAATATGATTGGCCGGGTGTGGTGGCTCACGCCTGTAATCCCAGCACTTTGGGAGGCTGAGGCTGGTGGATCACCTGAGGTCAGGAGTTCAAGAACAGTTTGGCCAACATAGTGAAACCCCGTCTCGACTAAAAATACAAAAATTAGCCAGGCATGGTGGCATCTGCCTGTAGTCCCAGCCACTCAGAAGGCTGAGGTAGGAGAATTGCTTGCACCCAAGAGGAGGAGGTTGAAGTGAGGCTAGATCATGCCACTGCACTCGAGCCTGAGCGACAGAGTGAGACCCCATCTCAAAAAAAAAAAAAAGAATATGACCATAAAAATCAGCATTTTCAAAAGTTCAATAAAAGTATAATTTATATTATAAGGGAAATGAGCTGAAAACTTTCTTCTCTAGTACTTTTATGGGATTTGTTTAAGCTGACTGTGCATTTAATACAGCACATAATGAAACTTGGTCCCTTATAATTTACTAAAAAATAAACTTAAACAAAAAGCATGTTCTTCAGTTTCTGTTGTGATCTCTTTGAATGCTTTGCTAGGTAATTATTTTGGGCTTATACTTGCAAAAATTTGTTAGAAAATTAGAGCCATTTAATTTTTTTAACTATGTTCTTTTGTGCACATTTTGCTTTGTCTAGTTTTCCCTTTTAAAGATCTTTATAGTTCTGTCAGTTAGGTTTGAAACATGCCATTCCCTCTTCCGTCCTTTGTTTTTTCTCTAATCGTCATTTGTTTTAAAACTGGGTCAGTCTATTTGATCTCACTTTTCTTATTTCCTAACAGTTGTAGATTTCACAATAAAGAATCTTCCTGATATTCACTAGTACATATAAGTCACGAAGTTTAGTTTGTAGCATACTCACAACTAACTGTATGAAGATATAAAACTGTACAGTGTTGTAATCGGCTTTTTAAAAAAAATGCTCAGTGAAAATAACATTTTTGGCTTCAGCTGGTCTTTTGTCTTGGAGCAAAATGGGAAGAATCCAATAAGCCATTTATGTACATAGCTTCTTTCTCAGTTTTCTTCTTTCATTGAACCAGGAAGGGTAGTAGAATTGGAGGACTGTCCTTTGCAGAATGAGTACATTGACATAGAGTCTGAGGTGACTGCAACCTTGGCCCAATTGTTGAGGCTGATTTCTTTCCATTATCAGAGTTTGGTCATAAGAGAAAAAGAGGCAGTGGGTGGAGTGGAGAGGTCAGAAAAGTGAGGTTTTGAATCATTTTCTACCACACATATCATCTGTGATCTTGAGCAAGTTACTCAGCTTCTCTTGTTCTTAGATTTTTATTAAGGAAGCTTTTCCTGTTTCCAAGAAAACTTTATGGCAACATCGTTTAGATGAGGTGCCCGTCAGAGATTATTTATTCTGTAATTTGCAACTGACATGGTGATTATTTAATGTAAATTATGTGTGGCTTTGGAATTAACATTTTACTTCATCCCAGTATCTTCACATTAAATGATTTAAGCCTAAAAGAGAAAACATTGTGCCTTCTATTATAACTTCATTTTAGTGATTATTGGTAGGATAGATCCTTGATAAACCTTGAAGGATAATTGAAGGATTATTGAGAAAGAAGCATCTACTGGTCATTGTACAGAAATAAAAACAATAGACCTCTGTTACTCCATCTGTTTCTTGATTTCAGATTAATGAGGCCCACAGTGTAACATTTCGTAAATGAGAATGCCCATATGTAACAAATTTTATGTGCTCTAAAAAACCAGGACCTTTGCTTTCATGTTAGCAATGCAAATTTTATAAGTAAAAACTAAAGAGAAGTACAAAATAAATATTATGTTTCTCCTGGAAGAGTAAATAAAATAGTCTAAACAAATAGAGGCAGTAACTCAAAATTTTAAGATGAATTTGAAATGAACTTTCATTGGCTCCATTAGAAACAGTTTCAGATGTATTTTAACTGTTTTTAAAAATAGATTATTTATAGGTAAACATTTTATATCACATAAGTATATTCATTTATTGGCACATTATTTTACACATTTACTCAATACTCTCTCAGGGAAAAAATTGATATGTAACTTTTACTGGCCAAGTCTCATCTAACATTTTTAAAATAAAGTATTGGTGAGGTGTACCAGTAAATTTTGGAGGTTACTTTATTTATAGAACCTTACAAGCAAATTTTGTTTTTTAGGTAATAGAAATAGTACCAAAATAATCTTAGTGATAGTAAAATTAAAATCAGTAAAATTCTAATGTATATTATACTGTGGATATAGCTTACTTATAAGTAAAAGATACTGTCTCACTTATAAGGGGAGTTTATTTGATTTTGTTTTATGCTAACCTATAACAAAATAGAAGCATTAATATTATTACCTCTAGCTTATTCTCAGCCATTTTTATTAGGGAAAAATATAGTGCATTCATGTATTAGAGTGCTCAGGTATATGTGTGCTTTAATCATGTAAAAATTATAATTGTTAAAAAGATAAATTAGTTCATTTTATTAATTATCTTGCCATCCTGCTTTGTGCAGATGTAGCCAAAGGTGAAGAAGATTGTAATATTCACAAACACCTCTTTATTTATTGGTGATGTTCCTTTGGCTGTAGAATGAAACAAAGCTTTATATAATTCAGATGTGTAAAAAATGTCATGTCTTGCAAATCAAAACCACAATGCAATACCATTGCATGCCAGTCAAAATGGCAATTGTTAAAAAGTCAAGAAACAACAGATGCTGGCGAGACTGTGGAGAAATGGGAACGCTTTTACACTGTTGGTGGGAATATAAAGTAGTTCAACCATTGTGGAAGACAGTGTGGTGATTCCTCTGGGATCTAGACCAGCAATACCATTTGACCCAGCAATCCCATCACTGGGTATATACCCAAAGGAATATAAATCATTATATTATAAAGATACATGCACATGTATGTTTATTGCAGCACTGTTTACAATAACAAACACATAGAACCAACCCAAATACCCATCAATGATAGATTAGATAAAGAAAATATGATACATATATGCCATGGAATACTATGCAGCCATAAAACAGACGGAGATCATGTCTTTTGCAGGGATATGGATGAAGCTGGAAGCTATCATCCTTAGCAAACTAACACAGAAACAGAAAACCAAACACTGCATGTTCTCACTCATAAGTGGGAGTTGAACAGTGAGACCATATGGAAACAGAGAGGGGAAGAACACACACCAGGGCCTGTTGGTGATGGGGGTAAGGGAAGGGAGAGCATCAGGACAAATAGCTAATACATGCAGGGCTTAAAACCTCGCTGAAGGGTTGACAGGTGCAGCAAAACACCATGGCACAGGTATATCTATGTAACAAACCTGCATGTTCTGGACATGTATCCCGGAACTTAAAGTAAAATAAAAAACAAACAAACAAAACGTTTCTTTTGAATTCAGTTGCATATGAACTTCTTACTCTGAATTCCTGTTTCATCTTAGAGATGATTTTTGCTTTTATCTTTCTTAAGAGATAATTTCATTCATTCAATAAACTTTTAATAAGACACCTCTATGAGTGAGAAGCTATGACAGAATTTGTAGAAATGTCAAAGATGAAAACACATTTCTGACCTCAGGAATTTATATCTAGGGGGAAAATAAGACTTCATGAAAATTGTGCTAAAAGGATTTCTTATAATAAAATATTTTAAAGGGGTAAACAATGTATTACAGTAATTGGTAAGGAAATGAATATCATGTTTTCTAAATTCTGTTTTAGTGAAAATTCTCTTGCCCCCTTTTTTTTTAGCCACTGCATTCTTTTCTTATTCAGGCCATCACTATGACACTCTTGTGTTATTGTTATAACTTCTTCCACTTCCCCTTTGTTTCTGCCCCCTACCCAGATACTCTCTCCTTCACATTATCACTGGATTGTCTTCTAAAAGACTCATCTCCTTAAAAATATTGATAAATTCCCATCTCTATGACATTAAGACTATCTAGCCAGCTTACTCTAAGAGTCTGTTCACCATCTGGGCAACACTGTGCCTGTCACATTTTTCAAATACTCAGTGCTATAACTGTTACCTACATGAAACATCTGTTTTCTAACTTTATCCATTTTCTGTTCCTTGTCCTTAAAACATCCTTTGCTTGCTGCTCCTGCCTGGAACAATCATGCTTTTATTTAAAGATGCTACTAATGAACAAAATAATGCCTATAGTTAACAATAGTGTATTATGAACTTAAAATTTTGTTAAGAGGGTAGATCTCAAGTGTTCTTATACATGCAAATGAGCTTCCCAAACAAAACAAAAACAAAAGGGCAAAGGAAACTTTTGGAGGTGATGGATATGTTGATTGCCGTAATAGTAATGATGGTTTTATGGGTGTATGTATTTGCTCAGTCCCATCAAATTGTATACATTAAACTTGTGCAGTATTTTTGTGTAATGATTACATCACATTAAAGCTATTATAAACAGATAAAATGTCCAAAAAACCCCTAAAGACATTAACATTTCGCCTTTACCCCAATTAAAGACTTCCTGGTGGGGCATGGTGGCTCAAACCTGTAATCCCAGCATTTTGGGAGGCCGAGGTAGGCAGGTCACCTGAGGTAGGGAGTTCAGGACCAGCCTGACCAACATGGAGAAACCCCATCTCCACTAAAAATACAAAATTATTCAGGTGTGGTGACACATGTCTGTAATCCCAGCTACTTGGGAAGCTGAGGCAAGAGAATCGCTTGAACCTGGGATGTGGAGGTTGTAGTGAGCTGAGATTGGGCCATTGCACTCCAGCCTGGGCAACAAGAGCAAAACTCTGTCAAAAAAAAAAAAGACTTCCTAAGTTGGAATTGATAAGATCTCAAAAAAAAAAAAAAAAAAAAAAAACCAACATTGATTCATACCCCTAACATTTATTACTCTCTAAATTATTGTAGAATTATTCGGGTAAATTTCTGTTGTGACTATCCGTGAGCTCCTGGAGCTTAAAGTGTTACTAGAGGCAGATTCATACTGTCTTCAGCAAACCTCAGTTCTTGCCTCCTCAGAAGAAAATGTTCGACCAATGGGTATAAGGCAGAAAGGGAGATTGAGGCAAGTTTTAGAGCAGGAATGAAAGTTTATTAAAACGCTTTAGAACAGGAATGAAATGAAGTAAATTACACTTAGAAGAGGGCCAAGCAGGCGACTTGAGAGATCAAGTGCACGGTTTGACCTTTTGACTTGGAGTTTTATATGATGGCTTACTTCCAGGATCTTGCGTTACTTCACCCTGGTTCTTCCATTGGGGTGGGCTGTCCACGTGCACAGTGGCCTGCTTGCGCTTGGGAGGGGAGCATGCACAGTGTGTTTACTAGAGTTGTACGCATGCTCACTTAGGCGTTCTTCCCTTACCGGCTGAATGCTCCTAGGAGGTCATTTACCAGTTAAATTCTGCCATTTTGCTTCTTAATGCACATGCTGGAGCTCACTCACCCAACTCCTGAGATCTTGTCGGGAAGCTACTGAGTTTCAGGTGTTTTCTATCTATTGGGAGAGTGCCTTTCCCTGATGCCGGCTGTCACCAAGTATTATTTTAGAGAGACAGTTAACAACCACCTGACCATCACCTGATGGTTGCCTGACATTCCTGGTGTGTGTTGAGGTGGAACCATCTGTCCTGCCTATTCCTGACTAGCTACCTACTGTAACAAAAAAGACAATGTATTACTTATTAAGAATTCTCAACTGGGCATGGTGGCTCACGCCTGTAATCCCAGCACTTTGGGAGGCTGAGACAAACAGATCACATTAGGTCCGGAATTCGAGACCAGCCTGGCCAACATGGTGAAACCCCATCTCTACCAAAACTACAAAACGTAGCCAGGCGTGGCGGTGCGTGCCTGTAATCTCAGTTACTAGGGAGGCTGAAGTAGGAGAATTGCTTGAACCCAGGAGGTGGAGGTTGCAGTGAGCCGAGATCTTGCCACTGCACTCCAGCCAGGGTGGCAGAATGAGACTCCCTCTCAAAGAAAAAGAAAAAAAAAGAAAAAAAAATTATCTCATGCCTTTATACCTATCAGAGCTAAAAAACAAACAAACACTTTATTGATTGCAATAAGTATAGAAGTGCTCTACGCATTCAATAATTGCTCAGTAATTTCTAATTTAAAAAAAGTTTTGGGCCGGGCGCGGTGGCTCACGGCTGTAATCCCAGCACCTTGGGAGGCAGAGGCGGGTGGATCAGGAGTTCGAGACCAGCCTGACCAACAAGATGAAACCCCATCTCTACTAAAAATACAAAAATTAGCCGGGCGTGGTGGCAGGCGCATGTAGTCCCAACTACTCGGGAGGCTGAGACAGGAGAATCGCTTGAACCCGGGAGGCAGAGGTTGCAGTGAGCTGAGATTGTGCCAGTGCACTCCAGCCTGGGCGACAGAGTGAGAATCCTTTAAAAAAAAAAAAAAAAAAGAATTCTCTCATGCTTTGTACCTATCAGAGCTCAAAACAAAAAAAAAAAAACAAAACAAAAACACCTTATTGATTGCAGTAAGTACAGAAGTGCTGTATGCATTGAATAATTGCTCAGTAATTTCTAATTAAAAAAAAAAGTTTTGGTCATCTTATGACCATTGCCATAGGTGGCATTTGCCTTAAGTGTCCTGTTTCGTAGACTAAATTCTCTACCACGATAATTAAATTTAGTTTTAAAAGTAGCTAGGTCAATAAAAATTAGGTTTCATTTAAATAAAGTCTTCTGTAAAAGTTACACTGATTATTACTACCACCTATGCTATTTTTACCACTGCTATTACATCATTATATCATTACTTCCAATACCTAAAATGTTTTATATTTGCTATGCATGTAGAGGGTACTTTGGAGGTAACCTGAGGCTTTGATGCCAACTGAAGGTTTTACTGGGCTGATTTATTATGTTCATCTTTATGTCATGTGTTTTTATGTATTAGAACTGCCGTTTTCTCCTCTCCATCTTTTTGTTCTAGCTGTAGTGCCTGCCTTAGATTTTCACAAATTCACCATCTCTCTTAGGTATTTGAACCTTCGTACTTCTGTTTCCTCTCCCTGAGGAGCTCTTCCACTCTGCGGGACACCTATGTAACTTTCAGAATTGAGGTCAAATATCCAAACATCCTGTACTCTGGAAAGCTTCCTAGTTTCTCTTTTTAGAAATCTGAGTTAGAGGTCTACTGTTTGCTCCTTGAGCAGCCTTTGCTTCTATCAAAGCATTTGTCAGAACAGAATATCTCTGTAAATTTGTCTCTCTTGCTGGCTTATGCATTTTTGAGGTAAGGAAGCTCTATTATAATCAGTAATAGTAGTAGTAACAACAGCAAGAGTAGTAATAATGGCAGTACAGTAGTAGTAACATTTATATTCCCAGCTTCTTAACGTGGTACATGGAACCTGGTCTGTGCCTGATATTTGGATAGATGACTGAATGAATGAATAAAGTTGTATCTTTGGTATTTGGTGGTACTTATTACTCCATTTTATTATTACTTTGCTGGTAATTATTATTTCCATGTAACAGGGGAGAAAACTGAAGTTCAAATTGTTGGAACTAGTTTTTTATAGATATCCAAGCCGAACTTGGAATCTAGACCCAAGCTGAACACTATAAATCATCTTTTTTTTTTTTTTGAGACAGGGTCTCACTCTGGTTGCCCAGGCTGGAGTGCAGTGGTGTGATCTCAGCTCACTGCAACCTCTGCCTCCCCGTGATCCTCCCTTCTCAGCCTCCCAAGTAGCTGGGACTGCAGATGCATGTCACCACACCCAACTAATCTTTCATATTTTTAGTAGAGATGAGATTTCACTATGTTGCCCAGGCTGGTCTTGAACTTCTGGCTTCAAACAATTTGCCCACCCCGGCATCCCAAATTGCTGGGATTACAGATGTGAGCCACCACCCCCAGCCTCATCTTTTTTAAAATTCTATTTTTTGAGATAATTATGGATTCACAGATAGCTGTGAGAAATTATGCCAAGATGTTTTTATATACTTTGCCCAGTTTCTCCCAATGACAGCATTTTGGAAAATGGTAATGTAATATCATAACTAGGATATTGACATTGATAAATTATACCTATCTTATTTAAATTTACCCCAACTTTACTTGTATTCGTTTGTGTATATGTTGGGGAGAGTGGATGGTGTCTTAGGCCATTAGGCCTGCCATAACAAAAACACCATAAATTGGGTGGCTTAAACAACAGAAATTTATTTCTTACAGTTCTGGAGGCTGGGAAGACCTAGATCAAAAAGCAGCCAATTTGATGTCTGTTGAGGGCTCACTTCCTGGTTTGTAGAAGGCCGTTGTTTTGCTGTGTCCTTACATGGCAGAGGGGCCAGGAGGCTCTCTGGACTCTCTTTTCAAAAAAGAGTGCTCATCTCATTCATGAGGGTTCTGCCTTCATGACCTAATAACCTCCAAAGGCCCCTCCTCCTAACACCCTTACCTTAGGGTTTAGGATTTCAACATGTGGATTTTGAGGGGACACAAACATTCATACCATAACTGGTGATAAGTTCTAAACAGTTTTATCATCTGTTTAGATTCCTGTTAACCACCGTTGTCAAGATACTGAATAGTTACAATGTCACAAGTGTTTTTCATGTTGTTCTTTTATAACCACACTCATTTGTCTCCTTCCTAACCCTTGCTTCAGTTTCTAACTCCTGACAATTACTTATCTGCCTACTATTTAAAAAATTTTGTCATTTCAAAAATGTTATATAAGTAGAGTCAAACAGCAAGTATGATTTTTAAGTATGTATGATGTTTAAGTTTCTTCCAATTTGAGATTGCTGTAAACAATAATGTAATAAAACATTAGAAATTCACTTTCATTTTTGCATGTCATATATATGGATTAAGAAAGTGTTGTATTTGGACACTTCCTCTTCATGCCATGGAGGTAGGGAATGTTATTTTTTCCCCTCAAGTCTTTTGTTTCCCAATTGTCTTGTAAGGCACTGATAATGTAATTAGCATTCAATAAATATTTGTTTATATGGATGAATATAGGAGTTAAAATTATAGAGCTTTATACTTAGGGCTTATAGTAAAAATAGTACCTTTTTGTACTTGAAAGTCTTGCTCATGTTAAATAAATATAAATACAATGCTTGAATGTTGGGCTTCAATAGTCACTGTGCTGGTGTGATTTTACAGGAACTAGAGAAACCGATGCACCCTTCCTTCTATCGCCGCTTCTGCTCCACAGTTATCATCTTCAGTCAATGGGTCAACTTCTTCCATTAACACAGGATTATGAAAACCTGAAATTGAATCTCTTTATTCAAAATATACTTGATTAAGTTAAAGCCTGTACAAAAATCTTGCAAAGTTATTGTTGTTAATGTTGTTATTGTAATTAACCATTATTTGTGTCTAGTTGGGGTTTTTTTTTTTAATTATAAAGAATGGAGAGTTTCTTAATTTAACTTCCTTCAAAAAGGGAGTTTCTTGAAAGGATGCATGCACTCAGGAACCTGGGTAAAGAGCTTAGTGCATGGCAACTTGCCAGAGTGGGCACTCTCTTCCCTCTACCCCTCCCTGCCCTTTCTGTCATGGAACTTTGCCCTCTGCACATCTGCTCCGATTATCTCTCCACTGGCTGGGTTCCTCAGCTTACACTGGCCTCTTATATTTCAGTTCCAGCCATGTTGCTGTCTCATGCTCGTTTTGCTTGACTTCTCACTTGTCCAGCTGGGCTCATGAGCCAAAGGCTGCTGTTCAATCTCTGGATGGGCTTCTTTCTCTTCAAATTTTCACCACCATTCTAGCTGTCGTGGTTGGAGACATGGGGCCCTAGGATGCAGAACACTATGCGCCCTTTCTGCTAGGGTGTGAGTGATTACAGCTTTTTAAAGGCATGTGAAGACATCTTTAAAGACTCTTCCAACAATGAGTAAAGATTAGTTTCCAGTTGTTTATTGCTATTTTCTTGAAAGTTAATATCACCTCACTGCTTTCAATCTGGGAGCAAATATTATTCAGCATATTATCTGCCTACTATTTAAAAAATTTTGTTATTTCAAAAATGTTACATAAGTAGAGTCAAACAGCAAGTATGATTTTTAAGTGTGTATGATTTTTAAGTTTCTTATTGTATATTAGAGAAAATCATAGGAGGAAATAAATTTATTAAGCACTGCAGAAACTATGTAAGTCTTTCAGATTTAACTTAATGTGCTCAGATTTATTTAAAGGAAAGTATTAAGGGATTCTAATATTTCACTTGCAGTATAACCTTGTTATAGGAATACATTGAAGGCTTTCCCATGTGACTCAAGTGTAATATGGGACACATTCTTTACATGAGATAGAATGTTCTTTGTAATCAATCCACACATTTCCTGTAAAAGAGATAAAAAGTGAGGGAAATCAGGAAGGTGATGTGTCACCTAATATCACTGATGCTGAGATAGCAATGGATGCTTTGCATGACCATGAAATATAAAAGACAATCTTGAAACAGAAGACGACTTTGGTGACACAGAGGAAAAACCAAAGAAGGACAATTTAAATGAAGGGCATTTTATCCTTGGATTCAACAGCTCGTTTTGCAGACATGAGAGTCTATTCATAACCCTTTACACATTTTACGTTTACATTTGTATTTACATGAAAGGGACTATATGATTGGCAGAATCACATGCATACAGAAGACATCTGTTCAAAATATATGCTATAGCATACATGGTCAGAGAAAGTTTATCTCTGACACCATTTTATTTGTGTAAAATGAGGCCTAACATACATAGAGAGTTGACTTTAGGGTACTTCAGAGATTAGAACCATCAAGAGAAATGAAATATTTTTCAGTGTAGCAAAATGTAACATCACCACAAACGGTAATTAGACTTTTTGAAGTATTTTTAAAAAAGAATGGTTTTGGGGTACTGAAATGTGCGTCCTAAATGAAATGGACAGTTAATTTAACTAGAACGTGTGTGGCAGGCCAAACTTGTATTTGTGTGAAAACTGCAAAGATTATGGTTTAAGAGATTTCAGTTTAAATGCAAGGGTGTGTGTGTGTGTGTGATTTTCTTCCTATTCTTAATCTTCACAATTTTATTCAGTGTACTTATTATGTCTTGCTAGGATTTTTTCAAATTGAATTTCATCTTTTTTTTTTTACAAATACAGAAATAACTCTATCCTTTTGATAGGGATATTGATCGTTTTGTAGACATATCTAACATTGTAACCTGTCTTCCCAGAAAGGTGACAAGAATGACATGAAAGTTTATGTTAAGATTATGTGTGTGTGTGCGTGTGTGTGTGTGTGTGTTGTGTGTTGTATATTTTCCCTTAAGTCCTTTCATGGTAATCACTAGCATTAGAAAAGAAATGTCAGTTTGTAAAAACAGTCAAAGATAATCTCCACATTCTGCCTAGGATTTATGTTATGTTGTCTATTTTCTGTTTGCCCCTTTGGATTTCGTCTGTTGTCTTCTGTACTATGCACTTGCTTCACGAAACTGACTTGTACTTTTGCCAATTGAGATTGGCCAATGGTGAGCCAAGTCATGAGACCGAGGAGAAGAAAAAGGTCTGAGTATTTTTCTCCTAGCTCCCTGTTTGAGGTTGTGTCCTCATCTACTGTCGCTGCTCCCCTCTTCAGAGCACAGTCCACACAGCTCTTTATCCTCCTGGGTTCTGATAACCTGTTCTCCTATTGGTCCTTTGGACTAAGGGGTCGCAACAGCTTTTCTAGTGCTATCTCTGGTCCCTGACCTCTCCCTTGTGGTTCTTCTGTAGCTTGCCCAAAACTCTGTAATTAGTCCCTTTGTAAATAAGGTGTTATCTTAATTTGAGTGTGCCATCTGTTTCTTGTTGGGACCACTGGGAGATATAGCACTCTGGGTCACAGACAGGAATGGGCATGCAAGGAGAGAGGAAATGGTGGCTTATTGCATAAGGTACTAAGGATGCGTCTCATTTAGATCCTGGTCTTGCAATTCAGACCAGTCTTCTGTTTGGCTCTTTCTTTGGCCCCTGGAAGGCTGAAATAATGAAGGTCTGCTTAACATAATCTCTGGCAAATCTGGTACTGGGTATGATCAATTGCTGTGTGATCACACAGGGAATCGATATAAGAGTCATATTCATATGTCAGGAGTAAGTCATGTCATTGCCTTTATCCATACTATCTGAATATCACCATTCAAATACACATAAGCTCTGTAAATTCACCTTGAAATAAATATTTTCTCATGTGTTTTATATATTGGAATCTTACAGAATGGTGTAGAACTGTAATTGCATATGGCTAGTATATGATGCTATATTAAATAATGATAAAATGCTTTAAATTTGTGTATACAATTAATAGCTTTCAAACAGTTAAATATAAACTGCATTAATAATCAATCCAAATGTAAAGAAAATATGCTAAATCTAGATCACTTTAGGGCGAGCATCATATCCTTTTTAAGCCAAGCATTTGTTAATAAAAATTGAAATAATGCAAAGCCAGATATTAGGTTATGCCATAATTGTAATTCATATATTAATAGAATTGTTTAATATACTACTATTCTTAACATCAAATTAAACATCTTCAATAACTGTATTTAAATTATATGTAATTGTGTATATGGCCGTAGGTTTTTAAGAAAATATGCTGGGTTGGGATTCATTACATCTAGTGAGAATGAATTAAAAACATGATGCCAATTTTGTTTCCTCAAATTTTCACATAAAGGAAAAGTTCAAACCACATATAACAACCTCCATGATCTATAATGTTGCATGCAGACAAATTTCATATAGACGTGCATTCCAGATTTTGTGTTTATGATTTCTTTCTTCAGGATAAAATATAGGGGGTTGTTGACTTTGACATTCAGGGCTTGGCAAACTTAGTTGAGCCTTTCCAGTCTTAAGAAGAGACATTCTTGGGGCTAGGAGCGGTGGCTCACGCCTGTAATCCCAGCACTTTGGGAGGCCGAGGCAGGCGGATCACGAGGTCAGGAGATCGAGACCGTGTCTCTACTAAAAATACAAAAAAAAATTAGCCGGGCGTGGTGGCGGGCGCCTGTAGTCCCAGCTACTCGGGAGGCTGAGGCAGGAGAATGGCTTGAACTCGGGAGGCGGAGCTTGCAGTGAGCTAGATTGCGCCACTGCACTCCAGCCTGGGCGACAGAGCGAAACTCTGTCTCAAAAAAAAAAAAGAAGAGACATCCACATTCTTAGGTACTGTTTTTCAGGCTTCAGGGATCATAGGTTTACAATTTTGGTATTTAGCTAAATTATGTCAATCATTTTTTTTAGTTGTTTTTTGTTTGTTCTGTTTTTGTTTTTAGCAAATCTGGCCATACTTCCACTGAATACAAGGATTACTTCGGAGAAGTTATACTTTGTAAGAAAATAGATTCTGTGTTTGAAAATATGATTAAAAAATTACCCCAATAGAAATATTTGGGAACAGTTATTGCTAGTAAATAAAACTGCCTTTAAAATTATTTTTATTATTGAAAAATTTCATCGAAAAGAATTTTGCTGTTCTCAAAGTTATGATGCAATTTAAAGTATAAGTGATTATTTTGGCCCAAAACCTATGAGAATTTTCTCTCCCTAATATGTCTATACCATCTGCTGGCTATTAGTGGCAATCAAACCCACAATACAAAAAATCAAATTTTAAAAAACCACACTTTTTTCCTGTTAGTTCCCTGAGCTCTGTCACTACAAATATTGATGTGGCAAGGCTGAATATTTCTCTGAACATCTATTTCAAATTGAAACTAAATGCCTGTGCCAGAATGACTTTATCTGGGATTTGAGCCTGTGTGTGCCTGACATCTAAAGCAACTGCTCTCTGCTTTCTCTTCTGTTTTCTCTATGTTTATATGGTTCAGTGATTGTGCCACCTGCCCCTCCTTCATTGCATCCTGCACTGAGATCTACCATGACTCTTTACCAAGTGCATTTAAGGTGTCTGGCCACGTGTTTCTGAAAATCAGCTACCGATGTATGAATGGTAAAAAACATGATAATATTATTTCTTCTGAGTTTATACGTATATGGCTTGTGTGCATGGAACAGCAATTCCTGGTTTAAAAATGGCCACTCTATTTACTTATTTTATCCAAGAGACCATATCGTAAAAGCAGGGAATACAAACTCAAAAGCCAACGAACACCAACACAGTCACCCAGCCACACCAACAACAAATAGGTAGGGATGCAAGGACTGGGGGTGGGAAATGGAAACCACAACTACCCTGCAACGACTTTCTACTCAAAGCATGGACCTAGGACCTGTAGCATCGGCAGCAACTGGACATTGATGGAAATGCAGAATCTCAGGCCCCACCCCAGAATCACTGAATCAGAATCAGCCTTTCACAATCTTCCTAGTAATGTGTGTGCACATTCAAGGTTAAGAAGCACTGCTTTTCTCTTATCTATTGTTGTCAGATATGCTGACTTTTTAAAATATTAAAAATATGCAGGTTTTTAATGGAGAAGGTCTTAATTTTAAAAACATTGTCTAATTCAGCTTTTTTTTAAATACTTTCTGGGAACACTAAAACATACTGAAAATGTCAATAGGCCTAGGGGCCCATTAGTTTTAAAAATCTGCATGTCAAAGAGTGAATATGAATATGGACAGTTTTATTCTTGTTATTTTCTGGGAATAGTGACATCTAAACAAAACTCTTGATGATAAAAAAGCAAGCATTGCCATCAGTAGATATATCTTACTTCCTTTTCAAGAAATATCCCTTGCCTATTTTAGCTATAATGCTGCCTGCCTTCACCACTCTGCCCCCAGTGTGTATATCTATACAGCAGCTAGAGTGTCTCATTTAAAACTTAAGTTGAAACGATTCGTTTCTCCAGTGGCTTCTCTCTTTCCTACTCAGGAATAAAAGCCAGTACCTTACAAGCTATTTGAGAGCACCTCACTTAGTTGTTCTTTTGGAAATGTATGTCCAGCCACCCCTGCAAGCTTGCAATTGCTTCAACCCTCTAGACAAACTCTGCCTCAGTATTCTCGCCTCAGATATGTGCCAGGCTTGCTGTCTTACCTATCCCAATCTGTTTCTCAAATGTCATTTTAAGAATCTGAGCTTCCCTGATGAAAACCATAAATCAATAGACCACAACCCCACCCCTAAATTCTCCTCATTAATGCTTTTCTTCAGAGCATTCACTACCATTGGATGTCTGTAAGTTATTTCACTGATTTATTTGTTTACTTGAAGTCTTTTGCCACCAGAATGTTAGTTATTTGAAAGAAGAGACCTCTGGTCTCTTGTTCATGTTGTTTCCCCAATCTGAGTTCGATGCTTGGCACATACATAATTGGTTCTCAATACTGTGTGTTGCATGAATGAATGATATCCAAGCTTAAAAACTACATGACACTGCTCACTGAGGTTTTTGTTTGTTTTTATTAGTAGTACATAATTGAAGGTGATTTTATTATGTAATTATATAGTTCTGCTGTAGCTTATTATTACAGTCTTTTTTTATTTTATGCATTAGATACACAACCTACTTCTGGGTTATTTATTTTTCTGCCATCTTGGAAATTTTTCATCCCTATTGCTCACGTCCAAATGTGCCTGTAGCAAATCTTTTTTTCAATTTTTTTAATTGACACACAAAAATTGTCGATGTTCATTAAAGTACATAGTGATTTTTTAATACATATGTATTAGTATGTTTTCACGATGCTGATAAGACAAACCCAAGACTGGGCAATTCACAAAAAAGGTTTAATTGGACTTACAGTTCCATGTGGCTGGGAAGGCCTCAGAATCATGGCAGAAGGCAAGGAGGAGCAAGGCCTGTCTTACATGGATAAGGATTACATGGATCCTTTACTGAGGATAACAAATATGATTCCAGGTTCTACTCAGTTATTAATCTAAGAAAGAGATTTGAAACTGTACAATACTTTCAAGTATACTAATTAGCCTCATAATTACCTGAAACCAAAATAGAGCAATCATATATCTTAAAATATAGAATGTAATTTATTCCTGTAATTAAGTTTCAATATTAGAAAATAGTTTTTTTAAAAAATACTCTTCCTTTGACTTTTTTTAAATAAAATGCTGTGAAAATGTTCACAGCGACATCTTGAAAGCTAATATTCATTTTTGTACTCTACATTAAGTAGGGGCTCGGTTTTAGATACCTCTGTTTTTAGTACTTAAAAGAGGGCCTGACAAAGTTGGTGCTTAATAAATATTTGAAAATAAACAAATGAATGAATCAATGAGTGAATTTCTGTTAGAAATATTTATTTGTGTATGGAATGGATAGACCTTGTACAAAGTTCTCCGTGATACATGAAGAAATTGCCTGTGATCACAAGGGTCTGTTTATTGAAATGAAATAGGTGAATGGTTGGAACTCTTGACTAAGAGTTACTTAAAATATACTCTCCTCAGCTTTGTTAAACAGTTTTATGTGGTAGATACAAAACTTCAAAGGGAGGAAAACTCTGAAATATCATTAATCTACTCTAATGATTTATGAATTTAAGTAGACTTCTTATAATATTTTCATTTGGGTGGAGTATAAATTTAAATATTAAAAATAATTATGCATATTTATTTTATCTTTATATAATACAAATTCTATGGCTAGTTTAGAAGAATTTACTGAATGAATAATATTATTAATTTTATCTGTCAGTTATACACATGAATATTTATTAGCATGAATAATTATTTTTATTTTAAACAATGGTGACTCATAGAAACTACCTGCTTTGATACTAGTAGAAGCCACACAAGTGAGTTACATTTTTCTGAATACTAATATTATGTCAACTGAATATCAAATTGTTGACAAAATATTTCTAAGTGGAAAACAAAATATGAAGACAAAGGAGTGAAATACGCTAGAAAAATCTAGGACAAGAACTTGAGTGTCTTGATTCCTAGCTCAGACATATATATAAATGTGATACATAATTACATACCGTAGACGTGTTTCAAAGATGTTGAAATGCTACATAGCTCAATTAGTATATAATATAAAATAATAATGTATTTATATCTCTTTTATAAATATTTTTCTGTGAATGTCATTTGTTAAGCAAAATTTTATTAATAATTATACAAAATATTAGAACAAAGCTAACAATGTAAGTTTTCAAATGTTCTACAGAATTTTTGCAACAATGAGTGGAATATCAGTAACCTGACATTGCCTGAGTCTTTTTAAATTTTCTCATGAGCTTTCATAAACTTTCGTCAAACCCCAAAGAGATCAGTAAATATAGGGATCAGAGGAAGATCAAGAAGACAATTTGTTATGTCCCGGTAAATTATTTAATAAGAATAATAAATTGGGTCAAGGTTTGAATAAGGTGATGCTTAAGAACAGGCAAAGGATGTGAATGACAGGAAGGCAGACAGAGAGTCTGCCAACTGTCTCCTGTGTGGAGACGTCTTTTGTCTCTTCACCCTTTTCTGCCTCCTGGAAATAGACTACCTCTTCTTCAGGGAACTGTCCCTTTATCTTGTCTCATTAGGGATCCCAGTTACAGATGCTATTGGACATTGTCATTAATCCAAGAGCGAGCATGTGCAATTCACTGCCATCCTCAAACCTCTCGTCTTCTAACATTTATGTCTGTGAACAGCGAGTCCATTCATCCGTTGTCCAAATTGACATCTTGGCATTATCCTTGACATCACCTACTCAAAAAATGTATTAACAAATCAGGCAGATTTGACCTGTTAAAGAAAATTGTCTTTGGTTACCATTCACTATTTTTCCATCTTTAAAACTTGCATCACAGGGTAAGCCACCATGCTGTAGTAACCTTGTAACTGTCCACATCCATTCTAGAATTGCAGGTGTGATTATACCAGATTTTTTCTGCTTAAAAAAATAGTGACTTCTCATTAGTCTTGGGGTGAAGTCATAAGCATCTTAATGTAACAGTAATTCCCTTGATGTTCTTTGTCTGCAGTGCCTCATTTCTGCCTCCAAACCCAGCAGCATCTTTCTCTTTGTTACTGACATTGGAGTCTAGGCTCTAAATTACTGCCCTTTTTTCCAGTCCTTTAGTTTTTTCATTTGTGCTTCTTTGCCTAGAATGCTCACACTTTCCTTCTTTTGTTTACATTTTATCTAAAGTGTAATTTTCTCAAGGAAACATTTTCCTCAAGTAAATTTCTCTGAGTGGGTCAAATGCCTCTTTTCTAAGAATTCTCGTCAAATTGGTAATTGCAAATTTATATTTATTTTGTTTCCAGGGATATGTTCATGTCCATGAGAGGAGATCCAGTGTCTCATTTTGACACAAATTGTGTACTTAATCTTGATTATATATTTGATACACTCGATGCTAGGGAACTGCAGTTGAATACCAGGCTGTACATGCTGAATATTGAAAAAAATCAGAACTTGAAAATTAAAATTTGTTGATGAATGAAAACAAAATTCAAATGTTTGTCAGTCTTATATACACAAATATCCATTGGAAATGAAAGAGAAATCAAATTGTTTGAAAGACATGCAAACAACATAGAAAATACATTATCAACTGGATAGTTCAAGAAGGAAATGTACCAGGAAAAAGATGGAAATAGTATGCCCTAAAACATCCTTCAAAAAAGGTGATATAAGGACAGTTAATCTTTGAGCATTTTTGGTTACCTAAAAGCTAAACAATATACTCAGACATTGAGTATAATAATAGTTTATCTAGAAGATAAACTATTTATCTAGTTTAAACTATGATTTATCTTCTAGATAAACTGTTATTTAGAATTGCATGTGTAATTCAATAAATTGAAATTTTACTGGAGTAAAGCATTTAATGTGATTTTATGAATTTCAGTTATGTCAACATTTCTAAATACGTTCTCAGAATAAATGTATGTAGTGTTTTGAACTGTAAAAATCATGTATATTTACAGGGATAACTTTCTGCAAGGATTTTAGACATGACATTATAGGAAGGCTTACATAACGATGTAAGTGGGTCATATTTAAAGACTTAATACTCAAAAGGTAGATTACCTATGAAGATTTAAGAAAATTTGAATTAAACATTTCTAATTGAAAAAATTCCATGGGGACATTAATCACAATCAGTGCATAATGAAGAATATTGGTATATATTAAAAGCATAATTGTTGACTTTTAAAAGAGTTTTAAGTTCCTCTGAACATTGATGTTCACTAAACTGGAGTTAATTAGTTAGCTTTCTCTATATATAGATTAGTTAATAGTTGATTAGTCAAGTATTATAAATATTCCCAGAAGTGGTGCTGCTGTCTTACAGTGTCTTCAAGAAATGTGAAGTCAAGTCAGGTTATGGCTTATGTTTTTAAGTAGTAAATTATGTATCAGTTCTAAAATAGAGTTCAGCTTAATTGTTAAATAGTATAAATCAGCAAATTGATTCCTTCAATGCATATGTGCTCCAGTTTAATTTTCATTTGTGGACACATTTTCAACGCAAATCACAGGTGACCTTAATCCAAGGAAGAAATCCAAGGAAAAAATTTATACACATACATACCAGAGACTGTTGATAATAAAACTGAAGTGCTAGTGTAATTGATTATTGATTATGGTAAATGTATGTAATATTGTAAAAGTGATTTAAAGTTACATCTTGATCTGTCATCTTTCTGTCTATCTATCTAGCTAGCTACCTATCTTTCTATCTAAAGACACAGATAATTTTACCTTTTTAAAAAAAAAAGCAGGAAAAAACATCTTGGAGGAATACAGATGAACTGCATGTCCAAAAAGTAAGTATGGAGGAAAAATAAGTAAGTGAGGCTAAATAAGTTCTTTAAGGAAGAAAAGATGATAAGATACTTTAAATATATGCTTATTTTTATAAGGAATAAAGATATTGAATACCTCAGAAAAAATAACTAGAAGCAAGGACCTGTGAATATAATAAAAACAGTAAATTCGGAAAATACTGAGTATTTGATTATCACCTATTTTGGAAAAATTGCATATCAACTTTTACTTTCATATTTCTCAGAACTACTAGCTTTCATGAAGTGTCTTTCAGTGAGCTGTGTTTTATTTATCTCCCTTTATATTATGAATCTAGCCCAGTACCTGATGCAGAGGAACCGTTAAGGGTTGGCTGTTGAATATTACTATATGTATCATTTTAAGTGAATTGCGAATGAGAGATAAGAAAGAAGAAACTATTGAGTCAGATATGTATCAAAAGTAATAAGAACAGAACATCTGTTTATGAGAAACAGGAAAGACCTCAATTACCCTATGGGACTATCCATGGAGAGCCTTCATTTATTTTGTCTTTGTCTTTCAGAAAACCTCTTAACTATTATTGTTAATTTCAATTAATACTTCGGATAATGCCACACATTCTTGTGAGCAAGGGTAACCTTGCTAGGTTCTTCCAGTTTTCTTTATTTTGGAAAAGATAAGTTGTTGACTTTAAATGCTATATATATATTTTTTTAATTTCCAAAGTGCTTTATTTGCATATGTGAATTTATTACATTTTCACTAGATATTAACGATCTCTGAAAGTGCATACAGACAGCCCTCACTTTGCACAGTAGTGGATTGTTAAAGTGGCAGTGCAAATTAAAACTGTGTAAACAAATCATTTGAAAACTTACAATTGTTCTGTGACATTTAAAATTCGTATCAAAGCATTAAAACATTTATTCCTCTTAGAAATGTGTAGAAAGATAAAAAACAAATATGTATTTAATACTCTAAAACATTAGAAATATTGAGAATTAAAATGTTTTTTTCTCTGTAAAATTCTTATCAATAATAGTTGAAGTAGTGTTTTCCTTCTCCTAGTATCATTTATTATTGGTACCACAAGCAAGAATCTTTTCTATGCCTTGTTCGATGGTTATGTATCTTTCTAAGTTTGGATCAGCTTCCAACATTTTATTCTTTACTCTTTTAATATCATGGAATATCTGCAAGCGTTTATTTAATGTTTTTGTGTGTGTGTGTGTTGGTGTTACTTCATCTGGAATGTTTACGTCTTTATTTGCAAGTGTTTATTTAATGTTTAGTTTTTTTGTTGGCGTTACTTCATCTGGAATGTCTATATCTTTATTTGTTACAACCGGATTTCTCATTTATGCCAATGTCAGCCTTAACCAATTTTCTCTGACTTTCTATCTTAAAGCCTCTGTAATGGAGACAGTGTCAACATCCCTAAGCCAGTTATTTCTTCCATAACTCCATTTACCTTTGATTTCAATTTCACTTACAGCATCATCATTTTAGTTTCTCCCTTGAACTTTTATTTTTGTCGGCCAATTCCTTCTTTCATTATACGTTTTTGGTAAACATCACGTGGGTTTTTCACTGGGAAACAAAGAGGTAAGGCAACCACAGGCTTTCCCTTCTGCACGTGAATTGAATACATGCTCAGCAGCCAATCAAAAACAGACTATGAAGAAGTGAGGTGATTGGTCATCGGTCATGATAAGCATCTGTTATTTACATAATAATCCATGTGCTGAAGAGTTAGCAGTGAAGTTTATACTTTATGCCAGTATAGTCAATATACCATAGTAACTGAAAGTTGAAATGTGTTATGGGAAGCAGGTATTATTTCACTAAACAGTGGAAACGAGTTTCATGCATTTTAGAACTGCAAAATTGAGGACTGTTTTTATTATTGGTTATGGATATTGGTCATTTTATTATATGTGGACAAATGTAAAACTACATATTTTTTTAACAGAGATACATTTTTTATATGCTTACTATTTTAAATATAGACTTGCTATATTTTATAACTGCATAAAAATTTCAATAAATGGTCCTATTTACACTGCACAAACTTGTATACATAACAGATATCTGCTGAATGAGCAGAAAAAACAAGCTGGCTGTTTCAGATCCACCAAGGCTGTTTTGTGCAAGAAAGTGTCTGCAGCTTTGTAGGTCCAGAAACACTGTTACATCAGGACACTCATTGTTTACCAGACCTTCTGAGATTGTTTTATTCTAATCAAAAGAGCAAGAAAGCAATTGATAAGCTGGATAAAAATTTTGAATTGACAATCACAAATATAACCCAGAATTGAACAAACGTTCTGTGGTTGGTTTATAGGACATGCTTTCCCAAATAGGAACCCCAGTTCTGTCTTCAGCTGATGATTTGAAGGGCTTGAATCAAGAGTAAAAATGTGAGTAAATGACAAGGCAGTGTTAAATCACTGTAGGTTTTTCTTATTATTATGGCGAAATACAATGAAAAGAATTTAGCTAGTCGAATATCTCTTTCAGATAGGCACATCTGAGAATTTAGTTTTATGAAGTTGAATGTACTACACATATATATGGAATTTAGTTTTACAAAATTGAAGGTACACATATTATATAGTTTTAAACTATTGTTAGTTAATTATTATTGGATGAATACATTTATTTCATTTTGATATTTGGGGCTTTGATGTTTCAGAAGTTAACCTTTGGAAACCTAATATTTATAAAAATGTGCCTTGGTATTACTATGTAAACCCAAATTTAAAGATATATAATGTCAAAATTTTAATGTCACTGTATCTCTCAACTGTAAAAGCCTATTAGACCTTTTTTCTGTATCTTCATAATAGAATAGTTTTGTTACGTGATGCAGTTTTTGTGTGAATCTTCAGAGAATCACTTTTATTATTCTTACTGAAACCTCATATTATATTAAACATATCCAAATACATTCCAGAAGGAACACAGTTAATTCTTGAATTTTTTATGGTATGTCAGGTAGTGGACTAAACACTTCATGCATATCATATTTAGTGTTCACATCTTCTCTATTAGGGAGGTATTATCCCCATTTTATAGACAAGTAAACTGAGGCTCAATATATTAAGCAGTGAAATTAGTTTGACTTAATTCTAAAGCTGAAGTATTTTCTAAGATGTGCGTGGCAATGTGAAGGCCTGTTCTTCATAACTTTATCTGAATGTTTATTAACTGTACTAGTATGATATGTGAAGATGGACAAAAAAAGATGCATTTTTTAAGTACATATCCTGATGGCAGCAATTTTTTTTAAAAAATTCAGTTTTGTTCAGAGTCAAGGTGTCATGCAGGCCACAATTTTCAGCAAGCAATTGCCAAAGCCTGATAAAGGGAAATTTTCCTGCCTGAAATGGCCAGGCACGCGATGAGATTGGGATGAGTTTTGGTGAAAGCACTTATAAAAAGCTAAGAATCAAATGAGGAAACCAAGTCCAGGTGATATGACCATCAGTGGATTAATTTATTCACTTGTGTGTCAGTGGACCTCTGTTAATGAGCTAGTGTCCTTCAAAGTGTTAGACATTATCCACGGGTCCAAAGTGGGTGAAAAAATAAAATGAAACAAAATGAATGAGTCAGTAAGTGAAAAAGGCAAAACAAAGGATCAATAATCAGTTTTAGAACATAGAAAAGTAGATGCTGGATCATGCCTTAAATGGTACTGAGGTTTATACATTTTGCCTTTACTGATTATTGGTTTTGGTGTCACCTGGCTCAGGCAAGCTACACTAAAGGTACAAATAAATGAGATGGGCTTTGTATTAGTTCATTCTCACGCTGCTATAAAGAACTGCCTGAGACTAGGTAATTTATAAGGAAGAGAGGTTTAATTGGCTCACAGTTCTGCATGACTGGGGAGACCTCAGGAAAAATACAATCATGATGGAAGGCCCCTCTTCACAGGGCAGCAAGAGAGAGAAGTGCTAAGCAAAGGGTGGAGGGAAGCTCCTTATAAAACCATCAGATCTGGTGAAAACTCACTCACTATCATGAGAACAGCATGAGGGTAACAGACCCCATAATTCAATTACCTCTCACAGGCTCCCTTCCATGACATGTGGGGATTGTGGGAGCTACCTTTCAAGATGAGATTTGGGTGGGGACGCAGCCAAACCTTATATCAGGCTTTAAGAAAATGGTGAAGGTTGTTAGCTTTAGCTAGTTTCCAAGTGTCAACAGCAGTATTGCCAGTATTCCTGCTTTTGCCTTTTTCTCGTGAACCTAAAATTTATATTAGCGATCCCAGTTCACCTAACCCACCCTGCCTGTTATGTCATCTTTACTTCTACACTACTGACCGTACCTTACTCATGACACTTGGGTTTATTGCCATTTTTTACTTTTTTAACTTTTGCTTTCTATTGATCAGCACAGATCAAGGAATTAAATTATGTGTTTGTTTATTATTGTGGTGTTTATTTCTAGTGTGTCTTTTTCCTTCCTTTCTAACCTTTCTACCTTTCCAACTGACCATGGTTTTGCTTCAGGAAAAGGCCTACATAGCCAAAAACAGCAAAGAAAATGTCAAATTGTTAGTTTTCAAGTCTAAAATTGATTTTTCAAAATTCGTGGCAGAAACCACAGTTTAAAAAATGTTTGAGTTATGAAGACCATCCTTTTTAGGAAGGTAAAGTTCATGCATTTGGTATTTGACCAAAAAAAAGAGAAGCCCCAAAGAAATCTATGCATGAGGTTAAAGAGATTATATCAAGAGGGACCAAGGATTTACAAATTCCATTTACTGAAGACGAGAGCCTGTAAAGGAGCTATATGAATGTCAGTGGAGGCCAACCAGAGTAGATGTCAGTGACCCCCCAAAAGCCAAGGCCAAGATAAGGCATATCTTTGTGGATGCTGGTAATGAAAGACAAAGCCAGAAGTACAAGGTGGTGGTTGCCCCAGAAAACATGATGCCGTGTAGAAACGGGGAGAAAGGAGCATGACATTGTAAATAGAATAGAATAGCTAAAAGCGACTGAGTTTACCTATATTTCCCTATGTTACATTTCCTGTTATAATGCAGAAGGAAATCTTATAAAAGACAATTACTTCAGTAGTAGAAAGCGGTTTTAAATTTCTAACACTTGAGTCTACTTCCACTGAATATGGCTTGTGGGTGTAGTTGGCCTTTCATTGTGCTTAAACTGCCCTTTAACCCCCTTTCTGTTTAGGTGTCTGGCCTATGACTTCTCCCAGTAATTTTGCTCTTGTCCTCTTCCTTGCCCATGCAAGACCTGTACGCATAGACACATAGCTGTTCTCTTGGGAGCACCCTTCTTTCAGGAAGCTCTGTGCCATTTCATCTCTCTGAATGTTACAAATAGATGCACTTTCCTAGTATCCAGTTTCTAGAGGCTTAGATTCTAATGAATTTGATCTGTTACATTGACTTATTGACTCTGCCTAAATGTTCCCAATTGTATTCCCCAAATGAAATCTAAATAATGTGGTATTTGAGGACACACCTGTGTATGTAATGTATCATATTGTCTATTTTGTGAGGTATTACAAAGAAGAGAATAATATTTAATTCATGGGAGGCTATTATATTTACTCCTTATGCAGTGTTTTCATGTGCATTACCTAATTTTCACCTTAGATTTATGCAAATAAATTGTAAATGATATCTCTGTTTTCCTTAAGATATTAATATGCAGAAATAACATATCCATAAGCTGTAAACATAATAGAAAATAAATATATGTTGATAAAACATGGAAAAATGTAAAAATACAGCAAACACATAATCATAGCTAAATGTAAAATAGAAACTATATTACATTTCATTTATGTTTTTGATTCTGTGATTTTGATAACTTAAGATACTACTTTTTACTTTTGGAAGCATAATGGTGCACACTACCTTATTGATATGGACTCATGCATACTCTCATAAGAATCAAGGTAGAGTCAACATAAGTAACTGGTTTTCTGCCCATGTATAAATTCCACCTTCACTACATACTAGCTGTAACTTTAAAGCTTTCTTTTATTTCAAATCTGTCATTCTGATTTAGTAAACATGGCACAGTGGCCGTACAGATAAAAACAGCAAGTTTTCTGTGATTCACTAGCTAATATTGATAAATAATGGATTTAAATGTAACCATTTCTCAAAAAGGTCACAGTCATGTGTTCTTTGCTGATATTTGAGGTAACCAGAAGAATAAAAGAGGAGGGAAACAATTCCTTAAGACCTATACACAAAAAAATAAATGAACAAAATAAGTAAAGTTAAAATCATTTTGTCTCTCAATCATGCTTTCATCTGTTGATTTTATAAAAGACTACTACTTGAAAATCATAGCTTTGACAATTATAAATAGTGTTTAACAAGCATTTCCAGCTCTCACTGTCTTTGGATATGTGCTAACCTGTTTCTGTTGGGTCTAGCATGTGGCAAGCTTTGGCCAATGAAGTGTAGGAGTAGCTTGTGTCACCTCTTGTCTGAAGCCCTTTGTGCAACATTGATGTTGTGGAAGCACTAGTTAAAGTGAAGGTCTGTCTTCCTGAGTGTCTGAGTGCCATGATGAGAGAGCCCCCTGCTGACCTTAACCAGAGATGAAGCAAGAGTAAAATATGCACACTTGTGTTAAAACATGACTCTTCAGGATTGTAGGTTACTGCGTCATAGCCTCAACAAACCTGACTATTGGAATGCTTATGTAGATTGTGAATCACTGCATATATTTGTATTATAGTTTACTTTTAAAATTGTAAAAAAAGTACAATTTTTACTAGAAACACGATTTTTACTTATATTTTTTAATTTAAAGGGGTGTGACAACTTGATAATTTAATGTAGTTTAATTTTTTTAACTCCTCACAATACAGGATTTCTCAGGTTATATTTAATATATGGTATAGATTTTATTAAGGTTTTGGGCGCATACAAGTATATTTGGGGAAGGTGAATTGATCATTCATAAAATTTTTTGGCACTTAACTAATAACTCATGGATATAAACCAAAACAATTGCAGTCAAAAATCAATGAAGTTCAGGAACACTTTTCACTAGTTAACTATGCGTAAAGCTCTGTGATAAGTTTTGAGGGGGGAAAAAGAAAGGAAAATACTTGAGTTGTTAACATATGATTTTTTAAAATTAATGATGCTCAGTTATAAAAAATCCAGTGGAAAATATCATTAATGTATTCTGAAACAGTTTGAAAAAGCCACTCTGTGAATCAACCTACTTTTGGTTTTAGAATTTATTTACTTATTTAGAAAGAAAGAAAACAGAAAGACAGGCACCATTCTCTGTATGTTATTTTCCTGAAAGGTGTTAAGGCAAAATGAAAAAAAACTCTCCTCTATAATTATGTAATATATCCTAATCTCTTATTATGCTTTATGATTTTATAATTCTGTGTAAAATCTGTCATAGTTTTAAGTCCCATCACCTAATGCATGCATTCTTGTCTAGTCTTTTTATGAAAGGATTCATTCTTGTGAATCAACAAGGCATAGACCCAGACTAAGAGAGCTTTCATCGTTTTTAAGAAAGTGACGCTAGCTTACAGTCTCCTAGGAAACTCAAAAATTCAGCAGCTGTAGAAAGTCCAAGTTTTACAAAACAGCTATTATTGGGGGTGAAATCTCCCAAGGATGGATTCCTGCAATCTCACCTTATTTTTAAACATGGAATAAGAAATACTTTAATAGTATTTAGGTTAGTCATTTGTTAGTGAGCAGAAAAAAATCAGCAAAACCCAGATCTGGACACTTTTCATTTCTTGATCTGAGTGGAACTGCAATTAAACTCAGGAAACTTAACAAAAGGCTGATTATTTGAAGGGAATGGTCATCAAACAAACACTGAAAAAATACAAATCCAGAAAGCACACACAGAATAATTTATTAGGCAGTATAATAGCAATTAATTAAGAGGAATGTATATATGTACTGGAAGAAATATGTATTCTAAAATATAAAGTGTAAAAATTAACAATACATGAAATAGCCACATTATCTCCATGAAATTAAGAGTTTGCACTAAATGAACTTCAAAATTGCTATCGAGGGAAAAAAATCCATAATGCTTCTGTACTTTTATATGTGTGTTGCATGCTCAGTTTGTTGGTTATGTTGTCTTTTGGATGCTAAGAGAAGTACAATGGAATATTGCTTTTAGAAATACGTCTGTGTTTTACACTATCATGCTACTATGAAAGGTAGGCATGCACTTGCTGTCATGAAACAAATAGAGTTTTTGTAATTAGGTGAAACTTGCCTAAAGTTAGTCATTTTGTTTTTGTGTGTTAATGACTTATTTATTATCGATACATCTTGATGAGAAACATGCAGAGTTTAAAGA
Source organism: Homo sapiens (assembly GCF_000001405.40). Classification (NCBI taxonomy): domain Eukaryota; kingdom Metazoa; phylum Chordata; class Mammalia; order Primates; family Hominidae; genus Homo; species Homo sapiens. The sequence continues at coordinate 21,103,889 of NC_000021.9, forward strand.
TGGAAAATGAAACATGTTAGTACCATTTATCTGACAACAAAAATGCCAAATGAGAAAATAATCGTGGTTGTGGAATTTTCAGTGTATTGACTCAGGCTTACCACTACAGAGTAGAAGAACAAAGAAGGGTGTCTTTGATATCCAGTGGCTATAGGTCAAAAGTTGATTCCTTTTCAGTATTATTTCTTTGCCTTTGGAGACATTAATTAACTTTTTTGAAACTCAATTTCCACAAGTGAAAAATACATATGTTATGATAATCTCAAAATAGTTTTATAAAGTTTCCGAATTTATGACATGTTATCTTTTCAGTAAATGTTGTCCTCCCTTCTCCTCCTCCTCACCGTAGAGACGTAAGTTGTTTTCAAGTTATAATCGGATATTTACATGTATTTATTAGTACATTAGTGTATTGTATATATCTGCATGTCAAATGCAAAATACATAGGATGGAAAAATAGGAACAAAGAAGTATTTGCCATACATGTTTTAAAAAGGTTTTCTAGTACCTATTTTTTTTCTCATGGATAGAGATGCTAACACATCGATAACTTCTACTTCATACTTGTTATCTGCCAAGCATTTGTTTCATGCACGACAGTGAACAATGTAAATATTCTTTGCTCTTGTGAAGCATATATTTTAGTAAAGAAGAGAGAATGAGACAGTTAGTCAGTAAACAGAATTAGAGGGGTTAATTTTTTTTCGAAGAGGGTGCATTTAAGCTAATGCAAAGTTCCTAAGACAAGAATGAGCTTGGAATATGCAAGAAATAGAAAGAAGGGCCTGTCGGTGGGGTGCATTAGCAAGGTGTGGTAACAAGCTACTAAGAGTCTTTAGTAATCTCTGCCTTGGGTAGTCTGTTCTTTCATTGTACCAGGATTGATTTGCGTGATCAATACAATATGGCAGAATTGATGGTCTGTTACTTCTGAGATGGAGGCTATAAAAGAAATGGTAGCTTCTCTCATTGTTGCTGTTTTTTCTTACTCTTTGATCACTTCCTCTGGGAGAAATCATGTTGGGAGCAGCCCAGTGGGGAGGTTTACAAGGAGAAAAACTGAAATCTCTGCCAACAACCCTGTGTGTGAGCTTAGAACAAATCCCCCAGTCTCAAACAAGTCTTCAGAGGTTGCTACCCTAGCCAACAGCAAGTTCATTAACCATCCTGAGACGGAAATGCTTAGCTAAATTTCTTCCAGATTTCTGACCCTCAAAAAAAATGGAGCAATAAATGTTTATTGTTGTAAACACAAATTTTTGAGGTAGCATGTTTACAGAAATAGATAATGAACACAAAACAGAGAGGTTAGAAATGAAATGACATGAAGTAGGACTTCATAGACAATAGTAGGATTTGAATGCTGTTTAAATTAATGGGTAGTAATCTGAAATTATGAAGGGTCCATGTAACATTATTTGACTTTGTTTTAAATAAAAATGAATCAATTATGGAGTACACAGTGTTTGAAGGGGCATAGAATGAATCAGGATGTCAAGCTAAAAGGAGTTGTCCAGGTAGATATGAGACATTGATTAGAGTAGAACAGCCAAAATGGAAGCAAGTTGAGAGTTCTGCGATGCAATGGAAGACAGAACTGGCCATAAATATGGGTATCCTTCATATACATGATTGCTTGCAATCAACAAGAAAAATACAAGGCAAGTAAATAATGAATTTACTAATGGCAAAAAAAATGTGTTTTAAAGATGCTCAATTTCATTAGTATTGGCAAAAACATTAATAATAATGGCATATTTTTCATCCTGAGAAATTAAAAAGACTAATAAAACTCTTCATTGGCAAGACTGGAAAATTATTCACTTTCATTTATTGTAGATAAGACACTAAATTGATATAGAGTCTCTAAAGCCAATCTGCAAAGTCCATACGCTTTCTTCTAGGGAGTGAATTTCACGGAATTTTTCCCAAGGAAATGTTTGCAATATTAATGAACACTCATTGTTCATTGTAAGACCATTTATAATAGTGGATACTTGGAAGCACCTCATAGGCTCATCATATCGTATATAATTAATCTTGCTTATGGCATAATATATAAAATACATGTTCCAAGAGGGTATGTTTATCATTAATCTATATATATAAGTGTAAAACTATATATGTCCATGTTATATTTCATGGTATGTGTACGTGTGTATGTAAAAAGGCAGTATTTACCAAAAAAAGGACAGTAGCTTGAAGCCAGGAATTTGAGACCAGCCTGAGCAACAAAGCAAGACACAGTCTCTACAAAAAATTTAAAAACTTAGTTGGGTGTGGTGGCATGCTTCTGTAGTCCCAGCTACTCAGGAGGCTGAACTGGGAAGATCACCTGAGCCCAGGTGTTCCAGGCTGCAGCGAGCTGTGTTTGCACCTCTGCACTCCAGCCTGTGCAACAGAATGAGAGACATGTCTCAAAAGCAAAAAAAAAAAAAAAGGAACAGCCAAATATGATTATTTCTGGGCAATATATTTAAATATGATGTTTCTTTCTTTAGATTTTTCTTTATTTAGAGATTCTTTGTGCCAACATTATTTTTAAATATAAAAATAATCCAAAACTGTTGACAAAAATGTAAAATATAAAAAAGCTAAAACATTACCTATATTATGACTTTCTATTATAAGAAATATTACAAAGTTAATTTCATTACATTTGTCATTTTCTCCAAATATTTTCTTTATAGTAATAATTTTAGATCCTTTGTAGTCTTTATGCTTACATCTTTAGGTCTTTAGAAAACATTATTTTTATCTATTGGTATTAATTAGAACAGAAGAAAAAATCATGAGAATGATGGGAAAAAGTAAAACTACACTGATCATTAATAAAAAAAAATCAGGACATGTAGGAAAGAAAAAAGAATAAAGATAACCGCTACAGATTTAGTAGAGTTATCAGTTTCTATGGTTTTCAAATAAACCATAGGCTAGTCACAAATGTTTTAAAAATTGTTAACATGATATTTTTGTTCTGAGTCAATCTTTGAAAAACAGTTTAGTTGTATAAAAACTATTTCTCAAAAATTATTCTCCCACTGAATTTTAGTTTATTCAAAGTATGAGGTACTTGTGATAAGAAATATCTTATCCATTAAAATACTGCTTTATATTTGCCTTTTTAGAGAGAGACCAAAGATCAAATCTAAAATCAGTAAGAAATTTCTGCTTTTCATATTTATTTGATACCAGTCCATCTCGTTTAGGGTTTATTGGAGTTCTTAAAACGTCTGGTAATAACAGCCATAATAATAGTGTGTTACTTATGTAATTATTAATCCTGTTTACATTTCACATGTATTATTTTATTTTATCATTATCACAACATGGAGTAGCTTTGATTAATGGTTTTCACTTGCAAAATAAGACAACTGAAGCTCAGAAAGATTACATGACCTGTCCAGCACTATAGATCTAGTAAATGGTGGTGCAAAAAAATAATACCAGAGCCCACAATGAAATCATTTCCTCAAAAACTATATCTGATGTTTTTTTCCATGCAAGGTTAATAGACATAGTCACACAGCTTCCAAAATGTTTCCTTTGGTTTCACTATTGAATAGGGACAGGTCAGTTTTTTCTGAAAAGTGTCATTCCACCCCCGTTTCCCAGCCTGTATTTTTCCCTCTACATATTAACTATCTTAGTTGCCAAATTTCCTACTTAATTTTTGATTTAAATATAATTGTGATCTTAATTATATTAAAAATAACTTCTAAAAACTTTCAACATATTTTATTTACTGCACGTTAGCATTAAGGGAAGACTCTAATCCTAAAGGGGCTTACTGTGGTAACTCAGGACACAAACTATTTTATAGAAAATGTTGGACAGTAAGAAAGAGCAACTGGTAATCAAATGCATTTGTTATTGACTTGATTCTTATCTGTTTGACACTACCCAGTGGATATGAGCTGACTTTGCTTCAACCACGGTGTCACTGCCAATACTTAATTTATATCTAGTGGGAGAAGAATTATATATTTTTCTTGTTTAATCCTGTACCCTTCAGAAGCTTATTTATAAAGTACCAGTTGGATATTATCTAGTTTTGTTCTACAATTTATTAATATGTATTTGAATATTCTTGGTGTACGTTGTAGGGATTAGAGTACCAAAATTTCACACGATAAGCAGGTATATATTTCCTCTAAAGTAAAAGCAGCTGCAATATATAACTAAACATGTAATTTAATTCTTTAAATCCTGTACTTTAATTTTGTTTATAGTTTTTGTGTGTATTATGTCACCAAAGTCTTTACATCTGAAAAACCAAATTGTTCAACCCAACCATAACTAAATATTTGAAAAATGTAATTTGACTCATAAAGACTTTTTTTTTTAATAAACACTTATTAAAATGTACTGTGTGCCAGGCTTTAAGTCTCACCCAAGAATTCTGCAGAGTGAGGCCAGATTTTCATACAACTGGATTTCATTCACGGTTTAATTTCTCTTGTAAAAGTTGAAAAATAGCAATCTAGAATACATTTGGCCATTGACGGCACTTTCAATTTTGAAGCTGTACTGAAGCTGTCACACTACCATCCAAATTACTGTCAAAAATGAGTATGCTAATTGAAAAGCTCTGGCTATGAAGTTAAGTGTTGCAGTTTTATCAAGCATAGATAAGAACACTATATAAAACATGGATTTTAAGGTGAATTGAATTTATCAAATTGTAAGGGCAGGCTATAATTTGAAAATCCTACATTAGATGGATTTTTCAAATTCTAATTTGTTGTGAATAATAATGTTCAGCAGAAGAGAAGAGCTGTATTTTCTTGCATTCCTTGGTTTAGGATTTTTAGAATAAGGACATTTCTACCAGGATTCAAAATTCCTTACTAGCATAGCTCATGAATCTCCTCCCTACTTATTGTATTGGAAAAACTATCCAGCACACAAAATGTTAGCATTTCAGGAATTTGTAATCAACTGATAAATCATAAGTATTTGTTTATAAGTCAGATCATACATCTAAAAACTTATAGGGTAAATCAACCCCACTATTTGCTAACTCTCGGGTATCACCATAGGCTGTTCTGTGGGCAGGAGTCCATATTTTCATTGACTACAGTTATGATAATGGTTTCTAGTTTTACACAAATATTTTTCCTTCTGATGTCTAACTAATTGTGAAAATAGCATAACATATCACATTTGTGAAAGTTATTTAGCTGCTGGGGTCACTGCTACTGTGAAAAGATCAGTCATAATTTGTGCAGTGGTTGGAATATACTTTTAGATGTCACTGGGGAAAAAAATCTTGGCTTTAAAATGCCTTTGTAAAGATAAGCCAGTTGTAAGGTGTGATTCCATTGTTAAGATTAATAATATGAATGACCAGTTAAATATGGGTCTGTACTGACTGGAAACTCTTGAAAAATGAACTTCAGATATTTGAATTGCATTGTTTTATATGCACATCTTATATATTTTAAATATAAAAGGTAGCTAAATCCATGAATTAGCTTTCACAGGATATGATTATCAACATCTCATGTACCCCACAAATATATACACATACTATGTACCCACCAAAATCAAAAATAAAAAAGTAAACTTTTTTGCTTCATGTGGCAAATTGCAATAGCTCTTTTTTCTAAAAGTATTTCTAATTTTATTTCTTGTGTTTTTCTTCATTTCATTCAATTATTAATGAAATATTTTAAATGTTCATTAAAGTTCAGTGGAAATGCCATTTCCACCAGTTTTTTCTTTCATTTTTTACATTGCTGTAAGACTTTGACAATGTGTTGAACCTCTAAAATATTTGTCAATCATGCTTTCTTGTAAATATATAGTCAAACTGTGATTCAATTACAATAGTATTTTCTGTTTCTCAACTGTTAACTGTTTGACGATAGTAAGAGTGTCTAATTCATCCCTCTTTCCTCTAGCTGTTAACACAAGATTTGGCATGGGTTAACAACTCATTTACTATTTAAAGATAAGAACCTTTAACAGAAAATGCCAGTCATATAATGTAAAGGAGGCACAGGGTATGTATTTTCTGTGTATAATTCAAGCTAAATGTTAAATAGCACAGGCTCATAATTATTTTCTTAATTCGAGTATGTAATGTGTTTTGTCTTGCTGGAGTTGCCTCCAAAGCCGTTGTAGGGGGAGTTCCTTCAAGGGACTGCTTCAAACCATTCCATGAAGGGGCCAGTTGGGATTACAAAGAAGGAAACACTAAAAGCCGGGGTGATGAGTCCAAAGCATTTGCAGCATTAGGGGAACTTACATACAGAGGGCTTCAGCGTCCTCATGACAGAAAAAAATACGTTCTACCCAAGTATGTCCTTAACCAGAGTGTCACCCTATGTAGTTTATATAAGAGTGTCAGGAATTTGGCCCAGGCCGTTGCTAGATTCTATGTGTTTGGCAGCATGCTTGATATTTCAGGGCTTGGGAAAACCACCTAAACAACTTCCTGTGGGCCTTGGAGTACTCCTTGATACCTTCCAGGCCCCAGTTTCCCCAGTTTGGGTTTAAGCCTGCAGGGAAAAACATGAAGCTGGCTGGGTCACTGAGCACTAAAGGCACTCTGACTTTCTAGGTAAGGACAAAGAAAGAAAATAGGGGACACTGGGGACTCTACATATAAAGATACAATTTCCTCTGTGTTTAATAAAGTCTAGGGTATACCAGATTAATGCAACAAAATATGAACAAAAAATAACTCATACAAGGCATTCCCTGGTAGTTTCATGGATCTTTTCATGAGACTACCAGGGAATGCCTTGTATGAGTTATTTTTTTGGAAAAACCTGTATATTTTGATTTTATTAAAACAATTATTTGGAGATTGCATCTTTCTCTACCACAAAACTACCAGTAGACATTGTCCTTTATGAGAAGGCAAAGGATATGTGACTGAATTGGTTCTACCACTTATCGAGGAACTGAACTTAGTTCCTTAAACTAGTAACTTTGGCTTTTAATTCAATTAAATACAGATTATAACACAGAGTCAGTGAGAATATCAAAATGGTAATGTAAGAGGAAAAAGGGCTCCTGGACATGGTGTGTTTTTTAATAACAATAATTGAATAAGGGGATACATTAAAGTTCTGCTTACACAAAAAGAAATCATCATGCATATGTTTCAGGAAAAGTATATTTGTTGTGTACTATTTTTGTTAAAAAGGCAATAAAATTAATTCTTCTTAGAGTACAGTTTCAGGCAAAAAGATTATTCTCCAAACCAAACAGTATGTTTACTTTTACTTATGAGAAGGAAATAAAAAATCTATTGTATTTTATTTTATAATCTATATTTCTAAGAAACTCCAATTCAATAATAAATCACAGTAGCCATATTGTAACAAGTTTTGATTATTCTATTTTATTTTGCTATTCATACGTTACTTCTCTTTTAAAATGTAAGTCTGTATTCAGAAGGGATGAGTACTAGAGTTGTGCATTGAGGATTGAAAGCACAGAGATGTTATTTAATACTATGGGATTGGTTTTGAGCCCGGAGGCATGGAAATGGGTTGGCAGAAGTGATATCAGGCTAAGCTCTGGGACACCCACAATGCGGAGGTCTGGAAGATGAGGTTAATCCCACAAGAAGATCGAAGACTGAGATGGAGGGAGAACCAAGAGGGCAGGGCTCCAGAAGCCGAATGCAGGCAGTGCAAGGAGAGAGAAGCCCACTGTGACACATGCTACGGATTAAGGAAGATCTGATACAGAGCAGGGATAATCCATTCACAGGAACGAGAAGAAAGCACAGTAGATGGTAACAGAAGCAAGATGCTTGGTAGATTTGGTGGAAGGGGAAAGGTTAAAGTTCTCTTTTATTTCTTTTTTCTTCCCAACAAAATTAGAGGCACATTTATTTTTTGAATGGGAGGAGGTAGCGGGGGTCGTTTCAGGTTTGAGGAAAGTGGGAGAAGACATGGAACATTCCACTCCACTAAAAGACTAGGAGCTCAAATGGACAAGGGAGAATTTCTATCCTCTCATTGGTCTGTGAATTTTTCAGTATTATATTCATTAGATATAAAGTTTCATAGATGGTTTCTGGCATAGTAGATTAATGTTTATTGTGTAAATTACTGAGACATTCACTTAAAGAATCACATAATTATTGCATTAAAGCCTGTGTTGTTAACATGTTGAATGTTGCCCAACTTTAAATGACTGTAGACATTCTCTTATTTTAATTATGATAATTCTTTCATACAACATTTTAGTTTTCCTCTTCTCTGTTAAAAATACTGTGTTTTTAACATTTAAAATAGCTTTTGCTTTCTTTTCCTTTTTAAAACGGCATAATATTCTATAGTGATTCATTGTGTTTTGTTTTTACCCAGCCCCTATCCTCCCTCACACTTTCTCTCCTATTTTCCTTTTTCTCTGAGACATATTTTGCTTCTTTTTCAGTTTGCATTCTGCTCTGAATTCTGATTTTCGCTTAGAGAAATATTTTTCATCTCTGGACAACAGAGAAGCAGTGTGAAAAAAGTAGCTATTTTTATAAAGACCTGGCCTATCCTTCTCATTTTTTCCCGCTTGCTTGCCTGTTTCTATTACAACTTCTATCAACAGTGTTGGCTTTCTATTTGAAATAAAGTTGAACCATATCTGGTGCCTGGACATACTTTAAATACACCTCAAAATGAACTGAAATGTTTCAGGTCCTTCTCATCCGTCAAAGGCTGCAGCCACTACTCTGGAAGTTATTTTTTGACACACTGATTGCTGGATGGTATCAGTCCTGATAACTCCATTTAAGAATCCTATGAAGAGAAAACTTTTATCGGTCTGTCACCATCAGGCCTTATCACCCACAAGCAAGTGGTCAAGCTAAAAGAACAGTGCAGATCATAAAGAATGCCCCATAGCAGATTATTATAGGAGATTAGTCAGCAAGATGAAACAAGTTGCACAGGATTCATCTTTGCACTCTCAAGTCAATAACAAGTATTATAGTAAAAGCATATCTTTGAGGCTTCCTTAAACTACTTCCATGCAGCACTGGCTTCGTAGGATTGGTAAGAATGGGATGTGTTCTTTTGCTCTCCTGCACGTGATGCTGAACGTGGGGTGCATGTGTTGCTTTTCTGAACAGCATTCTTTTTTCACAAAACTTCGTCTTTTCCAGGTGTTAGCATTAAGTTCTCTTTATATTAGGGGTATTGTGGTTTTTAGAATTTAAGACATATACCAGTGGTTCTCAAAGTGACAATATCCACCAGATTCATGGAATATAGCTTTCGGGGTTCTGTGAGGTTAAAAACCAAACCAAACAAAACTATTTTCATGATAATGCTCACACAGTAGGTGCGATTTTTCAACTTCTTGACCTTTGCGCTAGTAGGCAAAAGCAATGGTGGACAAAACTGCTGCTCCTTAGCAGGAATCACGGTGGCACAAAATTGTTTTAGTAATCATTTTATTCTTCACTGTCACACAATCACAGGAGGGGAAAAGCCAATTTCATTTAAGAATGTCCGTCAAGAGGCAGTAAAATATACTAATGTTTTATATCTAAGCACTTAACGGTGCACTATTGGACAAAATTGTAACTGCATATTAGCCATTTTCTGTGGCAAACAGATACAATAATTATCTTGAGGAAGAAGTAAGTGTGGATTATTTGAGTTGTGAGACAAACTAGTTGCTTTTTGTTTCTTTTACACACATGGCCTATTACTGAAAAAAAAAAGATGACTGGGAAACTATGATTATTAAGACTGAGGTATTTAGCAGATTTTGTTTTCCAAAAACGCACAAAGTGTGTTTGTCAATTCAGGGAAGTACTAGGAATTGTTATCAACTCTTAACGTTGACAAAATTTGTATTTTAATCAGTTTATCCTAAATAGAACTATTTTGTATTGTAAATGTTTAATGTGTATTTTCTCAAGTTATTTAAGATTATAAGGCTTAAAGCAATGCCTCTTTTTTTTGATTGGCCTCATGATAATTTAATACCAATTCTGGGTTTTTACTATGGATATTTATATTGTTAGATAGTCTTTATTTCTATTTGTATGACCTCAGCTTTATACTAATTGCTTTATTCGGGAGTTAAGAAGGTCCAAAAGTTCCATATAATTCTCTAACTAACATTGAGTTATAATCAATCATGAGTCATAATCAATTTTGCTGTAGCTTGTGTAGCCATCATTTCTCTCTCCCTTTTAGTGTGTGAATGTATATGTTCTCAATAGTCTGTGAATACTTGTGAACAAAGAAAAAAATTATTTTCTACAGTATTTATTAGAAAAATAATAAGCATTTTGAGTATGCTTTTTAACCTAACTCTCAAATATCCTGATATATCACACAAGTTTTAGCAGAAAGATGTGGCAGGCTTCTCATGAGACTCTCCAGGCATATGCAAATCTAAAAGAAAGATAAAATATCTGGTATTTTATTTTTTAAAGCCCTTTGCTCTCTACAAAAATTGTATTCTTTAAACAGAAATGTGGGCTATTATAAGCAATGTTTCATTTTCCTATTGTCTGTTTAAAAATATCATTTGTAAATTGCAGTTGGTCTTGCATGAATGTGTTTCTAAAATTGTTTGGGAATTATGTACTAATAGACCTCCTGGGATATACTCCTTAGTTTACAAGGGTCGGTGTTAATGTTCTGCCATAGGAAAAGCTTAGTAACAAGAGTGGAGATGTCATCTTTGCCAAAAGCTGTTTCTTAAGTCTAAAGAGCATGGCAGAACAAAGAGCTTGAGCTACTTTAATGATGCCAATGGTACTACAAAAGTGGTTCCCAACAGCTGTTGTAATAAACCACTGATCAGTATCTTTTTGGGGCCCTGTGGGGAACAGAATAACAGACCAAACACACTTCAGGGCTTCCCAGAGCTTCTTCCCCTTTAACATGAGTAATTCTGCTTTTATTAAACAAAACAAAACAAACCTGATTCGCTCATTATGTCTATTAAATTCTGACTTTTTTTTTTTTTTTTGAAGTTTCGCTCTTGTCGCCCAGGCTGGAATGCAGTGGCATGATCTTGGCTCACTGTAAGCTCTGCCTCCTGGGTTCAAGTGATTCTTCTGCCTCAGTCTCCATAGTAGCTGGGATTACAGGCGCCTGCCACCACGCCCAGCTAAGTTTTGTATTTTTAGTAGAGACGGGGTTTCACCATGTTGGCCAGGCTGGTCTCGAACTCCTGACCTTAGGTAATCTGCCTGCCTCAGCCTCCCAAAGTGCTGGAATTACAGGCATGAGCCACCGCACCCGGCCATATTAATTTCATTTAAAGATGCAATTTTCCTGAGTGAAAAAAATGAAGTCCTGGCTAGTGAGTCCTTCAGGTCAATGTTATATTTGCTTGGGGATATGTTTACTGCTAGTAAGTAGCATAAAAGAAATAATTTTATTAGAGCTTTATCCAGCCTCTCCTTGTGGCATTACCCTTCAGTGTCTTTCTCAGCCCTGAATGCTAAGCCACCATTTAGAATCCTTATTGTTAAATTACCATAAAATAGAGTTTCAAAGTAAAAAATTCTACCAGAATTAGTTAAGTTAAATAAAACATTAAAATCTACCAGTTTACACTCAGTTTCTCTCCCCACTTAATTCATCACCACTCTCTTCTTGGTAATTAGAATATTAGGTCCATCTTGGTCCTAATGGTTAGGTCAATGTTTGGAAATGCAGCTTTCAAAGATTATTAAGTCCTGTTACCAGCTTTTGTGAATAAGTTCATGGAATGTCCCTGCATTAATTGTCTTTGTTTCTGATTACAGTCTTTTAAGAAAAATTTCTCTAAAATAACTTCCTGGTAGCTATTTTATATACTTCTATACTCTGACATAATTGTCTTCTTCCTTCAGTAATCATAATTACACAAACCTCCTTCAGAATCATTCTACATTATTTTCCTGGGAAAGTTTAATTATAAGTTCAAAACAGTGGGGATATTGTGCGTGTGTCTGTGTGTAGAATTTGCAATGTCTTGTATTTAAAGAAAGAAAATCAATTCAAATTGGATCCCAAATACTGAAATGAATTTTTGGAAATAAGAAGTTCATGGGTAGGACTAGAGTTCAGGGCTTCAGGTCCGCTTCTCTGAGATTTTGTGTGTGTGTGTGTGTGTGTGTGTGTGTGTGTGTCTGTCTGTCTTTCATGCTGAGATTGTGTGTGTGTGTGTGTGTGTGTGTGTGTGTCTTTCATGAGAAGGGTTTTTTCTAAGTCACCTTGTTTGCACATAGATGTACAGTTCCAGACATCATATTCAGGAAAATAAAATGTATTTTCTTGCGTTTATTAGTTTAGGATCCATTTATTATTTTTAAGATGCTCCCAGCGGACATGTGCTTGACGAGAAGTGAACCACATGCCATGTGTGAAGGGATTAGCATAATTGTTTCAATGAAAACACCACTCTGACCAGTGGAGTGTTGAAGGGAAAAATACTTGACTACTACACATTGCTAGATCCCATGAGAGATTATATAAATTAAATATAATGTGGAAAACCTGCTCTTAAGTGCTTTATAGTTTACAGAGAGTTAAATATATATGTAGCATATGAATAACTCTGATATACCACAAGTAGATATGGCTGACGAAGTGTCTTTCACCTTGATAGGACGGCCTGTTTAGTTTAAGGCCTTACCAGTTAGGCGGGCTATCTTAACACCTGCTTGGTCCATTTAGCATAGTAGGTACTCAAGAAATACTCACCAATGTGTCCGGGCGCAGCGGCTCACGCCTGTAATCCCAGCACTTTGGGAGGCCGAGGCAGGTGGATCACGAGGTCAGGAGATTGAGACCATTCTGGCTAACACGTGAAACCCTGTCTCTACTAAAAATACCAAAAAAAATAGCTGGGTGCGGTGGCAGGCACCTGTAGTCCCACCTACTCAGGAGGCTGAGCCAGGAGAATGGTGTGAACCCAGGAGGCGGAGCTTGCAGTGAGCCGAGATCGTGCCACTGCACTCCAGCCTGGGCGACAGAGCCAGACTCCGTCTCAAAAGAAAAAAAAAAAAGAAAAGAAATACTCACCATTGGACTTTACAAATACTTGAATAAACGAAGAAAGCTCAAAAAGAATTAAAATTTTAAGGCGATAATTTTTGGGGAAAAAAACAATGTCACCAAAATTCTTGTGTTTTTAAATTTTAAAATATTTATTTGAAGAAAAAGGATTATGTATATTCAGTGTACAATATGATGATTTGATATATATCGACATTGTGATATATACATCTACATATAATGAGCATCACAATCAAATTAATATATCCAGCACCACTCATGCTATATATTGGATCCCCACAACTTATTAATCTTATATCTGAAAGTTTATACCTTTTGATCAACATTTCCCTACCTCCCTCATGCTCACAGCTTGGCAATCACTTTTCTACTCTCTGTTTCTATGAGTTTGACTTTGTAAGATTCTATATATAAGTGAGATCATACACTATCGGTATATTCATTGTGGAAAACTTTACAGTTTCCTAGAGAAATGAAAATAAAACTATCATACAATCCAGCATTTCCATCTCTTGGTGAAATAAATATCTTGTAGAGGTTTCTGCACCTCCTTGTTTATTGCAGCATTATGCACAACAGCTAAAATATGAAAACAACTTGTATTGATCAACAGATGAATAAAGAAATTGTGAATATATTTATGTTTCATATATATGATAATGCAATGAAATGTAACAGCAATAAAAAAGTAGGAAATACTACAATTTGCAATAACATTAATGAACCTGGAGAAAATCATGCTAAGTAAAATAAGCCAATATTATTCTTTGACATTACAGATTCTACTCTTTCATTATTTCACTCAGCCTGTGAAGTCTTATTGAGGATTATTGGACCTAGTCTTTTTTCTTCAAAGCATATATCTTTGTTCGTGATTCTGCACTTATGTGTATCTTTCCTTGATTAATCGTGGTCTCCTTTACTTGATTTCAAGTTCTGTGAAGACAGAGACTTCTCTCATTTGGTCACCAATTTAAACAAGGATATGGCTTAGTATTAGGGTATACTAAAAAGTTTATCTAATTCTATATAATGATTGAACTAATAAGTGGATTTATTAAACTAAGTTGCCTGATATTTATGACTTTTAAATATATTAATAGTGCTAGAAATAACTTTCCATTTAGTTAGGGATAACTTTTCAAATCCTAATGGAAAATCTCTTGGTGAATGCTAAATTGAAGAAAATTTTCCAATATTTCCCTGTTAAATGTTCACTTGCTCAAGCACCTACCTAGACTCTCAGCAACAAATACAGAATATGTTCTTCTAATGAAGTTATTTGGTAACCTTGATGCTCTTCAAAATGAGAATGCATCACCTTTTTCTTGTTCAATAGCTGTGATTAATTATATAGACCATCAGCAAGAAGCTAGGCATAGGCGTACAAGTCACTATAATACATGCCTGTCCTAACGAGTTATTTATTACAAACAACCCAAAGATGCAGCGGGGGGGCAGGCTATGATTAAATCTCAAAATAAGCTTAGGAACAAGTGCCTTAGTAGTTCAGGAAGGAGAGAGGAGATCATTCTGTCTTTCTGCAAGATGATCTGAACTGCACTCTGAAGGCTTAGCCAGTTCAGACAAGCTAAAAGGAAGGGGTGAGGGACCTTGTAGGTTGAGAGAAAGCAGTAAGGAAGAATGCTCTAAATTCATCTACTTTATGGTCTTGGAACTGATCAGCAGCCATGTTAATTACCGTAACTCTTAAACAAAGGGTATTGCTTTGTTTTTCTTTCTCTTTCATTTCTTTCTTCTACTTCCCCTTACTTCCTTCTAATTTCACTTTTCTTCTACTCTTTTTCTGTTTCTGTCCTATTGCTATCCTTTCCTTCCCAATATTTCTCACCCACATCCATCCTCAACACACATATTATTTTACATTATCGGAGTTAGGATGTTTGACAGCTCCCTTACTTGGCCCCAACACACACTTCTTAGTTTCTAATATAAGAAGATAAACCTCCCTCTCCCCAGTGTTTTCAGGTGACTGTGTTGGCAAGAACAAAAGTACAAAATTATGTTTAATGTTAAGGTTCTTAATTTTATGTTCATTTCTAGCTTTTTAGACTAGTGAGCACGAATGTAAATATATCTATAGTTATTCTTGTCACCTCCTCTTTTTGTTTTATGGTTTCTTTGTTGTTTGTCTGTTTTACGTTTTATTTTGTTTTGATCATACTGTGCATTACTTTTCAGAAGTTCAACTGTCATTTTTCATTTGGGAGATCATGATAATGCATTTGAAATTCATTCAGAGTCTAGATAATTAGGCATTTTCTTTTAGTTCTAATTCTCTTTTACATGTTCTCCTTAGCATAATGATTACTTCACAGTAATATTATAGTCCTTTCGTTACTTTAATTAATGTCACATCTCAATTCTAAGTGCTTGTTTTCAGCCCAAGGGTACTAATTTCATATCTTGTTTCTTAAATTAGCCGACTATGAGCTCAGATTTCTGGTGGTTATGGTAGTCATACAGCTATTCCATTTCCCCATCAATAAGAATAAATTAGTGTTTTAATGAAGGATTTTTTGCTATTCTCTAAGGTATTTGATTTTAAAAGAATTGTAGTATTGTTTCTTGGCCTTAAGTTTATGGGAAGCAGTAATTGCTCTGCAGCTAATATATTTTTGTTATTGCTAGAATCACTCATAGTTTATAAAATGGCAGAAAATGTATCAACTAATTATATGTGTCTTAAAATAACTTTTACTTGATTATTATTCTGTTTAATAAGCCAATTTAGGAAATAATGCAGATTTCTTAAGGAGCTTTAAGAAGATTTGTTTATGAAGTCTTTTTTTCCTTTGATAATATTATCTAGGAACAAAAGAAAAACAAATTATCTGGAGATATCTTATTAATAGTACTTCTAAACTTTTAGGAAAAATAAGTAATTCTAAATGAAGCTTATGAAAACAGAAATTAGTATTTTTATGTTTATTGCACTGAAAATTTTGAATCTTGAAACATTAATAGATAAGTGTGAATGTTTAAATAAACTCTATTGTTTGTGTTCAAGCATAACCTTTCTACTTTGTTTTCAGTTTTTGTAAAATCCCATTGTGACCTGAACCCACATTGGTCCCTAAGCACTGATACTTCTCCATTACCTCAGTGCTTGACTTCTTGTGCAGTTAGTCATGTTCATAGTAAAGCTCCACCATTGTTTGATAATTGCTTTAATCTGCTGCTTATTTCGTTGGAAAGGTTTCCCAGTTACGTTTGTTCCTTGTATGCTGTAGAGAATGAAAGACTTTGCAAGTTTTATTAGTTTGTTAGGTAGAAGGATAATGCATTTTCTAAGTATATGGGTATTCGTTGGAATTAACAGCTTTATTAATGATTTGCAAGGATAATGACACAGATAAATTCGGAGTCCCAACATTTTCTTTAAAATAAGAAGTTGAAAAACAAGATGATTCCACTTAACTGTTGGCAGTTGTTATATCATGACTTAAAAAACAAATCAAGTGATTTTCAATGAAGAAGGAAATAATGTTAATTTTGGGATAGGAAACTGATTCCTTTAGTGGCACTGTAGGTGAGTTAGTGTATGTATGTGTCTATCTTTGTGTTTCTTCCTGAGGACGATTTTAAACTGATACTGGCAGCATGGGGTAGATTCGAATAGGTGACTGATTAAGCCTGCGTGTTCACAGGCGGGGGACGCTGCTTCGGCAGAGCCCCTGAAATGAAAAAGGAGCCTGTTTGTTTTCAAGAATGAGGATGAGTCCAGCTTGGTTCAACACAGAGAGGAAGATTACTGTGGTATTTTTAAAGGCAATTAAAGTTTAAAAAAATTGATGTTTATTTATTTTTTTGTGGGTTTTTTTTTTTTTTCTTTGAGATGGAGTCTCTCTCTGTCACCAGGCTGGAGTGCAGTGGCGCAATCTCGGCTCACTGCAACCTCTGCCTCCCGGGTTCAGTCGATTCTCCTGCCTCAGCCTCCCGAGTAGCTGGGATTACAGGTGGGTGCCACCAAGCCTGGCTGATTTTTTATTTTTAGTAGAGATGGGGTTTCAGCATCTTGACCAGGCTGGTCTTGAACTCCTGACCTCATGATCCACCCGCCTCAGCCTCCCGAAATGTTGGGATTACAGGCGTGAGCCACCGCGCCCGGCCATGGATGTTTATTTGTACACTGCAAATGTCTTTACTGAGTTTATATTGTTCTTTATATCTCTGTTGGATTTCTCAGTAGTGTACTACTTCACATGATCATTATTTATAGTATATTTTTAGTGTTGCAGATTTTCATATAAAATATCTCAGAAGATTATCTTTATGAAAGTATGAGTGATTGCATTCTGACATGTTAATTTCAATAGCTTCTTATTAGTATAGTGAATAACACAGATCATTCCTTCTTTTCTTTGTCCTTCACTTCTTTTTGTCTTTAAACTCTTCCTTAAGAATTGCTCTTCAAAATGTATTTAATAAGACAGTACCATAATCTCTGAGTACATTAACTGATGTCAAGGAGGGACAGGATGAAATCAGTGGTCTTACTTGATATTTACTATTTGATATAAACTCCAAATAATTGAAGAAATTTTGCACCGTAATTTTAGATTCAGATGCCTATCATAGCTGAATGTATGAATGACTTTGAATTGGGCTCTAATTATGAAGGTAAAGCTATAAGGGTTTATTCTTCCTTCTGTGTCTGTTAATCAACTAATATGTGGCTAGACATGATCAAGGATACAAAATATTCATGATCCTTCTTTGAGGTTCAGAATCCTTATTTAAAGATAGAAGGATTCACTCTAGCCAGTTGAAGCAAAAAAGGATATATCATGAATTATAGCTTGCTCACTAAAACGTTTGGAAGTCTGATGGAAAAGGCTATATATAGGCTGAGCCTTCAGGAATTCCTGCCAGAATCATGCCGTTGAAGTGGCCCATGGATCGATCTGCTGCCTGTGTTACGATTGGGTATATGATAAATCAGGAAGCTGATACCACAGCCGAAGGCTCTAGATCTACATTTCTTCAAAAGTGATGAGACAGGGTAAAGTGAAAAGGACAATTCATTGAGCTGAATCCAAAAGAGTTATTCTACCTGTTTCCAAGAACAACTGTTAAATGTGACAGTATGAGCTTCCGAATGAGCAGTGCATTCTGATGAGGATTTGGACTGCTGGTTTTAGAGAGAACAAAAATCGATTAATGTTATTACTAGAGGTTTGGAAATGCCTAAAAACTATGAAGTTAGATATCAAAGGCAGCAAATACTGTTAGATTAGGAAAAGAAACTAAAGTCAACCTTTTAACCGAGGAATTTTGTTCTTGATTGTCCATGCATAATTTGATAACTTAATATTTTAATATATGATGCCATATTTCATTATTAATTTAACCTCTTAATATAATCTGGTAAGGTGATTACTTAGAATGGCACATGGTTAAATATGGAAAAAGTGTTCCAGGCACTCCATATACTGTATAAAGCCTGAGTTTTATGAAACAATCTAGAGCCCTAATTTAGTAACAGGAAGAAGATAGTTTTGAATACTTTTTCCCATGATGCATTGTCTCATTATATTCATTGTGAATTTCCACAATAATGCTGTACAAAAGCTGTCTTAATAATTACTGCCATAAAACAACAACTATTTATTATTTCTCACAATTCTTTGGGTTGGCGGGGTGATTTCTTTTCATCTGAGCCCGTATTGTCTAATGTGGGCTGGGTTTGCTCAGCCATCTCCAGTTAGTTGGTGGGTTGACTGGAAGCTGGCTGGGCCATGGATGGACCTATTCAGTTCTGTTTCCTATGGCTTACGTCTTTCACCAAGGTAGCCCTGTGTTTTTATATCCAAGGCAGGGGTCAAAGAGTTTTTGGAAGCATGCAAAACCTGCTGTGTCCATCAGAACTGAGCCATTGTGACTTTGGCTGCATTCTACTAGCCTAGGCAAGTTAACAGTCATCCAGAGTTCAGAGAGAAATAAGCTACAACTCTTGACAGGAGGTTGGCAGAGCTGTGGTGCAAACTATCTATTGCAGTCTCGTGTACACTTGTGAGAAACAAATCCAGCAAGGTGATTGTCCCGAATGAACCTTCCTCAGCTGACTTCTTCCTTATTGAAACAGCAACTCAATTTCAAGTAAACACATCTCATTGCAGTCTGTGTATTTTCCTTGGTAATATAATTAAACAAATATAATTAAATTTCAAAATATTTAGTGAGAACATATGATTTGAAAATTTTGTGTCTGGGCAGGGGGTGCTCATGCCTGTAATCCCAGCACTTTGGAAGGCTGATGTGGGCCGGATCATGAGGTCAGCAGGTCGAGACCATCCTGGCTGACACGGTGAAACCCGGTCTGTACTAAAAATACAAAAAATCAGCCGGGCGTGGTGGCACGCACCTGAGTCCCAGCTACTCGGGAGGCTGAGGCAGGAGAATGGCGTGAACCCGGGGGGAGGCGGAGCTTGCAGTGAGTCAAGATCGCGCCACTGCACTCTAGCCTGGGAGACAGAGCGAAGAGACTCCCTCTCAAAAAAAAAAAAAAGTTTTGCTATGTGAAATGCAGATTTTTAAAAACACAGTAAATTATGTCTACAATTGTCGTCTGTTAATACCCATTCGATATTATCTACCTTTCCTCAGTCTAATCCCACCCCCGTGGTGAGGAATTGTAACACACTGGTTCCCGAGATCAACCTGCAATGTTGTAAGATGCTACAAATGTCTTGAAATACGTTCCTCTTCTGCCTTATTTCTTTAACAAATATGTCTGATGCGCATTGCAATTAATATATTTTGCTTTAGGAATTTGATGAGCTAGTAAATTAGAGGAGGTAATATAAATTAGGTATTTATATTAATAACCCAAACTTTTCTTTATAACAACCTTATGATTTAGGTGTTACTGTTATCCTCATTTTACAGATGATGAAGTGGAGGTACAGAAAAATAGTGCACATTTGAATTCATTCTTGATTGCTTTTTTTTTTTTTTTTTGAGACGGAGTCTCACTCTGTCGCCAGGCTACAGTGCAGTGGCATGATCTTGGCTCACTGCAAGCTCCACCTTCCGGATTCAAGACCATTCTCCTGCCTCAGCCTCCCGAGTAGCTGGGACTGTAGGCGCCCGCCAGCACGCCCAGCTAATTTTTGTATTTTTAGTAGAGACGGGGTTTCACCATGTTGGCCAGGATGGTATCGATCTCTTGACCTCATGATCCGGCCCACCTCGGCGTCCCATAATGCTGAGCTTACAGGCGTGAGCCACCGCGCCCGTCCTGATTGCTTTCTAATAACATTCAAGTAGATTATCTTTGACAAATGTAAGGGCCATTTCAAAAATTAATCAACATGGTGGCAGACAAGGTAATGCTGACCAAACTCTTGCTGTTTTCCATAATATTTTTAAATTATTTACAATAAAATTATAATTCATTCTTATATTTAGAATGTAACATTATGTGCAAGTGCCTGTGTGTATTGCAATGATCACACAACTTGAGTTTTGCCTGTTTAACATAACAAAGAAATATCAAGAGCATTTTTTCATCACCTGAAACAGTTTAGGATTTTCAGAAGCTGGAGTAGGCCTCTAAAATAGTAAACTTAGGTCAGCTTTCGAGGGCTACATTTGCTAATTGAAATAGTAACAATGGAAAGCAGGAACTATTGTGGAGACATGGAATCAGGGTAAAAACTTATGCTCAGGAAAACTTTGAAACTTGAGCAAAACTCATTGTGTTCAGTTTCTGAATCATGAACCAAACCTAAGAAGTCGTTTAAAACTGAGTCATGCCATAGAAAGTTTAAGTACCTTTTTTTCTTCTCCTAGGCTCCTTTTCTTTAGTCTGTGATAGCACACCTCCAATTCTCACCCTAGTGCTATCACCATCCTAAAACAACTAAGAATAAAACTTGCTTCTGCTTCTCTTATGAAGAGTCTCAATGAGACATGTATGTTACCATTTTTACAAATGGCAGGATATGTAAAACTAGAAGGCAGGGCTATGCTGGAGCCTGATTGTATCATTTTAGAAAAACTCATTGTTACATTTTCTGAAATTTTGTAAGCTGATTGTTAAACACAGCCATTACTAAAAATTAAATTATATAAGCCAGAAATATAAGCTAAATTAAAAGCAAAGGTAATAAATGCTCAAAACTCACCAGTTTCTAAGTGTTTTATTACATATACTATTACCTATATTCTGTAGTTGTCTTATGTCTATTGTACATGTCTGCATATGATAGAAATACTATGTAACTCCGTATTACTGTGCATTTTTTGAATACCACATTCAGTAATGTCACATTAGTGGCTGGTGTGCCATTTTTGTGTGAGAACTATCATGAAATTTTTTCCAAATGAATACTCATCATTTCTTCGTAAAGAATATTTATTCAACTGTATCATACCCCTGATGTGAGATCTAGTTCATCTAACTGCTTCTTGGAAACAGTTTTGAAATTTCAGGGTGGGGAGATAATATTTTACATATATATGTAATATATAATATTTTACATATATATGTAATATATAATATTTTACATATATTCATACATATGTAATATATAATGTATTACATATATAGAGACAGATATATATATCTATATATAGATATATATGTAATATGTAATATTTTACATATATAATATGTAATATATAAAATATATATTACATATATACATATATAATATGCATATAAAACATATAATATACATATTTATTAAATATATAAATATATAATATGTTATATATAATATATAATATTTTACGTGTATATGTAGAGATATATATATCTATATATAGAGATATATATGTAATAATATTTTACATATATATATATAGAGAGAGAGAGATTGAGGTTTTCCAGGAAAAGTAGAAACCACATATTCTTTTTTTTCAAACAAACCTACTTTTCAAAATTGTTAAAATTGAATGGATTTAATGCAGCACAATAGTCTCTGAATTGAAACTGAATGAACTTCATTTTCCATTCATTTTCAGATTTCATGGGAAGAAATGATGGAAAGTTAAGCAAATAACTCATTCCTTTCTTCACTAGTGTATGTAATTTAACCAACCAAAATTATCTGCAAAACTGTTGCTTTAGTATTTATTCCATTTAAGCCAGAGAATTACTAAGCCTGTTCAAATTTTGTAATGTTTGTCTAACACGCGCATGAAAACTGGCTACATCCAGTAATGTTTCCTAGTAAAGATGCTCTATTAGTCTTATTTCTCAAGTTGTTCTTCTTAGAAACATAAATAAATACTTGCTTTTGACAGAGTTTAGTGAGGGATCATTTCCGGGGTAGGAGCCATGAGACCAGATCTGACTTCCATTTCCGATACTATCATGGAACATAAAAAAAAAAAAAAAAAAAAAATCGCAGAAAAAGTGTATTTGAATTAGCGTAACCTAGTGAAAACATTTTTTAAATTAGTATGGTCCACTTCTCAGATTTTGTAACATGGTGAAATACATCCAAACAAATTTTTTTTTGGTAAAGCTAAACATACACATCCATACATATGCACAGGTATGTACATTCAGTTTAGATAGAGAAAATGTCTTCTAACTTTTGATGTATTTGTTTATATTCCTGTCACTGTAACATAATAACCATAGTATCAACATATTATTAATTATTTTGAATACCAACCCCATTTCTCTACCTATTTGTGTTTGTGTGTATTCTAATTGTATGTGTGTGCAGATTGTGAAATATCATATATTTGATATATTTGTTGAAGCACACTTAATAAAATCTAATAATGCAAGTGAAATTTCAACAGAAGCTTCTGTGAAAAGAGGAGCTAATCTTATGTTTTGTGAAAAGTAATGACCTCAAACACAGAAACTGATAATCAAATAAAATATCAGTGTGTTTGATTAGCTGTAATGTTGAAAAAATCCAAGATAATTTCTCATACACAGTTATACTTCTGAAACTGTCATACGTGTGTATTATGAAAGGTCATTGTCATTTTTTTGTAAGTTAAAAAACGTTGATGCTAAGTAGATAAACTACACAGCAAAGTGACGCTTTTACCTTCTAGGAGAAAAAGGTAGAAGTTAAAAAAACTGCATCTAAATTTTACTCTCTCATCTACTTCCCTCATAAGAACTTTCAGAAATAACTGATGCATATACATTTTACCATGTTATTTCATTATATTTTTCACTATTAAAAAAGAATAAGAATCTGTCATAATGTAACTATATTAAATTTATTCTATTTACATGACGGTTTTATTTGTAAGTAGTTTTTTAGATAATCCTTAAATACATTATTTAAGCATAAAATGAACACTGTAATATATATTTAGAAACTAAATATCAAGAAATACATTTCCAAATGTATTTCTTGATACATTACATTTCAGTTTTTCTCTGAAACGAAAAACTGAAATGGAACATTTGCAAGTATAGTCAATAAATTTATTTATTTTATTTTTTGATACGAAATAATTGTACGTACTTATGCAGTACATTGATATTTTGATACATGCATAAAATGTGTAACGATCAAACCAGAGTAACTGGTTATCTATCATCTCAAACATTATTTATTTATTTGTTTTGGGAATATTCCAGATCTTCTCTTCTAGCTGTTTTGAAATCTACTATAATTTCTCTGTAACTATAGTAGCCTTATTGTGCTATCGAACACTAGAACTTGTTTTATGTAAATATATTAATATTTTTATACTCATTAACCAACCTCTCTTCATTCTGCCTCCCTCACCTTCTCAGCCTCTGATAATCACTATTCTACTCTCTACCTTTATGAAATCAACATTTTTTAGATTCTACATATGAGTAAGATGATGTGATATTTGTGTTGCTGTGCTTGGCATATTTCATTGAACACAACGTCTTCTAGTTCCATCTATGTTGCTGCAAATGACAGGTTTTATTTTTATGACGAATATTTCATTGTGTATATATACGTATATACACAAACTATTTTTTCTATATTTATGTCTCTAAATATATACATTTAAATTTAAATATACGTTTAGCTTCCTTAAATAACACACAATTATATTAACTAGAAACCTGGCTGACGCCCAGCTCATTGATGAGACCTGCAGTTTGTGATGGCCAGCATGTCACACTTGCCACCCATTGTTACTACCTACCATTTTCCCTTTGTATTTTTTTTTAAAGAATAAATCAATAAAAAGCAAGAACTGTATGTAGGAAAGGAAATATTACATATTACATCTGGGTGTGAATTTTAAGGAAGGTGCAATCCAACAGAAAATATACTCTAGGTAGGGGACTGTAGTTCATATTGTGTTAGCTTGTTTGTGGTGGTTGTTAGTTGGTCAAAGAACAAATATAGAGTGAATGAGATTTGTGAGGGTTTTTTTTTTTTCTTTTAAGCAAAGCATCACTGGAATAAGATAAAGTCTCTCTTTACTTTGGTATTAAAATGGATGCATGCCTGGTATTCACAGGAAATTTGTCTAAGGGTTGTACATGTCACCTTGACTTTCAACTTAGCATCTGATAGGAGAACTTTATTGGCATACAAATGAGCAGAGAGGGTGACTGATGTAGTGAACTCTGCATTTTGCTTGTACTGAAAAGATTAAGATCTTTCCTTAATTGAGAATTAAGACAACTAATGAAAAAGAGCAAAAATCATAATTGAGCATTTTATATTACTGTGCCCAAAAGTTGGAATTTATAGATCCTGTAGAAA
Source organism: Homo sapiens (assembly GCF_000001405.40). NCBI lineage: Eukaryota > Metazoa > Chordata > Mammalia > Primates > Hominidae > Homo > Homo sapiens. Next base: position 21,128,587 of record NC_000021.9, read on the forward strand.
CAAAGTAAAAGTAGTGTCGAATAATGATTTATTGATCTTCTGTGTAAGTCATTTAATTTGATTCTGAGTGAAATATAAAGTAAAATCTACAAATAAAATATAAAATAATTGGGCTTTGTAAGGCAAGAAAAGAAAAATGAGTTGAAAAGCATATGTGAAGAGTTAAGAAATTATTTGACGTCAGATAATAAAACAAAAGATCAATGCTTAAATTAAATCTACCTTGGAAATGGCAAAAATATAATTATTACTATACAAAATCAAATCAGAATTGTAGCAGAAACATTAGAAGACATCAGAAAATAATCTTAGAGGGATTAAAGCCAGTTTATTAGAAGATATTGTGGGGACCAATGTAAAAACATCCAAAGAATGAATGAGCAGAAATGAGTTAAAACGACAGCAAACAAATTTGACAGCCAAGAACAACAAATATTATCAAATTTTAAATTATTTTATGAACTGCTTATTAAGAGCTATCATTAAGTTTTCAGGTAAACAAATTTTAAAACGTATAAATTTGCATGTAGATACTGTGGCAAGTTTATTGATCATATTAGTCTTTATAATGTGAAAACTTTTAAGTCTTTAAAAATAGACTGAAAATTTATATCAGATACTGTACAGACTTACCTTTATCAAACACTTCTTTTACTTTTAAAAATGTATTTAATTCACAAATGAAGATTGACTATATTTGAAGTGTTAGAACTTAATGATTTAATCATTGTATTATGATTACCACAGTCAACACATCCAAATGTCTTATTAATTTAATTATAGCAAATAAAAGAAGGTTAAAGTAATGACTCAACTAGTCTTACTAGATTTTTAAGTTGCTTGCAAATTCTGTTGTAGAATATTGTCTATTTTCTACTGCCAGCTGCTATATCACGTGGGCTTCTATATCAAAAATGCTGCAAACTGGATGGGTTATATACAACAGAAATTTATCTCCAGTCTCCTGGAGACTGGAAAATTCATCATCAAGGCACCAGTAGATTCAGCGTCTGGTGAGGGCTGGCGATTTGGTTTTTAGATGGCATTCTCACTTTTTCTTCACGTAGTTGGTGCTAGCTAGCTCACTGTCGCCTCTTTTGTCGCTGTTGCCACCTTTTAATACTATCATGTGGGGGATTAGGTTTCAATATATGAATTTTAGAGGAGCGCAAGCATTCAGTCCATAGCAATAGTTCAGTGTAAGTAATGATCTTAAGTATGGTAAATTCATTGTATGATGAATCTGTATATTTTCACGAGGATCTGCTTATGCAGCTTCTGGTGATATGTAATGTTAGAAAATGCAAGGTGAATTTTGGACTTAGAAAATGCACCTATTGAATAAGAATACATTATTTTTTGCCTGGGATATTACTTAAAGTAGCATCATTTTATTTAAATAAGAATACAGAACTCATGTTCTGGGAAGAACTAATATATTGTGCTAGATATGGACCTCTCTTCTTACTCTAAATAGTGTTGTCAGTTAAATTTTAAATAAGGAACAATGAGAAAAAAATAAATGTATAAAACAAAGGCTAACTAGGAATATTATCTAAATATATTTTAAATAAAATTTTGTGTGAAATGTCTTTTGAATTGTTGGTTACAATTTTATGCACTGTGGAATAGTGTTAACATTATAATTTGACATCATCTAGCAGTTGGTAATACAAGGCTTTGTACAACTGGAAATCATGCAAAGGTTATCTTGTTCATCTGGGGAAATTAATATTGTCAATAGGATTTTATTAAATGTAGTTAATAAAATATTTAGTGGAACATTTCTTTTTTAAGGAATTTTTAGTCAATACTGGCAGTCCTCAAAGATGTTGAATAATATATAATGGTACGTGCATCAATCTCCCAAACTTTTATTTGACTGTGTAACTGTGCTTCCAATAACATTTTCCCGAATGTAAAAGCCTAAATATATTGTATAACAAAGAAGTATATATAATTACACTAATTCCGATAGATTATTGGTAATCTGTTGGGGATAGTCAGTAGGGATGAATTACTATGTTTATATTAACTTAATTTGACATTTTAAAACATCTTTGCCAAATGTCAACATTCATATCTGAGGAAATGCTTTAATTTTTGCTTACTCTGTGCCATAACTTTTGCCTCTATGTAAATTACCAATTTTTTTTTGGTGTTTTTAACAGTGGTATTAACTTATTAAATAAAAACCAGTTGAAAATATGTTTCTGGGTGAATATTTAAAATGGCAAAACATATGTCCAAAAATATAAGCTGGTAATTTATTACCATTTTAGTTCACATTTTTCTAAATTGGCCAAGCAAAAACAATGATATTTAGTTTAACTGAATGTTTCAGGTATAACGTGATCAACGTTATTGATACTAAACTAAAAAACAGAGTGATATGTTTTAAATTCTTTTGTGGAATTCATTAGATTTTTTTTGTTTCCTCTGTGATCCATATGTGCAAAAACGTAATCATGTGAGAATGAAAAGGAATAGACCATTTAAATAAGTTTGAAATCCTCATCTAAATATGTCAAGGTGTGTTAACACTTATGAAAATCACAGCTAATATAGACATTTCTAACTGATCATTGGATAAATGGTGGGGTTTGTGATAGAGGCAGAGTTATCACCATTCAATAACCATATCTACAACCAATATCAGATAAGTTACTTTATTTCTAGGGTTTAATTTTTCTGGGGGGGGGCTTTAATTTTTTTCAGCTCTTGGTGCCCAGGCTGAAGTCCAATGGCATGATCTCAGCTCACTGCAACCTCCACCTCCTGGGTTCAAGGGAGTCTCCTGTCTCAGCCTCCCTAGTAGCTGGGATTACAGGCATGCGCCACCACACTGGGCTAATTTTGTATTTTTAGTAGAGATGGGGTTTCTCCTTGTTGGTCAGGCTGGTCTCAAACTCCCAACCTCAGGTGATCCACCCGCCTTGGCCTCCCAAAGTGTTGGGATTACAGGCATGAGCCACCACTCCTGGCTGGGGTATAATTTATATATACAAATTAGCCTTCATACTTTACTTTTAAAATTATGTATTGACTTACATGTGTGTAGAATAATATTGTATTTTTTAAAATATACGTCAATTACTACAATTTTATATATAGCTATATATATGACACTACCTATATAATAGTGCTGTATGAAAATTGTATGCTTCTCAATTTTATGCATATATTTTATTCAAAAGGTTTTAACTTAAATTGTTTCCCAGTATGTATTGAACTTCTGTTATGGCCAAGATACTAGAAAAGATTCTGTATACAGAAAAGTGAATAATAGAAAGTGTGTATTTATATAAATAGCTAAGTGGCTTAATTTCCTATTGATATTGTAACAAATTGTCACAAAGCTTAAAAACCACACAAATATATTATTTTACACTTCTGTGGATCAGAAATTTGAAATGAATCATACAGGGCTAAAATCTGGGTGTTAGCATCTGTTACTTCTCAAAGCTGAGGTGAAGAATCCTTTTCCTAATCTTTTCCAGGTTCTAGGAGTTTCCCGCATGCATTTGCTCATGGCCTCTTCTTCCATCTTCAAAGGCACCTGCTTAGCATCTTTAAATTCATCTCCCTATCTCTCCCTCTTTCTTGCTCTCACTCTTTTTTACTCTCACTCTTGCTTTTGCTTTCTCTTTCTCTCTGACTTCTGCTTCTGTGGTTACATAGCCTTCCCTGACTCCCACCCTCTTTTCCTTATAAGAACCCTTGTGACTACAATAGTGCCACTAGGATAATTCAGGATAATTTTCCCATTTCATCTCAAGATCCTGTACTTAATCACATCTGTAAAGTCTTTTTTTTTTCATATAATTCAACATATTCACAGGTTCCAGGGATTATAAAGGGAATACTTTGAGGGAAGAGGGATTGCTCTGTCTACCATTGTCAGTATATCTGCATTTTTATTACAGCTTGTATTTAATTATGTATGTGTACATACTGAATGGGAGAAAAAGCACCTCAGTATTCTAATTTCAGATTGTAGCACAGTCCCTACACACATTAAAATAACTTATTACTAAATTCCATAAGCCTTACTAAAGACTTTAAAGTAAAGTTCCTCATGCTCCAAAATAAACATAGATCCTGGTTTTGTATTATCAGCATAGATAAATCTCACTTTATTTTTATGAACACATTTTTATTATGGAATATAAAACCAAGAGAGACAAGAACATAAGCTTAAACTTGCAACATAATGAATATTTTTTAAAATGAATAACCACATAACCACTGCACAAGGCAAGAATAGAACCCAGCACTCTAGAATCCTTTGTGTGCCACTTCCAGGGTAAAACCGTTAGACATAACCACTTTTCTATCTTCTGAGAATCATTTTCTTGATAACATTTATCACTTATACATAGATCCTTAAACAATATAATCATACGTGTTTTTATAATATAAATCAATTCATTTTACCTATATTATGACAGTTATTTTCTTTGCTCAAATTATATTTTAAGATCCATCTATCTTTTTGTATGTGACTTTGGATTATTTCAATTTTTATACAACATTCCATTGCTTTAATTTATTATGCAATCATTTTAGTAACAGTAAGCTACAGTACAAACAAATAGTAAGATACAATGATAATACTAACAATGAAGAAAACATTCAGAATTGATTAGAATATGCTGTGGCAACAATCTCCAAACTCCTTGACTTGTCTCTCTACACATACCTCACTAGTCTACTCAACATGGAGTTTACACTAACACTCGGAAGTAGCAGCCATATCTGGGATATTGACATGTTCTGTGGCAAAGGGAATGAGCACATGGGCTGATCGTGTTCTGTCTTTTAAAGCTTCTGCCACAAACTGACACAGTTCACGTCCACTCCTAATTCATTAGCCACTGTAAGTCACATGCCCATATCTGATTTCAAGGAGGCAGAGGAGTACCAAATGGGAAAAGACCTGTAAATATATGGCAAATTGCACTGACCAGTTCAACAACTGTGGTATTAATTAGTCATCACATATTCAATCCACTGTCCTTTTTGCCCACAAAAGGCACTCACCCTCCATGATGGAGTCAATCCAAAAAAGATCTCATAGAATTATTCTCAAAGTGCAAGATACCAGAATGATGTGCAGTATTTTCATCATCAGTGCATAATGCACAGTTGTTGCTGCCTCGACCCTGATCTGGAAACTCATGAAATTAAAAAGGTATTAACTTACCCACATCCCCATCCCTTACCCAACCAACTTTCACTGGAGGAATAGGAACAGGATACCCATAGAGAAAACAATCCATCAGAAAGGGGAGAAAGTTGAGATCTCACTGGTACATATTGATGCTGAAGTAACACTGGGTAGATGGTTGTGGATATTCCAAATCTTAATGGTGCAGTATATTCCTTGATCAGACCTCATTTCTGGTTCCTTTGAATTTCTCCCTAGCCCTGGTCTCTGTGGCCCTTATCTTCACACTTTGGGTGGCACTTCCTCTCTTTTTTTTTTTTTTTTTCCCCTGAGATGATGTCTCGCTCTGTCACCCAGGCTGGAGTGCAATGGTGCAATCTTGGCTCACTGCAACCTCCGCCTCCCGGGTCCAGGAGATTCTCCTGCGTCAGCCTCCTGAGTAGCTGGGATTACAAGTGCACGCCACCATGCCTGGCTAATTTTTTTTGTATCTTTAGTAAAGACAGGGTTTCACCATGTTGGTTAGGCTGGTCTTGAACTCCTGACCTCGTGATCTGCGCACCTCGGCCTCCCAAAGTGCTGGGTCTACAGGCATGAGCCACTGTGCCTGGCCAGCACTGCTCTTCTATTTGCTTCTTAACTACCTCAGAAGAAGACAGTGGAGACCAGGAGTGTAGGCCTTCATGGGTTCTGGGTGGCTTTGTAGGATTGGTTTTTGTCTATAGGAGTTAAAGAGCCTAATGGTCCATTAAACTCTGAATATCTACAGACACTTTAGTCCTGGATAATGCTTTCTTTTACAAAATAAAGTGTCCTAAAACTGTCTATCATTTTCATTAAAACTTTTTAATGTGCTAATAGAAAATGAGATATAGTCTTTAGATTTACCATATTTTTTGTTTTTTAATTTTTCATTTCACTTACTTCCAGTTGAATTATGGTTATATTGCAGCCTTTTTTTTTTTTTTTCCTGAGTTATGGTCTCACTCTGTTTCCCAGACTGGAATGCGGTGGTGCAGTGATCACAACTCGCTGCAGTCTCAAGCTCCTGGGCTCAAGGGATCCTCCCACCTCAGCCTCCTCAGCAGCTGGAGCTACAGCCACGTGCCACCACACCTGGCTATTTTTTTATTTTTATTTTTTTGTACAGACATGGTCTCACTATGTTATCCAGACTGGTTTAAAACTTCTGAACTCGCTGGGCGCGGCGGCTCACGCCTGTAATCCCAGCACTTTGGGAGGCCGAGGCGGGCAGATCACGAGGTCAGGAGATCAAGACCAATCCTGGCTAACACGGTGAAACCCCGTCTCTACTAAAAATACAAAAAAAAAAAAAAAAATTAGCTGGGCGTGGTGCCGGGCACCTGTAGTCCCAGCTACTCTGGAGGCTGAGGCAGGAGAATGGTGTGAACCAGGGAGGCGGAGTTTGCAGTGAGCCAAGATTGCGCCACTGCACTCCAGTCTGGGCTACAGAGTGAGACTCCATCTCAAAAAAAAAAAAAAAAAAACTTCTGAACTCAATCAGTCCTCCACTCTGGCCTCCCAAAATGCTGGGACTACAAGCATGAGCCACCATACCTTGCCAGTTGTATTTCATTTTTGTGCCTTTAGTGAGAGAGCCACAAGTTAAGTCCCTTTTATCTTGTGGCATATTGCTCAGTAGAAAGGATTCGGTAGGTGCCAAATAATATTATTCGAGTTTTTGCTCTGAAACACCTCGATAGAACTGAAGTTACTTAACAGTGAATGTGACAGTCTTAGCATTTATTTTATCCCTGCTTCAAGTCTGAGTTCAATTGTTCTTGTCACTCGAAGCTCTTCTCAGTTTTATATGCCGTTGGCCTTGATTAGCGGTTGCATCTTCTAACCATGACAGTCCTTGGAATGCTTGTACTCTCACTATCTCCACTATTTCCGTGTCCTAACTCACTGTTTTCTGATCTGATCTGTTTCTTGTGACAGTTTGCCAAATTCAACTCCTAGGAACCAACCTGTGCTTTTTTCAACCTTTTCCACTGGGACTCCAAGTTCATTAAGTATATACATTTTTCTTCCAAGTTATTACAGGTGGCAATTGTACCTAATAGTTCAGAACATGTGTCATGGATTCCATGTTCCCAGCCCTTCCTAGGAGTTTCCTTGCCTTAAAGTCCACAGATCCTAAGTCAGTGTCCCATGTATTTAAAAAAAATTGTTATGACATCATTTGACTTCTAGTTACCAATTTCTGGTGTGATGGACCATGTTATCCTGCAGTTACAAACAATTTTGAAGGCTTAGTGACTTACAAGAATTGTTTATTTATCGCTCTGTTTATATATCCATCATGGGTTACCTGGGGCCTTTCTCTTTCTTTACATCTGGACCCAGACTATTTGAACAGACACTTATCTGCAACATTAGGGGTCACTCTGGTGAAGGAAAATAAAGGAAATGGAGACTCCTCACTATTCTTTACCATTTTCTTCTGATACAGTTTGCTACCATTTGCATGTAAATAGCTAGAGGAAGTCATATAGCCATAACTAACTTTAAGGGTGAAGGGGAATACGATTCAGCCATGTATCCAGAAGGGAAAACAACCAGAAACACTGGTGAGCAACACTATAGAACACCACAAATGATAACAGCATTGAAAAATCTTTCTGATGGATTTATCTAAATATGGGATACCCACATGCTAAATTGTACTCTACTCAATTTATCTCTTTTTTTTTTTTTTGGAGACGGAGTCTCATTCTGTCACTCATGCTGGAGTGCAGTGGTGCGATCTCCACTCACTGCAACCTCCACCTCCTGGGTTCAAGCAATTCTCCTGCCTTAGCCTCTGGAGTAGCTGGGATTATAGGTGCAGGCCACCACGCCTGTTTTTTGTTTTTTTTTTTATTTTTAGTAGAGATGGGGTTTCACCGTTCTGCCCAGGCTGGTCTCGAACTCCTGAGCTCAGACAGTCTGCCCGCCTCAGTCCCTCAAAGTGCTAGGATTACAAGCATGAGCCCGGCCCATTTTATCTCTTTCTAATTCTCTTTCTACAAAAGACGACATGCAATGAAATCCTTCCGGTTGCAGACACCATGCAAAGCAAAGGGAAAGTTAAACAACTGTTCCTCAAAAGAAATTTTGAATGTTAATAGTAAATAATTGATTTTTTTTTTTTGGTTTAAGGACAAAAAAGCTATAATTTTTAAGAATTGTTATTACTGCCAAGAGTTAATACTGGCGAGTGCCACTTTATGACTTAGAGTTGCTTGGTTTCTGGTTACAATTTTTAGTAGAGGCAGGTTTCACCATGTTGGCCAGGCTGTTCAGGGACTCCTGGCCTCAAGGATCCACCCACCTCAGACTCCCAAAGTGCTGGGATTACAGGTGTGAGCCACTGCGCCCAGCCACAATTAATAAAGTTTGTTTGAACATATTATAAAATGTGTTTAACACATGGTGCCGATATTGTCAAAATTAAAAATTAGAAAAATACACTGCCATTATTATACTAAAATATGACTGCTTATGTCAGAATATCATACAAAGTTCTGTTACTTAAAAGAAATTATTTACAAATTAGAACTTTTCCAAGAAGTATGTATTTACATATTGTGGCATTTCACAATACAGCACACTTAAAAATAATTGATACTTAAACATGTTCCTATAAAGTATTCTAAATCAGGTGAGAGACTTCAATATGATTTATAAAAAATGTTGGCCGGGTGTAGCATTCAATATGATTTATAAAAAATGTTGGCCGGGTGCTGTGGCTCACGCCTGTAATCCCAGCACTTTGGGAGGCTGAGGCAGGCGGATCACCTGAGGTGACCAACATGGAGAAACCCTGTCTCTACTAAAAATACAAAACTAGCTGGGCATGGTGGTGGATGCCTGTAATCCCAGTTACTTGGGAGGCTAAGACAGGAGAATCGCTTGAACCGAGGAGGCAGAGGTTGCAGTGAGCCGAGATCGTGCCATTGCACTCAAGCCTAGGCAAGAAGAGCGAAACTCCATTAAAAAAAATGTTGAAAGTGTAAGAGTGATTTTTTTTTAGTTGCTTCCAAATCCAGAGGATATCTTTTGAAAGCAGTCGTCACTTCATTTTTTTTTTCTGTGTTGTGATTCTTCTTTGTGTTCCTTGTATGACTTTTGTCCTTTCCATAATGAGTGTAGGATATTAGCAGGAAGGTGACACTGGATTTGTGTTGATGGACTTGGGGAGAACCTTTGTAACGGTGTTTCATTAGACTCAGTTCACCCCAGATACCAGCTTATTACCATCTCCTCTAGCATTTATATCTGAGGAACAGAGAAACTCATGTCTTTTGTCCTACCTTTTGTCCTATTTCCAAGCTCTGATCAGGGCATATCAAAAAGCAATTTCTGGCTTGTGCTAGTTCCTTATCTTGGGAACAGCTGCAGTTCACATTCCCTAAGTGTGAGCAAGCACAGATGTCTTCACTGATTGTAAGGCTGAAGGTGGAAGAAAAACGTCCTTACTAGTATGCCTTGATCTGCCCCAGACGTTCCAATCTCTCCAGTTCATTCTGCAAACCAGCATTGCAGTACTTTTTAAACCTTGGTGTGATAGTAAAAACAAGACAAAGCCAGGGGTTTCAGAGACAGATAGATGTGTTTGACCTGTCGTTTCTCCACATCATTTTCATTATCTGTAAATTGAAGATGATTACAGTAGTCGTAGTTCCCCAATCTTAAGCTACATCTCTAGTGTATTTATTTGCCTACTACACAGTAGGAATCAATGATAACTGGAAGAGTTGACTGGTATTTCCCTCTCCATATTGTGAACTACATGAATATAAGGGATGCATCTTTTTTTAACATTATTGCCATCCTCTCACATCTCCAGCAATATTGTAAACAGACAGCGACCCATATATACCTCCATTATGCTCTAACAGGTAACTGATTTTAGCAGTGACATATTTATAATAAATAATTAGTGTATTTTGATTTGAAAAATAGACTTAATAATTAAAACTGAGTTTTATAGCTAAACATTCTGATACCAAAATAGATATATATATTTTTTGCTTCAATATACGACTGACACTTTCTTTGACACTGTGGAAGCCAACTTAGGTAAGGTAAGGTAAAATAACCCTTTAATGTAGTCATTGAAGTAATTTTTTGTCATACATATTCATCATTTTGTTCAGGTTATGGTATTTTAATGATAAATAATAGTTATATAATGCAGTCAGGTGAATGGTGGTCACCCCAGAAGATATGGCCACATCTGGATTCCCTGAACCTGTGAATAAAAGTTTTCTTACTTTGAAAAAGGATCTTCGCTTATGTAATTTAACATCTTGATATGTAGAGAGAATCCCGGATTCTCTGGGTGGGCTCTAAATTCAGACAAGTGTCTTTATAAGAAAAAGGCAGAGGGGGATTTGAGACAGACAGAAGTGAAGGAGGCAGTGGAACTACAGAGACAGAGCTGGAGTGAGGCAGCCACAAATCAAGGCTTGGCGAAGGCCACCAGAAGCTGTAAGAGGCAAAGAACAGATTCACCCCTAAAGCTTCAGAGGGAATGTGTCCCTGCTAAAATTTGGACTTCCAGCCTGAAGAGCTGTGAGAAAATACATTTTTGTTGTTTTAAGCCATCAGGTTTGTGGTAATTTAGTTTGAAATCTTCAGAAAATGAATACAGATGTGTTAATGTCTCTAGTTCTTGGCATCTGTTTCTGAAGATTAAGCACGACTTTTCACAAACAACCTTGATGCATTTTGTTTTCTTTATAGAATACAAGGAGAAAATTAATATACAAACTAACCAGGAAAAACATCTAATTGTAACAGTCTATAGATATTTTATCTCGCTTTCTGTCTGTTCACATGTGATGTAGGATAAATATTCAGGTAGTTTTTTAATTCACATTTTTGGAATTTTTACATTCTAAGGGGAAGATTAAATTGTTTGAAAATATGTGTGCAGAAGTATATAAAATAAATATATAAAAATGGCTATGCATATGTACATACACATACTTATGTGAAAATATTTTAAACATCAATGTATGAATAGTTCTATGTGTGAAAAATACTTAATACCATTATTTATTAAACTCAATTCCTTAATTATTAAAATTTACTCCTTTATTAAAAATAAATCTAAAATATTCACAAGTTCACGTCTTACACATATTTGCCTTGTTGGAAATATTCTGGTAATTTCTATGATAAGAAAACATTCATCATGAACAATTGTATAATTTGCTCACTAATGATGATGGTGTCTCCAAGAATTTAGGACATCAAATTGTCATGGTGGGTTCTAAGATTTATCCAGAGTTTCTGTTTCAAGAGTATTTTTTATGGCTAGAATAAGTTTTCAGGTTACTCTTTAGAAAGTGATTAAAATAAAATTAAGATCCATTTTTAAGTCATTACAATTGGTATCATGTTATTGCTTTGTATTAATTGTATACACCATAGAGTAATAAGTATAAGGAACAAGACAGCTTGAAAAATAAGTGACACTGGAAATTTAAACACAGTTTGGTGGGATATAAAGACAAATAATTGCATCCTTCTAGGCATTGAAGCTAAACATTTCTATTTTGGTAATGTTGGCTAGAGCATCTGAAAATGCACATCAGGGTCTCTGGGCAGAGCAAACACTTCCTGTAAGCCATACCTTCAATAAATAATTCTTGGTGAAAATAAAACCATTAGCAGAAATAATGATAATCTTTTCCTTTTGGGCTTTAATAAATCATCCTACCGATGCTAACAAATGAAGTATATTATAAAATATGAAATAAATATAAATCTTAAAAATCATCTGAGATTGCCATTTCTCCAGTCTAAGCCTCATCAGCTATTTCTCTTAGTAGGACCACCAGGGTCCAGAATCTCATACCCTGATTTACAGCTGTTATTTTATTCAGAAGTGCTCATGAAGAGCTTATTCTTTGGTTTTCTCTTCTGTCACTTTTGTTCAGACCACCATGAAGAAAGTCCTGGAAAATCACTTTATTTTTCAACAATTTAATATGTTACAATTCCTGAATCTGCATGCTACTTTTCAAAAATGAACACTAGTGAAATTTGAGGAGTCAAATTAATTCATTGATAAAAATCTCTGAACATTGCTATGAGGCCAGAGTGTAGCAGTTACTCTAAGAAGGCTTACAGTGTGCAGAAACAACAGAGAAAAGGTAATTTCTTAAATTAACCCTGATTTAACATGTACCCTGCTGTGAAGGACTCTATATTTTAAAAATGGGCTATTTATCTATGGTCCAGGAGGCAAAGACTCTCCATTCAGGAAGCAGTAGTATCCTAAACAATACATACCTTCCCAGCATTGTACATTTTTGTAACCTTGATTTTTCTATCATGATAAAATTAGAAGACATAACACTTCATAATTTCAAAACGTATAACACTTTTGTAAAAATGGTTTTCAAGTTTTTCGCTAGAAATTTTGTAAAGTTGCTACAGGTACGTGTAAACAAACTTGATATGATGAAACAACAAACTTCTCCTTATTTCCTTAGATTGTTCTTCTATCAGGAGGCACATATTTGTTGTCTGGTGTCTCCTTTAATGATGTTAGCAGCTATTGATGATCTTTGCTAGATCCATTAATTCACTGGCAGTTGGAAATGGTTCTGTTTTAATGCCACAATTCTTTTCTCATTTATTAGCAGATATTTTTATAAAAAATCCTCTTATCAATGATATGGTTACCAGTGATACCAGAAAGGCAGAATAAATGTTGGATTTTTCCTATCAATTACTATATTCTAAAATAAAGTTTTGCATTCCTCACACCTTTATTAGTAATTAGTAGTTTTAATAAACATAATTATTGACAGTTAGATATGAGAGCATATTTGATAGATTTCATTCCACTCAAGATGGTCTCATTCGTGCTCAAATTTTCTCCTCCTTTACTCATGGAAGGCTCTTAAATTTAGCAAAGTTCTTTTGACACTGCTCTGGTAGTCTTTTGGAGAGCCTCCACACTATCTGGCATGACAAGGTGTCCCAGGCCTAGGCTGTATATCTACTGCCCTGGACCAGGAATCAGGCATTTGTCTGAAGTGAACTGATTAACTGATTACTTTTAGTGGGAAATTGTATCTGAACACCATAAATTGGGTTCAAGGTATGCTCATTAGTACTGTATTGATCTTTGCTTCCAGACATTTTAGAAAGCAGAGCCAGAAAAATAATAGATACATGAAAGATGATAGATAGAGATAAATGGATGAAATAAGTAGAAAGTTCATCTGAGTGTTTTAATTCAAATTCAGCCTTTAAGGGATTTTTGCATAATCGGTCATGTTACATCTTGATCTCCTTTCTTCTGGTTTATAACACTGGGAATAATTAAAGTAACATTTGCTTTATTCCATGATGCACATAAAGCATTCTCAGTTAGCAATAGCGAAAACAACTAATATGAATACTATAAACATTTGTGACTTTTTTGGGTAGTTTTTCCTGTCCATAGAGTATATCTTGCTGTAAAAATACAGTCAAATTACTGTGACTGAAAGGCACTTGGATAGTTTATGTTTGTGCACATGTGCATATTTAATAACTACAAATATATGTTTAACTTCACTTTTTAAATTATTTGACCGTTTTTTTTTATGTTTTTTTTTTTTTTTTTTTGAGATAGAGTCTCACCCTGTCGTCCAGGCTGGAGTGCAGTGGCGCAATCTCGGCTCACTGCAAGCTCCGCCTTCTGGGTTCACGCCATTCTCCTGCCTCAGACTCCGGAGTAGCTGGGACTACAGGCGTCCGCCACCAGGCCTGGCTAATTTTTTTGTATTTTTGAAAGAGACGGGGTTTCACCATGTTAGCCAGGATGGTCTTGATCTCCTGACCTCGTGATCCGCCCGCCTAGGCCTCCCAAAGTGCTGGGATTACAGGCGTGAGCCACTGCGCCCAGCCTTGACCATTATTTTTATTGTAATTATGTAAAATGTTTTTTGTGGTTTCTGGGTCAAAAAGCAAAGTGCATATAATAAAGTTGTATATTAACACACATCTGTATTATATGCACTTTTATTTTTTCCCTTATAGTACATGGTTATAAAAACCATAATTAAATGTAAAGTATTCCTCATTCATTCATTTTCAGAGCTATGATTTTTGTAGGTGTAGCGTATTTTATTAAACTGTATTTTTGTAGACAGCAATTTTGGTTGTTATTAGATTTCGAGGGATCTCCCTCTATCTTATAGAATGTCACAATTATTAGCCCTGGTCATACATCTTTATAAAAATATTTTTGCCGTTGTCCATTTTTGTTATATTCAAAGAAGTTATACTGCTTGGTCGAAGGGTAATGATTAAGTTATTTGGTCACACATACCAAGTTACTGTTCATCGGGATTTTAACATTTTTTTGTCTCACTGCAAAGGTGTGAAGGTTCCTATTTAGCCAACCCCTGCTTAGCAGACTATGTGGTTAGGCTTTTGGGTTTTTTTCCATTGGAAGATGTGAGAAAATGGTATTTTTGTTTCTTTATTATTTTCATTTCATTTTATATGAAGTGTGTGTCAACGCATCTATTTTTATAGGGTTATTGAAAATTTTATCTATTTTAGGTGTTCTTTATTAAACATATTAACTCTGATTCTTCAGTTTTGATTTGTTTTAGCTTGACTGTTTACTTGTGGTGTCCTTTGCCCTGTGAATTTTTAATGTAATCAAATGTACCTAATTTCTCATTGCGTCTGGATTTTGAGTTACAGTTTTAAAAGGTTTTCCCTCTCCCACTTGTAGAAAAGTTGACCAGATTTTCCTCTGTGTATAGTTTTATACTTTCACATTTCAGTCTGGTCCTTTTGGAATTTACCCTGATGCACAATATGATGAATTCACCCAATTTTATCTTTTTAATATTGTATCTTTTTATTTAAGTATTTTTTTCCCTCACTGTTCTACTATGCTGTTTTTCTATTTTGGCGCCTTGGTTTTTCCATCTCTTCATGCACCAAAAACGCATTATTTAAAATATGTTTGGTGTCTTGTAGGCCTTTTCTCCTTTTTGCTCATTTTTTTTTTAGGAAGTTTTTTTTTTTTTTTTCCAGCAGTTATTTGTATTTATTTGTTTTTTAAGATAACTTTCTACTCATATTCTTGCAATTCAGGGGAAATAAGAATTGTGATCATATTGGCATTGCTGTCAATCCTGAAATTAGTTAGTAGAAAACTCAATGTGTTATTTGTTTCACAACGTTTTTTGTCTATTTTCATACCTTTCATCTTTTAAAAAATCCCAAGTTAAATTGTGTATTATGTACCAACATCATACAATTAAAAATCAACCTTTTGGCTGGGCACGGTGACTCACACCTGTAATCCCAGCACTTTGGGAGGCCGAGGTGGGCGGATCATGAGGTCAGGAAATTGAGACCATCCTGGCTAACATGGTGAAACCCCATCTCCACTAAAAATATAAAAAATTAGCCAGGTGTGGTGGTGCATGCCTGTAATCCCTGCTACTCAGGAGGCTGAGACCAGAAAATTGCTTGAACCCAGGAGGTGGAGATTGCAGTGAGCCAAGATTGTGCCACTGCACTCCAGGGAGACAGAGCAAGACTCCATCTCAAAAAGAAAAAAAAAAAAATCAACATTTCAAATTACAAAACAAAATGATAAAATGGCATTCAAAATAACTTAAAAGATAATATCCTTGCCAAATTAGTTCAAGATTATACACTCCAAACCAAAATCATTGCTGAGAGAAAGCCAATGAAATTCAGATACATGGAGAGACACATGGTGATCATAGATCAGAAGAATCAACATATGTCAAGGTCTCAATTTCCTAAAATCGATCTACACATTTCATTCAATCGAAATGTCTGTCTTTTTTTTTCTTAAAGTTAATATTTCCATTCTTTTGACATCTTTGAATTCCCCTTGAAATACAAGAGAAATCCTCACCACTTTAAGTCAAACACCTCTGTTCCCAAATATCTGACACATCTTCCTTCATTTATTTCTTCTTTCTTCCACTTACATTCATAGATTTAACTACAGACAAAGCAAGACTAGGAAATCTAGTCTTGCTAGATGCATCTTGTTTAATGAAATGCTTAAGAAATGGAATATAGGAAAATGTAGAGAAACAAAGGCATAAAAGCATGTCAACACTAGTACAACTGATCTTTGAAATGTCAGGGGTCGCCGTGTTGTGAAAAGCAAATTAATATAGGACGCTGAAAGAAATAATGATCATGAAGAATTTAAAAATGTTACTGGCACTGATATGAATATTCTTCAAGCAATATTACTTTATACTAAAATGAATCCCTAATAGAGATTCAAGTTGATATCCACTGCAGGTTGCTACATCAAAGCATTTTATTTTTTTGATTACTCCACCAAATTTTTCATGGTTTCTTACCATTTAAAAACAAGAAAACCTCTGACAATAATGAAACAACAATAGAGTGAAGGGTTTTGAAGCCCATGCTAATATGAATTACAAATTATTTTTATAATAGATTCATTCACTATAACAAGAAAAACAACAAAAACAAAAATATTTTAAATTGTGCTTACTTGCTTTTGATTATGCATAATGTCCTTCACCGTCTTGAGCATTACTTAGATGTTTTAAAATTGAATAGCTAATTTGAAATTGAGTATAAACCAAGAACAACTTACTGCAATTTATGTGTCACCACAATGATGATAACAATCTTCATAAAAATTCTTTTGTCCATCAAAGTATGCAATATGTCTTATAACAAATTAAATGTTGATCAAAACATTACAGATAAATAGGCATACTTTTTATATAATAAAACCTTTAGTTCCTTGCTGTTCTGCAAAATTTTTAAGTAGTCTATAAATCTGTATGTTACAAACAATAAAATGAAGCCAAAAAGAAGTGGGTAAGAGGATTATTGCAAAAGGAAGCTATGGATAGTATAGTATAACCAACACAAGAGAAGGTATAAATTAAAGATGTATTCAGAAGAGATTTAGAATACCCAGTATGCATGGTACAATTCAGGACACTGAGTACAAAACGATAAATAAATAAGATGATTATTTATAATCCATGGATTTAATAGTCTTATAGGGAAGATAGTAACTCAGGTAGAGTGTGATAGATTTAACAATACTACTGTACTTAAGGAGCTTGGTAAAATATTGACGATTGTGATTTAATTTGCCCGAAGGAAGAAGAAAGGCCAGGAAGCCTTCACAGAAGAGCTGGCACATAGACAGCAAAAATGGCAATGTCTTTAAATAGCAGTTCTGCCTGGAAACTTTTGCAACAGAGAAACACGTTTTTTGACAGTTTTTACAAGTAACAATGGCTAAAGTGAGAATATGAATTTAATAATTTCTATCACAATATGCCATTGTAAAAATTTTAAAAGGTAAGATTTTAGAATATGTGATTATATAAAATACTTATAATATTGGTTACTGAGTAAAATATTTTAAAATATTATAGTTCATACAAATACACTTTAAGAAAATACACTATTTCCATTGGTGTTATCACAGCCTTAGTTTTTATTTTATATCCAGGGTTTTTTGTTTTGTTTTGTTTTTTCATGGATTATAAAATGTTATAGAGGGAAAATTGTCTTTCTGACATGAATTTTGATCTGATTCTTCTGATCATATGTTTAGGTCTTCTACAGTGATACTTAAATAATCTATAGGGACTGAAATTACTTGGGTGTACTAGGCAGCATTTTCCAGAGAAACAGAACCAATATATACTCAATAGAATATATATGTGTATGTGTGTGTGTATATGTGATTATATAAAATACTTACAGGATATATATATGTATATATATATATATATGGATTATATAAAATACGTGTATGTGTGTGTGTGTTTTTCCTTTACTCAGAGCCATTTAACGTATTAAAGAACAGCTTTAAAAAAAACTTAAATTCACAGTTTCTTAACAGCAATACATTTAATACCTTCGCAAGATTTCAAGTGAAAAACATACATTATTCATGCTACGGGTTTTAAATTTTCCTTGGATAACACCAAAAACATGGTACTCAAACTGCATGTTTTAACATGAGGAACATGAACTATCATTTTGACACAAAGACAGGTTAAACAAAATAAAGGCAATGTGGAACTACTCCAGTACCAGTGGACTTGCTGAAATCTCGCGCCCTGTCCCACTCCGGAACTCATACCGCTGCCTTCTACTCCGGAACTCAGACCGCTGCCTTCTACTCCGGAACTCAGACCGCTGCCTTCTACTCCAGCACCAGTGGACTTCCTGAAATCTCGCGCCCTGTCCCACTCCGGAACTCATACGGCTGCCTTCTACTCCGGAACTGATACCCTTTGCCTTCTACTCCGGAACTCATACCCTTTGCCTTCTAAGCCAGCACTAGTGGACTTCCTGAAATCTCGCGCCCTGTCCCACACCGGAGCTGGTACCGCTGCCTTCTACTTCAGCACATGGAACTCTGCCTCCGCAGTTCTTAGTCCGTACCCGGCATTTCAACAAAAATGTAAATATTCAGAGATGTGTCACTGAATGAGAATTACTACAACATGCTAAAAAAAAGACAATTTATTTGTTGAATGTTGAAAGAAGGGGCTAGAATCAGTTGAAATTTAGAGTAGAAGGAAAATTTTGGAGTGACTCAGTCACTTCACTCTGATTTCATTTAATTTTTTATTTTTTGAGACAGGGTCTTGCCCTGTCCCCTAGGCTGGAGTGCCGTGGTATACTCATGACTCACTGTAGCCTCAATATACATACACTAATATATATATACACTAATAATGCAGCCACAGTATACATACATGCCGTGGTATACTCATGACTCACTGCAGCCTCAGTATACATACACTGTATATATATGTATATATACATACACTAATAAGTATCAACAGATATATATTTAATAAATTTATATATATACACACTAGCGCATATGCACACATACATCAAAAACATACATATTATATACTATATATAATATATAGTAATATAAAAGCGTACATGTTTTTGATGTGTGTGCATATGCACTGGTGTGTATATATATAAATTTATTGAATATATATATCTGTTGATATGTTTATAAAATACCCTATTTATATAGGATATTTAAATTAGGATAATTTTTCATTCTCTATATAATATATAGGATAATAATAGGATGAATAACATATAGGATATATATAAAGTGAAAAGCCAGTGCTGTGATTCCAGTCTGAATCTGAAGACCTGAGAACCGGGGGCACTGAGGGCAGGATAAGATGGATGTTCCAGCTCAGGCATTGAGGCAGAGAGAGTGCCAATCCTACCTTCCTCCCATTTTCTCCTATTCAGGCTCTCAATGTATCCTATGCTGTTCAGCCACATTGGGAAGGGCCATGTGCTTTATTTACTCAGCACACCAATTCAAATGCTAATCTTTTTAAGAAACAACTGTATAAACATACTCAGAAATTATGTTTGATCAGATATCTGGGCAGCCTGTGTTCAGTCAAGTTAACACATAAAATTAATCATCACAGAGGATGTGTACTTAATTATTTTGACCTCATAAATGAAGGCTTTCTCTAACTTTAATACTGTGGAACAAGCAGGGATACACAGCATGCCTAAGCAAAAATGCAAATAACTGGTGATAGTTTCTACTGGAAGATACTTCACAGGTAGGGGCACGTCTCTTTGACTGCTTTGTCATCAAACAGCCTCTCTGGAAAAATTTATTTGTCCTTGTAGGGAGAAGAAGATACTGTTAAAGTGGAGATTTTAAAATAAACCTAAAGTGTGCAGATATACAGTGTTCAACACCAAAAACCTTAAGAACAGACATCTTCATTTTAAATTTTCCTTTAGAATCTTCAAAAGTAGATAAGAATCCTAGGCCTGAAGCTTTTTTTGAGAGACGCTTTTTTAGGAACTGCAGTAAGAAGTATTCATAAGTACTTAAGTTGTCATAGTTATTAATAGTTCTGAGAATTTCCCTTAGATTTCCCAGTATATTCAGTTGATGTTCAAATCTTTGCAGAGAAGTTGACCTGAAGGAGAATTAGGAAATTAACAGAATTAGAAAATAATTATAATCTGGGAATTATTCTTACAGTAGAAATAGTGTCAGTCTAAAGTTGTATATCTCATACCATATTTACTAAAATTATTTATTTTGCTGGTAAGGCATGCATAAGCCACAGTGTATTTCCAAAAGAATATCCAGCTCTTTCAATGACGATTACTAATGTCCCTTTTCAAATTTAATGATTATAGGACCTTAGTTCAAATAAAAATACTGTATATATGTGGTTCTATTTCTGGACTCTGTTATGTTCCATGAATCTGTATTTCTATCATTATTCCAGCACTAAATTGTCTGGATATCTGTAAGTTTGTATAAAATCTTGAAATAAGGTAATGCACACTGTCTTTGTTCTTTATTGGAAAAATATTTTGGCTATTTGAGGTCTTCCTTTTCCATATAAATTTAAAACCTTCTTGGCAATTTTCTCAAAAAAAGTCTGCAGTTCATTTTTGGAGAATTACATTGAATCTATAGGTCAACTTGGAGATAATTGATATATTAGTAATATAGATTTTTCCAATTCAAGGTCATGGAATATTTCTCAATTTATTTAGATCTCTTTTAACTTCAGGAACTTTGTCTACTTTTTGATTTTTTATTTTACCTTAAGTTCTGGGATACATGTGCAGAATGTGCAGGTTTGTTACATAGGTATACATGTGCCTTGGTGGTTTGCTGCACGTATCAACCCATCATCTAGGTTTTAAGCCCTGCATGCATTAGGTATTTATCCTAATGCTCTCCCTCCCCTTGCCCCCCACCCCCCGACAGGGCCCGGTGTGTGCTGTTTCCCTCCCTGTGCCCATGTGTTCTCATTTTTCAACTCCCACTTATCAGTGAGCACGTGTGGTGTTTGGTTTTGTTCCTGTGTTAGTTTGCTGAAAATGATGGCTTCCAGCTTCATCCATGTCCTTACAAAGGACATGATCTCATTATTTTTTATGGCTGCATAGTATTACATGGTGTATATGTGCCACATTTTCTTTATCCTGTCTATCATTGATGGGGCATTTGAGTTGGTTCCAAGTCTTTGCTATTGTAAATAATGTTTCAATAAACATACATGTGCCTGTTTCTTTATAGTAGAATGATTTATAATCCTTTGGGTATATAGCCCGTAATGGGATTGCTGGATCAAATGGTGTTTCTAGTTCTAGATCCTTTAGGAATTGCCACACTATTTTCCACAACGGTTGAACTAATTTACAGTCCCACCAACAGTGTAAAAGCGTCCCTATTTCTCCACAGCCTTCTACTTTTATGTGTTTAGGTTCCTTATATATTATGTGAAATTTTTTTCTAAATATTTTGTGTTTTTATTACTGTAAATGGTATTGTGTTTATAGCAAAGGTATTTTTCTTTGTGGATATAGAAATACAATTAATTATTGCATGTTGAGCAGTACCTTGCAAATATATTTACTTATTCTTATAGTTTTTTAAAATGTAATTTCTGTGAGTTGCTTACAAATTATTTGTGAATTAGTTTTACTTCTTGCCAAGATTTATACTTTTTTCTTTGTTTTCTTGCCTAGTCTGCTGCCTAGGGATTCCAGAAAAATTGTGAATAGAGGTGATGAGAACAGATATCCTTGTCTTGTTCCTGATTTCAGGGAGAAAATATGCAAATTTTCACTATCAAATATGAGGTTAAATGTAGACTTTTAAAAGAGATTCTTGATCAGATTGAGGAAATGTTCTTATATTCCTAGTTTGCTATTTTATTATTAATTGATGTTGAATTTTGTCAGATTTTGGAGGCATCTATCTTTATGATCATATGGTTTTTATCTTTTATTTTATATATGTGATAACTTCCATTGTTTGATTTCCATTCTTGGGATAAATCCAGCTTCATCATGATATTGTCTGTGGTATATATTGTTAGATCCATTTTTCTTATATTTTCTTTTGGATTTCTGTGTCTATATTAGTGATGGTATTGTTTTCTGGTAATATATTTTTCTGCATTTGGTATAAAGATAATGATATTTTTATAAAATTAATTGGGAAGTGTTCTCTGTTGATTTTAATTGGGAAGTGCTCTCTGTTGATTTTATGAAAAAGTTTATAGAAGCTGGATGCTATTTTTTCTTAAATGGTTGACAAAATTTATGGGCTATGTCATCTTGGCTAACTTTTTTTTGTGGGAAGATTTTAAAAATATATATATATTTTTAATCGTGATATGTTTGATTGATACCATTCTTGTGTCAGTTTTGGTGGGTTTTGTCTTTCAAGGAGATTAGGATGATTAAATTTATATTTTTATTTTCCAGTGTTATTTAAATCAATTAAAAAAACACTTCTGTATCTGGCAATTTAGATATATTTTTATTACCTATTTTGAATGTGATTCCTTAGGTTTAGATAATATAATCTGGAGGATTTAGTCATATTACACTTTAGACTTAATTATGTTCCAGAATATTAAGTATCTTAGATAATATTTAATGTGTATTTTTTATCATTATACTTCAAATTGTAAGGTACATGTGCACAACGTGCATGTTTGTTACAACATGTGCCATGTTGGTGTGCTGCACCTCATTTAATGTGTGTTTGAAAAGACTATTCAGTAGTTGTTGGTTGTAGTGTATTATTAATGGTTATTAGGTAAAGTTTGCTAATAGGCTAATTCACATCTTCTAAATTCTGACCTAGTTTAGTCTACCTGTTTTACTTTCTCAGAGTGGAATGGTATAGCCTCTACCTATAATTGTTGATTGATTCCTGTTAATTCTGTCAGGATTTCCTTTCAGTTCTTCAGGTATTTGGAAGCGCTGGTAGTGGCATACACGTACAGGATTTTTATGTCTTTCTTGTGAAATGATTCTTATTATTTGAAATGACCTCCGTTATATCTAATCATGTTGTAATAAACTTGGGTCCTGATACTAATAGAGACTTCCCAGCCATCATATGATTAGTGTTTGCATGATGTGTTTTTACATGCTTATGTTTTTAAATCTGTTTCCATTCTTTTCTTGTTTGCATTATTCCTGATGCACTGTCACCATTGTTCTTATTTGTTCTTTTGTGCATTAAGTGACTTTTTTCTCTAGCTGCTCTCAAGATTTTAATTCTTGATTTTTAGAAATATTGTTATGATATACCTCATTATAATTTCTTTATGTGTATCCTAATTAGAGATTATTAAGTTTCTTTGAATTTGTGGGTTTGTATTGCTTAATAAAATGTGGAAATTTTCCACTATATATTTCTTCAGTCATTTTATGCCCTCTCTTCTGGAACTCTAACTCCATGTATGTTGGACTGGCTGACGTTTTATCACAGTCAATGACTGATGCTTTGCTCATTTATTTTTTTCTCTCCATGTTTCAGTTTGGATAATTTTAATTGTGATGTCCTAAAGTTTACTATTTTTCTTCTGTTAAGCACAGCCAGTGAGCATTTAATTTAGATTTTGTACTTATAGCTTTAAAGTTCCGTTTTATTTTTTCCCAATGGTTTCCATTTCCCTTTATCCTGATTTATATTTTCCTTCAAATCCTCGAATATATATGCTAATTCCATTTTATTTTTCATTTATATATATTTCTGTGGATATATTTTCTCCTGCTTGTGGGTCACATTTCCATGAATTTTCAGTAGTCTACTGTTTTTTGTTATATGTTGGTCGTCGTGATTATCATATTGTTGAGTTTCTAGACGTTGGTATTTTCCTTTAAAGCAGATTGTATTACTTTGTGGCAACAATTGAAACATTTCAGGGTTAAGATGATCTGCTTAAGCCCTGTTTTAAAGTATTTTAGGCTAGACTTTGTGGAGCCAGTACTCTAGAAGTAGCTTAGTTCTACTTCACCGTTTTGGGTTTTTTGGGGTCTGTATTGAATATTCCAGTTACTCAACAAATCACTGTACTCTGCCTTAATGGAACTTGGAAATCTCTCAGCAACCTGAGTTCTGGTAGCGTTCCAGTTTACCACTCTCCAGTAGTTGTTGTTTCCCTCTCTAAGATTAGCTTAGTATTCAACTACAGACTCAATGGGACACTTATGCTGATGTCTGGAGCTCCTTCTATGTAGCCTCCTGTTCTATAATAATCTGACATAAACTTTAGCCATCTTAACTCCTGTAAAGTTGCGTATGTGTCTTCATAGC
Source organism: Homo sapiens (assembly GCF_000001405.40). NCBI lineage: Eukaryota > Metazoa > Chordata > Mammalia > Primates > Hominidae > Homo > Homo sapiens. The sequence goes on from NC_000021.9 coordinate 21,152,940, forward strand.
ACATAGAAACCACTGTGCCATTTTCCCCCTCAGTATTGTGTCTGGTAAGTGTCTCCAGGAAGAAAGTCAGGGTGATCTAGTTTTTCCCCCTTCTCTCAGGGATTAATATTCTCTACTGCCTGTTTACCAGATGTGACAGTATTTATTTTTTATTTCTGTTTTTTAGTTGTTTAGATGAAAGGGATTGTCTGGAGTCAACTATACCGTCATGGCCAGCCATGGAAAATTCACTATTTTTTTTTTTTTTGTAATAATGTATTAGTAATTGGGTGCCTTTACAAAGCTCTTTCCTTTACATCTGGAAGACAATTCCATTATCATTTTGTTTGACTCTTTCAGATCTTAGTTTAAATGTCATTTTTTTTTTCATGAAGCTCCCTGGAATCTGCATGTCCAAATGTCTTCTTTATATGCTGTCAGTATTCTGTGCTTTCTCCATAAGTGAACTTACACTACTATGCTGTGTTTATTTGCCCCTTGCCTTGTATATATGCATAACTGAATTACACACAACATAAATATATAGAAATGTATAATATAATAGAAAAGTATGAAATATTGAGTACCATAAATGTGCATATTTAAATGAACGTTTGGAGGAGAAAGAAATCCATTTTAAGTAGTGGAAAAGCAAACATCATGACTTTTGTAAGACATGGTTGAATGTGAGCATTTTGGAATGGGAGGGAGCCACATTTTAGTCATGGTGGGGGGTACCGTGCGAACAATGGAACCAAAATTTGCAGTTTTGAAAACATATAAGTGAATGTTTGAATATAACTTGGGTCAAAATGTGAAGAGTATTGAATGATGGAGCTATGATGGAAAAGTACATTCAATCTATTAAGGGGTTTTGCAGTAAGAGACTGATGAGTTTAGATCATTCTGAAAGCATTTTAAAGGTAGAGGAGGTAGACTTAATTGGGCAGCTTTTAAAGTAGCTAGGTCAAAGTATGACAGCCAAATAAAGTGTGGGAGAGAGAGAAGGGGCATGTTCAAAGTGTATTCTTAATTTTTATTTTTCTTGGTTAAATATATGATTAAGTTTATAAATGAGATAGAGAATATGTGATAAGTGAAAAAAATGTTTTAGAGAAGAGGTCATATTATTTTTAGCATGCAAATTTGGAGATGCCTGCTGCATGTTCATGTATATTGTCTGTTTGGCACTTAAATTATGGGTTTCCACGATATATGGGGATAGAATAACAAGTTAGATAACATCATAAAGAAACAATCAGCCAAATCCATATGGGGGATTACATAGATAAAATGACTTATTTTATCTAGCATATCAATTATATGAGGAAAGAAACATTGTTATGGAATAAAAAGTTTTATGAGCTTTGGTAAAGAATGCAGTATGTGAAATTTCTTTAATCATGATATGCACAAACCAACTATAAATATGTTTTGGAAGCATTTAGGGAAATGGAATATGGATAGCATAGTATATGCTATTAAAGAAGGATTTTAACTTAATTAGTTGTGAGGATTTCATAGTGGTTCCATTAGAAAAGAGTTTTATATTAGTTAAAGATGCATAATGAACTTATAGATAAAATGATATGGTATCTCATATTTTCTTTAAAATACTGTAGCAAAGAACAATAAAGGAAAGACACAAAACGAAAACGACAACATTTTGATTATTCTTGAAACATGAGTGGATAGGTACATGGAAATGCTTTCTGCTACACTTTTCTTCATCTGTGTATATTTGCCATTTCTGTGACATTAAAAATAGAGTCTGCCCAGAAAACTCTTAGATATGTATATAGATTTAAGCTAAATATTTGTGTGTATGTTTATATGCATGTGTAGGATACTCTGAGTTACAAATTGTCTTAAATACCATTAGAATAGGGTATAAAAATAGAAGGTCAAAACCAGACATCTTGGAGCCAGCAATAGTTGAGGTTGTTGGAAAAATATTAGACATACAAGAAGCCGTACCACCATCTGGAAAAGTAGTAGTGGCAGGGAGTGGGCTTTTGCTATGGTAATGAAAATTAAAATTATGAAGAAAGGCAAGATGCAAGATGCAGCATTGTCTTGGTAAAATCCAAAAAGTGGCAACAGTTTCATATTGAGAGGAAAAAACAGGGGTAAATGCAGTATTGCAAACAAGATTTTGTACTTGGCTGAACAGGAAGGATAAATGGTAATGCCATCAACCAAAATAACAGACAGAGAAAGAAGTGTAGGCTGGGGAGGAACTATGATGGATATTGGTCTTATTGTAAGATACTACACTAAAGAAAAGGCACTTCAGAAAATGTTTGCCATGTGAGCCCTCACAAAGGTGAGTGGCAACCCATTATCTTTTCATACACTCTGAAATTTTGAGTCTGCTTAATTCCACTATTGAAATGTTTTGGTTTAAATATGTTTAAAAATTGTATTCCTGTAAATTTTCTCATTTTAATAGCAGCTCATTACAATGTTAAAATTATTTATATATGTGTCAAAGTCTTGTGGGTATTCCATTCTTTCTTTTTCCTTTTATTTAAACTTAATACTTGACACTCTGGTTTTGTGTTAGTTACTCATGATTATTCATCACATCACTATGACTAGCATAGTACTTGTTACTCTTTTTATATAAAATGTTCAATTCTTGGTTAAATAAATGGCTTATTAATGTTATAATGTAATCTTGGAGTTAACATTGGCTTTAGTATATGGTATGAGCTCCCTTTTCAAAATAATATCTTTAAATTGATAATGTAATAGAAACTATGGTTATATACAGCGTATACACAAGAGTTTCAGATAATTTAAACATAATTTGTGTAATTGCAGCACAATTTAGTTTGACTGTATTTTTACAAATTAAATGAGATACTGATTCTACTCTATACAACCATGGGAGCAAGTTTTTCAAAATAAGTTTTTAAAAAATATTTTCATTGCCTGTGAAGATGCAGAAAATACTAGCAGATACTTTGGGAAAAACCCCTTAAAATAGTCTAAAACCAGTTAATCTGTAATTAATTTAATTTGGCATGTGGAACCACTATCATACCCCTTCATTTTCATCTATGTGGAAGGTTCTTCTTACTTCAGTTAAGTGTTCACTGGTGAGTTTGTAGTAGTCATACTGTCTGCTTCCTGCCCTTGACTCAGTATCTGGAAAAGATTCAGAGATAATCCTAATCCATATTCAATCTCCACCAGTTCTCTAAGGCACTCATATACAAGAATGTCAAAATAAAAGAAGACTTGCTACTGTAGCATGCTTGTTCTGTAGTATTTCTGTCTCATTATAAAGAATGAAGCATTTTTTGTTTCTGTTTAGCAACATAAACAAACAAAAATAAAGTGAATTCCACATTATTCATCTTTGAACTCCAAAGGAGTAAATTTATTTTGGACACATTCAAACACTGTTGATGAGACAGTAATATATTCAAGAAGAACAACAATGTTTTGCCATCAAATCATTCATAATAAATGTTTGCCCTACCTATTTAGTCTGGGTATGCAGAGTATATAGGACAATACAAATACAGTATACCTAGTCAGAAAAAAAATAATTGCTTGATAATCCTATGAAAGTTATGTTAGTCTTTTGTTTGCATGGATATAGTAAACACCAAAGTTTTTACTATGGAAGTCAAGTGTAAATAGATAGATTATAGATAGATAGATAGATAGATAGATAGATAGATAGATAATTGTAGATATAGCTTTAGTTATATGTATCATATTCCCAGTATGGTATTCTTTAATGATATTTTTTAGAAACAACAGAGAAAATGACTTGAGAGTAACTGAACTTCATAAGGTAATTTCTTCCAGAAACCAGAATCATAATTATGTACAGAGCTATGGATATAAACCTAAACATAAAGTTACAATTACATGTGTAATGTATCTCGCAACAAAGACCATATAGGAAATATGATCCAGGCTTGACTAAAAAGATGACATGTGTTCTAATAAAGGCTTAATATCTTCTTATTCATTAACTTTCACCTCTCTTTTCTCCCTCACTGAACTAATAGCTCTTCTTTGTACAAAATCCCAATTATTATTGGTAAAAATTTCAAGTTTCTGCACCCGCAGGTTTTCAATTCATTGCAGAGCAGCAGCTGTATTCCTACAGATTTTTTTTTCACTTTTTTCTAATAGACTGTGTAAGATGCCTGCCACGTGTTCCTTATCCCCAAGGGTGACTACACTATTTGTCTGTGGACTCATGGCTGTATCTTTCACTCAACTAATATGTTACTCATTGTTGGGTTAATAGAAAGGAATTATATATTTCCCTGAATTTTGGCAAGAAGAGCAATTCACTACTTGAACCCGAGCTAAAATAAACTTCCACATTTGGTATAAAAATGAACACTTTGCTGTGCTCTAGGCAATACCTTTGAACATTTTTCCTTGGCTGCTGCACATGGCGTTATAGTCTTAACTATATTTGGCACATGATATTATAGATTACAGTCACTCTATGCATTAATGAAAATTCGGCTTTTGTATTTTTACAGATTATTTTGGAAGCCGATTAGTTGGTAGTTTTGAAGATACCATATAGGGTTATGATCAAAAAGCAATTACATATATAAAATTTTAGAAAGTAATCATATATCATCATCTTTGTACATTGTCAAATAAATGAAGGGGAGGAATTAATTTAATTACACTTTGTAATGTGTTCCCTCTTATAAAATCTCCAGAGTGAGATTTTCCTTTATATGGAATCATCTGCATTTAAAAAAAAACTTCGTAAAACATGCAAAGAGCAGCTGCCTATATTTGCAGCTGCAAGACAGACATTTTTACTACACAGTTTCTGCTTGAACCATGACAGGTGAAGTTTAAAAGGATTCATTCTAGGCAAAGTGGTTAGTCTTTAAAAAGTTTTGTTGTTGTTGTTCTTGTTTTATTTCTAGCCCAATCAAGCATCCTTTTTGGAAAGTTCTTTCTCCAGTTTCAGAAATGTAGAGCCTAGTTATGCTTCTCATTCCTCCTAATACAAAAGATGTTTGTATTTAATATGAGGGAACCAAGTAGGTGAAAGATTCTGGACTCTGAAGTCAGCCTGGGCCTGAACCTCACTTCTGAAACTTATTAGCCGTGTAATCTTCGGAAATTTAAATGTTTCTCCCTATGTTTGCTTATTCTGAAATAGTTGTTGAACTGCAGAAGGCATACGTATAGAATACTGGCAAAACTACCCTCTTAAGAATTAAACAAAATAATTTTAAAAAGACAGACTATGGAATATAGTGTGTACTGAATGTAATTTAGATTCTCTTCTATGTTAATCTGATTAATTATATTTTAAAATAGCACATTCACACTGTTTTACTTGAATACAGCTAAATGTGTGTATATATGGACCACATATACAAATATGGTCCCTTAAGATTATAATGGGGCCAGGCGCAGTGGCTCAGGCCTGTAATCCCAGCCCTTTGGGAGACCAAGGTGGGCAGATCATGAGGTCAAGTAATCAAGACCATCCTGGCCAGCATGGTGAAATCCCGTCTCTACTAAAAATACAAAAATTAGCTGGGCGTTGTGGCACGTGCCTGTAGTCCCAGCTACTTGGGAGGCAGGAGAATCGCTTGAACCCAAGAGGTGGAGGTTGCAGTAGGCTGAGATCGCACCACTGCTTTCCAGCCTGGCGACAGAGTGAGACACCGTCCCCGCCCCCGCAAAAAAAAAAAAAGATTATCATGGTTCTGAAATATTTATATCACTTAGTGACAAAGTAGCCATTGTAACACCTTAGCATATCGCATTACTCACCTGTTTATGATGACGCTGATGTAAACAAACCTACTGGGCTGCCAGTCATAGAAAAATATAGCACATATGTTTATATATAGTACATAGTCTTTGAAGATGATAATAAATGACTATATCTGGCTTATCTAGTTATTACTGTATGCTTTTTACAGTTATTTTAGAGTGTATTCCTTCTATTTATAAAAGAGAAAACGTAACTATTAAAGAGCCTCAAACAAGTTCATCAGGAGGTATTCCAAAAGCAGACCTTGTTATCATAGGAGAGGATAGCTCCATGATGTTATTGCCCCTGAAGACCCTTCAGTGGGGTAAGATGTGGAGGTGGAAGACAGTGATATTGATGATCCTCTCAGTAGGCCTATGCTAATGGCTAATGTGTGTTTGTGTCTTAGTTTTTAAGAAAAAATCTTAAGTATAAAAGGTAAAATAAAAAATTGAAAGTAGAAAAATTTGTGAGGATATAAATAAAAAATATCTTCATATAGCTGTATAATATGTTTGTGTTGTAAGCTATTATTACAAAAAGAGTCAAATTTTAAAAAATAAAAAAGTTATATAGTAATAAATTACAGTAAGCTATTATTTAAGAAAGAAAAATGTTTAAATAAATTTAGTGTAGTATAAGTTTACCATGTTTATAAAGTCTGCAGTAATATACAGTCAAGTCCTAGACAATCTCATTCACTCAAAACTCACTCACTGACTCACTCTGAATGAGGTCATGTCCTGCAAGCTCCATTTATGGTAATTGGCCTCTTCAGGTGTTCAATTGTTTATCTTTTATATTCCATTTTTGTTGGACCTTTTGTATGTTTAGATACACAAATAATTAACCATTGTATTACAGTTGCCTCCAGTATTTAGTATACTAACATGCTATACGTGTTTATAGCCTAGGAGCAATAAGTTATACCATATAGGCTAGGTGTGTAGTAGGCTATGCCATCTAGGTTTGTGTAAGTCCACTCTGACGTTCACACAATGACGAAATTGCCTATGAGTTTCTCAGTAAGTTTCTCTGTCATTAAGCAACACATGATACTCTCTCTCTCCCTCTCTCTCTGTATATATATGTTTTTGTGTGTGTATACTGTGTGCATATATTGTGTATGTGTGTGGTATTGTTTGATTTTTGTGGTTTAAACATTTATAATGTAAAAAAAATGAGTATACATATACATGTATATGTGAATTATATTCAACTCCAACATTGGTCTGGGTGAGAGATACGTACTGGGAAAGAAAGAGCCCCTAAACTATAGAAATTTGTTATTGCCTGAGATACGGAAGACCTGAGAAAAGTCAGTTTATGCTCATCGCGTATTCAAATATTTTGCGCCTTGGTAGATCTCAGTTAGACTCCTGAAGTTTTGATTTAGCATTTCTCAATAACAAGTCTTTTAAATATATGTACCGTGTAAATTTTCTGGCAGACTCAACTGTTACTATATTTTATTTAATTTTTGCAGTATAAATATTTTCAGCGTGTGGACATCATGTGGACAAAAAGACCAAAAGATAATGAATGAATGTTTGAAATAAGCATAAACAGTAGCTTACTTAGTAATGCCACTGATCTATATGCTTCTATAATATATAATTATCTATATACTTCTTTAATATAAATATATTGTTGTAGCATAAAATACTTGTTTTCAATACATTGCCATTGCAGGCAAGAATTTTACCAATTAGATTTCTAGTGAGTATTTGTGTTGTATTACAACTAAATATGAGAATGGCTATTTTATTAAAGAGTAATATTTATTTATTACAAAATATCCTAAAGTCTTACAATATTTTCTAAAATCTTTAATTTGAAAAAGCTTAAAATTAATTTAACAAACTTTAAAAGTGAAACAACTTAGGGACTATACTGCAGTCTCATATCAGTAAAATTGGATGAATCTCATCTGTGAAATCATTTCTTTATTTCTTACTATTTACATTTGGAAACTTAAATTCTATGCTATAGTGTTGTGTATGCAAGACAATACTGAGTATGGTAAAATTTCTAGGACATTGTATAAAATGTGAAGATACAGTAACAATATGACTTTATTAAATGGAGTATCTGCATTTCATATACACCATGAAATGTGAAAACAAGGACCCAATATCATAATTTTGATATGCAATGACATTCTGCTTTAATTATTCTATTTAATTGTTTGTTCTTGACTATATTATATTTGAATGAGCCCTATAGCACTGAATAATGTTGGAGAGATTTTTCATCCAGTCTAAATTATTGAGTTCAAATATTTCAGTATACGTAAGATCACTCCATACTGTAACAAAGAAGTCCCTGAAATAGTGATTGAGAACTTTGGACTATTAATGTATGTTTAGGTTTCCTGTTGCTATCTAGCACACCTCTGCTACAAAATGAAGGAATAAATTGTCCTGTGAATTAATTTAAACAAGAAAAGTTAGATCCTTGAAAAAATTTATAACACATGAATATTATTTGCGAATAGATAGGAAAAAGATCAATAATCTTAAGACAGAATGAAGATTAGGGAAACCAATGATTATAGAGAAAAAAAGATAAAAAATTTTAAGACGGAAAAAGGACTAAGTTAGAAATACAATGTCTGTAAGGCATTTGGTGCATTTTATTTATTTATTTATTTTATTTATTTATTATTTCATGTATTTGTTCAATAAACACGAACTGTTTACTATATGCCAGATTTCAGATTAAGCAATTGTGTGGTAGGGTTGTTTTTTAATATATTCACACCTAGATTGCCAAAACGATTATTTCAGATGATAGCCCACTGAAGCTGGACTTAACAACAATCTCATAATTGAGAATTGTTGAGAAATGTGAGGGATTGCAGTGCTCTCATTTGTGTGTGTGTGTGTGTGTATGTGAGAGAGAGAGAGAGAGAGAGCAAGATAACATGTATAGGATATATATGTGTGTATTTAAAAATATTTATGCAATATCCTGTGTCTGTCCTATTAGTGACATATACATGTGATATATCCATATATGTATATATATCTATTAGTGTTACTGGAAGGACCAATATATATGCAAACTCCATAGAGTAATTAGAAGAGCTAGGGAGCTGAAGGTGCACTTAGTACGTAATTGATAATTAACGCAGTCGGGCCAGGGGAAGGCTAAATGAGCAGAGATGTTGCAGTAGTCATGTCTATGAGGACAAGAAGTAGGTTATTGGGTACAGTTTAGGTAATTTTGGAATAATTTCTTTCAACGATATAATGGATTGTAAAATAGTTAAAAATATTTCATTTCATATTTGTTTCTTATTCACTCTCTGCATTATAGCTTTCAGAAATGAGGATTTTTGACAAAAGGGATTCTATACTAGGATCTTATTGTGTGTGTCACTGAACCATTTGATAATGTATTTAGAGATACTTATTACTTTGTTGATATTCCCATATTTAATTCACCTCATAGTACTTAAAGAAAACTTTATTTTGCCACATCCAGTTACAGAAACAAATTCAGGGAAGGATTTACTTCACACAGATATTTATCTGTAACACACTTGAAGTGTAATTATATTTTCACAAAATAAGTTCTAAGATATGATTTCAAAACCACTTTATAGAATGAATGACAACTCTACCGGCAAGTTAAGAAAAATATTTTTCCTATTAAATACAAAAATAAAATGGGTCATGAGTTTGAAAAATATACATAAAACATAAAGATGAATGTTTGCTGATTCACCAGGTTGTAAATTTTCATGAGCAGTTGTGCTTAAAACTTTGTTTAAATACCAGTTTAGCAAATTACTAGCATAAAATATATATCACAATTTACATATGACTGTGGGCTGTTAAGAGAATGGAGTATATTTGGATCAGCAGAAATTCTGTATGAAAAAGAAAGGTCCTCTCAAGTTCGTACAATTTGTCTCCACACATTTAGTGAAAAAGTCCAAAGTGTGCATTACTATATTCCAGTCTTATGTTTGACATATGTACTTAAATGATTGCAGCCATGGAAAAGAAAAAGAAGTTCTTGGTGATGATTGGCATGTATCATGGTTCAGACAAAGACCTGTAAAAAAAACCTGTCAGATTACCCAAAACCTTAGGAAACAAGTCATCGTTATTTCTAAAAGTTGCCAACATCAGCACTGATCCGAAATATATCCGTTATTGGTGAAGAAACCGGATTGATGTTTTATCTGTCAAAAGATATCATGAACAGTAGTTTAAGTTTGCCACTTAGAAGAAATTTGGCAGTTCCTGTGAGGAGATAAAACTGCTTTTATGAATAAATAAAAAAAGGGAAGTCCCAATTGCTTACTCAGTCCTTGTGCTTAAAATAATGAAGAGTCCAATTAGCATATTCTTTCATCCCCTTTTCTAAATACTAATGTTGAAGCAAAAAGAGATGTTCATATAATCATGTATTTCTGTCCTTGGTGTACAGCATTGAATTAATGATGTCAGGAATACAGACTAAGGAAATACATTCAGCAATTCCACTGAAGAAGCTTACAGTGCAGTAAAAATAAAGATAAATGCATTACATTCAGTGTTGACAGCCAAAATAGAGGTCGGTGATTACCTGTAGGAGAGAGCAGGTTGAGGTACTTCAAAGGCAGTTTACTGAAAGAAGGGAGGCTCTAGAGGGATGTAGGAAGGTAGAAGAGAGATGAAAAGCTCCAGTATTATCCAGAGTACAGCTAGTTTGTCTGGCCTTCTTCTCTGCTTTGCTAAATATGTTTTAATTAATCAGCACTCTTCCCTCTTGAAAACATTTTCGTTTGCTTTATTTTTTTTTGCTGAGGTTATTATTTATTGTTAGATTCAAAACATTGAATTGCCACAGTTTGTCTTTGCTATGCCTGTGTTGCTTGATATAACGTACATGAATTAAGCATTAATGAATTAGATCTTTTAAGAGTAGTTTTCTGTACAGTTACCAACATGACATGATAATAATAGTTTCTTGTTTGTACTTTTGTTTCTATTTGTTTGCTGAGTGTCAGGAACCGTTCTCAGAATTTACATGTGTTATCTATGTAATCATTACTAAAATGTTAAAAGAGAAATCACCATCATCACTGCTATTTTTCAGATAAACAAATTGAAGTGAGAAAAACTTAAGTAAATACAAAAGTTTCACATTTAGTAAGGTGGGACTGAAATACAATGCTATTTTTTTACTCCCAGAGTCTTGTGTTCTAGCTAATAATTAGTACAGTGGGACCAGTTTGGGTTCTGATGGCCCCAGTTTTCTCCTGGCCCAGTCTGTCTGGATTAGACCAATGCAATGGATGAGAATTAATAACGATTCCTGGAATCACTGCAAGTGTACTTGGAAGTCTCAACCAACATCCCAGGACCTAGAAAAAAAATCTATTTATATTTAGCAAGACTGGACAGCTGCCACCAGGTGGCACTAAATTCAATTAAAACTAGATGGCTGCAGTAGCATCCCTGATCATCCTTGGCTGGGCAAACTCAGCCTTATTTTTGCAGTACTGTAACTTACAGAATTGAAATATTTGCACTCCAATTGTCTTGCTATGATGGAATTTTCTGTATTTTTATTTGACATTGAAAAATATCTTGAAAATAGAGTATTACAATTTCATGGATGATTACAAATACTTTTTTGGAAAAACTATAGAAGTTTGACCTTTTGAAACAAAATGTTAGATTTGCAAAGAAGTTGAAAAGCCACTAATTTTAAATGTAAGGAATGACTGAATTACCTTTGCAAGATATTTGCAAAGAAGAATTGATATTGCCTGACCTTTCTAGTGAGTAACATAACCCCGAGAGACTAACTGGACTACCTTTGGTCAGATGACAGAAGTTAGCAGTTATCAAATGAGTCAAAATCTGTGTTTTCACAACTTTTTTGTTTCTCTACAAGGTTCTAATTTTAGAAACATCATAAAACCAAACGAGGCAATTACAAATTAACTTTTCTTCAGATTTTTTAAACCTATTATGAATTTTAGTTAAGTTTAAGTTAATTTATTGCAACTTCCATGCTTGTTATTTATTTTTTAATTGATTTTCTTATTGAAGAAATGTTAATTGAGTGATTACTCTATGCCTGGTGTTAGGGGTCAAATAGTGAATCAAACAGATAAAAACTTTACCAATGTAGGGTTTACTCTCATGTGAAGAAAAGACAGTTCACAGATAAATAAATAGAGTGACTATCAATTGTGTTAGTTTTATACATGCAACATGTAAGGGCTTAAGGTAACTATAACTACAAAAATTGATTGAATTTGTATCATATACCAGGCACTATCTTAAATGCACTGTTGTATTTAATTCTCATAACAGCCTTGTTTGAGTTTTGTTTTACTCCAAAACAATCCTTGGTTTTGGCAATTCACTAGAAAAACTCAGAGGACTCAGAAAGCCTGTGGTATTTATGGATACTGTTCATTCAGGGAAAAGATACAGATCAAAAGGGCAAAGGGAAATGGCAGATGGGGCAAATAGAAGCCAGACATACATTTCTTAGTGTCTCTTTCCAGTGTAATGACACTAGGACACACTTAATTTTCCCCTAAATGATGAATGACAGCACATGCAAAGTGCTGTCCACTAGAGTAGTTCCTCTGAGCTTGGGTGTCCAGAAGTTTTATCAGAGTCCCTTACCTAAGCATTTAGCACCCTCTAGACTGATTGAGCTACTCACTCCAGCCTCCTTCCAGAGCAAAAACAGATGTTCACATTAAATCACATGGTTTATCCAACTGCTACTCTGACCAAAGGCCTCAGGCATGCAAGTACTGGTGGCCAACATAAATACAGTGTGGCCCAGGGCCTCAAGCATACATAACCACGCATACTCTTACCAGGGAGAATATTCTAAGGAATAGGTTGTCTCTGAAAAGTCAACCAATTCTTTCTTTGGAATGTGCAGAGTTGGGGTAACCGAGGCCTGCTCATTTTTTACCTATTCCACCCATCTGGCCCTTGGCATACACTCTCTTACAATAAAACTATCATATTTTCCTGAGCATTTATATTTATTATAACATTTATATTTTAATCACATTTATATTTAATCACAGAACAAATCAGTAAAAATTACAGGTGTATTTTCCCTGCCTTCCCAAATGAATTGGCCCTTGTACATATTCAGGATATTGTTATAAGTCATTACAATTCATTATCTCTGGGTTATAAGTCATTTGGGGTCAAAGCAGTCTTTGTGCCTTGGTCACAGGCTTGTGCTAAGATTGCTATAATTTAATTTGACTATGCTATGAGAGCTCCCCATAACCTTTCCTGTTTAATGATGGGGCCATTCTCTAAGGGAATTGGGACCCCCGCTGTGATGCCTATTGCTTTATTCCCTGAGAAACCTATTGTATTTTTCAGGTCTGCTTAATAGCTTTTCAGGCACCAAAACAAGGCAATACATATTTGTACAAAGAACACATTGGCATTTAGGGCATACAGCTTCCTGTTTAGTACATTATAACCTGGAGCGCCTTTAAGCATTTAGTCATCAAGACTTATATTATTTATTTATTTAATTTTTTGAGACGGAGTCTCGCTCTGTCGCCCAGGCTGGAGTGCAGTGGCGCCATCTCAGCTCACTGCAACCTCCGCCTCCCAGGTTCAAGCAATTCTCTTGCCTCAGCCTCCTGAGTAGCCGGGATTACAGGCGCCCACCACCACGCCCAGATAATTTTTGTATTTTTAGTGGAGACGGGGTTTCACCATGTTGGTCAAGCTGGTCTCGAACCCCTGACCTCGTGATCCATCTGCCTCAGCCTCCCAAAGTGCTGGGATTACAGGCGTGAGCCACCGCGCCTGGCCTGGTCATCAAGACTTATACAATGATAAGTTTCCCAGAAGTTGTATACCATCATATTCTCTGATGGGCCATTTGCAATAGATGTAACCAGAACAATAAGAGTCAGGAGACTCTTGCTAGAATTGCTACAATTCCACTCAGTCATTAAAAGTTACTTACTTTTAATATTATACATTGCTAGAGTTCCACCCAGTCATTAAAAGTTATTGCAGATCATCATCACATTGTGTGACCACATTGTTACGCAGAATGATGCCTCTAGGTTTACCAGATTTTTATTTGAATTTGCTAGGTTCAAATAAAACCACTCTCTTCCTGCTACATGGATTCCCAAGCAGTAATTTGTCTTTCAACATATTGCATCTCTCTCAAAAAGTTTGGTGGAATAGAATCTTTCTGGTCAGTCACAAAATTCAGACTAAACGCCATTTCATCAACTTATATTGATAACCTGTATACAAATATTTAAATATTTTACCATAACCTGCTGACTACCCTTCTCTAAGTATTGCTTTATCTCCAAATTATGCTATTAGTTTTGTTGTTTTATGTCCCTTCTCTTTCTTTTATGTGATTAACCTTTATGTAAATGGCTTTCTAGATTTTTTTAGTTGTGTTTTGGGGGTGATCTGGGAATTACTACTGGGTGAGTGGGTGGGAATTAAAGTGAACGTTCTTGTGTTGTTTGCAGAGAGGACTGCCAGTTTTCTCTCTCTCTCTCTCACCCTCCCCTTGAAATCTATTGTGCTTTATTATCAGATCGCTAAAAATTTTAGCCATGATTAGATGTAGATTTTGAAGAAAAAAAGGATAATCCAATATATCTGTTTACTTCTATATAATGGTTTACTCTTTGGTTTTAGTTTGAATAGCATAAAAGAGATATTTATAATATATTTTTCTTAAAATTTTATAAGCTTGAACTTCAGGAAACAGAAAAAAAGAGCACAGTTACCTAAAGTAAGCATAATAAAACAAATACATCAATGAAATTTAAAACAGGAAATCAAGAGAGAAAAATCAATGTTTAATAAGATTAGATAAGAGTACTAAGATTGACAAACTTCGTTCCATTCAGGGTTCCTCAGAAAATAGAAAAAAGAAACAGATGATTGATATCAGGAATGAAAGTGGAGGCATCACTACAGATCTTATGGACATTAAAATCATAAAGGAATATTGTAAAAATTATCTGCTTACGAATTTTATAACCTACACAGAACACACCAATTCCTTGAATGACACAATCTTCCAGAACTCACAAAAGAAACAGATTATCTGACTAGGCCCTTATTAAATAAATTGAATCCGTAAGTAATACAAAATAGAGAGTGCCAATCCCATATAAGTTCATGGGTGAATTATACCAAACATTGAAGGAAGTAATTACACTAATTCTCCATAATCTCTTTCAAAGTATAGAAGCAGAGGGAATCCATCCTAACTAATTATATATGGTCAGCATTACCCTAATACTAAATTACATGAAGATATTATAAGAAAAAAAACTACAGTCCAACATAGCGCATAAACATAGACGCAAAAATCCTCAACAAAATATTAGCAAATAGCATCCAACAATATATAAAAATATTTTTACTTTACAACCGAGTGGGACTTACTCCGGGTGTGTAAGTCTGGTTCAACATTTGAAAATCAATGATTACATTTCCTCATATCAGCAGGCTAAAGAAGGAAAACACAGGATCCTAGATACAGAAAAAAAATCTAATAAAATCCAACACCCATTCATGATAATAATTCTCAGCAAACAAACAATAGAGGGTAACTTCATCAGCTTGATAAAGAACATCTACCAAAACCTACAGCTAACACCATACTTGGTGTTAAATTAGAGCCTTCCCATTAAGATTCGGGAGTAAGCTCAGGATACCCCTTCTCATTAGCGCTTTTCATCATTGTACTGGAAGTCCTTGCTATGCAATAAAAAAATAGAAGAAAGGAAAAGACATACAGACTGGAAAGGAATAAATAAAACTGTCTTTCTTCACAGATGACAGGGGTGTTTATTTAAAAAATCCAAAGAATCAGCAACAGAAACAACAAAAGCTTTCTAGAATTAATAAGCAATTATAGCAACGTTGAAGATTATAAGGTTAATGTGTGTCAATTACTTTCTTACATATTAGCAATAACCAAATAAAATTTGAAACTAAAACACATTACTATATTAATACTTTCCAAAATGAAATATTAGAGTATAAATCTAAAAAAGTCTAAGAGCCATATGAAGACAACTACAAAACTATGATGAATGATATCAAAGAAGAACTAAATAAATTCAGATACATTCTTAGCTTACGTGTAGGAAATCTGAATATTGTCAGGATGCCAGTTTTTTCCGACTTTATCTATAGATTCAACATAATCTCAATAAAATCTTAGCAAGTTACTCTGTAGCTATCAAGAAATGGATAGCTAAAGTTCATGTGGAGAGGCAAAAGACCCAGAATGACCAATTCAATATTGAAGCAGAAGAACAAAGTTGGAAGACTCCATTATTAGACTTTAAGATTTACTATCTATCTGCAGTACAGACAGTGTTGTTTTGAGAAGAGGATACACAAATAGATCAATGAAACCGAGTAGAGATTCCAGAAGTAGACCCACATCATTATAGTCAGCTGATCTTTGATAAAGGAGCAAAGGTAATATACTGGAACAAATACAGTTTTTACAACAAATGATATGGGAGCAACTAGATATCCACTTGCAAAAACTGAATCTAGACAACGACCATAAATCCTTCACAAAAATTAATTCAAAATGGATCGATCGTAGCCCTACATATAAAATGTAAATCTATAAAACTCATAGAAAGAAGATAACAGGATAAGATCTACATGACCTTGTGCATCATAATGACATTTTAGGTACACCAAAGGCACAATCTGTGAAAGAAATATTTGATAATCTGGACTTCATTACAATTGAAAATTATTTCTCTTGAAAGACCCTGTCAGGAGAATGAGAAGTGAAGCCACAGACTGAGAAAAAAATATTTGCACAAGATACATCTGATAAAGAATTGTTATCCAAAATATACAAATAACTCTTAAAATTCAACAATAAGAAAATCAATAACTTGATTAAAAATGGTCAAAACCCTGAGGAGACACCTCACCAAAGAAAATATACAGACAGCCAGGCATGGTGGCTCATGCCGGTAATCCCAGCACTTTGGGAGGCTGAGACTGGAGGATAACTGGAGCCCAAAAGTTTGAAACCAGCCTGGGCAACATGGTGAAATTCATTCTCTGCAAATAAAAAATAAAATATAAAAAGTAGCCTGATGTGGTGGTGCACACCTTTAGTCCCAGCTACTCAGGAGTCTGAGGTGGGAGGATCGCTTGACCCCAGGGAAGTCGAGGCTGCAGTGAGCCAAGATCATGCCACTGCACTGAAGCCTGGGTGAGAGTGAGACCCCGTCTCAAAAAAATAAAATAAAATATACAGACAGCAAATAAGCATATGAAAAGATATTCAACATTATATGTCATTAGAGAATTATAAATTAAAACAATGAGATACCACAGCACCCTTATTATAGTGGCCAAAATCCAAAACACTTGACAACAAAAAGTGCTAGTGAGGGTGTGGAACAAGATGAACATTCATTCATTGGTGGCGTGAATGGAAAATAGTACAGCCACTTTGGAAAACTGCTTGGGACTTTCTTACAAAACTAAGCATATTCTTAATATATGATCCAGCAGTTTTACTCCTTGGTATTACCCATATTAATTAAAAACTTGTGGCTGCACAAAAACCTACGTGTGAACATTTATAGTGACTTTATTTAGGATGTCCTGTAGATTAATTAGTAAATGGTAATACATCCAGATAATGGAATATTATTCAGCACCAAAAAGAAATGAGCAGTCAAATAATGAAAAGTCATGGAGGAAACTTAAGTGCATATTACCAAGTAAAGAAGCCAATCTGAAAAGACTACCTACATATGATTCCAAGTATATGAGACTCTAGAAAAGGCGAAACTCTGGAGACAGCAAAATGATCAGTGGTTTCCAGGGTTTGCAAGGGAAAGGATGAACAAGGGGAACACAGAGGCTATTTAGGGCAGTGGAATTACTCTGTTTGATACTTCAGAGGCTATTTAGGGCAGTGGAATTACTCTGTTTGATACTTAAGTGGTGGAAACACATGTCATTACATGTTTACCAAAATCCATGGAATATATATTCTGAGTGAACCTTAATGTAAGCCATAGACTTTGCATGTTGTTGATGTATCAATGTAGGTTCATCAATTGTAACAAATGCATCACTGTGGCATAGGGTGTTCCTAGAGGGGGGAAGGCTGTGCTTGGTGTGGGGACAGGGCTATATGGGAACTCTCTGCACTTTCTTGTCAGCTTTGCTGTGAACTTGAAACAGCTCTGAAAAATCACATTTATTGATTGCTAAAAAAAAATGTTACGAGTTGTGAACTTCTGCCTTTCATTTAAAGGGTTTTGGAAACACTTTTCAGCTTTAAATTTGATATTGTAATAGATTACACAGTCAATTAGACAAGGGTGTGGTAATACATTTATAATGTGATACTTTCAGCCACTGTTATGATTAATTGCCATGCATTAAACATTGGCTGAGAAATGACACTTGAAAATGATGATGGGATTATTACTATTAAGCAGGTTCTAAGCTGGGGTATGACAAGGACTTGTAGCATGTTTTCTTAAGGAACTATTCCAAACTACAAATGCCTATGCAGCAATGTTCAGTAAAAGATGAAGCATATACAATTTAGAAAAAAAATTAGTTAGAACTAAACTGTAATGAACACTCATGTTTGCTAGGCACTGATAGTAAGAGGATTTGCATGAATAATGTTATTTAATCCTTCCTTTATCTCTATTTGGTAGGGTATATTTTGTCTTGGTCTGATATTGAGAAAACTGTGAGGTACTCAGAGGTAAATAAATTGCTCTAAGTCACACAGAAAATGTTGAAGTCAGGTGTCAAATGGTCTCGCCTCTGGAGTGTACCTTGTAGCAATTTTCTCATACTGGTTCCCACTTTGCTGTGTTGTTTTTCTTAACCACCCTTGACTGCCACAGACTGGAATAGCGAGGGCACTGAGTTTTGAAGAAAATATTTGATGCTACCATTTTTCGAGGTCAGTAGGCATCTGACAAGATTGGTGGGCAAAGAAACAAAACAATAAGGAATATTTTGAAAATCTTTTCTGTAGCTAAAAGGTAGTAGAGTACAGTTGATTGAATTACAACACAGGATAAATTTATTGTACTCGAGAATGCTAATGGGGATAGAATCAAAGGTCAATATTCAATCAACAGAATTTTTTTTTTCGCTTGGTAGGTTAAATGGAAGGAATTATGCTTATTAGTATAGTGCTATAGCTTGCACATTATTTATATTTCCAAATTGCAAGAACTTCAGTCCCTTATGTTTTAAAAAGCCTAATCACTGTAAGCAAAATAAATAAATTTTATGTCTTTTATCCTCAAATAACCTTAATAAATCAGCATAACACACATGGGCTGTGGCTTTTCCACATTTTGACTTTTTTCCTCATCAAATATAGATCGTATTTTTTTTTCCTTTTTTTTCTGTGTAGTCCCCTATTTAATGGGCATTTGTTTCCAATTGTTTTCTGACAGAGGAATGACAATATCATCAGTTTGGTAAATTAAGAGGAAAAAATAACAGATTTTCACATACTGGAACCTCAGGCCAAAAATTTTAAAAAAGTTTTTAGATGCACTAGTACCACCCTTATTTAAGAATATTATAATATTTGTAAGATTTTACAAACCTTTAAACCATAAAATGAACTTCCTTAGACATGTGTTTCATTTTGACCTAACATGTTTGAATCATGAGGAGATTTTTTTAAATGTCTTTTTTCCTAAACTTTTTATTCTAGTCATGTGCCATCTGTAAGTCTGAAAAGTTCTGTAAAATGACACTTTAAAATAACTCTTTCTTAGCATATACTTTACATGTACATTGCATATTGCATAGTTTTAGTCATATATAACTATATAATCACTTGATTGCCATTTATAAAGTTTGGCATAATTATATGTGAGAAGCAAGTGCATTGGTTTAAAAGTATTTCAGCCTTTAACTGGATAAAGTGTTTTCTCTTACTTACTAAATGACACTATCAATTTTATCTAGAGCTGCAGGCGATTCATTAATACTTTAGTCATTGAATATATGACATTTAAAATATCTAACTGAAAATTGGACACATATACTGCATCAAACATGCTATTGGCTGAGATTTTTCTTAAAATTTACGGACATCTGTAGTCTCTTCACATATACTTCTCAACTTATTTTCCAAATGTATATTTTATAAAGAAGAACTACTAAAGAAATAAATTAGAAAATAAAATATTTTTGTTTATTTCACTTTTCCTGTTTGATCTTTTACTGCTTTAAAAATTTACCCTGTAATATTATTTATGAGACTCAATAAGGGTGGACTTGACTAATAGTTATAGTGTGAAATGTATCTTCACTTCTTGCAAGGGACTTTGAGAGTGCAGAGTATTGTAAATAATTAATGTAACATTATGCCTGAAGCATAGAGGGTATTCAAATGTTGTAGAAATGAATTAGAAAAATTATTCCTTTTTTTGTGTATTTAGTAACACACAAGAAAATTTAACTACTGATGGTAGAAAGATATCCCAGGGAATTATATGTAGTTAGTCGCTAATTCATTGGTGTTCATTGGAAAGAAAGTGGACAATGTTCAATGGAATTAAATGTGACAAGTAATGTTATGAAGAGTTATGTATAGTATTATACTTCAGAGCAGTTGCATTTCAGAGTAATACAGACTTGCTTAGAGGCACATTAATAGACTTTTTTTTCCGTTTCATTTATAAGGTTGTCAATAGCAATGAACCTTGTATTTAGTTAGAAGTGTACTACAGCAGTGAAGTCTGAAATAATGTATTTTCTGCACCTTCACTTAGTGAACCTTGAAAGACAGAGTAGTGAATGACCATGAGAGTATTCTTATGGAACATGCTAAACTGAGTTTATTTAGTTGTTTCCATAGATTTCCTTAGGGTAAGGCAAGAACTTATCTCTAAAGGAAATGCCATAAAACCTCTTTTGAGAGAGGCATAGACAGTTGGATGTAAATACACTCATATCCTGCTGTATTAAATCCTGAATCATCCTACATCTTTGGAATAACGATTAGCATGCTTAGATAAATAAACATCCCAGATGCGCTGCAAACTGTCATATATGTCATTTTTTATCAATGAGACCTTTGATGAAAATTGAGGCTACAGCATAAAGATTCTGTGTGGCATAATTAGCATACCCAGAGGCTTGAAGGGTTGCAAGACCTAGGATTGGCATACAGGTGTGAAAATTAGAGGTTTAAATAAAACCTGTTTTTTTTGAGATGGAGTTTTGCTCTTGTCACCCAGGCTGGAGTGCAGTGGCGCAATCTCAGCTCACTGCAACCTCCGCCTCCCGAGTTCAAGCGATTCTCCTGCCTCAGCCTCCCAAGTAGCTGTGATTACGAGCGTGCGCCACTACGCCCTAATTTTTGTATTTTAGTAGATACGAGGTTTCACCATGTTGGCCAAGCTGGTCTCGAACTACTAACCTCAGATCGTGATCTGCCTGCTTCAGCCTCCCCAAGTGCTGGGATTACAGGTGTGAGCCGCTGCGCCTGGCCAACAAAACCTTTCTTTAAAGAGTCAGCCATCCATTCCTTTGCATGGATCATATTATGTGATAGGAGTACTAGATTTAACAAATAAAACACAAGATGCCTAGTTAAATTTAAATTTCCGATATGTGATGAATGCTTTCTTTGAACAGTATAAGTGTCTTTCACGCAATATTTGGAACATATTTCTAGGAAAAAATATTAGTTTTTATCTGAAAAACAAATTGAACTGGATATCCTGTATTTTCTCTAGCAAGCCTATAGTGAGACAGCTTGGGACAGACAAGGATCAGCATCATTTTTGCCACATGACTAGTGCTGTCTAAGGGATAATGAATTTCCCACAGACTATGTTTCTGGAAGGCAATAAGTATAAATTTTATTTTTAAATTGAATTATAACAGGAAATATTTGCTGAGTGCCTACTTGATATAAGAAATCCTGTTAGGTGCTTGTCAGGGAACAAATAAAATTACTGCCTTTAGGGAGAAAACAAGTTTAGCTAGGAGACAGGAAATTAAAAAAAAATAAATAAATACCAATAATACAATTACAAATAAAGAAAATTGTTATGAGAAAAGAGAGCTATCTTTAAATAGAAAGGCCAGGGAAGGGTTAACTGAGAGGATATGTTTTGAGCTGAGGAGTGAAGATAAAGAATGATCTGAGATAGTCATGTCCAAAGCTAAGAAAAGAGCTTTCTAAGGAGTGGGAATCTATACATAATAATACCGTAAATCAAGAAAGAACTTGACATGGAGCGTAATGGATAATTATTTCTAGAACATAGTGAAAAATTATATAGATCCTTGCAAGTCACAGTAATAAAGTTTTTTTTTCTTTAAAAAGAAAAAGGATGGCTTGAAACAGAAAAATAACATAATTTGATATGTCTTTTGAGATGAGTCTGGTTAACAGAATAGATGGTAGAAGAGCAAGATCACAAACTGGGAAACAAGTCAAGATGTAAATTCAGTAATCCGGGGTCAGTGGGTGGGGAAGGCTGATGATGGTAGACTTGAAAAACTAGGGTGGTGGCCGGGTACCGTGGCTCACGCCTGTAATTCCAGCAGTTTGGGAGGCCGAGCCAGGAAGATCATGAGGACAAGAGATCGAGACCATCCTGGCCAACATGGTGAAACCCTGTCTCTACTAAAAATACAAAAATTATCTGGGCATGGTGGCATGCACCTGTCTTCCCAGCTACTCAGGAGGCTGAGGCAGGACAATCACTTGAACCTGGGAGGTGGAGGTTGCAGCAGGCTGAGATCGTGCCACTGCACTCCAGCCTGGGCTACAGAGCGAGACTCCGTCTCAAAAAAAATAAAAAAAAATAAAATAATAAAACAGGGTGGTAACATTAAAGATAGCAAGAAGTGGATTAATTTAAGGTTTGCTTTGGAATTAGTGAGGAGGGCATGTAGAAACCGTTAAGGGTTTAGTTGTTAGGTCTGATAGAAAATGAGAATGAATCAGGCTGATTCTGTATTTTAGCTGAGAGTACCTAGTGTATTTATTCAGAGAAGGAAGCCATGGAGAGAAGAGATTTGTGAAGTAAAATTCAGTGTTAGTGATCAGTAGTGACAAACTGATTTGTACTGTGGTAGGTATACACATTACTTCTGGATAGATTCCTAAAATGAATAACCTAACATTTCCATCTGATCCCCAAAACAACCAATTTTATGTGTTTAACCTTTTGTTTCCTTCCTTGTCCCCAGAAGACTAATTCTCTGCAGAAAATGTGGTTTAAAACAGAAATGCCTGCATTAACTTTCACTTTCAGAAACGTCCAGTATTTATTCTAAAAAAGTGCATTAGATGTTCTGTGAGTTACCAAGAATACAGAAAACTAAAAAGAAAGAAAGGAAAAAGAAAGAAAAGCATTAGGGTAGCTGAGATACCACTGTGACAAACTGGGCTCTTTCAGTTAAGAGATAACACCTGTGAATTATTGGAAGCACTAGGCTATTTGTATTACTGTGTTACCATCTCTGAATCACTTGACTGGAACTCTTAGATCAAATCAATCATACATTATAAGCCTGTATTGATAACACAATGCCATTTCCAATGTATTGGACCAAAAGTATCATCAGAATAATTCAGAAAAAAACATAAATACTGAGAAATGAGAGTGTCATAGCAACCATCTATATATAGTTGAAATATCCTCCTAATGGTGATGGATAATCATAACTGCATTTCCTTATTAACCATCTATCTTTCATATATATTGCTAATTTGGTGTTCTAACAAATTCTTGCCTAGTATCAATCTAGTTTTTACAAAATATTAACTCTAGAGTTTTTCTATGAAAATGTAAATGGATACTTGACACATTTATTACAATGTAACATAGATTATTGAAACATGAACAAAATAAGAGTCAAAATATTTTGAGGGAGAAATTAATAACATTTTAAGACAGTTTTTAAGTCAGAATATTTTAAAAGTGTTTTTTTTGAATTTTGTTTTCCATCAGGAATGTTTGAAGTTATTTCCTAAATAAAAATATTATATATTTCATTTTCCATGTTAAATACAATCAGGAAATTAAAGCAAAGTTTTGTTTAAATCAGCATTTATCTGTACTAGAGAATTGCTGTACTAGTTACTTATGGCTCAGGATTATAGAACTGTTTGTTGATGGAATAGTTAAAAAAAAAAGGCAAAAAGAAAACAACAAAGGCTGGAAGTTGAAATCTCCTAACAGACATACCTATTATAACCAAAAATTACACCTAAATATAAATGTCTAGCCTGTATTCAATATCAATGCCTATTTACTTAGAACATTTATAGTTACTTTATTGGATCAACTATACTTAATTTATTCTGTAAAGGCAATTTCAGCCACATTTTAAAAAGTAAGAAAGAGAATATATTGTAGGAGCAATTGTGAAAGTTATCTCCCAGTGAACTTTTTTTATTCAAGAAATCTTTAGATACAGCAGAAACTTAAATGAAAATCGTGTGTAGATCCTATGTTTACTAATTCAGTGCTAGCAAATTATATCCTACAAATAAATCAGTGTTAAACCCTGTTTGTTATTTTCTTTTGTATTTACTATAACTACTTTCTAAATATGTATTTGCTTAAAGATTTCACCCATCATATATCTCTGACTCAAAATCCATATTTATTCATATCTTTAAAAGTGCATTTGCAGATGTCTAGAAACATACTATTACATGCTTCATTGGGTTTTTATAAACAGTTTTAGAAATATTTATTAATTAGCATTACCAAATGCACCTGAAATGCTCACCATTTCCCATGAACGACAACCAATTATAAGTGAATTATAGTGTTTTTATTGCATAGTCATCTATGAATAGCACATGTCACATATATATATTTAAAGTCAGTAAAGTGAAAGGAAGCCATGTATGACATTAATTTTTAATGAAATCCTTATTTTATAAAAAGTAATGCCATGTTAACATGTGTTCCTTTCCCTTTCCATTTCTCACCTACTCTCTTTCTCTCCCCTCTCCTTCTCTTTTTTCCCTCCCTCTCTCCCTCCTTTCCCTTCCCCTCTCTTCTCATCCCCTGCCCTCCCCACTCTCCTCTCTTTCTTCCTTCCTTTCTTCCTTCCAACAATGAACTGGACACTTTCCTCTCAATGAAATGAATTGCACTTTATCTTCCTTGTTGTATTGACCATAACTGCTTTTGCCATGGGACAATGTTAATTATAGGTAAGTTTATAAAATAAAAATAGAATATTTTGTTTGATAATGTCTGTCACATATTTTATAAAAACAGTTTATATATTTTTATATTTGATTTTAGATGGAATAGGAATTAAGGTCTGTTTTAATGTCATTGCATTGAAATTAATAATTTAAGTTGAAAGTAATTTTGTCTGATTAACTTAAACACAAGGGTATTGACAATTAGTTACAAAATAAAAACAATTTATTGCTGTTTTCTTCTTACAATGAAAAACATTTCACATTTTTTAAATCAAAGCAACTAATCTGGATGAATTAATTTATCTATATTTTTATTCCTTATAGAACAGTGATAAGGCTGAATTTCGTTGGTACTCTTGATTTTTCTTCTGCTAAAGTAAGAAGCAGAGAGAGAATTTGAGACAGAGCAATGACTAGTTCAGCTAGTGGTAAATATAGTCACTACTGCCTTCTTTTAATTTTAATCCAAACATTCAGATTTTTAAGTTAATTTCTGATTGCTTCATATTTTCCTCTACAATTTTTAATTTTTATATAAATGGTTCACTCAGCAAAGCAAAACCTTAATTTTCTGATTATTTTTCCAGAGAAGCAGATATTTTCTATGAAAGGAATTTAATACAAGAATATACTATACATTATGTTTATGCTATGAGCCAGACACTGAGGTGGAAAGAGATGAATTAGACATGCTTACTAACTTCATAGTCCAAGATCTCCATATCTGTATTTTTAATGTATGTTAGAATTAATAATATACCTTTACCTATATTAAATTATATAAGCTTTTATTCTAGTCTATATTATTTTACAGAAGTAGAAATCACTTAAAAGTATCATAATTACATTTTTAAAATAATATATTTTTAATATTTATTTTCTAAAAAATGATTACTATCACTACCTATGAAATGGTTCTCTTATGCTTGAGCTTCAGGCTTGAAGAGACTATACATTTTGGCAGTTCATCAGTATCAGATATTTGCATAGTACACGGTGAAATTTTCTCACAAAGGTGGTGTCTACCTTACAAGTCCATGAATTACTGAGGGTAGATTCAGAGATGAAAGCTCATAATATTCAAATGTTGTTCAGGCCAGAGGGGCTAACACATAAATTCTAATAATTATCAGAGCTTTCAGAGCTGCCTCTGAACTTTTATGCAAGAGTTTCACGAAATTAAGGTTTGACATGAATTCTAATGAATTTAAGGTTAGGAGACTTTATATCTTAATGAATTTAAGATTTAAGATTCATTCTAATGAATGAATGAATTTAAGCTTATGAACCTTTATATCTTAAACAAAGTAATAATTACCAGCTTTATCCTGATTTTTTTTTCAACAGCTACTTGGTAATGTCTACTAACTATATTTGCTGATTGTATTATTAAATTAATATTTTCTGATAGTCTACTTATTTCTTATGCTGTATATTTGAAAGCAGTACAAAGTCGAGTATACCCGAAACAAATTGAATGTTTTGCCTAGATTTCTTTTTTTCCTCCCCTCATATACTGTTTTGCCTTAAGAAATTGTTTTCTTGGCATGAAATCACTAATCAGAAATTCCAGTCAATTCTAAAGTGACATTCTCCCCACATGCTATTGGTGTTAACTATAATTAATCCCAACAGCTGTTGTCTTCTTTTATGTGTGACATTTGTCAAGAAGTCATCCTCGTAGTGTCAGCTAATTATTTTGTATCCGGACTGTTTTATTCAAACTAGAAAATATATTTACTTCCTTATAGAAGTAAACATCTCTGGTTAATATATGTGTCATTTTCAAGGGTAATAGACAGTTGTTTTCAGGTCAGTTTTTGCAAGTGCAGATGTAGGACGTCATGGATTGACTCCGGTGTAAACTGCAGTGTCAGACATATCCCCAGGATGTAGCACAGTGTATCCACAGAGGGCGTACTCATCTGTTGTTTCAGTTTTCTATTGATGTGTAACAAAACAAAACTAAACTTGGTAGCTTAACAGAAAAACAATTCATTATTTCTCATAATTCTGTTGGTTGATTGAAAATTCTCTTTCATTGTCAACTGAACGCTGGACTGCCAGACAGTCCCAAATGGCCTCCCTGAAATGCCTGACTGTTGGTGCCACTTGCCATCTGGGAGATCAGCTGGAGCTTTTGAGCAGGACTTCATTTGTCCTTCCTCTTGGCTTCTCCTCATCACTACTTGGCCTTCCTCACAGACTGATGGCTACCATCCAACAAAGGACGTTCCAATGGGTGCTGAAAAGCTGTGTAACTCTTAAGACCCAGACCTCAAAGTTACACAGTGTTACATTTTTCCAATAAAACAATTAAATAAAAAAATTAATTTTATGGATACATAATAGTTGTGCCTTTTATGCGATACATGTGATAAATTCTATTTAGATATTTTACCCATTTTTAATCAGATCTATTTGCTATTGAGTTGTTTGAGTTCCTTATATATTTTGATTATGAATCTTTTGTCAGGTGAAGAGTTTGCAAATATTTTCTCCCATTTTATAGATTGTTTCCTCACTTTGTTAATTGTCACTCTTACAAGATTCAATTTGTTGAGTTTGTGAGATGAGATTATAGTCAAATAGGTAAATCTACCTCCTGTTAACTACTCAATAATATAATTTATTTATTCAAAAAATGTTAATTGCTGTGTTGAAGATATAGATGTTTCCAGAGAAGCAGACATTTTCTATGAAAGGGATTTAATACAAGAAAATACTATACATTAAAGATTAGTTTTTTATCTATTCAAACATTCACTAATTAGTTTTTGCCTTGTTTCACAAGAGGTTAATGTATTTATTGTGGTTTATGATAAAGCACTCTAAAACAATACCATAAAATGAAGCAAGCCATCATTCTAGAAAGAAGGAAGAGTTATGTAGAGAAATGAAAACACTGTATTAGTGTCTCAAGCCTCAAACTGTACCAATGCTGTGAGAAATTCAGGAACAAAAAGTAATTTAGTATGAAGTTATCAACATGATATTTCTCAGAATTGTGTGGTATGTAGCACATGTATTTTAAAGAATGTTATGATATTCTGTGATCATGCCAAGTACATGAGTGGGTCATTTTCTTTTCTCATGAGTACTTTACCTTCAATGTTGCTGAAAACAAGCTATATTCTGAAACCTAACCTACTGATCAAACTATACATTTGCACATTAGAAAAGGGCTTGCTTCGATTACATTTTTAAAAATGTAAGCACAGTTTTGTATGCCTTTGCCTAGATATTTTTCCATTGTCTTGAGATTTGCTGAAATAAGGGAATATGGCAGTAGGAAGAAAAGGACTTTTGATTTGAGTTCTAATTTTTTATCATCTTTAATATATACAGCTACTGTATATATTTAATAGTTTCCTCTGTAAATAGGTAGTTAAATCTGTCTCTTTACCGACTTACCATTTTGTAGTCCATAAATAATCTCAGCATTTTATACAACTGAAAACCTATTTGGTATGAGAATGAAATAAGTAATGTTAAAGCAGAATTACATAGTTTACAATAACTAATTTGTTATCATGCTTACCCAATTACCAAAACCTTGTTGCATGCTTGTCGTGTGCGTTGTCAAAAATTAAAATAAAGTCTTATTTCTCTTAAAATATGAATTTTGTGAATGTGCCTATGACTGATGGCCACACATCCTTCGTAGGACAGCTGCTCATCAATTAGACCCTTTCCTATCTTAGGGCCTTTACACTTTCTGAAACTTCTACTGAAAAGCCTTTCTGCAGACACTTTCAGAACTCAGCTTCTTCATTCCTTACTCAGTTCTTTTCTGAAATGTTTTCTTCTTTGTGACCGTTCCTTTAGTCCTTCAATGTTTCTTATCCTCTTCCTTCGTTTTTTTTCCTGCACAATATTTATCACCATCAGACAGATCTTGTATTAATTTATCAGTCTGCTGCCTGTCTCCCTGTCCCATAGGATGTAATCTCTGTTACCACAGGAAATAATTTTTGTTTAATATTGTTCACAGCCAGCCTTGGTGGCTTATGCCTATAATCCCAGCAATTTGGGAAGCTGAGGTGGGAGGATTGCTTGATCCCAGGAGTTTGAGACCAGCCTGGGCAACATGGTGAGACCACCATCTCTAAAAAAAAAAAAAAAACAAATAAAAATATTGCTCATTACTGTATCCCGAGCACCTGGAATAGCTACCAACACATAGTAGTCACTTAGTAATAATTTTGAACAAATGAATTGATCATTTTTTAGGAAATGATAATTCAGCATTAAAATTAATGAAATATTTAACAAATATATTTTAACTGGTATTGATATAAACCTTCCCATGTTGATTCATGTAGAGTATTATTTAGTAACTTTATAATAGTGTTAAATTCCACAAGAGCAGTTGGAAATATATATTAGTTTCCTCATTGGCACATCTCACACAGTGTAAGAGGCAAACATCTCTACCATGAATTCTCTGCACAGTAGAAAAATGTTTTAATAAATGGTTAAGGTTGAGTGTGGTTACTATTTTCACATTAAATCCAGAATATGTGTTTTCAGATGAAATGAATTCCTCCAGTTTTACTCTGGTCTTAAGTTGCAGAGGCAGTAGCTTCAACTTTGATATTCATCTCTATTATCCCAGCTATTAATGTGATTCATGGTACTGAATAACATCTATAAATTTTGTCATGTGTCTGTTTTATCATTTTCATCAGTGTTTTGCTCTAGTTGAATTGGCTTTGATAAAATTTATATTAGCTATCTTCACCAACCCAATTTTATTTTAGCTCTTCAATTTAGAATGTTACTTCTCATGCAATTGCTATCATACCCCAGTGCACTGGAAAGGCAATATCTTTCTAAAATATACTGTGGTTATTATTTTAACAGAGATCAGCACTTGGCAACTTGACATGTTGGGCAGCATTGTTCCTACTAAGATATACGTAGGCCTCATCCAAATCGTTTTAGTCACTTACTCAAAGTGTTCTATGGAACATTTGCTCTTCTGTGAGACAAAATAAATAGTCCAGCAAAAGTAAGATAATTTGATAATTTTTAAAACCAAATTTTGAACGTGTACTTTTATAATGTTTGTATTAAGTAATGCAATACAGATGATAAATCCTTCCACCAGCAGTGACTGTGCATACATTCTGTGATAGACTTGTTGCTAAAATATGGTATGGGAATAAGTAGCCGTTTTTGAGAAGTTACTAAATCTTAGGCATGGTGCTAAGAATGTTATATAAATTACTTTTTGCAGTCTGTACTACAACCATATGAGACAGGCGTTTGTTTATTATTTCCATTTTACAGGAGAGGAAATTCAGGGACAACAAGGTTAAAAAATTTGCCTGGGTCACATAACTGATACATTATGAGGCCAGAATTAAAATGCTTGTGGTTTGACTTCAGAAGCAACTCTCTTAATCCTAATGCTGTGATGGCTCCCACATAACTGAATAACAGAGCCACCGTGGATAGTGTCTATGAGAGAGAGAAACAAGCAGATCTGTCTTTACTGTGAAGTGAATTTTGTGGCAGTAGTAAGTAAGAGATGCCATGGGGACATATTAGTGGGGGCAGCTAAATCAGCTTTGGGAGGTAAGGACATGAGGAAATGGTAAGGGGAGAGACCTTGTTAATCTTTTCACTGTCGTATTCCCCCACCTGGCCATGGCAGTACTTGGCAAGAGAATGTGCTAAACAGGTACTGTTAAACTGGTAAATTAATCAGGTGTGACATCTAAGCAAAATCTTAAAATTTCAATGTATGAAATCCCAAGAGATCTCTTTGAGAAATTCGTATGATTATAATGTAGATGAGTCTCAGACTACTTGTTCTATGCATTGTTATATTCTTACTGTATAGTATCTAAAACACCACCTCAGTGTTACTGACCAAGAAGACTAAGTGTCACTCCAATTTATTATAGTAAGGCTACATTGGAAAAATAACGAAAAAAAAATTAAAAGAAAAACCGACCAACTTCATGATCCCACATTTTCATTTTAAAGATCTAGCAGTTGATACATGTAAAGAGATGGGATTGAATGCTGACCACTACATTTTAATCAGTTTATGATCCTAATAAGAATTTACCAGAATGTTTATTATCTTAGGTATTAAAATGGCAAAGGAGAAAAACATTCGTTTTCTAATACTTATATAGTAATACAAGTATTACTTGGGGAATGTGTTTGGGCTTTGGAGGAATTTTACTATTATTGTACAATTTTTGTTTGAATTATATACGATGGTTTGAAAAGAGGTAATTTAGCTATTCTGATAAAATTTAGGTTAGGGAATTTGTGGAGGAAGGAATACAACCAGGGAATTAGTTTCTATAAGGACATGGGAAATGCTAGTGACTTCACCTGCCAAGGGAGTGCTTTAAAGTTGGGATTTATAAAATAAAAAAAAAAAGAAAAGAAAAAAGTAATCTTTTTATGATATCTTCAAAGAGTGTTGAACATTCTCTGTTTTAACTGTGGAGTACATTTTGGTACTTTAAAGGCTGGTAGCATCATACAATGGTTCTCAGAATGGGCAGCTTCTTACAGTCACCTTGGGGATCCTTTAAAATCTGATGCCTGGGCTCCCCTTATAGATTAGGATTTAATTGGTACAGGATGCAGACCTGGGCATGAATACATATTGTTAAGCTCTCCAGGTGATTCCAGTGCACAACCATTGTTAATAATAACTAATCCAGACCTCTATAGCAAATTAAAATCAGGATGGTTATTTATTGGAAAGAGTTAATATTCAAATAACAGTGTCTCTATGTCACATCCCAGTTTCTTGCCAATTTTCCCTTCTAGTAAATACCTAGAGTATTAATATTGAAAGAAATTGTTCCTTGTTCTCAGTGAACCTCTAATGAAATGAATCAGCATTGAAAACCCTAGGCTATTTCTAGGAAGAGAAAATGAATTTTATTATTTTGAAAGTTGTTCACCAAATACTGTCATTTTAGCACTTCTGCAGCCTATTTTTAAAAATAAGTTTATGACTTGGAGTGGGAGGGATGGCTGTACACCACACTTACAGATGCATTTGTCTGAGGTGATAGGGGAGTCAGCACTAATTTAGTCAGTGTGGACAAGTGACATCGTATTTTCAGTAGGATGAGAGTAATGTGCATATGCAAAATAATGATACATTTCCCAGACATTTGATAGTACCTCAAAGCAAGTTAAAATGACAATTTAATCTTCTGCAGTTATGAAATAAAATCTAACATTTAACACACTCTTACAAAAACCGATATTCACTATAGGTGGGTTTTATTTTTATTTTTCAGATTTTTGGCTGAAATTAATAAGAATGCCTGTCTAAAAATCACGTTCATCCATATGTTGTAGATGTCATTTTTGTTCTATACTTCATTACTTTTGAGAGTAGTTGGAGATTAGCAAAGACTCATGTTGAAAGGTCTTCAAACTTAAGGCACGTGGTTATGAGCCATTTTCTTCAGGTACTCAATTTCATCTTTAGCTAACTTTCTTGTAATGACTCCTGTCTAGCATGACTTTTGAAATTGCAATCTTCCTTCTAGAATTATTTCTACTTTACTTGTAAAAAATTGCCTTTTCCTTTATATTTTCTAGCTTTTATGGAAAAATAATTATCAACATTTATTATTTGCTTTTCACTTTCAAAGTCAGCCATACGATCACTTTGAGAAATGGTTTAGTCACATCTCCCAAAGCTTGTGTTGTAGTATCACCCAGCTGTTCTACTCTTCCATATACTTGCAGCAGAAATAAAGTATATTCATAGCAGCACTATTAAAAATAGCCCCAAATTGGAAACTATGTGACTGCCAATCAGTATTAAAGTGGTGAGTGTATTGTATCATGTTCACACATAAATTTACTGTGCAGTAATGAGAAATAACATCTAAAGGAATATGCATAAAAGTGGGTAATTTTCAATATATCATATTGAAGAAAAGGAATAAGAAGAAAGTGTAATATATAGTTCCATTAATATACAATAAAAATGCAGCCCGAACTAACATTTTAGAAGACAGGATCGTGATAGCCAGGTCAAAGTGAGGAAGCAGATTGCAGTGGTAATAACATAAGAGATGCTTCTGGAGCACTGATGCGGTTCTCTTTCTTGACATAGATTCTAGTTATTTTCAGTCTGTGACAGTTCATAGAGAAGTAACTTTATAATGCATGAGGGGTTTTTTTTGTTGTTAGAGGAGCATTATGACATAGACAAAACAAATTATCGCTAGTCCCATTATAAAGAGAAGTGAATTATGTTAAAGCTATCAAAAATTAGTTTTCAAAGGTCACAAGGGTAATAGTTTTTTGTGTAATAGCTCAAATTTATGTCTTCTTTTTTCATCTCTTTTCTAAGGAACTTAAAATTTGTGCTTTGATTTGGCCAGAAAATTATAAAATGTGATGGCTATTAAATAAATGTTTCAAGTTTACATTTGAAATTAGTTCAAGTCAACAAAATAAAAGAAAATCTAAGATATTATGGATTCTATGGCATCTAATTAAATTCATAATTTTGGGAATAATTTTATTTTTATAAAATTTTGAAAAATGGATAAGACCATGCTAGCTAACACTGCTAATGGATAAGAAACAGTTTAGTTATTGGCAATAATTAATTTAATCCTGTTTCCTGTCTATACAAAACAGTAATACCTGTGAACCTCAAGAAATTAAATCATGTAAGTGTTTAAAATAATTTATATTTAGTAAAAGGTTAAAATATGAAAAGAATTATTTGGACATAAACATGATTTATCTGAGTAGATCCTATGCTTGTAATTTTCTACAATTTTTATTCCTTCATATATAAAAGATGATCTACATGATGATGAAGAATAGCTTTATTTATATATCTTTGAAAATACATTGAAAAAAGAACAGAAAAATAATTTTCTATGAAGCTTCTGCCTAAAAACAAAAATACGATTGTAAATATACAAATCAGTTTCTTTTTGATTTTTAAAAAAGATAATAAAATTTGGAAAGGGAAACAAAGTGGGTAGGTATCCTTTTTTAAAAAAATCTGAGGCTGGGCGCAGTGGCTTACACCTGTAATCCCAGCACTTTGGGAGGCCAAGGCAGGTGGATCACCTGAGGTTAGCAGTTCGAGAGCAGCCTGGCCAACATGGTGAAACCCCGTCTCTATTAAAAATACAAAAATTAGCCAGGTGTGGTGGTTTGTGCCCATAGTCCCAGCTACTCGGGAGGCAGGAGAATCCCTTGAACCTGGGAGGCGGAGGTTGCAGTGAGCCAAGATAGCGTCACTGCACTCCAGGCTGGGCGACAGAGCGAAACTCCGTCTAAAAACAAACAAACAAACAAACAAACAAAAAACCCTGAATGTATTATACTTACTAATTTGAGTAGCCACAGCTAAAGATAGCACTATTTAATTTTACTAGACAACATCATTTTAAAATTATACTTATTAGTTCACATAGTCATGCTGCACCACATACTTTTTAACGTTTCTTTCCCTGGTGAGTTTTAGCCTCCAACCTCCATATTGTACTTCTCCATCAACAACAACAACAACAACAACAAAAAAGGGAAATTCTATGTCATTCAGTTACATTTATCAGACTTCATCCTATTCCCAATAATGTGTAGGCTCTGGGTCATGGAGGGCTTTCAAAGGAGAAAGCATCTTTTACTTTCTGTTTTTCAATGAAGTCATTTTAAAGGAACAGTTAAATAAATGATTTGGAATTAAATAGAACTATGACATGACATAAACCATGTAAATAGAAGATCATCACAAAATGGTGCTAGTTATTAAAACTTTATTTCTTCCTGAGGATTACACCATCCCAGTTTGTATAATTGTTATGCCTTGGGTATTCATTAAACCTGACTCACTACTGAGTGAGCACATTAGTGAGATAACACACCGAACTGTCTTGAGACTAGAAATCTATAGGGGAAATTATGTCGTCAGGGTCAGCTAAATAGTGTGTCTGAACTTCTAGACTTCAAACTTTATTATAAAAATGTACTTCTAGACAATTTCATCACAAGCTAAATGAGTATGATACATGTGATTCTCACTGTGTTAACACAAATAAGTACTTGTGCAAAAATGGAGGATATTCATTTATTTGACTACGTCTGAGTGTTTTACAGGGTCAAAATGAAGTGTTTATAATTTTACCCAGCCTGGTTACATGTAATTTAAGTAGCCTTGCCCTTTTATTGTTCTGTAATATTCATATTATATATTTGAAGTAGGACAAGCAGATTTCCTATAAGGAAGTACAAGTAAGGGACTGGGAAAGTGAGCATGAAGCAGATAATTCAAACAATAGCAATATTTAAAGCAAATAACTATTTAGATATAGGTTAAGATCTGCTAACAGCTGCAATAGATAATAAATACTTACAAATTTTTGCCAATTTTCAGTAGTATATGGAAGTGAGAACAAATTTGGAGGTATTGTTTTTCATGTTTGATGATGGTGTTATGGTATAATTACATATCCGTGAAAGTTATTTAATAAATATACTTTGAAACAAAAAGTAATATTTATTATAAAAGACTAAAATTTTTCTATAACTAGCTATGGGTTAAAATAGCACCAATATTCTCTTATCATTGTGTTATTCTCTAAAGGAAGCTCTTATTAAACATAATGCAGGATATAATTCTACTGATGTCCCCTTAATAGTAAGCAAGACTCTGGACTAAAAGAAGTGCTTGATAAATAATTTCATAGGGGCCCTTGGATTTTTAAATCATGAAGCAGATACTCAAATGTGTGTAAATTGTAGATGACAAAATTACGTAATGCCAGTGAATTGCAGGGAAGGATAGAGCTAATTACATCATATGCATCTTGTGGATCACAGGATACATAAGATATGTGACTGGTTCCGTCCATTTAAGAAACAAAGGCATATAAAGAGCTAGATATATTTAATGTGCCTTGAGTGGTAATTAAAAAATAAATTTTAAAACCCTTCAGAGCACAGAACCTTTTCTTCAAGTTCAATTTGATGTAAGGCCCCATTATATACAAAGTATAAAAGTAAGGCAGATTAAATGGGGCAGGTGTCTTGGAAACCAGCCCAGAAACTTATGAGAACCCTCCAGGGATTCCAAGCATTCAACAGAACACATGTGCATTTTAAATTATACAGTGTTAGAACCAAGAAAGCTTTAGCATTTATCTAGACTCACTTCTGTATTGTACAAATGAGTAGTAAAGTTCATCAGGTTTGGGGGTTTGCCTTTAATCCCATAGAAAATAATAAGAAACTATGTATTTTGAAGCCAAATCAATGGTATTAAACCATTCTATTTTTAATGTTTTGTTCAGTTGGTCTCTATTTTAATAGCAAATACGTTGAAAGTGAAGTTTTTAATATATAATAAAATAAAAATAAAACTGGGTCATTTCTTAAAGGGTGCCTTTGAAGTTAATAATGGCTGAAAATATAAACTCATTTGCTTCTAGATAAGATTTAAAAATTGTGCAAATGAGGATGTCAAGGATTAATAAGTGAATGTTAAAATTTCCAAACTTGGCCAGATGTGTTGGCTCCTGCCTGTAATCCTAGCACTTTGGGAGGCCAAGGCAGGAGGATCCCTTGAACTCAGGAGTCTGAGATGAGCCAGGGTAACACAGCAAGACCTCGTCTCTATTTAAAAAATAAATAAAAAAAATAAATTCCAGACTTGATTTTAGCAAGTTTTAGAAAGTACCATAATTGAAAGTTAAGCAAGATTGACATTTTCAAAAGTGATCTGAAACCTGATTATTTTTATATTGCTCTTAAATCCTCACCCACTAGAAATCATAAAGTGATGAATTTGTTGGATATGTTTATAGAAGGGTCTTTCTGAAATTAATTTCTTTGGGGAAAATTGCCAGTAATTTACTCCATTCTGATGCAAAGGCAAGGATGTGAGTTTATGCTCTAGTCTTTTCTGGTCAGCCTTTAACTAGTCTACATAGAAATCCCAGTATGTGTCTCTTAATGTCAGAGCAATGCCGTCAAGTGGTGTCTGCCTAGTTACTCAGAAACTTGCCATGATAGATGGGCAAGGTGGTTCTATTTGTATTTGTAATGGAACAAAGGAGAGCAGCTGCTAAGTTGCGATCATTCTTAATTTCTGCATTATATCCAAGAGAAGAATGCATATGTGTTTACATTGACCAAATTTGGACTATGCAGAAGAGATGCATTCACTGGGGAAGAAGGGACTTGATTTAGACTCTATGCAATTGGGCAATGAAAACTGACCAGGCAGAAGTGGGGGAGAAACCACTGGATCCCTGGCTGTTAAAAAGTGAATAAGCAATATCTGTAAGTGTTAGTGCAAGTAAGGAAACATTTCCAAAAACCTACAGAATGTGTGCTCTGAACAAATGAGTTAGTTTTAAGCATCTCCCAGTTCCAAGAATCGAGAGCTATCTTTGGGCATTACCAATCAAGTAAGATCTTAGTTGCTTTGCCTCTCTTATCTACCCACCCATCTTCAATGCCCAACTTTTTATCCAGGGGCAAGAGAAGAAATTTCATCACTAAGTAAGTTCAGTGTGGCAATAGGATAAAAATAAATTTGCTCTTCTGGTTCGACTCTGAGTCTTCTTCTTCAGTGTTCTGGTTATTTATTACCGCTGGTGCTAACAATACACTTGGAAGGAGATTAAGTATGCACTATTAGTTTGGTTTAGGAATCTTCCCAGTTCTCTTCCACTGACATAATTCAGTTCATGTATATATTTGAGACAGCCTAGTGCAGAAAGTGAGAAGAGACTCTAGAACAAGCCTGCCTGGGATCAAGTTTTAGCTCTACTGTTTACTCACAGGATGACTTTGGACAACTTTTATTTATCTTCTTGGTGCCTTAATTTTCTTACCTGTAAAATGAGTCTAAGAATAGCATGTACCTTATAGGCTCTTTTGAGGAATAAATGAGTTGCAGAATTCCTACCATATGTAAAGTAGCATATGTAAAGCATATGTAAAGTTCCACAAAATTATTGTTGCTAATATTGTTATAAATTACAGTTAGTTGGATATCTTGTTACTGACAATGTTAGATCAAAGGCCGTGTATATTTACATACAGTATTTATTAGATACTGTCAAACTACCATCTAAAAGCTTTTTACAAATAATTCTCTCTCTAGATATAGTATAAAAAGCTAATTATAAATTGAGGCCATGTGAGGGAAACTGTCAGGAGGTCCCTTTAGCAATGAATGATAGTTTATAGAGAGTCAACCACTTTGAAAGTTATTTGGGAGAAATATACAGAACAGGTGGACTGCATGACCTGTTTGCCCTGTGAAAATAGGTATTTGAAATGACCTGATTCTCAACCTGAGAATTTTCAAAGTGACAAATTACACTCATTTGGCTTGTAATGATGTTCTGATTATAGGCTATAAGACCAATGATGGATTTCCCTGACTTCTTTTCTTAATGTTCTCAAATCCTGTTGTGACCTTTCCATATTCAAGCATGTAGCAATGATTTCAGAAACAATTAAAATTTTTATAATTATATAGTTAAATATGTATTTCTTTTCTTAGCACAAACTTACATGCTTTACTTTAAATCAGTTATTCTATATGCAACTTAATTTTAATGTTATGCCTTTAGTTTACATACATACAAAACTGTGTGATATTTAAAGCAGTTGTAAGAGTTATCAGATTTCTCTTGTCTTTGGTAGGATTTGTGAAGCTCTGCAAATCAGAGATAATTTAGATAGAGCTCTATGAAACATATTGGCACTATTTGTTTTGGCTTGTTTTCGTTAATTTTAATTATCATCATTAATTTATTCTACATCCTCAGTATTTATTGAGTTTCTTCTGTGCAGCAGGAAATAAAGCCAGGCACTGAAAATACAAATGAGAACAAGAGAGATGAGGTCACTGTCCTTAGGATGATTGCAACCTAGTGGGGGATGAACAATGTTACATTTTGACTTGTTGACATAGAGAAGAAGGGTTAGATCACCTAAGCAAAATAGAGAAGAGGACTGGTATTTAAAACCTGAAGAGAGGCTGGGTGCGGTGGCTCATCCCTGTAATCCCAGCACTTTGGGAGGCCGAGGCAGGCGGATCACCTGAGGTCAGGAGTTTGAGACCATCCTGGCTAACATGGTGAAACCCCGCTTCTACTAAAAATACAAAAGATTATCCTGGCATGGTGGCGCGCTGCTCTAATCCCAGCTACCCGGTAGGCTGAAGCAGGAGAATCACTTGAATCCAGGAGGCAGAGGTTGTGGTGAGCCAAGATTGCACCATTGCATTCCGGCTTGGGCAGCAAGAGGGAAACTCCCTCAAAAAACAAAAAAACAAAAACAAAAAAACTAAAAAAAAACCCGATGAGAGGAGAAGAAGCAAATGAGAGTGAGAAAGAAAAGCAATTTAGATGGATGAGAATCATGACTGTGCTCTAAAGCAAAGTGTAGAGGAAACTGTTTCAAAAGAAGGTGGTAAATAGAGCATTTAGAGTAGAGTAAATAGAGTAGATAAATAGAATAAAGTCCACATATGACATTAAAATATGGAAGTAATTGAAACATTGACCAAGCCTGTTGGTTGCAATGGTGGGTGCTGAAACTAAACTGAAGAGGATTTAGAAGTGAATCAGAGAATTAGAGGCAATACAAATAAGCATTACTTACAAAAAGTTTAGCTGAACAGGGTGCAGAGAATTGGGATGTTTGTTGTAGAGAAATGAGGAATAAAGGGAGAATTTTGGAAAGGACAGCGTAACAAACAAACAAATGAAAAATCCACAAAGGGCTGAGGTTGATGGTGAAGGTAAAAAAAACAAAACAAACAAAACAACCGTGAGTGAATAGAGTGAATAAGACATGGTTCTAGCATGGGAAGAGGTCACAATGCACCTGCAAGTTGAGGTCAGCCATTCAGACCTAATAATTATTACACACAAGAAGAGTCTTGAAAGAAAGAGGTTTCCTGGACCAGAACACCAGGTTCAAGATATTATCTGTACATCCTAGTGTCGTGAGGCAAGGGGAGTAGAGTGATAGACTAGACACAGGCACACAACTTTATGAAAGATACAAGAATACTTTACACACTTACCAATCATGGGCTATATCCTTTTCTTCTTCAGATTAACTTTTCTATTTAAAATACTTAGTTTTGAATTAAATAGATACTGGCTGTAAACAAAAGCTCCGTTTATGGATTATTCAAGGTAACTATCCCCATCTCTCTGTTTATCCCAGTCCATTGTAACAGTAAAGCTCTCTGTGTCTATCATGTCTAGCCAGTCTGCATCCATAATAAGCACTCAGATTACAGTTAAATGAATGAAAGGATTATAGGTATGCAATATTGGTATTTTATTAGATTATTATCTTTTTTAATATATAATAAATGAAATTTCCTGTAAATTCTTCCTGTTATAGCCATGCTGAGGGGAAGAAAAGACAAAGCTACTTAGTCATGATTGACAGAAATGGGAAGTTAAGTACAGCCTGTTCTGGGAATAATTGTGGTCATAACAGGGAAAACAAAAGTGAAAAACCTCATAAAACAGTTGACAATAATGTGAGAATATAGGAGTAGTACTTTTCCTTTTTTTTTTTTTTTTTTTTTTGAGACGGAGTCTCGCTCTGTCGCCAGGCTGGAGTGCAATGGCGCGATCTCGGCTCACTGCAACCTCTGCTTCCTGGGTTCAAGCAATTCTCCTGCCTCAGCCTCCCGAGTAGCTGGGACTACACAGGCGTGTCACCATGCTTGGCTAATTTTTGTATTTTCAGAAGAGATGGGGTTTCACCATGTTGGCCAGGATGGTCTTGATCTGTTGACCTCATGATCCGCCCACCTCGGCCTCCCAAAGTGCTGGGATTACAGGCATGAGCCACCGCACCTGGCCTCAGTTATTTTCATTTTTATGACAGTTACAGTTCTATTGAGAAATTCCCAACATATTGTTATTCTTGCATTATTATTTCAAATTTTGAGGAGAATATAACTGTTACAATTAAATATGGGTATTGAATTTAAAATGTTTTTATTAATCTTGATGATACTTTTTTACTGAATTTTATGTGCCTTGTATTAAAGTGTTTTAATTTCATATGAAAATACCAAAAATATTACACAATTTTCCAAAAACAAAGCAATGAGAAAGAATGAAAATATGATGACACGTACAACCTACATTTAATCTTATCGTTAGAAATACGTTCTTAATGTATAGTTCCATATATACATGGAATACAATGTACAGTTCCATAATAGGACAAATTCTAAGCTTCAGCAACAGCTCCAATTTCTCTATTATTAAAACTGTAATTGCAATTAGTATATGTTT
Organism: Homo sapiens; assembly: GCF_000001405.40. Classification (NCBI taxonomy): domain Eukaryota; kingdom Metazoa; phylum Chordata; class Mammalia; order Primates; family Hominidae; genus Homo; species Homo sapiens. The sequence goes on from NC_000021.9 coordinate 21,194,235, forward strand.
TTTTCATTTAAGTATATTTTAATTTGCCATGTGGTTATTCATTTCTCTGATTCTTTATCAGAAAATCATTTCAGGCTAGAGGGACTTGGAAACATAAGGATATGAATGAAACCACATTTATAAAGAGAGTTGCTGAGTTATTATTATATCTTAGGACTTGACCTAAACTTTTTACATCTATTAACTCATATACTTTTATTTTATAAAGATGTGAAAACCTAGATAAATGGACACAAAATTTAACTAGTTCAAGGTAGTTTACACTAGTAAGGGGCAAACACATTATTATCCTTATCACTCTGTTGTACACTCAGTGTTTCCATGAGTCCAGTAGCACTAATAAATCTTACTGGTAGCTGTGGTATTAAATATGTACAAAATTGGCAGCTATGGTATTAAATATGTACAAAATTAAATTGAGAGACACAAACTTGACAGATTTCAATATTTTATTTTGTATTTTTAAATTTTAAATAATTGACAAATATAGGCTGAATAAAATATCCATTTTTTCAAGGTATACAATGGGGGTGATTTGATATATGTATACATTGTCTAATAATTACTGCAATCAAATTACCTAACATCCATCACCACTCATGTTGTACATAAGAATTCCTGAACTTCTTCATCTTTTGCCTAGAAGTTTGTACCCTTTGACCAACATTTCCCCATTTCCATCACCCTGAGCTTCTGGCAACCATCACTTCAGTCTCTGCTTCTAAGAATTCAAATTTTTTATGATCTGTATATAAATTAGAATATGCAGTGTTTATATTTCTGTGTGTCCAGTTTTCTCTGTGAAATGAATGATAATGAAAGGAGTAGAGAAGATGTTATGACTTTAAGATTAGGGAATGAGTGTTACAGCAACCACTGAGGAAATATAGGAATGGAGAACAGAAACAAACATCATTCATTTGTTCGTATTGCTATATTTTGGTAGGAAACACATAGAACCTCAAAGAAATAAACATGCATAAGTTTGTAAAATTGCTAAGATGTAGGAAATATAACCCTCAACTTAGTAACGTAAACTATGGAATAAAGGGGAAAAATCTGAATTTTAAAAGTATGCCATGTTTACAACTTTCAGTAAAATTATTCTACAGATAAAGCTTTGAGTATGTATCTCATCCATAAAGACCTAAACAGAAGTACATGCATAAGAAAATGAAATATTCAGTTAAAAACAGAGTTCAAAGGAAGAGCAGAATAATTAATGAATGTGCATTCTTCTTTTCAGCATCACTATGTTTTTGCTTCTATTATGACATGAGATTCTGTCTGTAGGAAATCATCCCAAGGGCATAAAACTCTCAAAATTGACATTAATATAACAGCATTAGCAAGAACTAGGTTTTTATATGATAAGTAAAAAGCAAAATCTAGAATCTGAAAGACATTTTCTGTTTTGTAGAAAAGGATAAGAAAATGATATGACTAAAAATTATTCTGATGTGTGTTTGATCAACTGACTCTTGAACATGTATTTTGACAGCATGTGCGATACTCCAGACATGATTGCTGTAGCTGTAATGCACACTCCAAAGTGTAAAAATGAAATGTTAGTCAGACTCTAGTAATAGTTTCTCAGTTTTATACATTCAAAAGTGCCAAACCTAGGAATTAAGTCACTGAATGAAGAAATAAAACTGTGTGATCTACATTGATCATATGTACTTATAATGAGGATGGAGAGGTAGTTTAAAATTGTGACAGAGGTGATTAATATCTGAGTTTAAATAATTAAAATAATCTGACTTCTCAAAATATATTTTACATTCTCAGTCAACTTAAGCTGGATCAGTGTATGAAGTTTTTGTAATCCTACATGATTTAAATTCTAACCAAAAACTCTTTAGTGTGATTAAGGTCCTATGGCGTGGTGGACACTGAGAAAGCCCACTCAGTTCCCACTTTAAGAAAGAATTTGCTGCTCCTCCTTCTGGGAGTTTTGTCAGACTTAGCTGTCAGCACCCCTAAGGACTGCCTCAACCGCAGAGAGCTACCTCACCAGGAATCATGCCCTTCCTGGGTCAACCCACATCCAATGACTGATTGAGGCTGGGCAAAAAGGACTGACCATTTCTTCCCAACACAAGATAACTCTGGTGAGCCATTTCGGTTCCACAGCTTCCTATGAGGATTGCTGAACCTGTTGGGCCTTCATTTTACATCACAGTTGAATTTTTCTTTCTTCTCAATCCTTGCTTCCTGCCCTCCTTTCCACAGGGGTTGATTCTTGAGCACTAGATGTTTCTTGGACTCTACTTCACAAAGAATCCAAATTGTGACATAAGATGTATGGATCTCATCCACAAATGTATAGTCTAGGCCCTAGGGTCACAAGATCAAATTCTAGAGGAGTGAAGTGAGTAATTTGTGGAGTGAGTGACTTCAAGTATCAAGTAGTGAGTGTGGTGGTGATATGGCAGGGGCCAGAAACTGGAGAGCACAGACCTCTGAAAAATCAAATTTAATCACAATAAAATGTTGTGATTTTATTTTGAGGTGAACTAGTTTGGATCTGTGTCTCCACCCAAATCTCATGCCCGCTTGTTATCCCCAGTGTTGGAGGTGGGGCCTGGTGGCAGGTGATTGGATCATGGGGGCCGTTTCTCATGAATGATTTAACATCGTCCCCTTCAGTGCTGTTCCTGTCGTACTGAGTGAGTTCTTGGGAGATCTCGTTGTTTAAAAGTGTGGAGCACGTAGCACCTTCCCCTCACTCCTCCTGCTCCAACCATGTGAGATACACCTGCTCCTGTGTTGCCTTCTTCTGTGAGTAAAAGCTCGCTGAGACCTCCCCAGAAGCAGAAACCACTATGCTTCCCATAGGACCAGTGGAACTGTGAGCTAGCTAAACCTCGTTTTTTTGTTTGTTTCATTTTTGTTTCGTTTTTGTTTTTTGAGACAGAGTCTCACTCTGCTACCCAGGCTGGAGTGCAGTGGCACGATCTCAGCTCACTGCAACTTCTGCCTCCCGGGTTCAAGCGATTTTCCTGCTTCAGCCTCCTGAGTAGCTGGGATTGCAGGTGCCCAGCACCACGCCTGGCTAACTTTGGTATTTTTAGTAGAGATGAGGTTTCACCATGTTGGCCAGGCTGGTCTCGAACTCCTGGCCTCAAGTGATCTGCCCACCTTGTCCTCCAAAAGTGCTGGGATTACAGGTGTGAGCCACCGTGCCCAGCCCCTCTTTTCTTTAGAAAGTACCCAGTCTCAGGTGTTTCTTTGTAGCTGTGCAGAAACAGACAAATACTTGAGGCAAACAAAATATATTTTATAACCAAAGAGAAGCCGCTCTGTTAAATCTTCCAAGCATAAAGCCATATGTTAAGAGGCATAGAAATAAAGCAGTACTCAGGGATTTCAAATCTAAAATCCTGATGAACACGTTGCATTTTCTGTCTAAAATAGGACTTTGCAAGGTCTAACACATATCGTTTCTGTGTTTTCTCTTATGAAGGATAAGCCTTACCAATTCCCTTCCAACTCTATGGCCAACGAGTTGAGAATATAGAGATGACTGGGATCATAAGAAACAGTAGACTGAGCTGAGGGATTTTCTAGGCAACTACTGAGGGGGTTGGGAGGGAAGTTCTTGAGCATGTCTAACATGGAGCCAAAATATCATTTAGCCATTGTGAAATGGACAGCATTGCACCTTTGGTGACAAAATACTGAGTTTGAATGTTGCCTTTACTGTTACTATGACTGGAGATATAACCAGTGGTCTCCATGCCTGTCTCCTCCTCTGCCAAATTATGTTAATATTAAAACTTCCTACTTTACCTGGTTCATATCACTCTTATGGGTAATCATGTGAGTTAACATATATGAAAACCATTTTTATGTATTTTTATATATATTTATTCTTCAGAATTTTTTCAGCTGCTACTTATCTACCTAAACAGAATCTAGTTATTTTTTTAAATATGTAAAGTATATGTGTGTGTGTGTGTGTGTGTGTGTGTGTGTGTGTGTGTGTGTGTATTCATTTGGTGATCTGTCCTTTCTAAATTTTTAATATAGTTAACTGGATTCTATCAATTTGCATTTTAATGCAATTAAAGTAAGTATAAGTTTCTTTTTTCCATTTACTTTGAGTAAGAATAATCATGTAGAATACAGTGGATGAAAATGTTCTTTCAAGTTGGCCGGAATGTACTTTACTGGAAAGAAAATGATATAAAAAATGCACTGAATTATCACTTTCTTACCTTGAATAGAGAATGACCTTATAGAAAGATGAATTAAAATGCTTTAGAAGTTGAATGGAAACCTGCTAGTTCACTTAATAAAATGAAGCATTGACTATCCAAGGCTAGCAATGTAGAAAAAATAATTCTTATCATTCTGACTCTTGTCCTCAAGATTCACTTTCTTCTCAAGGTCTGTTGATAATAACTACTGGAGCAAGGCTGTGGGAACAGAAAAAACAGACATCGTGTGTTCTTTAAGACCCCTGCCTACTGTGGCTATAAACTTCCCTGTTTCTCTCTATATTGTCTACAGTACACCCTTCAAATCAACAGCATGAAACTTAGCACATAAAAAAGTACTTGCTATGAGATTTCTGAATGAATATAAATGTCAGAGACCAGAACGAAGCATTCAAGAGAGTTTTTACCAGTGTCTCAGAGATCAAATAAAAGGATGCAAACATGGAAAATTCACTTTCCATTATGTATCTGGGTGGCAAATTCAGGCTCAGTTAAGAGCTCCTGTATGTAGGGTTACCTTCTGTTCTGGTTTGCTGGAACAGTCCCATTTATGATTTTTGTCCTAGGATTTAAAAAAATCATTTCTCTTTAAAGTCTTAAATGTAACCCAGTTTGTATGCATTGTGTGACCACTCTACATTTCGATATCCCTATTTTCATTTATAGTTTGTGGAAAGAGTCAGTCCTCCTCCACTTCTAAGGAACATCTAATATCTCCAGGATATTTTTTTGGATTCAGGTTTTATTAATGTCTTTCATTGCAAAATGTTTCCAATTATAAAACAGTCAGAGAGCTCTGCATTAATAAACTTGCCTGTCTTTCATAAGGGCCAGAGATTTTGAAATGCCTGGTGCCCAAACATACATATGCAAACACACATACCCAGTGCTACTAGCAGGTTGTTACAACCATATCTAAAATATTCCAAATTCGGACTTGTGTGGCTCAGACCTGGGTAGAGATGAAAAACCTCATGACTGAGCTTGGAGAAAAAGCAGCTGAAGCTTAGCATCCAGGCCCAAGGGAGCAAGACATGGAGGCATGCTCCTGTCTAGGGTCTTCCTCCAATTCTGATGACCTGTCTAAAGAGCGTCTTCCTGTGAAAATGACTAACCTTGAGAGTAGTGATCTCATTCAGACTATAGTCCCAATCAACTTTGAATGATTTTACTTCATGACCTCAGTAAAGAACACAAAAATAATAAAGTAAGATTAATATCTACGTAAGAAATACACATTACCACTGCATAGATTATGTCCAGTATAATAGGATAGGCCTATGTCAGTTTGTAAAAACTTTATTAATGGAAGTTTTGTTGTCCTGTTCTATAATCGTATGGCATTCTTATACTTATGAATGTGAGCTATTTATGTCACATCTCGTGTCTTCTGTTTGTCAAAATGGTTCACCATTAGAGGCTGGGCCTTTAACTACTACTAATTATTAATACAATGGCTTACACACTCTCATAAGTGGCCACTAAAGAGAGAATTCACATGCTTTTAATTATATTGCTGTGCATGTTAACGCAAGATAATTTTTGCCACTCCATGAAGACTGCCCCCGAATTGTCAGGGATTCCAAGAAAGAAAATGTCTCTGTCTCTGTCTCTCTCTTTTTAATTCTCAAGGAGGCAGCCCAAAAGAGAAAGAGAAGAGAGTAATAAACCAAGGTAAAGTTAAGATGGGACTAACTCAGCTGACAGATAACAATCCCCATGAAACCCAGGCTTGACCCCTAGTAACAATGCCATGAAAGAATAGATAGAAATGCACTTTGAAAAAGATGACACTTTAGAACATAATCAAATGGACTTGCATGGGTCACAACACATCCTTCATACCAGGAAACGCTGCGTGAGGGTTCTCAGAAGTCGCATGACTCATATAGTCCGTCAACTCTCAGGAATGGGTTCTGAGAATTCCAAGTAAGACAACCCCATGCCTGAAAAAAAAAAAAAAAAGCCTTGAAATCTTTATTGTATTTCATTAACAGTTTTACTAGCTGTTACTTTTCAACGTTTAAGAAATAAAGAAGATAGAAACCAATAGGTGGCCAGATAAAACTGTCAAATGCAATTTATAAAGCCTTAGAACTTTCTGGTCACTGTGAAACATAAAAACATAAAATCAGATTCATAGAAAATGCAGACTATAAACATTTTTTTTTTGCTGGTTAACTTACCACACTGCTATCTTGTATTTTACAGGAAATTATTTGACTCAATTAGGGACAAAAATGAAAACATGTTTGTCCTTAAAAATAGGTCTAAATTAATGGGGCCCTTCATTTTTTTTTTTTTTTTTTTTGAAGTGTCAACCCTCCCAAAAGCATTTTGGTTCCATCTTTGAGAAATAAAATTAGTCTTATAAACTGTGTGTGTGTTTGTGTGTGTGAGAGAGTTTTCTTGTCTGATACTTTTCTAACCCTAGACCACAGATTCTCGGGTGTAGTGATAATATGTGTATAGATCTTCTCCAACATTATCTATCAGAGTGCATATTAATGAGTGGATAATTGGAGAATACTTTTTTATGATTTTAATATATATTTTCACTTTCAAAGCAGTTTGACAACAGAATGCCCTAATGAAAGTGAAACTTAATGAGAGACTACTGATACTTCCTAATACCGTGTGTGCGGATTACTAAGCACATCTCCAAAGTGAAACAACTTTCCCATTTTCATCCCATTTCTTTGCCATACACGTGTATAATTTATTTTATTGATTATTAGGAAATATGAGAAGACTATGAATATGAGTTTATTATCCAATTTAGAGAAGTTTATATTTGAGCTGATATGAAATAGTTTATACCTAAAGCAGTGCAATTCCCCAAGATCATGATTTTCAGTTATGCTGCTCCCACTGCCTTTTTGTAAGGAATACTCCTAATGACACAGGTGCCACGGCCTGTGACCAGTAGGCGAATGCCAGAATCACAAAACAGCAAGTTTACATCCTGGGAATCCCAGCTTAGGCAATCTGAATATGACTTCATAACAACAAATGACTATGAAATTCTGACAAACTAAAGGACAATAGTGATATGTTTGTGTAGTGAATTAATGGAAAGAAAAGTATTATCCAGAAGGATAGAAGCTGGAAGACTCAGGCTGATTAAATATTCACTAGATGGATATCTCTGATGCTTAAACTTGGGTACACAATGTAGTTCAACCCCAGTTTTTGTTAATATTCATTGTTGTAATCTTCCACAGCATGTTTAATGAAGTAGATAATGTAAAGCAGTGGTTCATTCCTAGCTGCACGATTGAATCCTTTAAGGAGATGCAGTCACTCCAGATTTTCTTTTTCCAGTATTCTAGAGCAGCAGGTCTCAAATAATGGTCTCTGGACTTACAGCTTCAGCATCATCTGGGGAATTTTTAGAAATCTGAATTCTCAGATATTTCTCTAGACCTTCTAAATCAGAAAATATGGATGGGTCTCAAAATCATGTTAAAAAAAGACTTCCAGGTGGTCTAACTGTATCCCAAACTTGAGAATCAGTATCTGGGATGAGGTCTATGCATCAGTGTCGCTTAAATGTTTCTTGCAAGTCTCATGGAATCTGGAGTTGAGAAGCACAAGCCTTACAGGACCTTCTTTAAAAGGGGAAGGAGCATAGCATAGTGGTTTTAGAGAGTCGTGAGGAGCCAAGGCTGGCTTTGGAGCTGGAATATCAGGGTTAAAATTCATGTTCCTCCACTTCCCAGTTTTGTGACTTTGTATAAATTAATCTGTGCTTCAGTTTACCACCATATAAATCTGGTGATAATAATTGTACACATTTCTTAGTGTAGTTGTGATGATTAAATAGGCCAAGAAATGTAAAGCACCTAAAATAGTGCCTGGCACCAAATAAATGCTCAATAAATGTGAGCTAGAATACTTATCATTAAAGTATTATAATTACATGCCTTGAATATAAAGCAAATATCCTTTTTTTTTTTTTTTTTTTTTTTCTGAGGCGGAGTTTTGCTTTTGTTGCCCAGGCTGGAGTGCAATGGTGCAAACTTGGCTCACCGCAACCTCCATCTCCCAGGTTCAAGCGGTTCTCCTGCCTCAGCCTCCCAAGTAGCTGGGAATACAGGCATGTGCCACCATGCCTGGCTAATTTTGCATTTTTAGTAGAGACGGGGTTTCACCATGTTGGTCAGGCTGGTCTCGAACTCCTGACCTCAGATCATCTGCCCACCGCAGCCTCCCAAAGTGCTGGGATTACAGGCGTGAGCCACTGTGCCGGGCCCATGCTTTGTTTTTATGCTATAAAAAGTAATTAATTTTGAATAGGTTGAACTTAAAACAAATAAATTAGGTTAAGTTCTCAAACTTTTAACTTGCAGTAATGAAAACTCTTAAATATTTATAAGTGGATATTTTCCATTTCACCTATATCTATTAAAAATATTATCAATGTAGGATGGATGAATTTCTAGGACATATATTTCATCATATTTTTATCAGGGTATATCAGATATGGTTATTTGCCACTGTGACCATCACTATCAATAACAGTTGTTTGTCTCCAATTTCACAGGCTACTCCAATCTTCAGTTTTTAACCTGGAGTCCAAGAGCACCAACTTTAATGGATTGAACTCTATAAGAATATAGTTGGTGTTTTTGAAACTCTCTTTGATTTTATAGATTTAAATTACAATTCTGAGTTAGAGTCACTAGACTGTCAAATGAATTCTTGGCACAAATATTTTGAAAATTAAAATATGAAGGACTCCCGTGTAAGAGGAATCAGACTTTTAAATTAATTGGCTCCTTTTACCTATGGCCTTTGCTTTGTCTTGTTTTCTTGCCTCTCTTGTTAATTACTACCTCTAGATCTGCTTATTATTCATTTATGCTCACATATTTCACCAAGAAAATCTGAAAAACAAATCTGTTTAAGATAAGAATATGCAGTTTTTGAAAGCCTGTAAGTGTAAACCACCCAGACTTTCCACACCTGGATTTAATGGCATTTGTTTTTGCCTGTACAAAGTTCCTTTGGAGTATCATTTCATATGTACAGTAATGATGTCAGGGTGAGTGAATTTAGAACTGCTTATACAATTGTCCAGTAGTCTGATTTCCTACAGGTTACAAATTTTGTATCATTCATTCCTGGATCACAGAATCTATTGCATTTCCTAATACATACTATATGCTCAATCAAGAGTTTATGAGTGAAGAAATTATAACAACTTTAGGAGATGCTGCTTTTCTGTAGAAGTTCTGTAATAGGCAACAGTGTAAGTAATTAAAATATCAGTATTTGAAGCAGATAAGACTGAAGATTTTTTCCTGATTACTTCTTAAAGTGTGTAGGTATTGAGATCTTTTTATGTTTTATCATTGTGGTCCAGATTGGTTAGTTTATGACTGTAGAGGCTTATTTATAACTTAAGTTTATTAAGTATTCATTTTACATGAGTTCTTCCTTTGAGCTATGCCAATATGTAATCAGTTTACTTACAACCATAAGATTTTTTCTTGTTTGTTTCCTCTTATTAATGAACAAATCACTTTGATAATGTGGCAGAATACTTACCGTAGTTAACACTGGAAGTTACTCATTCAACAAGTGTCTATTGAGTATCAACAAGTGTCTTCTAACATACCTGTTTACCTTTACCTCCAGTTACTGCACATGATCCATCTTCAATTTTGACATAGGTGTATTTGCTGAGTCAGAGCTCACATATAAGTGATTCTACCTTTATCTCCCTTGGTTCTTACAATTTTAGCATCTTGCTCTTTGATGTCTACTGCTGCTGCCATCTTGGCATAGCAATTATTTATAGACAGCCATGCCATGTAATAAAAATATAAATATTATTATTTATGATGCCCTAGTTATTGCTGGATTTATTTATGTGGTCATATTTTATTTTTGAGATTTTCGGTAGCTTTCTTATACAGGGTACTTGATACAGAACACACTATTTAACCTTGTGTTGCATAATGTTTTTAAATCAATTTGACAAAGGGATTTCTTTGGAAGAAAGATATTTGTTTTGTTCGCTGTTTTGTAAATAACATTTTCAAACTTGTTATGCTTTTTAAGGCTGAAAAGAAAGCCATATTGGAAATTAGAGTTGGATTCTAGCCAATATTCTGACAAGGTGTCATCTAACCTTGACATTCAGATTAACACAGATCCCTTAGTTTCTACCATGAATATTTACATATACCAAAGTTCAACTGTCCACTTTATTTGAAAGAACCTTTATCAGACTGCTGATACATCTACTCTCTATTATATAGAAAAATATTTTAGAAAAATTGGGCTATTGCCAATTTATTCATATCATTGCATATGGCCATCTGGAAAATGTTTTTCTTAATTGCTTTTTGGTGTGTTATGCACAGCAAGGAGCTGCTGTAACTCTCCTGACTACAATTTTCATATAAATATAGAACGTATCCTTTTTAAGTAGATATTTCCACTTTCCGTTCACTCTTTGCCTCCTTTGTGTAAGTTCGAACTCTCCTTTTTCTAAGCACACATATCATTCACTTTAATAATGGACTTCTGAGATATTTGATGGAAGTTTCTGCAAAATAACATATATATATATATGCAAGTGAACATTCACGTGTATATGTATATGTGTGACATGTGCACACAAGAAAGAGTCTAACGGTAAACCGTATTCATTTCTTGTTCTCCTAATCTACCATTAATGGTGTGGATATTATATTTCACCTGCCGACAAAAATTAAATATATTTTAATACACAAACTGAACATTTGTTTATTTCCTACATGCACCTGCAGGCTTTTCATCACAATTTTCTCATAAAACTGTATTTAGTTTTTGCATTGTTTGTCAACATGTCAGAATTAACTGTGACACTTTAAAATTGTATTTTAATTTATATTAGTCTGTGGATACTACTGCGTACCAGTGGAATCAGAATCTGATGGAGTGTAGCCTTTATTTTGGGGGCATTCTGATGTATATTATCTTTGTTTAAGACCTGTTTCGTTGTGTACATTATGTGGCTTATATCTTGTTTTAAGTTTAGATAATTTTTAATAACTAGTGACACATTATAAAGCCTACACTTTTTTTCATTTAAAATGGAAAACAAGGAAATGCAATTAACAGTATAAATTATTTGTGTTTATATAGTTGACTATTTAGAAGAAATATCCAGGATCTTTAATTTTTTTTAAGGAAAAACTTTAAACTTTCAAGAAATGTTAGGAGTGATTTTCTTACTCTATTCAGCAGCTATAAGAAAATACCATAGACTGAGGTAGCCTATAAGCAGCAGAGATGTATTTCACACAGTTGTGGAAGCTGCAAAGTCCAAGATTAGGTGTCAGCAGATTTGGTATCTGGCGAGGATCAGTCTTCTGTTTCACAAATGGCACCTTTTAGTGGTGCACTCACATGGTAGAATGGACTAGGTAGCTCTCTGTGGCTTATTATATAAGGGTTCTAATCCCATTCATGAAAGCTTTGCCCTCATAACTTAGTTAGTTCCCAAAAGTCCAACTCCTGAAACTATTACATTGGTGATTAGGTGTCAATATATGACATTTAAGGGGACCCAAACATTCAGATTGTAGCAGTACTCTTAGCAACTTATTCAATTTCATCTCTTCTAAAATATGTACTGTGCTTTTTAGGACATCATAGGTGATTAGCAAATGTTAATTAAGTGAATGAAGAGTATTCAGAGTAGCGTGTGGGAGATAGAATGATGGTTAACTTGGATTTTGTTTCCATTTGTAATACATTAAGTTTCATATCACAGTTATAAATTCTTATTTTGTAATAATAAATTCACCATTACACCTTAGGTAGGACAGAATTTTTACAACATAAAGTTGTGAAAGCTCTTGAAAACTTCTGTTATCACTTAACTGTTCAAACAGCCTTCAAAAACTTATTTAAATTAGTTGTGTATGGAAGAATATAAAAGTAGATTCACCTAATTATAATTGATTCACCTAATTATTCTAAACTAATTATAATCCATGATGCTGCTATGACCTTGCAGAAAGACTCCTTAGCATGTTGAAATATCATATAGTCTTACTGGGTTTGAACATTTAATGGCATCACGAACACCACCCGCAATAAATTCATGGGGCAAAACAAGCTTTAAGAACCTACGTGTAGGGAACGGAGTTTGTTTTTATGGCTTTAGGTTACAGGTGTTGTTATATGCTTCTGCGACATAAAATTACATGTTTTATAACTTTTTCAATTTTGTCACAATTAGGAATGTAGGATATCTTAAATTTGTACCTTAGTTCTTTGGTATAGAAATTGGAGAAAATGTAACTATTTTTGTAAGCCTTATTAATTAAAGGATGAATGCATGCATGTATTCAACAGGAACCCAATGGAATAATATAAAGTGCTTCTTGGTCTGGTATCTATAACATTTACAGTTAAATCAGATTATTATAGATATTAAATTATGTATTATTAAAACTGTAAGCAAATAATTTGCCCATGGGTGAAGAGATGGCCAATATCCTTTTCTTTAGACTATACAAGGTATTTATCAGTATCTCAACAAGCCAAAACCACATCCGTTCACATTTTTAAGAATTTTCACATTTACTTTAGAAAATCAAAAATTAAACTATAGACATTGTGATTATTATTGAATGTTAACATAAAATGGAGATGTAGTGCAAGACACCTTATCAGTTATGTAGTCATAATTGTTTGCATGCATACAGCATTTAACACACATTAATCAGAATATTGTTATGTTAAAATAAAATTTGTCTTATTCATTGGGAAAAGCTTTAGCGTTCTCGAGCTTTAATTTAAAGAGTGGGAAATAATGTGTACAATGGTAATTTTTGGCACTCAGGAAGAAGCAGAATGTTATCTGTCTTGGATGTTATTATTGCTCTGTATATCTGCACAATTTTCCTGTGATCTACCACTAGGGCAGGTGTTGAGAGATGGAACTTGAATACTCAATGGAAATTAAAGATACTGTGTTTGAATCTGTCATGCCAAGCAAGGATTCAAGACTGTGACTGTAACACAGAGAAACAAAACAGGAATGTAAACTATTTGAACTAAGGTGTAAGTTGGGGCTTTCCCACAGAGAATTAATAAGGTCCTGACTATTGGGAACAGGACACAAAGTTATTGATGGCTTATAAAAATCTCTGACCTGCAAGTGCAAACTTGAGCTATGGGTTATGTAGATGATTCAGGTACCCATTCCAAATACCTATTCCAGGATGGCATGAGGACTGGCCAATCAACAGGAGACTGAGAGTATGTGAGGACAGAAAACTAAAACTTTAAATATAGGAAGACACTCCCCTCCCCAAATAGTAAAATATCATTATAACTCATATGCATAAAAATTGGCTGACCACTAAATATTACACTTGAATGTAAACTGCATATTATCAGGGCAATACAGATGCTTTAGTCTCTTCCTTTTCATATGACTTGTCAAGAAGAATTAAACAGAAGCTCTGAAACATTGAGTTAATTGTGCTTTTTAATGGGTTCTGTAAAACAGGTATGACTGTCATTCTTCCAACTTAAATAAACAAAACTATGCCTATGAATTATTAAATAGCTGTTTAATACATTATTAAATTTTTGCTTCTGTGAACTTGAGTAACCAAATTAATTGAAATGCTGTGTTAGATCATAAGCCCCTTTGAAGTTAATTACAATCAGTTGCTAGAAAGAATTTTCCAAGATATATTGAAAATATACCAAGCTATAAATACTTCCAAGGTATAAATTACAATAAAAAATGTTTAAAGTGGAATGTAACAATGGACAATGGTGTATGACCTTGAGTCAACTGACAATGAATAAAATAGAACATATTAAAAGTATGTTTTAATTATCACTTCAAACCATTTAAATGTCTTTAGACTAATAAAATCCAATCTGTACTAGGCAGCAGGGGAGGGTGGAATTGATGTCTCTGTTGTAATATTAATACCAGTTAGAAGACTTTGTAATATTTAGAGCCCAAGTGTGCTGACATCTACAAAATGTCATAATTTTATTTCTTGTTTTCAATGTTAGGATGACCTTGGGTAAAAGACAGCATCTTTTTATTTTAGCTTCTTTATGGTAAAATATACATGGTTGTAAGTTTCAGCTTTCATTCAGTGGGTTTATTTGATGATATCAGATTCTGATTCTAAAACCGTGAAAACTTGAAATGTGGAACTGCCTATGTGGAGATTATTGTAGAGGAGACCTTAAGAAAAAAAAAATCTTTGACATTTTCTTCCTGTACCTGCTTAGCTTATAGGCAAAAATCACCACAGAAAAATAAGTGACAATTTAATTCTTAAAACTCCCAATATAATTTTCCCATTGCATCATTTTATATCATGCTCAGTAAGTTTTTAGATTCAACCTAAAATTATCTTATATTTATAAATATTTTCTTCTTTTTCTTTGTTCTATGTTCAATAACATAAACCTGGTTGAGATTGAGCTATAAGATTTGTATCCTTAATAGGCAGGGGTTGAACAGGATCATTTTTTTTTAACCTGGACTGGCACATTGATGCCTCATCTGTGTTGTGATTTAATGTAAAAATAATTCTGAATCTGTGAAATATATTGATTTTTTACTTTAATGTGATTGCTTTATCGACACCTTGATGTTCCCCACTCTCAGCGTCCTATTAAGAGATAACTTTGAGAACATCAAATGGTAATAGTCCCTAGGCCAGGGTCAGGAATTTATTGCCATTTCTAGGGTTGATAATGGGTTTAGCTTGGGTTTTATTTATTTACTTACGAGATTGGTCTTGCTGTGTCACCCAGGCTGGATTGCAGTGGCACGATCACAGCTCACCACAGCCTCGAACTTCTAGACTCAAGTAATCCTCCTGTCTCATCTTCCCAGATAGCTCCGACTATAGATGTACAACACAATGCCCAGTTAATTTATTTATTTTTATTTTTTTCGGAAAGACTGGGTCTTGCTATGTTTTCCAGTCTCAAATCCCTTGACCTCCCAAAGTGGTGGGGTTACAGGTGTGAGCCACCATGCCTGGCCTAGCTTGGGTTTTAAAGTATAGTGAGGCATCTGGTATGGGTGGGAGCTTGTGCTGGTCACATGAGGCAGGATGGGAAAAGGGCAGGGAGACTTGCAGCTAGTCATGGAAGTGGGTCCATCAACAAAGGTATAGGTTATTGCAGAGGTTGTCTGTTATAAAATGCTATTCTTTTATAGTCTGCTATCATGAAAGCTCTGATTGTCTGCTCTGTGTTAAAAAATTAAAAGATACGTGTGTTCTACACATAAGATGGAATATACAATGGCTGAGTAGTGTCCCTCAGAAAACTGAGAAGAAGAAACAGTGGCAGACACTAGCCGAATCTTGCTATGTTCCCCAAAGATGGTACTTGCCACATTATTACTTTCCCCTCAACCCCCAAAGACAGTAACATGGCATTATGGTAAGATATTGCGACTAAAACATCCCGGAAAACTTGTCCAAGCACATACTTAGAATTTCTTAGCAATAACTCAGGATTAGTATGGGATTGGAAGGGCTGGCCGACTTTCCATTGTGGAAGTCAAGAGCTCATACTCCATAATGTGTCTTAGAGGAGGACACAGAAAATAAACAATGGCTTTTCATGCCATGAAATAATGGAAATGCATTGATAGATCAAACTTGAATGTGCAATACATTGTTTTCTGTTATCTCTAATCAAATACATGTTACATTGAGACATTTTATTAGAAAAATGGGTTAATTTGGCAAGACTGTATCCATTGCTAAATATTGCCTCTTTTGTACTTACTGAACTTAGGCAATAGATTGAAAACATAAAACGTTAAAATGCAGTGTTTATTTACAAACGGAAATAATTCTAAACTACCTGATCATTTGAGGTTCATAACCTGAAAACACTTTAATCACCTAGATTCTATAAGCTGAGGAATTAATTTATTTAACAATTTTCAAAATACTGAGATATTTAAGAGCACCAGGACACTCCATGACATATTTACTGTAAGAATTCTTCATGAAGTACAAGTAATTAAAAACTCAAAGGGTGTAAGAGACTTAAAGAACAATTTCTTCTTTCAGAGTTATTTGAAGAGTACCACGATGGTGAGATCTGATTCAGGAGGACAAGTTTACCTTGATTATCACAACAGGCAAGGTCTCTTTGTTGACTGGAAATACAACGAAGCACTTTATCTTGAAGAAGGGCAACCAGAGACTTATTACAGGACAGGTCAGCTGGACCATTGCCCAGGGCTGTAATCTATAAGGAATGTCAAAATGTCATTGAAAGGCAATGAGGTGGAGAACATCTTATTTACTAGAACTCCCCTAGAGGGAGAATGTGTCTTGTAGTTCAAAGGGATACTTTGATAAATTACCAGTGGTGTGGGGTAAGGCAGAGGAGGGGGAGAGTTGGGAGGGTGGGAAATGGGAGAAGCCACTAGACTGGATGCCAAGGTAGCTTCCATATAGGAGAAGTACAGGAGTTTACTAATACTCTCCCCAAACACACACACACACACACACACACACACACACACACACACACACACACACACACACGGGTTAGTATTATCAAGTGTTTCCACCAGCAATTTATTTCATAAATTGCTAAATACATTTTAAGAATCTTAAACTCTGTACTAAATAAACGTGCAGATTAAATACTGTTTTTAAAATTATACCTTTATTTGGATTCAGTTCCAAGGTCAACACCATCTCCTCCCCGAATACGAACTTAGCAGTTCTTGAGCCATTTCATCTAAAAAGCACAGAAACTTCTTGCTTATCAGAAGCATGTCTGACTTCCAGCAAATTATTTTTACTAGGAGAAACAAAATACTGTGGTATTTACCAGGAATTGTGATACTTCATTTATACACATACTTTATTTAATCCTTACCATGACCATAGATGACTTACATATGCTAAGAGCCAGGACTCTAGTCCGATTCAAATCTGTCTGACCCCAGAATCCTTAGCATTTTCAATGTGTTTCTGGAAATAGCCTTACCATAAACCGCAGTTGCACTTTTTACCACCTAATGTGTTAGTGGGAATTATTTTATTATTACTTTCAGTTACAGAAAATAACTAGGCTAAGTATACTGAAATATGGAATACATGCTGCAGGAAAAACAAAACAAACAACACAACAACAACAACAAAACAAAACAGAAAAACAGGGCACACGTTTTCCAAAAGAACAGCTTGGTCCAACATTGAAGTGCTGTTAGTTTGCTCTATGCTGTGGTCACTGCTTCTTTCCACATGTCCCTTTCGTTTATTTCTCTCATGGAATATTAACTTCCTTTGTTCCTTATCTCCTATGGTAGAAATATACTGTCCACTGCAGCCTGAGAGTTTCTGGCCTGGCTTGACTATACGCTCCTGAGGATAGGAACTTGTCAAGTCCTGTTAACCCTGATTCCCAGTTCTTTACCTCAACTACTGGCAAAGATTTGGAAAATCTGGATCTATTGTACATTGGTGATGGGAATGTAAAATAGTACAGCCACTTGTGAAATCTGTTTGGAAGTTTCTTGTAAAACTAAATGTACAAATACCCATATAACCCAACGATTTCGTGCTTGGGCATGTATTCTAGAGAAATGATAGCATGCATTCACACAAAACCTCTACAAAAATATCCATAGCAGGTTTATTTGTAATAGCCAAAAACCGGAATCAACCCATATGTCCTTCAAGAGGTGAATGGTTAAATAAATTGTACAAAATACATATCACCGAATATTAGTAATAAAAAGTAATAAACTAAACTTGGAACAATTTGGATGAATTTTCCACGAATTATGCAGAATGAAAAAAGCCAATTCAAAAAAGTTGTATAATTCTACTTATCTAAAATGTTTCAAATGGTAACATTTATGAGATGAAGAACAGATTATTGATTGTCAATGGTTAGCAACATCAGAGGGGCAAGTGAGAAGGAAATGAGTGTGAGTACAAAATGGCAAGAGAGATCATTGTGATGATGGCAATGTTTGGTGTCATGCCTGTGACTATGGTGGTAGACATGGAAAGATGTACAGATGATAAAATTATAGGGAGATTAATACACACACCCATACACACGTACAAATGAATACAGGTAAACCTGGGGAAAGCTGACTAAGATAGGTGGGTCATATCATTGACAATATCATGGTTGTGATACTATAGTTTTGCAAAATGTTATCAGTGGAGGAATTGGACAAAATGTACATGAGGTGTCTCTATATTGCTTCTTATATTGGTATGTAAATCTGCAATTATCTGTGCTTTTTTTTTTTTTTTTTTGAAGTGGAGTCTTGCTCTGTCGCCCAGGCTGGAGTGCAGTGGCATGATCTTGGCTCACTGCGAGCACCGCCTCCCGGGCTCACGCCATTCTCCTGCCTCAGCCTCCCGAGTAGCTGGGACTACAGGTACCCGACACCACGTGGGGCTAATTTTTTGTATTTTTAGTAGAGATGGGGTTTCCATGTTAGCCAGGATGGTCTCGATCTCCTGACCTCATGATCCGCCCGCCTTGGCCTCCTGAAGTGCTGGGATTATAGGCATGAGCCACCACGCCTGACCTATCTGTGCTTTTAAAATGTAGATCACTAACTAGTTGTCCCCCAAATGAGTCAATGTATGAATGAATGAATGAATATTTAGTTGCCTGTTAATCTATAAGAATTATGACTCATCTTCTTTTTTACTTTTTAATTGATGACCTAAAATTACATTTAGATTTGCTAGATTCATTCATACCAGCTATAGCAAATAGGGGAGCATTTTTCTAATGGTAATGACATGGATAATGTATTTAACTTCTAACGTTAATACTAAGTTTTAAGGGGGCAACTATTGACTAAAGGTTAAGCTAGAGTTTAAATTATTTTAGAGCTAAAGTCACAGTTTTAGATAGATGATTCCCAATATTAAACAGATTTATGAATAGCATAATATTGTTAAGTTATTTAATATATGATGTATAGCTCATGATCTCTTACCAATGTACTAGGAAACTACATTGCCCAAATTCTGAGTCATGCATACTTTATGAAGAATTTTCAAGATAAAGGCACTGGGTAGATGCTATTAGGAATAATGCTTTAGAGATATGTCACATTACAGCGTTTTTATGCCTTTTACACCTAAAAGGAATACTGTTCTTCTGTCTACAGTTCTCCAAAGACTCAGGCCCATTTGAAACACATTCAGTTAGTATTCAGGTTTTATATGAACATGGCTGCCCATTGTGTTATAATGTTATATTAACATATGGATATAACATCAACTGAAAACATAAAATAACAAATTATACTCCAAGTACTTATAAAGAAGTACATAATCTCCTCTTTGATATCTCTTATAAAATAAAACCTGCCTAATGTAAACATACACATAGTATTTAGGGGTGACAGGAGGATGTTCCAGGCCTTGCAATCATAGACCTTTTGATCAACTCAGATCAACATAACTGAATATTTAACAACCGTATTTTGACGGTTGACACTAAGTACACATTTTTTCCTTGAAACCTTTGTGATTCATTTTGGAGGACAGTACCTGAACACCAACTTCTACTTTAAGCTCAACCTGGTAAGACATAACAAAACTAAATTCTAAATGTTTATTTTCCTTGCTTCTCTGAATGAATTTCACTCATACTAAAGATGTGTAGGAAGTTGAGCTCATGGTGTTGTGTGGGTGTATTTTGTGCTTTCCACTTATTTTTGTGTAGCTTTGCGATTTTTGAGAATTACAGTCTTTCCAAGTAAAGAATTTTATGAAAAATGTTTATAGATTGAGATTGTGGAAATAAGCATGGTAATTACCCATTTTCTGCATTCTTTAGTAATGTCAGTATTTCTAAATAGCTAGCTCCATTATTCTTTCCATGATATCTCATTTTGGAGAAGCACTTATTAAATTTTGCAAAGCTTAGTGAAAATTTGGGTAGGGTCACATATGTAATATGGGTGCCAGGATAATTGGCCAATTAACTGCAATGCCTTAAGATTTGATTTCTTCTTACCAATCCAAGTAATTGTCTTTAACTCCTTAGGGACTCCTAAGTGGTGTTTCTGGAGAAAATACAGGATGTGCTATCAGCACAAGGCATTATAAGGAAGAACTACTTACAATTAAGTTTTAGACCCTCAAATATATTTGACATGTAATTTGGGCAGAGATAGTCAATAAATAACCAGTGTGTTTTGACTATGTGCTAGACATTTCTCTGGTATCAGGGGGAGTAAATATATATATTCCATATATATATATATATATATATATACACTATATATACACATATATGTAATATATATATACACATATATATACATATAGGTATATATGTGTATCGAATATATGTATATATATGTGTATATATGGTTGAACAGAATTATTACTGCCTCAAATACAGCAACAAAAATGAAAAGGAAATTAGGATTGTCTTATTAGAAGGGCTTAAACTCTGATATAATTAATTTTAGCTTAAAGTAGTACTGAAAGAAACTCTTGGCAAGTGGAGTGATGTAATCCTGGAAATATGCTGATTTTAGAAGTCTTTTGAATACATTTAGGGACATGAAATATTGAAGGTCAGAGGCTGGTACTGAAATTTTACTGATCATTTTATTTGTGATGATCAAAGCCTTAAAAAAATTGTGATAATGGAAATATGGTGCTGTATTGGGAGCCAACCCAGATGCCCCATGACTAGTGAAGTTATATGCATAAAATTATCTGTATATGCATGTGCTTATCATTATGCAAAGAGTAAGGCATACTGCATCAGAACCTTTCAGAATACAATGATTTTGGCAATGCTGTATGGAACACAGTCATAGAGATGTTCTCATGTTAGAGCAGCAACATTGTTGAGGTATTTGAAAAATATAAAGATCATTTTTAACACAGAAAGTTTACTAAATAATAATTCTTAAATGTTGCTCTAATAAATAGAGTTTGTACATGTTTCAGTCTCTTCAAGAGTATATGTGTGCCTGTAATCCCAGCACTTTGGAGGCCGAGGTGGGCAAATCTCTTGAGGTCAGGTGTTCAAGACCAGACTGGCCAACATGGTGAAATCTCACCTCTACTAAAAACAAAAACAAAAACAAAATTAGCCGGGCGTGGTGGTGCAAGCCTGTCATCCCAGCTACTCGGTAGGTTGAGGTAGGAGGTTTGCTTGATCCCGGGAGGCAAAGATTGCAGTGAGCCAAGATCATGCCACTGCACTGCAGCCTAGGCGACAGAGCAAAGATTCCATTTCAAAAAAATAAATAAATAAACAGAGTAAACGTGTGTGTGTGTGTATGTACATGCATGCATGCCTGTGTGTATGTGTATGTGTTGTAAGGTGTTTGATGAAGATTCTTTTCATGAACAGAAAAGAAACAATATTGTTTAGCTCCTTTTCCTGCCTTTTTCCACTTGGATGGGAAAATATATAAATAGTACAGTAACAAGAGAGCTAAAATTTAATATGAGCTGAATTCGAATGCTGATAAAATATTCTTTTATAACTGAAATAGGCACTGTTTAAGGAGCTTCAAGGAAAGCTAGACCTGTTCTTTCAAAGACCTGAGACAATATATTTATCAGGACTTTGGGTCTCAGTTTTACTGTACCCAAGGCAATTTTTGACATGTAATTTGGGCAGAGATAGTCAATAAATAACTAGTGGCTTTTGACTATGTGCCAGGCACTATTCTGGGCAACAGGAAAATATCAGATAGTCAAAATCCCAGACCCTTAATTAGCTGGCACGAGGAGTCTCTAACATCTGGGAAAGAAAATACAACAAAAAACAGAAGTAGAAAAATCACAGTGAGTAAACGGAGTATGTGGGGGAAGGGTGGATTAAAAACTAGAGCAGATGTAGGGTACTGCTGTGTTTTCAGGGACCACAATTAATCACATTTTTTCTTCCCTTGTGAGTTACAAACCAACTGAGAAATAGACATGGAGTTGGACAGATGGAGAACAAAACTTTAGCTTTATTACTGCTAAAACTGGTTGGAAGGACATGACCTAGATATGTGGCCACAATCTGGTGTTCTAATACTTGCTCTCTGAGTTGAACTTCTCCATACAAAACTACAGCTTGCCCCAGTAGCATTACTGTGAGATTAGGGAACATAGCCAAATGCATTGTCCTGTCCTTAGCCAGGGGCTGAACCATGCATGCCCAGTTCCTTCTCTCTAGCTTATCAATTATATCTCATCCGTCCTGGTTATGGTGAATAAGGGGGATTTAAGGATAGGTAGACATGTTCTTTCAATACATGACCTTGGTGAGGATTTGAATGAGGATTTCTTTCCTCTGAAAATATGAAGAGAGTCTGCTTCAGGTTCCCTTAGGTACAGGTGGGAAAACCCTGGGTAATAGGCCAGAGCCACATGACACAAATTAAAAGAAAAGAAAATCACAAGGTCTTTAGCAAATGTCTCCTGGTTGAAGCAGGTAGCTTGGAAACCTTGGTTGAAGTTTTGTCTGTTAACTCAGGGCAAGTGATTATCTTTGGCAATCATAAACTCCCCAAAGAAACAAAGCTGTTTTTTAAACTTAGAAGGACTAGCAGTGTAATGATTGAAGGTATAAGGGGTATACATAGCACAGGATAAATGCTGAGGGTGCCAGGGAGTTTTTCTCTGGGTAGAAAATCCAGTTTTTGCTGTCATGGTATGTGAGACAGTCAGACAAGAAGTAAACAGTATATCTGATATTTGATCACAATCATAACACACCATACCACCAGGTCTTTGTTATTGCTCAGTACAAGCAACACTTATGGAAAATCAATGCTTAGGTAAATTACGTATAGTGGTCTAAGTCTGTGCACAAACCCCAGAGCACGAAGTCCAAAAACAAGAGCATGCAAGACAGCCCATCTGGCCTAGAAACATAGAATAAAGATTCCTAGTGAGTATATGTTACCGGTACCTAATTAATATTTGGGTATACATTTTTATTTCTCAGATTTACTTAATTATGTCTCTGTTGCAGAAGTGAAAGTTTGAAAGGTGCTATAGAAATGAAAAAAAATCTTAAAAACTAGTTTCTACATGTAGCAGGGAGAATTCTGAAAGTGGTTTCTCAAGATTCCCATACTTTGGTTATTCAATCAGACACAAATCTAGGTACTGCTAGGAAGGGACTTTGAAGGTAGAATTAATTAACTCAATAATTGATTTTAAACTAGAGAGGTTATTCTGGATTATCCAGGTGGATCCAGTGTAGTCACATCAGTGTTTACAAGCAGCAGAGGAAGCTAATGGGTCAGTCAGATAAATGCCTCAAAAAGTAATGGCAGAGGTGAGTTGATGCAGAAGGGGAGGGTGGAGGGAGTCAAAAGTAAGAGAAAGACACCACCACATCTGCTAGCATTGAAGACGGGACCGAAAACAGGATGGAGGTGACTTTGGGAAGATGGCAAGAACACAGGCTGAAAGCTGGTAGGAAAATGGAAACCTCAGCCCCACAACCACATAGAACCAAATTCTGTAAACAGCCATAGAATCTCCAGAATGAAATGCATTCCTGTGAGCACCTTGATTTTGGCCCTGTGCAGACGGCTAGCTGTTCCATATTGTGCCCATGCTTGTGACTCACAGAAACTGTGAAATAATAAATGGGTGTTGTTTAAGCTATTAAGTGTGTGGTCATTTATTACGGCAAAAATAGAGAACACTTTGCATAAATGCGTTTAGGATATTGTTAGGTAGGGCTTACTTGGACTTGTGAGCGTGGCCTATTAGCTGATCCAAGAGCTGTTCAAACAGTCCAGTGCGCAGTAAAGTTAAGTTACCAGATTCCATCTAGCATATTTTGAAATAGAAATAAGAGAATTAGCTCTCACTTTAGAGGTTTGTGACCAAGTATACTCTCAGAAAGCTCTGTTGGTGTTCAATACGGAGGGCCACAAACTAGATAGTGAATGTTTAAGTTAAAGGTTGTTGTAGGCAGAATAATGGCCCCAAAGATGTCCATGTGTCTGGAACTGGTGATTATATGTCAAAAAATAATTAAGATTGCCAATGAATTATTAAGTGTTAATCGGCTGGTCTTAAAATAGAAAGATTATTATATAATAAAAATTAGGTGGGTCCAGTGTAACCCCAGGAGTCCTTAAAATAGTTTGAGTGAGATATAACTATGGAAGAAAGGCAGAGATTTGCAACTTTACTGACTTTGAAGACTGGAAAGAGGCCTCTATAACCTGGAAAAGGCAATAAGTGAAATCTCTCCTAGAACCTTCAGAAAGGAACACAGCCCTGCTGGCACTTTAATTTTAACCTGATAAGCTGGGCGCAGTGGCTCATGCCTATAATCCCAGCACTTTGGGAGACCGAGGTGGGCAGATCATCTGAGGTCAGGTGTTCAAGTCTAGCCTGGCCAACATGGTGAAACCCTGTTTCTACTGAAAATACAAAATTAGGTGGGCGTGGTGGCACATGCCTGTAATCCCAGTTACTTGGGAGGCTGAGGAAGGAGAATCACTTCAACTCGGGAGGCAGAGTTTGCAGTGAGCTGAAATCGTGCCATTGCACTCCAGCCTGGGCGATGAGCGTGAAACAAGCTTGTGTTGTTTACCAAGCTTGCCCAACCCATGGCCCACAGGCCACATGCAGCCCAGGATGGCTTTGAATGCAGCCCAACACAAATTCATAAACCTTCTTAAAATATTATGAGATTTTTTCTTTGCAATTTTTTTTTAGCTCATCAGCTATTATTAGTGTTAGTGTATTTTATGTGCGGCCCAAGACATTTCTTCTGATGTGGCCCAGGGAAGCCAGAAGATTAGACACCCCTGGACTTGAAAGCCACCAAGATTGTGATAATTTGCTTCAGCAGCAAATAGAAAACTAATGCAAAAGTAAATTGGCTTAAGTACAACTTAAATTGTTTCTACTCAATTTAAAACATTTACAGTCACATGACAGTGTTTTAGTCAACCATGGACTGCGTATATGATGGTAATCTCATAAGACTATAATGGAATGAAAATTTCCTATCACCTAGTGACATTGTAGACTTTATTACATCATGGTGAAAACACATTATTCATGTGTTTGTGATGATGCTGATGTAAACAAAGCTACTGTGTTGCCAGTCAATAAACGCATAGCACATACTTTTATGAATACTGCATAGTACTTGATATTGATGATCAATGTCTTTGTTACAGGTTTAGATATTTACTACACTATAATTTTATCATTATTTTAGAGTGTATCTTTTCTACTTGTTAAAAAAAGTTAACTGTAAAACAGCCTCATGCTGGTCTTTCAGGAGGTATTTCAGATGGCAGTTACCATAGGAGATGAAAGCTCTATGCTTGTTATTGCCCCTGAAGACTTTCCAGTGGGACACGGTGTGGAGGTAAAAGACAGTGATATTGATAATTCTGATTCTGATCTTGATCCTAGGCTAATGTATGTGTTTGCGTCACAGTTTTTAACAAAAAACATAAAACAGTTAAACCAAAAGAACTTTAAAAGTAGAAAAAAGCTTATAGAATAAGGTTATGAAGAAAGAAAGCATTTATGTACAGCTGTACAATGTGTTTGGGTTTCAAGCTATTACGAAAGTCAAAAAGTTAAAAAAAAAACCTTTATAAAGTAAAAAAAGTTGCAGTAAGCTAAAGCTAAATTACAATTAAAAATAAAAATATTTTTAATAAATTGTTGTAGCCTAAGTGTACAGTGTATATAAAGTCTACAGTAGTGTATAGTAATGTTCTAGACCTTCACGTGCACTCACCACTCATTCATTCAGTCACCCTCAGCAACTTCTAGTCCTGCAAGTTCTATTCATGGTAAATGTCATACATAGGCATATTATTTTTTCTTAATTTTTGTACTGTGTTTTACTGTATCTGTTCCATGTTTAGATATTCAAATACTTATCATTGTGTTATGATTGGCTGTAGTATTCCGTACAATAATACGCTATAAAATTTTGTAGTCTAGGGGAAATAGGCTATACCACACAGCCTAGGTTTGTAGTACACTATAGTGTCTAGGTCTGTGTAAGCAAATTCTATCATGTCACATAATGATAAAATTACCTAAGGACACATTTTCCAGAAGGTATCTCCATCATTAAGCAATTCATGACTGTATTTAGTTCAGCTCCTTCAATGAACTATTCCTCTTATTTCATCCCTTTCATGTATTATACTCGACCTCCTAAATCTATTTCAATTCCAGTAATTCTTCAAAATCATACTCCTATGTATTTCATAATTTAATGTGCCCATGAATCACTTTCTTATTATCGTAGAATGTAAATTCTGATTCAAACTGGGGTGGGGCCTTAGATTCTGCATTTTTTATAAGCTGCTGGTACACAAAGCATACTTTGCTATCCTGAGCTGATAAGATTGCCACAGGTGGCACTAAAGGCATAACTTGTTTTATTACACCATGCTAATATTGCTCTTGACAGATATTTCATATTTTACAAATTGAATTTTTGTGGCAACCATGCCTTGAGTAAGTCTGTCAGTGCTATTTTTCCAGGAGCGTGTACTCACCTCATGTCTCTGTGTCATGTTTCAGTAATTCTTACAATATTGCAAACTTTCTCACTAATGTATCTGTTACGGTGATCTGTGATCAGTGATCTTTGAAGATAAAATTTTAATTGTTTTGGGGCACCACGAACTGCACTCATATAAGACGGTGAATCCTTCAGTAAATGTTGTGTGTTCCTACTGTTTCATTCATTGGCCAGTCCCTCATTTTTCTCCCTCTTCTCTGGCTCCCCTATTCTCCAACACATAATAATATTGAAATTTGGTCAATTACCACCCCTACAATGGCCTCTAAGTGTTCAAGTGAAGGAAAGAGTCAAACAGGTCTCTCAATTTAAAACAAAATACAGAAGTGATTCTCACCCAAATTTTCCCAGGGAAGTCATGTGAAAAAGACAAGATAGGGCTGAAAGCTATCCTCTCACTTCAAACAGTTAGCCAAGTTGGTAATTGAAAGGAGAGTTTTGGAGGAAACTAAAATGTACTCCATTTAACACTTGGGTGAAAAGAAGGAAAAACAGCTTTATTGCTAATACAGAGAAAGCTTTATTAGTCTAGCTAGAAGACCAAACCAGTGGTAATATTCCCTTAAGCCATTGCCTAATCCGGAGCAATACCCTAGTATTATTCAATTTTGCAAAGGCTGTGGGAGCTAGAGAAGAAAAAGTTTGAAACTAGCAGAGGCTGGCACATGGAATTTTTAAAAAGAAGCCATCTTCATAAAAATGTTAGGTGAATTTGGAAATAGTGATGGAGAAGCTGCAGCAAGTTATCCAGAAGATCCAGATAAGATCATTGATGAAGATGGCTACAGTAAACAACACATTCTCAGTGTAGGTGAAATAACATTCTATTGGAAGGAGATACCATCTATGTGACTTTCATAGCTACAGAGAAGTAAATGCCGGGCTTCAAACCTTCAAAGGACAGATGTCTCTCTTGGTGTGGGGCAGGGGGTGGCTAATGCAGCTGATGACTAATTTGAAGCCAATGCTTATTTACCATTTTGAAAGTCTAATGCCCTTAAGAATTATGCTAAATCTCCTCTGCCTGTGCATGTAAGCAGACCAACAAAGCCTGGATGACAGCACATAGCTTTATAACATGATGTACTGAATATTTTAAGCCTACAGTTGAGACCTACTACGCAAGAAAAAAGATTCTTTCAAATATTACTGATTATTAATTGACAGTGAATCTTGTCACCCAAGAGCTCTGATGCAGATGTACAAGAAGATAAATGTTGTTTTCATGCCTGCTAAAACAACATCCATTCTACAGTTCATGGATCAAGCAGTAATCTCAACTTTCAAGTCTTATTATTAAAGCAATACATTTCATAAGGCTGTAGCTTTTATAGATAGTGATTCCTCTGATGGATCTGGGCAAAGTAAATTGAAAACTTTCTGGAAAGGATTTACCACTCTACATGCCATTAAGAATGTTTGTAATGCATGGGAAGAAGTCAAAATGTCGTTAGTAACAGGAGTTAGGAATAAGTTGATTCCACCCTTCATGGAGGACTTGAGAGGTTCCAAATTATCAGTCAGAATGTAACTTCAAATGTGGTGGAAATAAAAAGAGAACTATAGTAAAAGTGGAGCATGACGATGTGACATAAGACTTGCTGCAATCTTATGACAAAACTTTAACAAACAAGGATTTCCTTCCTATGGATGAGCAAAGGAAGTGGTTTCTAGATGGAGTCTACACCTGGTGAAGATGCTATGAACATTGTTGAAATGTGGCAAAGGATTCAGAATATTACTAAAACTTAGTTGATAAAGCAGCAGCAAGTTTTGAGAGGACTGACTCTCATTTTCAAAGAAGTCCTACTGTGGATAAAATGCTATCAAAAACATTGAATCCTATAGAGAATTATTTTGTGAAACAAAGAGGCAATGGGTGCACCAAACTTTATTGTTGTCTTGTTTTAAGAAATTGGCACAACCACCTCAATCTTCAGTAACCACTCTCTGATCAGTCTGCAGCCATGACGTTGATGCAAAACCCTCCACCAGTAAAAAAAAATTTACTTCTTACATACTCTGTTGATAACTTGTGTGGATTATTATTCTCATTTTCCTTTTATTTTATGCAACACACATATATGCATAGTCATTTAGCACTCTTAGTCCTCTTACTATTTACTAAACTGCCTTGATTAAATGTCATATTGTATTGAATCACCTTTACATAATTTCTTACATGATTTTTCATTCTATAAATATAAAATTTAATTAGGTAATTTCTAGAATCACAAAAATATCCATGCAGTAAAAACAGGTTCAATAACATTTAGTATTTTTAAGAGATTTACTTTTATTTTTCGGATTTTTTCATTTCATATCTGTGAGAACCATTATACATGGTCAATACTCTGCTTTAAAACTCATTACTATCTAGTTATATTTTCTATAATAAAGTATTTCTTTTCCAATGTGTCACAAAGCTCATGATTTCAGGTTATATAAAGGAAATGGTGAATAAATTGCAAGGAAAATATTACCCTTCTTTCTTTCAAGCTAAATATGCATATTTCCATTCAGTAATCGCCAACATAGAGAGTGCCAGTATTAGATTTTTGTGAGCCATGCAGTGCTCTTAAGAATTTATAAAACAGGGAAACATAAAGTTTGAGTGAGTGCACCATGCAATGTTATGTGATATATAGCAGATTTTGTCAGTACTGTGGAAGCAGCCTTGCTCTGAAAGTTCTTTTCCGACTAGAGTTTGATTGAAGCACACGACTGAAAGAGAAAACAGTTATATTAATAAAATTCAAAAGTCAATGCTTTATCTCAAAACACTGCCAAACTGCATACAATATAAACAGAGATAAAATGACATGCCTAAGACGAATAAAACATCATCTAAAAACAGAAAATAAAGCAGAAAAAGCATTTGCTATCATCACATTTCAAACACAATTGGAGAGGCCTGAAAGATAGCCCATATGAAAGAGAAAGCAATCACGGAACACAGTGCATGGCAAGGTGGGGAGTGGGAGGCCCAGAGCTCTCTAGAACATTTATTATCATTGCGGAGCTCAGAAAGTACTTTTCTTGTGAAGCCACTGACACTCGGTTTTCAATCCAGCCATATAAATGTGTAGCAATTTGAGAGTCAGCACAGAATGTTAAAGACAAAATTTTCCCCCATGGGTGTTATCAGATACTGCAAAGTCTTTAAGACTTGAAGGTTTTTCACATTTCCACGCTTCTGTGAATAAGAAAGAAATTTCTCCAAAAAAGAAAAGCAATTTTGTTTGCTGTGAGAGTTAGCGAATGGCCCTCCATTCTGCTTCAGATGTTACTGTATTTCCACTATGCTTAAGATGTTTTTGTTTTATCCTAAATATACAGAATGTTTAAAGATAACCCAGGTAGAATATAAACAAATACGTAGATACTATTCTTTTATCTATAGCTTGTACTTTCAAATAGCTGTCCTTCACCAATGGATTGTTTTAAATAATTGTTTGTACAAAATACTTGTAATCATTGCAAAAGCACATATAAATATATGTTAAATATGTTTTTAGAGGTAATATAAAAATTTGCCTCTAAATTTCACACAACAGTCCTCATTTTATATACATTCATTAAATCCCAAATAAAATTAATATAAAGAGAATATTATCTATACAGTGGCAATATTTGGTAAAGTTTCATTTGTAATATATGATTAGCAGACAAAGACTGAACCTGAACAGATGCCCTTATATTGGGAAGCCTATTGTAAAATTAATAGATTTTAATGTTATATGTAGAACCATTGTCCATAGCATTCCTCTTAGCAATTGTAAAACCATTAAAACCAATGATGAAATAGAAAAGTTAGTTGCATATTACCTTAAAAATTATCAACTATAAAAGAAAAGTAAGAGCTCTGCTTCATTATATATTAGAATGGCATGTATGAAATGTTGGCTCCTTTCCAAATCATACAAAACAATTTACAGTTTTTGCAGAGGACTTAGAAGTACCTAACATAAAAGACATGGAATCAACCCAAATGCCCATCAACAATAGGCTGAAGAAAACATGGTACATATACACCATGGAATACTATGCAGCCATGGAAAGGAATAGATCATGTTCTTTGCAGGGACATGGATGAAGCTGGAAACCATCATCCTCAGCAAACTAACACAGGAACTGAGAACCAAACACCACATGTTCTCACTTAAAGTGGGAGCTGAACAATGAGAACACGTTGACACAGGGCGGGGAACAACACACACTGGGGCTTGTCAGGGGGTCGGGAGGGAGAGCATTAGGAAAGATAGCTAATACATACTGGACTTAATACTTAGGTAATGGGTTGATAGGTGCAGCAAACCACCATGGCACATGTTTATCCATGTAACAAACCTGCACATCCTGCACATGTACCCCAGATCTAAAAAAAATACAAAAAATAACAAGTACCCAACATATATTGTTTCTTTTGAAGGTGATGAAATTTACATATACGGCAGTTTATAGAATTTCTCAAAGCTCACATCATGAATTAATGTCATAGTTGTATCTCAGTGTGTTAATTAAATGATGCTAAATAACTTATTACAGGGGTCAGAATATGTCTGCATATTTTATCACTAGTACTAGATATAAACCTGTTTATTTTATTTAAATTTTAGTTTTATATTCTATTTAATATCTTAATATTTACTCATAAATTTCACCTAAAATTAAAGTTGTAAATTATGCAGCAAATTAAAATTAAATTGAATTTCCAGAAATCACAGCATGTAATAATATTCCAAAGTTGATTTGGAGTGTGGCCAACACACCAAAGAATTAATGAACATACTTATCTATTGTCATACGTAGTAATATCTAAATTATTCTACCAAAAAGAAACCTGCATTTATATGTTTATCATAGCACTACTCACAACAGCAAAGACATGGGATCAACCTCGGTGGCTATCGATAGTGGTGGTACATACACACCATAGAATACTAGGCCACCATAAAAAGAATGAAATCATGTCCTTTGTGGCAACATGGATGCAGCTGGAGGCCATTTTCGTAAGCAAATTAACGCAGAAACAGAAAACCAAATGCTGCATGTTCTCACTTATAAGTAAGATATAAACAATGAGCACACACAGACACAAAGATGGGAACAATAGACACGGGATTTCAAAAGCGGGGAGAGAAGAAGGGAGGCAAAGGATGAAAAACTACCTATTGGGTGCTACGTGCACTACTGGGACGACAGGATTATTAGAAGCACAAACCTCAGCATCCTACAAAATACCCATATAACAAACCTGCACATATACCCCCAAATTTAAAATTAAAATAAATAAAAAATAAAATACTTTAGTTTTGGATTTCAGAATAGGCAACATAAAGGGAAACAGAAACAAATGTATGTGAGTTAGGTTGATATTCATTACCTCAGATTTAATTTTGAGTAAACACAACTAAGAATAACACTTAGAAATCCCTGATACAATTTTCTTTGAAAATACTGAAGAAGAAGATAGTATTTGAATTTTAACACAGGCAGTTTTGTTGGACTACATGCCACAATGTCTATTATGTTTGTTTCAGAACTAAAAATATATAAAGTACTACCAAACCTTAAAAGTAGCAAGAAAGCCAACTGCCCTGATGAGATCATAGTCGACTTGCCTTGAACTGTCTGAAGATGTCTGTATCTGTGATTGTTATTCACAAAGGACAGCCTGCTTACAATCAAAGGCTGTATTAGTAATGAAGAGTAATAAACAGTAGAGCTTTTGGAATTCTGTGCAAGTATAGTTGAATCACTTTAGAAACAGAGCTCTTATAATTCACACACTGTCCATCTTCACCTAGGAACAACACAAGGGTACTTTAACATTAGAAAGCATATTAATACATTTGACCACCTTCATAGATCAAAGGAGGAAAAATATACATATGATTATCGAAGTTGATGGAAGAAGAGAAAGAATTTAAAACTCATTTATAATAAGAACTATTAGCAAGTTGGTAATAATATATAATCTTACTCTGATAAAGTCTATGAACAACCTATGGCAAATATAATTAATGGAGAAAGTTAGTTTACATTATGTTTAAAGTAAGGCATAAGACAATGTTACTGCAAACAAATATTCTGTTGAACATAGAATTAAAGATACTAGTAAGTGCTATAGTGAAAAAATAATAAGTAAAGAATTTAAAAGGACTGGAAAAGAAAAATAATACTATTATTGCAGATTATATAATTGATGACAGTAAATCAAGAGGATCTACAGGCAAACTATTAAGGTCCATTAAAATGTTCACCTAGATCACTGAATCCACATTTCATACAAAGAAAAGGTAGTTACTATAAAAACATAAAAGAAGATTATTTAAGTTCAAATAAAAAGATACTTTTTAGAGTTGTAAATATAAGTCATGTAAAAGTAAGGTTAAAAATACAGAAAACGTAGTCAAAACCCCAAGGATCTAAATAATAACAAGATATGTTTATTGTTAGAAAGATCAAACATAATGATGAATAATTTAATAAAATAATATGCAAATCCAAGTCAGTTCCAAACAGCATTTCATAGTTTTTCATAGAACATGAGCTTCCGAATAGAAAATGAAATTGGAAATGTAAATGTTGATGAATAGCAAAGATTATTTTGGAGAATAAAACGAGGTGGTTTATTTCTCTAGCAGATATGTCTAAATAAAAGCTGTATTAATTTCTTGTTAGCATTTTAAATTGTGGAGAAATCATTCAATTAATAATTGATAGAAAATTGGCTATCTGAATGGAAAAAAATTGAGTTATATCCCTGTCTCAGCCTACAAGTTAGAAAAGAAGTCTTTCCAAATAAGTTAAAGAGCTTTTGTGAGTAGCACAATTTTAAAACTTAGAGAAATATAAGTGATCTTTTATGATTGTTAAGTAAGGGAAACAAGATAAATAATACAACTAATGACTTTTAATGAATTTGATTTCATAAAATTTAAAAATTCCTGTGAGATGAGAAAAATGATAAAAGCTCAGACTGAAGGTCAATCACAGGTAGGGAGTGGAACATACAACCCATGCCACTGATAAAGGGTTAGAAAGATATGCATCAATAACAAAAGAACAGGAACCTAATGGAGAATTGCTAAAGAAAGTCAACAGAGAATTTATAGAAAATGAAAACTAAATGGCCAATTATGGTCTCACTAGTAATCAGACAAATGGTTATTTTAACAAAGACATTGGTAAAAAGATATAAGTCTAATAGCATCAAATGCTAGAGGGGCTGTCAGATTAATACATGATTAATGGAAATAGAAAGTCATACAATTTATTAAATTTAGGAAATTAAAGTTTTACAATCATGATACATTAGCAATTTTCTGCCTGATATCTAGTCTGCAGAAACTCTTGAATATATAATTTGTGTTGTTTGTTATTGCAGTGACTGTAATAACAGATAAGTAAAATCAACAAAAGTATGTTTCTGTTAGAGAATAGATAAACTACAATTTATTCTCACAATGAAATATTATATACTGGTGAAGAGGAATGAAGTACCTCTTCATGAATCATGATGAAAAAAATCTAAAAACACTGAGAGAAGTATTCAAATATTAAATATTTCAAAATTATATGTTAAAAAGGATACAGTTCATGTAAAACTTTAAAACACAGAAATGATATGTTTTGTGTGTTTAGATTGCATATATGTAGACTAAAGATAAAACTCTTCATAGGAACCATCAATATTACTTTGGAGATAGTATTTACACCTGGGAGGCAAGAAAGGAGAAGGGATGGCAGTTGGATATTAGTCATATCTGCTGCAACTTTTAACACTTTGTTTATTAAATAAAAATCCAGACAAAGTATGGCAAAACATTGTATCTTAATACTGGGTCATAATTGTTGTTACATTTTTATTTTGTATTTTTCTTTATGTTTGCATTTAATTATTGTTTTTAAACATAAAACAAGTAATTTCTAAATTATATCTAGAGTTATTTTGTATAAACATATGATTTAAGTTACTCTTTTCTGTATTTCAAAATGTATGTGTGTATGTTCTTGTGAAATGGCTTTAGATTAATAATAATGGTGGACATTTTCTTCTTCCATTATTTTCTCTACCCTATGCTGCCCACAAAACACATTGAACTTGCTTGGAGATGTTAATGTGGTATTTGAGGGGATTTTAATTTATCAAAATAATTTAAAAGTAATAAAATATACCTAAATGCATTATCAAATGCCTGTCACTTTAATATCTTAATAACCTATGTTTGATTTGCTGCATTGCTTGCAATAGAGACTAGTAAATACGAAGTTATAGACACATTTCTCATTTCATAGTGTTGACTTTGTTCATGTCAAAATTATATTCGAAATACATGGAAAACAAAATATGATAGTGTCTTTAATAAGATGTCACTTTAACAACTTATATCTTAGGCATTATAGTATTAATAAATACTTTCTATTGCTTTCTTTGTGTTGTGGACATTTGCAGATACTTTGCATACATACATTTATTTAATCTTCATACACCCAATGGCTCAGCTCTTATAGATGAGACACATAGAGTCAAGAATGTCAAGTAAGTTGCCCAAGGTTGCATAGCCGGGAAGTGGTACATATGGCAATTGCATTGTAATAGTTGTCTTCCAGATTAAGTGCTTATTTCATTATCTCATTATCTCATTCTGCCTATGAATCCCTTTTGTTCATACCATATTGTATGTGAATCTAGTCCCTAACTAGTTCAATAAGTATTTAGTGAATCCATTCTTGTATCAGTTATTGTTCCTGGACTGGTAGTATGGAAGCGATAAGGATTTTTCATGAACCAAAAATATATTAGCCATCTCAGACGTATTTACAAGCCAAGGTTTTTAAGCTTCTCTGAACTGTAAATTGGTCAGTGTTTTGGAGATTACATTAAGTCTTGTATAAAATCAATAAAAATATCATATAACATTATTAAAATATATGCACAAGAACTGTTCTAACAGATTTATATTTATTTGAGAGAAACACACAAGTAAGAGGTAGTTATTATTATTCTCATTTTAACAATGAGTAATCTTAGGCATATAAATTTTATGGACTTTGTCTAAATTCTCATATTCATGACATGCCTGATTTGGATGATTACTCTCTGTCAGTAGTCCTGAAATGCCATTTGTTTGCAAAAAGAAAAAAAATACAGAAAATATTTAATTTTTATTTATTTTTAATTACTCTATAATGTATTAAAAATGGAAAGAAGCAATCATTTTTCTATATTCATCTCATCCATATTCTTCTTTTAAGTTTTTTAAAAATCATTGTCTCACTTTTTTTTGAGATTATGATGATAAAAGGTGATTTCGGATTTGTTTGATTTTAATGTCCTGTATAAAAAGATAAAAATTGGCCACGCTGTCTATTCCCAAAATATTTATTTTGTTTCCATTATGTGATTTTACTGGACCATGTATTCCAAGCCTGAGGCCCAAAGATACTAAAGCACTCTTTTTCGATCACCATATGCTTTCATCCTATAAGTAGAAATATTATTCTGTGATGTTTCTTCTTTCCTCTCTATCCTCTCTCTTTCCCACTCTCATCTCATCACGATGAAAAATATCAAGTCTGTCTCATTCATATTTGTAAATTGTTTTGCTGTCAGTAGGGTGCTTAGCCATAATCTGTTTTTAAGCATTGTGTCAAAATTGAATCATGTTGCCCTCCAAAATGTTCTCAGGTGATGTTAGGACCAGAAAATGGGAAAACCACACTTTCATGAGTATTCCGTTTAAGGGCTTATAATTTAATCACAAAAATATTGCATAAAATATACTTAGGTCTTGGTTCATTAACAACACTTCTGGTAATACCTATGGAGTTCAGAACCATGGACAGAGTATGCTCTCCTACCTTCTCCCTGTAGTTGTAGGTGACTGGAATATTTTATTATAGAAAGAGATAATGAGAGATATGTAGACACAATTTGGGAAATTATAACGTATTTCCGAGGACATTACTCCAGTGTGTGCTGGATGTGAAATTTTGAAAATTTAAAAATTTGCAAAATTAACAAGCAATTTCTGGCAAGATGAGTGATTGAGAATTAATTATTGCTAAAACCCTAGAAGTGATATATTGATTTTCAGTAAGAAAATTTGAAAGTACAATGCCAAAAGTACCTAGTTGCCTAACTCTTGAAGCTATAGAGCTGATTTAGTAGATGAGGGAGCAGTAAATTTAGCAGAATTTTTCATAAAAGAGAGATGTGCTTGGAACATCCAAAATATTACCTAATAAATTGAACTTCTCTGGGATTTATATGGCAGTTATCCCTTTTATAATTTAATGAGCAAAGTTCTGACAAAAACTTACAGGAATATATGTATCATTATCATGTACTTCCTGGGAAAACAGTATAAGACTTTCACTTTTGGAAAAAGAAACAGAATATAAAATTAAATATAACTGCCAAAAGACTTGGCTTATTATAAGTATAATTTTATACTATAGAATTAATGCATATTATTATGGACAATTGCTAATGACTCTATGTATTAAACTATGTTTCAAGGACAGTTTTAGTAGTTTAATAATTGTTAGAAATTTTTAAGGGGCAAAATATAGGAGAGTTTATTTAATATATCTTGGTTCTAAAACCTTGTAAAAATTTCCATCGGAGTAAATATTATACAGAATAATTTGATTTGAGGGGAACTCATAATGAGATATTATTTATGGATATTATGTAGGTCATACTGTTTCCAACCAAACACATGTTACCTTAATGTGTCATTTTCTCATCTATTGAGGTCTAAGATTTCCAAACAACTGATGAATATCTCTTTAAATGTAAAACCATATTTGTGTATATAATTACCTCTTTACATAATTATTTTACATTCATTTTGTATGTTTTCTGCCTACATAAACAGCATATGCTCAATACAATGGCTTTTCTTGATATTTTACCATTATAAAAACCAGCTTTCTTAATTGTAATACATTTTCCTCAGTCGTGTCAGTTTTTTAGCTCCTAACTCAGAACCACCCCTTCACATTCCACCTCACTCTTAAAGATAATTTTAAATCCTTTCTCCCCAGTTATCTTGCAGGAAGGGTGAACTCTGATGATACTTGACTCATAGAGAGGATCAGAAGGAGCTTTCTGATGGTTGAGGGCTGTAGATTCCTGTCACCCAAGTAATGCTAGAGTTACTTAAATTTTTACCAGTTATGCATGTTTGCATTTTTCTTATACTCAAATTATATGAAGAAAATGTACATAATTTTTGAACAACACATAAATGGATACACATTCATATATAAATTACCAATAAAAAACAGATTACTGACTTGTGAAAAGCAAATATATTAACTTGTTACATTAATATTAACAATCCTATTTATAAAAACA
Source organism: Homo sapiens (assembly GCF_000001405.40). Taxonomy (NCBI): domain Eukaryota; kingdom Metazoa; phylum Chordata; class Mammalia; order Primates; family Hominidae; genus Homo; species Homo sapiens. The sequence goes on from NC_000021.9 coordinate 21,232,398, forward strand.
TTGAATTAAATATTTTTTAGGTTTTAGAGGAATCAGTTAATAATCATTTTTGAGTTTCAGTTGTACAGCTGTGTTTGAATATTGCTTGAGTTGCCACTTGATGGCAGTCATGTCTTTGGCATCAGAAGGGCAGTTTGCTTCTCTTCTGGTAAATAGGATTTAGAGTATTTAAAAATACAGCCAATGATCTTAGGAAAATTTAACTTGTTATGGGAAAAATAACATCCATTAATAGGACTAATTTTTGCTAGATATGTAAACGTATATTTCATGCATGATTTTTATGTGTAGACATTATTAAGAAAAAGTTTTCAAAATATTTTAGCTTTTAAAATTATTTTCTGGTGGAATCCCAACATTGCTTTAGTTTTATATGCCATCCTTTCTATCAGTGTCATAAACTGTAGGAGCAACTCACCCTTGTGCTGTATTTGACCCAGACTTAAAAAAATTCCAGTCTTTTGACATATTTAATTACAAAATGGTTTCCAAATGTTGGTTCTTGAAGACCTGAAAACTTCCATAGTCTTAAAATTCTGGGAATTTTGCAGAAAATTTCTATATTTCTACTTTTCCTTTAAGATAGAAGAACTTAGTTGCTTTTCCTGAAATGTTAACTAATTTTCTGATTTTGCACTTTCTATTTTTTAAAAAAATTCTGTTATGTTTGAGAGGTAGTTTTGGGTTTTTTTCTGTGACTTCCTTCTGTATTAAGTTTTTATTTTCTACTTGGCAGGAGAAAGAAGATTGATACAAAATTGGCAAGTTCTTCTTTCTTTGTTTTGTTTTGCTTTTAGTTCTACCTCCCTCTCCAAGACACATTCTTCACAATCAGGATGAAATTTGACTTTTTTGCCTTGGAAACATCCTACTGCTAGCAGCATTAAAAAGATGTTCAACCATTCTTCTGTTTCCCATAAAGCTCCAACTTTTACATTTTTCTCAGTTTATGTCATTTAAACTGGAGTTCCCTTACTGATGACCTCTCATAGAATATGATTTCATTTTTTTATTTTAATAGTCAAAAATATATGTTTCTTAACTCCTTAGAAGCAATAGAGTATTTTTAATTTGACATGCCATTTTCTCTTCATATAGACATTTTAATCAAATTAATTATTGAAATGATCAGCTAATAAGATACTACAAAATTTATATTGTTTAGATAAAAATGATCATATTAAATATTTATTGCTGTCTGGAAAATGGTACTGAATGCACTTAAATTTCAAAACTTGTTTTAAGGTATATTGTGAGTACAAACGATGTTTTGGCATCACCCACTATAGATACAAATAACATGTAAAACACAATAAGTTGTATGTCAGCAATGTCTAAAAATGCTGAAATTCAATAACGTGTTTCCCCACGAAAGTAGTAATTTGGGTCATAATATAGTTTCTCTTTGCTATCTAAGAATATCAATAAAAATTACCATTTTTGTTTGGTCTTAGAATAGAAGTAATAGAGTGAAATCTGGTGATAATATTATATACCATTATCAATAGAAATACCTAACTTTTGAAAGAAGTTATAATTTTTATGTCATGTGTGATGGAGAGTCCGTTTATCAGTAGGTATATACAGTACTCTATTTAAGAGCGTATAAAAGTTCATAATTTTTACATTTACAAGTGCTCAATTGTCATATACTCCAGTGACAAAGAGTGTATTTAAAATACTCACAGAGATTTTACTAGTATTAGTGTAAGGAAAATTTATTAATATTGGATTGCCACTTAGGTGAAATGTGTGAGGGATATTTCTGCACTATTTTATCTGTCCATTCATTAACAATCTACAATGCACTAGAGCAGCACCTTGCCCTGGAAGTACTCTAGTTAATGCAGGAGTAAAATAGGAACCCTTCACTCATGAACTTTAAGTCTATAAAAAAAAAAGTAGTAAATAAATGGATACATATGTACAATGCTAGGAAATATACAAGACACTATGTGAGCACATAATAGATGCATCTTGCTTAGTTTAAAGACAGGATCAGTAAGACTCCTTGTAAGAATATATATTAAATATACACTTACATTTTAATTAAATGGAAATATGCATAGGAAAGAATTTAAATTAACTTAGAATGTGTATAAACTCTTTTCTTAAGAGAGTGTTGAAGTATCGATTTATTTCCAAATAAACATTTTCTGTGTTAAAGTGCTCAGAGAATAAAAAATGCTGATTTTCAATTTTATAATAACTTTATTTAGTGAGGACTTTTCTCATTTGCACATTATCCGTGGTGTGAATCATACATGCGATTGTTTTCCCGGCATTAATGACCTCTTAACCCAAGCTTTTCCTCTGAGTTAATGAGTGTCTGGAGCAGAGGGAGCTTTTAAGCAGAGTAGAGGACTCTTGATCCATATGATCATTACCTTACGAGAAATGCCTGACCAACAGGTCATTATTGCTGTTACCGTGCTGAGAATTTAAATGAATGATGAATAAATTGTTCAGTAGATTCTTTTTCAATTCAAGTAGATATTTAGTAATAAGCAAATTGCAGCTAAGGGTATTTTAATTCCATCTTGTACATTTATAGTGCCTACTTTTATAATGGCATAATGTCTGCTATAATATTTTGCAGTTTTAAAAGTGAAACATCGTAGCAAAATAGTTTTGAAGTTATTTCCATATGTCCATCAGGCAAGTCAGAATAGGGCATGGAATTCAATTATTTAAGCACCTTTTTTCTTAGGTAATCTTATGGCAGGTACACAGTTAAAACATTAAAAAAAGTGGGGAGAGAGTTAACATGAATTTTAACATGCTTTAGTAAGAAAGATATTTTTATAAAAGCTTCATATCTTTGCTTTTTAAAATCAATTCAATTTTTTATAAGAACTTAATGAAATGAGTTACATTTTATATTACAGCTTTTGGCAAGGAAGAAGTACTTGAGATTGAAATGTTACAGGAATTTTGCAGGGAAATTTAAGAAATAGTTTTATTTATTTCTTCTCTGATTAAATAATATCAAATTTATTTGTTATGTAATATATGTAAATTAACGTGACCAGCATTCGAAAAAATATGTAAGTAGGTAAACCTAATCCACTTCATTTTCTCAATTCATTATATTTAATTGATTAATTACAAAATTCTCCAGAAATACCTAAAATTATAAACTGAAAACGCTATAGTTCAAGTAGTCAATCTATCTTCAAATCAGTTAGGACCTTTTGTATTGAATATAACAGAAAATTGAAATAAAAATTTCAATTTGATTTATATAGTGAACAGAATTACTTGACTCATCTAACTGAAATGCATAGAAGCTGTAGATGAAACTTTATCTAGCACCTCAAACTCAGCAGAAAATTCACTCCTCCATCTGTGCACAATTGTTGACCAATACCCTGAATTCAGATCTCAGCTTATGGGTCAATGCCACTAAAGACTCATCCTCAACCCCTGTCTTTACTGAAATCAATCAAGGCCCCTTGTTATATGTCCTCAGAGAACCATCTATTGTCACTATTACTTACTGTTAGTATTATTAGTAGTAATATAGTCATTACATTTCATAACCAATTATTTCCTTGGTTGGCATATGAAAGGCATGTAATGTGTACTTACTGAGTTAATGAATGCTTGAATGAAGTCAAGCACCCATTACCATTCTTAACTCATGGAATGACCAGGGACATAAATACCCTGAATAATGTTCCTCTCTCTTGGCCTTGTTTAGTGCTTGTCATTTCATCTCTGATGAAATTTTACCCTCTATGAAACTTCCCTGATTATCCAAGCAAATAAATAAATAAATAAAGCGCTTCCTATCTAGGAAATCCCAAGATGTTATCTCTGTCTTTTGACATTGATCATAATCATAAATATAATAGAGTAATTTCTGCTAACTTATAGTTTGAAGAACAAAAATTGTGTCATTTTTCCCTCTATTCTCCATGGTGGAGAATTCGTTGATATCACAACCATCAATAAATATTTTTAAGTTAATAAACTAAAAGAAAGTTATGTTATCTTTTATTCAGTGTTGGTTGTTTTAACTGTTTTATAACTATCAGTTTCTTTGTAATTTTTTTTTGCAAATGTGAAAGTAATTTTATGGTGATTTGTGCAGTTAGTGGTCTGCAAAATTGTATTTAATCAAATTTGTGCAAATTATAACATAAAAGAGTAGCTTCTTTTAAAATAATTATCCTCTGATAAATAATAAATACATTTTCATTGCATAATAGTCTCCAAATATCCATTCGTAAATAAAGTGAGATAAACTTGGGTCTTTTTATGTTGCCTAGTATTTAATAAACTTTTAGATACCCATTAGGTAACTTCATAGGTCCTCTCTCCCATGAGATAGATTCTCAGAGAAATCAGTACATATGTGTGTGTGTGTGTGTGTGTGTGTGTGTGCATGCACACGTGTGCATTTTACAAATAAAATTTGGAGTCTTCATGCTTTCCCTAATATCCACAATATCACTAGGAACAAAATAATCTTTAAGCACTTCGGCAGAGTTGGACGTTTAGGATAGAAAACTAGAGTTATGTAGACAATAGTGTTTCATTACAATTCCTCTGTCACATTTGTCTATTTTCAACATTTTTCTGTCTTTTTATTTTCCTTAAGGCCAAACCTGCTAACGTTAGACTTCTGCTCCTTATTTATGTTTTTATCCCTGCTTTCTCTGCTTTTCAGATCATTAATTACTGATTGATATTTAATCCTATTTCTGGAGGCACATGGTTGGCATTTTCATGAGAATGAACAGAAAGAATACAAATATAATCGGCATGACTACCTAATTCCATAATCCTTTCATTAGTCAGGCATCCCATTTAGTAGAGTATTTAATCCTGCAGAGAGCCCTGAGAAATCAGCTCATATTGTCACTGTGGTTTCAATTTTTTTAAGGTTCCATATCATTACCTCTTCTAAGGAAAATTCTACCTAGCTACTTTCTATAATTAGCTCTGTCAGTAGGTAAGATGAAACGTAAAACTCTGGGCAGGTTTAAATATTTTATAGCAAATTGTAGTATAATTATGAACATTGTGAGTACTATTTTCTCTTTCTGTCATTGGAACTCAGAGATAAAATTTTTATTTTTCTATGAATTAGGAGGAAAAAATGTTTCTTTAAATGATCTTTTAGCTTACCTTTCAGCCTCAAGATTATGTTTAAATAAAGGATTTATATCCCAGATTAAGAATTTCTATTTCATTTTATTTTTCCCTCTTATGAAAGCACATGTTCTATTGGACAGTTGAAGGTTTACTGTTTTTCAAATTAATTTGAGACTTGTCTTTTCAGAAATTTTAGTAAAGGTAAATTCATTTTCCCATAGCTATATTTCCTAATAAAGGGCATTAATGTAAAAAAAGAAAGCTAATTTCACAAATTATATAGTATAGTTATGGTTTCAGTGGAATTTCTTAACCAATACTCATATTTAGCATTACTTGGTAGTTTTATACTTGTAAAATGCTGAATTGCATATACTAAAAAAAAAATGATACTTCCTTTAAAGAATCTTTCATTTCTTTGTTAAATTTTGTCCAGGGCATTGTAATTCTTTTTTTTTTTTTTTTTTTTTTTTGAGACGGAGTCTCGCTCTGTCGCCCAGGCTGGAGTGCAGTGGTGCAGTCTCGGTTCACTGCAACCCCTACCTCCTGGGTTCAAGCGATTCTCCTGCCTCAGCCTCCCAAGTAGCTGGGACTACAGGAACGTGCCACCACGCCCGGCCAATTTTTTGTATTTTTAGTAGAGGTGGGGTTTTGTCATCTTGGCCAGGCTGGTCTCAAACTCCTGACCTCAGGTGATACGCCCATCTCGGCCTCCCAGAGTGCTGGGATTACAGGGATGAGCCACCGCGACCACCCAAAACAGTATTACTGATTTTAATTTGCCTTAAGAACTGATTATTAGAACAAAAATAAAAAGCTAATTTGATTTATTTCATTGTTTTCATTTAAAATAATACATACATTTATTTGCTTAGCCAAACAGTATTTATCTAACATTATTCACTGGAAGTTTGACAGATTGCATTACTTGATCTGGTGAATGAAAATGTATATTCTGAACATGGAAATTACAGAAGCCCAAATATATTATTACATATACAACTCAGAAAACAGATAACGTGAAATCATAAAGATGTTCATAACAGTGAACATTTAGTTTGGGGGGAAATTAAATTTAAAAATATATTTTTATTTTTAATTAAAGAGAATATGGTGTGCCAATACTCTTTTCTTCTTAATATTAGTATTTGTTAACTCAGGCCTACATCAGAGCACTTTTCAAAAGAGTTAAAGCATGTAAAAATAGAATCACTGGTCATTTCGGTAATAAATATTAGGGCGATTTTCTTTCTTGTAAGTAATAAATTGGCCATTTTCTACCGACATAATCAACTAGAAGTTCAAAGAGTTGTTTACGTCAATTTCCTGGGGTTGCAAAATGGCAGCTCCTCAAATATGTATTAAAATACTGATGAAGGCTTCAATCACATGGCGTAATCTTCTCAGAGCAATTCCCCTCAGTGGGTCATTACAGCAGATAATGGAAGCATTTGTAACCTCTAGATACAATTGGACTAAATGAAATTAGATTCCCAATTTCCTTCAGATAAGAATATTTCAAAACGTTGTCAGCATTTATTGAGCAATAAACGGGGGGTGGGGTTGACATTGTACAAAGATACACAGAGCTCCCTCATCTCCTTTATCTTTGCCTCTAGAATGTTTATTCTTTAAATTAAACATTTATGCAAACAGCAAAATCAGATGTTGGGCAAGCCCAATGCTAAAAGGGTTGGCCAGAAATTTTTCCCTGAGGCATTGGCAACCCATATTAAAAATATATATAAAATGTTTCCGTGTGGAAAGGCAGAGAGCGCCTCCCACCACAGCCATCTTCAGGCAATGCTCATCCAAGTAGACATCTAGAGCAGAACATTTTAAAAGGGAAAATATGTGGCGGATGCAGGAGACAGGATGCAAGCAGTCTGATGCCCATCATCTATATATAGGGTATGGCTCTTTGTAACCAGCAATGTTCATAAAAATTATCTCCCTTTAAAGATATTACCAGGTATTCTGGATAATGGTTCAATGTTAGGGTGATATTAGTAAAAGTAAGGCTTTCTATTGTTAAACATTGAATTTGAAGGTATTATATACATCACCTAATTATTAAACCCTCCTTTAAAACTTTTAGATGATGTGTTCATGGTCATGGAGTTAGTGGCCATTCAGTAATAAATGTAGACACTGATTCCTAAAAGGTGGAATTTTTTTTTTCTCTGCTCTTAAAGCACATTTTATCATAGTCAGTCTTTTCAAAAACTAATTATGAAGACTGTACCTGGAGGACAGGTAGACTTAAAAGTAAAATTCCCTAATATATAAAATATATACACCTTAAATACAGATGGACTAGCATTTTAAAAATTGAGGTTGGGATTCTTTTAAATCTTGTGTCTATATTTATATAAATGCTAATTGTGTTGGGTAATCTCAAGTATGTTTTTTCCTTCCAAAGGATACTTGGCTCAGGAAAATCAATCTCTTTCTCTTTCTCTGTCTCTCTCCCCCTCTCTTTGTCTCCCTTTATGTTTCTGTCTCTTAAGCTTATACACACATACACAATATGACACCATCATCTACAAAATAATATTATCACCTATCTTCTGTTTCTTCTAGAAGAAGTTGTGTTTGAACTAAACATATATTTTTAGTGTTGTAAAATGGCTCTACTGAAGAAATGTTAAGAGCAAGATTTAAACTAAAACTGTTTTAAAAGGGACTATGTCAAATGCCCAACAGATTTCTTTCAGCCATTTTTGGATTGTCATGTATTCCCATTGGTGGTGGCATACATTCTTAAAAAGTAATGTGCCAAAGCATACCATATTTTCTCAAAATTTTATAGAGTTTTAACTACTGAAACATTTGCATGCAAAAATATATTATATAATTTTGCTAAAATGCTAAAAAAAAAAAAAGCAAAAAAAGCTACAATTTTGCACAAATTGTTTCTGAGAAAAAAGATGGATTCTTACATAAGATTATTGGATATCCAGCCAAAGGGAAGGCTACGTCAGTTTTCTGTCTCTTTACCAGAGAGCCTCATGGTGTGGTGGAAAAGGCACTTAACCCAGACTCTGGTTCTGACTCCGTCATTAATTACCCACGTTGTCTCTGGAGAAATCCCCTAACTTCTTTGAATGACAAATTATTCTTCTGTGAAATTTTGAATTTTCTAATAGTTTATTAATTTTATTTTTATATCTACCATCTCATATTTTTCTCACATCAACCCCAGTGAGGGATTTGGTGAATCTCCTTGTCCCTTAAAATGACACTGTGACCTGGTTAAGTAAAAATTCTTCAGGATTTATAGTGAATTTAGGCAATTTACTTACCTTCTGTGTTTCAATTCTCCTCTGAAAACAATGGGGATAATTATATATATCTCACAGGATTTTGAGGATTAATTAATATTTATAAAATGTTTAGAACAGTCTTTGGGACAAATAAATATTTCAATTATTATTGTTGATGGTGTTTTAAGAACATCATTATTGTTAGCAGTATCATGTTATAGTTAAAATTGCTTGGACCTTATATGACAATATCTTATATGACAATATCATAGTGATTTGATGGAAGCAAACTATATATGGCATCTGAATGTATCTTGAAGACTATAATATTCTCCATTTGTAAAGTGTGATTTATAAATTCAGCATACAATAGTATATGATGCAAACACTTTCAATTAAAAACAAAAAGTTTTTGGACATTTAGAATGTCAAGAAAAGAACAATGACAACAAAAAAATGGCTTTTTAAAAATATATTGTTCTTTTGGAAATTATTTCTACTCATTGACCTTAAAAAAAGATAAGTTCCTGATGATTTATCAATGAAAAAATCCTTGTCTAAATTATTCTAAATGAGAAAACATACAGTATTTTCACAGTTTATATAGGCTGGGTCTTTTTACATTAAATTCTAAGTTCTCCTTTGAATTATATAGCATATAAATTGTTAACTTCTGTATTTTATAAATTATGGAATTAAATGCATATAAGCTATTTAACTTGGACAAGCTCATTGAAAATATGTGATGGAGTTCAGGCTGTAGCCCAGATTTATTCAGTGTAAATCACATGTGCTTTACCCCACTGCAGTAGGGCAGATGGTGAAGAGGGGTCTAATGGCAAGCAGTCTAGGAAACCTTGCCAACTCCATTCATGTGAAGGAACTGCCAGGTTGTAAAGGGCTTATTCCAGGTAAATTAAATAACAGAAACCAAGGCTCTGTTTTTTTTTTTATTAATAACATAATCTGAGTTTGGACAAAAGGCTGCATACTTCTGAGTTCCATGTTGACCAGGGTCTGCATAGAGAACATTTTGGTTTTGATCGATAAAATTTGATGGTGAGTGTTCAAAAACTGTCATTATTTGGTTAGCTTCTACACTAATTGATAGTACAAGTAGGAAGAAAAAATATTGCTCATTATAAAAATTGGCTCTAGCTAGAAATATATTTTGAAAGCTTGCAGACTAATAATCAAGTAAAAATTCAGAAAATATTAAAATAATGGATCTCAGAATAAGAATGTGGAAAGTAAATCATTCATTCAGTCAGCCATTACACTAAAATTGTCAAATACCTATTAAATTTCTGGAATTACATTAAGTGGTGAAATACAAATTTGATATATACAAAGTACATCGACAAATGTTTACCAGTTCTTTGTTACTAAAAAAGAAACCTCCCTATTGTCTGTATTTTTAATTTAACTTTTTATCTTTCAAAAATATTTTAATTGACAAATAATTGTATATATTTATGTGATACAACATGCTTTGATATATGTGTACATAGTGGAATTATTAAATGAAGCTAATTAGCAAGTCCATCACTTAACATACTTATTTTTTTGTAGTGAAAACATTTAAAATCTACTTTTTAAAACAATTTTGAAATATGCAATGCATTCTTATTTATCATAGTCATTCTGTACAATAGATTGATAAAGCTTATTCCTCATATCTAACTGAAACCTTTTTATCCTTTTAGCAACATCTCCTCGTTTCCCAATCACCTGTGTTTCTATAACTCTGGTCATCTCCATTCTGTTCTCTACTTCTATGGGTTCACTTTCTAAGATTCTAGGTGTCAGTGAGATCCTGCCGAAGTAGTCTTTCTGTGCCTGGCTTATTAGCATTATGGCCTCTAGCTTTATCTCTGTTGTTGGAAATAACAGAATTTCCTTCCTTTTCAGCTGAATAGTATTCCATTGTGTATATAAGACCACATTGTCTTTATCCATCTATCTGATGATGGACACTTAGTTTGTTTCCATATCTTAACTAATGTGAATCATACTGCAATGAATGAATACCTTTTTGGCATCATGTTATCCATTTCTTTGTTATTTGTTCTTAACATTTAAGTAGGAGGAAAAGCTTTTGGAATTGCTATGAAGGGAAAGAGGTATATGGGAAATGCATCAAAGCAGAAATGACAATAGCAGGAGAAATTATTGAAGAAAACATATAGGGAAAGATAATTATTCTCTGTGTATTTTGGACTCTCTTATTTCAAAAAATAAAACCAGATGAACTTTCAGCTAAGGTTTCATAAAATAATTAAATTAATAATTCATACATAGAATGTAGAGATGAAGCAGGGAATCTTAAAAGAGACACAGAAAACCCATAGGGCAAAATACTTCCAACGTTTTAAGAGCCAAAGAAATAATATAATGTCAGTGCAGGCAGCAGTTGCATGAAACTCAGAGGTTTCAGTATTGTCCCAGAGGTTCAGTATTTCTATTAATAAAGAGCAAAAGTCTTAGAACTATGGGAAGAAATAATTTAGAATGCATAGATATGTTCTCAGGCCATCTGAGAATGAGAGTTACACCTTGAAAAAAGTCATAAAATACTATTACATTTTTTGTAGGGGAAATATTATAGCTCATAAAGTTTAGCAGAGGTTCAGTTATTACTGATTGAAATGTGTTTGGTGCTATATTACCCTTTTTGGGGTTTTGGGTTTTAAGAAGTACAGACATGCTTGGGCTAACCAGTTGATGAAAATTTATTTGACAGTTAAGAGATGTCGAGAAGGAAGCCTTCAAAGCTGTTGCCCATATTGCAGTTGGCTGACTTTGGCTTTGGTTATGACACCTGGTTCTGATAGTTGTGCCCATGGTGGCATGCCCACCATCACATGACTATCTAGCTTAAGAAACCTGAGACTATTCCTCTAAAAAGAAGTCTAGGCCACTCAAATGCTGCTTAGAAGATGGACGTGTTCCATGGCTTCCAAATCCATATTGCATCCACTAGAACAGGTCCTAAAGCTCACACACATCTGGGAGCCTTATGATGGAAAGAATAGATAGAGGGTTGTATCGGTCCTATTCAAGGAAGGTCCTGTTCAAGGAAAGTAAGATAGAGTTGATCTTTAACATAATAAAAATATGAGGAAGATAAACAGCCATGATTCTAGTTACTGTATGCCCATAAGGATCACCTGGAGAATGCTTTGTAATGATTATATTTGTTCCCTTTAATTATGAGTCAGTAGATCAGGGAATAGGACCCAAGCATGGGTAAATTTTAAGAGCTTCCAGTGTAATCTAATGTATAACCAGAGGTGATATCCATTGGTCCAGTTTAGGAAGGATGTTTGTTTGTCTAAGTAACTGTAATAATGTGAGGCTGATTTAGGTTGGTGGCAAGTCCTTGAACAAGGAACACAGGCCATCCTCTTTTATTCATCTCCTAAAAGTTTTGACTAGCTAGCCAAAAGAATAAAACCCCTTTACTATAAAAGGAAACCTTTTGTTGCTCCCAAGAAGAAAAGAAAAAAATAGAAGTAACAAGAATGTCAAAACCCGTAGTAACTGGAAATGTTTATTTAGTATAAATTTGATGAATTGTAGTCAAATACAGTACACAATTTATGCATATTCTAATAAACCCATCATAAACTCTCAGGTACCTTGGTGCCTTTCCTTCTTAAAAGAATATGAAATTTTGTTATCGATAATACGAAGTTTTCACCCAAAAATTACCTTAAATAATTTTGTTTTTATTTGAATTTATCATATACGTTGTATATTAAATGCCAAAATTATATATAGGCCACAGTTAAAAAACAGGCCGAGTGCGGTGGCTCATGCCTGTAATCCCAGCACTTTGGGAGGCTGAGGCAGTTGGATCACGAGGTCAAGAGATCGAGACCATCCTGGCCAACTTGATGAAACCCTGTCTCTACTAAAAATACAGAAATTAGCCGGGAGTGGTGGCAGGTGCCTGTAATCCCAGGTACTCAGGAGTCTGAGGCAGGAGAATCACTTGAACCTGGGAGGCGGAGGTTGCAGTGAGCCGAGATCGCGCCACTGCACTCCTACCTGGGGACAGAGTGAGACTCTGTCTAAAAAAAAAAAAAAAAAAAAGGACATACGGTATTACAGCACTTCAATGTGATATCCGTTAACTTCATTTAATATCTGTTTTCCCAACTGCTTCCTTGAATTGAAACTGTAACACACAGAACCAGAAGTCCGAATTCTTCAAATCAAGATAGACATAAAATAACCAGTATTCAAGGGGGTATACACACTCCAAGGACTGATGTGAGGACTGAGAGTGTTGAGAGACATCTGGGATCACTCCTTACACATTTCTTCATTTTTCTATGTGGCGGCCGTACCATTCATCAACACTACATTTTATGCACATGCATTCCTCCAAGCTTTTGCTATTGTGTTTGCATAGGTACCTTTTTTTCTCTATATCACTCATTCTTCATTCAGAGGTCAACTATTATCAACTTCTCTGTATGCTACACTCGCCATTTCCATGCGTCAGATAATTAATGGCTAACTCCCTTGTAATTCCACAAACTTTTCTGTCTTACCACATTCTATGTTCATATGTGAGTGATTGCATATGTGTTCGACCCTTCTTTTGTTTTGTTTGTAAGTTGCTTGATAACATGGGCATCACTTTTCCTTTTGGCATAAGCATCAGTTTTCGCTGTCCTTGGATGTACATGGGAAGTTGTTTTCTCACACAGACAGAAAAGTAATGGCATCCACCTGCAGTGGCCAGACGTGTCCACTCAGGAAGATTGTCAGGAAGACCCATGAAGATAATGTGGGTCAAGGTATCTCCTTCTTTGGACCCAAATTGCCCGAGGTTGCCTCTTTAAACATGTGCCTAAATATTTCACTGCACTGATTCCCCAAAATCATGTTGTAAACACCAAAGTTCATAAACTGTTTGTTTCATAATTTTATTTCTCAGATACTTTTTCCTAAAACCCTCAGTTACATTATTTCTTTCTTTCTTCCCTGAGGGAGAGGAAGTTAGGTGGATGGTAGATGATAGATAGGGAGATGGTAGAGAGATAAATGGCAGATGGTTAGTGAGAGAGATAAGGAAGATGAGGATAAGGAAGAGAAGGAAGGAAGGTAAGTAGGTAGATAGGTTAGATATGTGTTGATAGACAGTAGATATGGTTTTAAAATATGTCCATAAATTTTGGATACCTGTCTTTTCAAGTTAGGAAGTCTAATTTCCTCCACTTTGGTGTGGATTGTACTTAATGACTTACTTCTGACAAATAAATTATAGCTAAAATGACAGCGTACTACTTTGAAGACTAGTGATAAAAGGTACTGAGCCTTTTCCTCCCTTGCTGTCTCTTGGATCCCTCAACTTTGGGGAAGTTATCTGCCATGCCACTCAACCAGCCCATGAAGAGTCTCATGGGAATTGAGGTTTCTTACTGCCAGTCATGTAAGTGAGTGATCTGGGAAGTGAACTGTCCAAATGATATCCTGACTGCAAGCTCATGAGCTTATAAGATCCTAGCCAAAACCACTCAGCTAAGCCACTCCTGAGTTCTCGATCTCGGTAAACTATGAGGTAAATATTTGTTGTTTTAGGTGATTATTTTTGGGGTAATTTGATAGCAGAAATAGATAATATAGTGGATGAGAGACAAATTGATAGATGATAAATCAGAGAGAAGTAGAAAAATTAAAATATACCAATATATTTGCATACAAAGAGATATGTTATTACAGAAATATGTTTGAAAATTCAAAAACGTATGTAATAATAAAGTGATAGTTGTTATTTTATGTAAATTAATTTTGCCACAAATTTGAGGTTTTGGTAGTAACAAATTGCATATAAATCTGTGAGCTTTTATTCTCTATTTCATCTTTATTGCAGTTTCTAGATATTCTTAATAATCACATTGATTGAAAATAAGCAAAATAAATCCATGAAAAGTTATCTGTTCAATGTAATTTTCTCACTCTCAATATTTGGTTCAAATTTTAAATTTAAACATGCATTTTTGAAACTTTTCAGAAAACTGTCAATTATATTTTTCTATCTTCTGAAGTACCGTGGCTGTAAATGTACTGTATGGATGGGAAGACTAAGGCAACATAGCTAGTGAGTGGCTAGTATGTAAATTATGGGCTAGCATGTGAATTATTGAACTTGCACTTTATCTTGAATAATAGCATTTAACCTACTGGGTAAACAGCTTCCCATTGCACTGTCTCTGTAGTCTGTCTCATAGAGTTTAATATGTTTAAAAAAAATTTAGACTAGGCGCGTTGGCTCACGCCTGTAATCCCAGCACTTTGGGAGGCTGAGGCGGGCGGATCATGAGGTCAGGAGATTGAGACCATCCTGGCTAACACAGTGAAACCCCGTCTCTACTAAAAATACAAAAATTTAGCCTGGCGTGGTGGTGGGCACCTGTAGTCCCAGCTACTCGGGAGGCTGAGGCAGGAGAATGGCGTGAACCCGGGAGGCGGAGCTTGCAGTGAGTCGAGATCTCGCCACTGCACTCCAGCTTGGGCGACAGAGCAAGACTCCGTCTCAAACAACAACAACAACAAACTTTAATTAAACAGAGGGATTTTGCTTGCTTCTAGGGCTGTTTCAAGGAAATCTATTAAAGAGAAACGAAATACAAAATTAATTTCTGAAATTAAAAGTTTAAGATCTCTTTTATCTTAGAATATCTGCATTTCACTAATTATGCTTTGGGTGAATGAAAATCTATCTAGGTATTCCTAAAATTATTACTGTGAAAGTGAAATATAGCTACCCTATAATTTATGCTGAATTATTTTTATCTCATCAGGAATTTTGTGTTGGATGAAATGAGTCACCCTGTAATCACATTGTTTATCTTAACCAGTGTTTGCTTTAGATAGAGTCATATTTCTATGTAATTACAGTATTACGTTTAAAGGTATGAAGAATGCACACTTGTTTCTACTCACATCTGCTTTATTTTTATTGTCCAGTACATACTTTTTATGATTTTATCATAATAGGAATCAATTATCATAGTAGGAATCAATTTATCTGAATGAAAATATTTTTCTACTAATGCTCATCACTGCCAGTAGAATTTGTTTTCCTGCCTTCTTTCCTCCTTCTATTCCTCGTCCTTTTCTCCTTTCCCTTCTTCCTTCTTTCTCTTCAATTCTTTTAATTTATGAGTTTAAACTGACTTTAAATTCCTGTAGTTGGGGATAAGGCATATACAGAGGACAGAATGTGAGGGAAGAGGCACTTGTGCATGTGTGTGTGATATCTTTGAGTTTTTCAATTCAATTAAATAGACAATAATATTATATAAGTATGTGTATAAATAAGTAAACTCTACATGTATATGGAATTCTTCCCTGAATTGACAAAAAAGTATTATTTCCATTTTATAGATGTAAATCTTCAGGAACAAAAAGTCCAATTGACTTGTTTGTATGCTTAATTCTTCTCAGAGCTTATTTAAAAAAAAACATACAGTTATATAAAAGTAACCCGAATTATGATTTCCAATCTACTTTTCTTTCTATTTATTTGATGAATTAAATGTTAATATTCCCTCATCATTTAAATAATTTCATTTTGATTATCATTAAACAATTGAGTAACCTTACTTTTCTTCCTCTTTATAATCTTCCAATGTTCTTTTAAAAAAAATTCCTTGAAACACAGGAAAAAATTGTCACATCTTAGTCTTTGCTCTCTTGTGAAAAAAGTCCATTAAGATTTATGAATTTCTGCCTGTAATCCCAGCACTTTGGGAGGCCGAGGCAAGCGGGTCACGAGGTCAGGAGACTGAGACTATCCCGGCTAACACAGTGAAACCCCGTCTTTACTAAAAATACAAAAAAATTAGCTGGGCGTGGTGGCGGGCGCCTGTAGTCCCAGCTACTAGTGAGGCTGAGGCAGGAGAATGGCGTGAACCCGGGAGGTGGAGCTTGCAGTGAGCTGAGATTGTGCCACTGCATTCCAGCCTGGGCAACAGAGCAAGACTCTGTCTCAAAAAAAAAAAAAAAAAAAAAAAAAAAAAAAAAAAAAAAAAGATTTATGAATTTCTTTCTTTGGCAAAGTGCTTTGCTCTCACATTAAGGGCATAGACTGATTGAACTTGCACTTTATCTTGAATAATGGCATTTAACCTATTGGGTTAACAGTTTTGAGGCTCCCAAATAAATGTCCAGGTATCTGCTGAATTGTTTGACTGCCTGGGTTATAAAAATATCTTGAAGGTCAGATAATGCTAATGTTTGAGAAATGCATTTTTTATCCCTGATCTAGCTTTCCTTACCAATTATGAGGTAAAAATAGTAATAAAATAATAATAATGATAATTACACTGTTAACTAATGTTACCTAGAATCTAAATCAAAAAGAATGATTTTCCCAATATCCATGATCCTTTCCTCAGTTACATATTCCAGTCTTCTGAAATAGGATTCCACAAGAGAATTAAATTTATGGAAAATGATTAGAGTGATTATTTTCACATTTCTCTCAAGCATGATCTTTAGCTAATACAATTATTGATGCACTTGAGAAAAGTTACTACATTGCATACAATTCAGCACTGAAGCTTAATTTTTACATAGAACTGTGGTTCATAACTGCTGGAACCCCAGGATACTGAAACAATACCCACCTGCCCCACCTTGCTCCTTACCCAACCAGGGCAGTTAGTTCGAGCTCATCATTAGGATGAGCTCCATCTTCAGGTTTATTATAAACATCTTTTCACATTTCTGAAATTTGGATGTGTCTTACAGCCACCGTGTACTTCAGTCAAGTCACATTTTCTTTGTTTCCTGACAAATTTGTGCTAAGATAATGACCTGCCTTACAATAAATGGCTTCTTAGAATCTAGTACTTTCTTTAGCAGACAATCAGCACCCCCACAATTATTTATTTATTTATTTGTTTAAGTATTTTTTGTCTGTTCTTTAGGTCAATAATAGAGTGTCCCTACAAGGAACAAGAGATTTTCCACAGATGAAAAAACAGTTGTTAAAATTTAATATGAATAAACTGTTCATAGTCAAGTTTTCTTCTATTAAATTATTTGAATCTATGAATTTTTCTATGAGATTAGACTGCGGTAAAATATGACGTCTGATTTAGCACATCCACATGTATTTAATTGTTGTAAGAGTAATGAATGAAGCATACCACCAAGTGTATCATGCCTCTCTCTGGTCTGGCATTTGAATGATTTCAAGAACCACTGCCCTCAGGTCCTCTTTTGTGCTGTTTGAAAATGTGCAGTAATAGGTTCGGATAGACTAATCTGTGCCTAAGTGATAGCTAATATATCTTCCTCCCAGGTAGTATTTAGCTTGATTAAAATGGACAGGTCAACATAAGGCATTTCTAGTGGGAATTTCAAGCACCACTGAAAGCTAATTGAGCAAGACAAAGCTTATAAAGAAGAAAGTGCACTTGAGTTACCAAAATTCTAACTGGATGCTAGAAAAAATTGTATTTGCATTAAATTTGTTACAAGCACTATGGTCCTTCTCAACTCATGCTCTCTAGGGAGGTGCGTACTTTACCTATGAGTTTAATCTCATTACTCGTTAGCAAATTAGAGAAAAGTTGCTGTTGACATGTCACATAATGCAACCATAGGTGCTGTGTATTTACAAAGTTTGCATTTGATGGACAGAGCATTTCGAGGAATGCATAAAAATATGATTAGGCTATTTTTTCTAACAATAAGCAAAGAAATTATAAATATATGCAACACATGGGTCAGTAAGTCTAAGGCTTACACAGACTGCGGAAGGTAACAATTATTAGTGAAGAGACCAGGTGGAGACCCCTGCAAATCTAAGTGTGAATGGTTTCGCAGAAGTCATATGTTTTTTTCAAATTAAAATTCATGTTTTTAAAAAACAACGTTGTGGGACAAACAAAACATTTCTACTAGTCACACTATATCCACAGATTTCCATTTTGTAATCTATGACAGAAAATTTCAACTGCAAACTTTCACTTCATTATGAATATATTATAAAGTGTATTAAATTTCATCCAGTGGTAAAGGATGATCCTGGAATATGTAGAATAAGTATTTAACGAATTTCTTTCTGGTCCACTTGTATTTTATTCATGGAAAACAGTTTTGATCAGAGATGTTCCTCTGTAGCTATGCTAATATTACATGATCATAATTGCTTTTTGTTTATGAGATTATATGTCCTCCACTAGTGCAGAACCAGATGAAACTTAAGTTTAACCTGGCATGATTATTTTTAACACCTGGCTTATCTATTCTCTTTCCTGGGGAAAGGATTAAATGTGTCGTGATTTTTTTTCCTTATTGATTATAAGTCATTAGAGAAAGCTAAGTGCTCTTTATCTAACATAAGCCAGAATTATTATTTTATTTTATTTTATTATACTTTAAGTTCCAGGATACATGTGCAGAATGTGCAGGTTTGTTACGTAGGTATACATGTGCCATGGTGGTTTGCTGCACCCATCAACTCATCATCTAGGTTTTAAGCCCCACATGCATTAGATTTTTGTCTTAATGCTCTCCCTCTCCTTGCCCCCCACCCCCTGTGTTGTTCCCCTCCCTGTGTCCATGTGTTCTCATCATTCAGCTCCCACTTATGAGTGAGAACATGTGTGCTGATTTTCTGTTCCTGTGTTAGCTTGCTGAGAATCATGGCTTCCAGCTTCATCCATGTCCCTGCAAAGGACATGATCTCATTGTTTTTTATGGCTACATAGTATTCCATGGTGTCTGTGTGCCACATTTTATGTATCCAGTCTATCATTGATGCGCATTTGAGTTGGTTACAAGACTCTGTTATTGTGAATAGTGCTGCAGTAAACATACGTGTGCCTTTGGGAATATACCCAGTAATGGGATTACAGGGTCAAGTGGTATTTCTGGTTCTAGATCTTTGAGGAATCACCACGCTGTCTTCTACAATGGTTGAATATCCTTTACCCACTTTTTGATGTTTTTTTTTTTTTCTTGTAAATTTCTTTAAGTTTCTTTTAGATTCTGGATTTTAGACCTTTGTCAGATGAGTAGATTGCAAAAATGTTCTCCCATTCTGTAGGTTGCCTGTTCACTCTGATGCTAGTTCCTTATGCTGTGCAGAAGCTCTTTAGTTAAATTAGATCCTGTTTGTCAATTTTGGCTTTTGCTGCAATTGCTTTTGGTGTTTTAATCATGAAGTCATTGCCTATGCCTATGTCCTGAATAATATCACCTAGGTTTTCTTCTAGGGTTTTTATAGTTTGGGGTTCAAAGGATATGAACAGACCCTTTTCAAAAGAAGACATTATGTGGCCAACAAGCATGGAAAAAAAAGCTTAACATTACTGGTTATTAGAGAAATGCAAATCAAAACCACAATGAGATACCATCTCATGCCAGTTAGAATGGTGATTATTAAAATGTAAGGAAACGATAGATGCTGGCGAGGCTGTGGAGAAATAGGAACCCTTTTACACTCTTGATGGGAGTGTAAATTAGAATTATTCTTAACAAGATAACAAATGTGTATCCCTGAATCAAACTTTATTTGCTGTATAAGCTATCCAAATATGCCCTTAAAATATAATCTTTATTATATAAAATTATATGATACAATATATAAGATATATACTCTCCTTTATTATATAAAATATAATCAATTATTATAACCCATATAATATATACGATATAATCTAATCACCTTCATTATATAAGACACAATCTAGTCAATCAATTATAGAATATGCCAAAGCACCTGAGAGCTACGAAAGAAAATTTTTCAAAACTGAAATCAAAATGAAACAAGAGTGACATATGTAGAGCTGCTTGATGCTGTAAACAGTAATGCAGTTTTATATCAAGCAGCTAAACAAATGAAGCTATTTCCACACCCGTACACTCTTACTACATTTTTAAACACTTGAGAAATTATGCTGGATAAACCAGTAGCCAAAATAAAGTAAAGTGAAAATGAATTCATCTCGTGTCAAACCTCCAAAACTGTTATTTTTCTTTATTTTCTCCTGTCTACTCTCCCTCCCCTGATTTCCTTCCTTCCTGTTCTTGCAGGGACATTGCTATCTTACCACTCAGACAAGTCAAGCCTTACATTTTATGTCTCACATATATATTGATGATCATCTCTTTTAGTGAACATCCGAAGCATTATCATAATCTTACTCCAGATTGTCAAATCTCCCAGCACTAAAAGCTAATGGAAAACTGGCCATTTTTCTCATTCCATGTGTTTTTTATTTTACTTTTCCATCTTCCCTTTTCTCTGATCTTGATTTCTCAATAATTAGAAACCGACATCATTGAACTGCTTCTTCTAAAGTCCTTTTACAACTCTCTGCCATTATTACTGTTATCCTTCTTTTTACAACTATCACACTTTGCTTATGCACTTCTCTCACATTCTTTCCTGAATATCAACATGGATGGTTATGTTTCAAGTTTCCTACGAAATTCATTAAGCAATTTGAATGGAAGTGGGTTCATTTTGGTAATTTTTAATAGTATTGAGAACAATTCCTCCTTTACATGGTAGTTCCTCAGTAAGCACTACTTATTATGGTCTGAATGTTTGTCTTTTCCAAATTCATGTGCTGAAACTTTATTACCAGTAGTATAGTATTAGGTGGTGGGGCCTTTGGGAGGTGATTAGGTCATTGGAGCCCTTATAAATGGAATTGGTGCCCTTTTAAAGAGACCTCAGAGAACTGCCTTGCCCCTTCCACAATGCGAGGACACAGCTAGAAGGCTCCATCAATGAACCAGAAAACAAACCTCACCAGAATCTGTGAGAATCTGGAATACCTGAATCTTTGACTTGCCAGCCTTCAAAATAGTAAGAAATAAATGTTTGTTCTTTATAAGCAACATAATTTTTGGTAATTTGTTATAGCAGGCCAAACATACTAAGACATTATTTGGATGAACTAGCCTAAAATTAACCAAAATTTAGAAATGGTTTGTTTTTACACTAGAAAAGTATTCAAACTTAAAATGCTTACGCTATGAACTTGTAGATATCAGGGAAATCGCTTAAACACTTGAGTTCTAAGGCCCAGTAGGTAACGAGCCTAGATTTCAGACACAGAATTACTAGTGATTTATATGCTCAGGCTTTTGGCATCAGACCTCAGTGAAATATCCTTGATTTTATCCGAGTATACAGGAATTTTCAAAATGCAGAGGGATTATAAAATTTAAGACCTATGGAGGATGCCCAATTTTAAGAATCAAAAAGGAGAATATAACAATTTGTCAAACCAAAAACTTACACCAGAAAATAAAGTACCAAAACAAGGGTACAATCTCAGGAGACTGAAAATCAAGGCAGTAAATATTCATTTTATTTAGTTTCATTTGTCTTATTTATATTTTTGTCTCAGCTTAGTATCAAAAGCCGCACTTAGCACATTTAGCGTATTATTCCTTTTATTTCTTAGACAGAATTTATAACATAAATGCTACTCATCTGCCACTTGGCAAGTGAAGAATCTGAAACTGAAAAATCATGAAATTTGACTGAAGTTACACAGCTATTAAGTCGCAACGCCAGCCTATCTACTCAGGTTTGTTGTTGAAACTTGAGCTTTTAATCACTCATAACCCTGGCTTGGAAATCTAGGTCAATTGCCTGCAATAGAAGATGTTCTTTATAGCTTGAATTTTAATCTGCTAGTTAAGTCGTGTTTGTGGATGATCAGAAAATGGCATGTTGATCAATTGACACACTTTTCTCCTCAAGTTTCCTCTTCTTCCTTCTTCTGGAGCATTATTTTGAAAAAAGGTGAACTTTAATGTCTAGACCATAACAAGTCGTCTGGACCATAATCTTCTTACCATGCTAATGGCTGAAGTTGGCCCTATGATATTATGAAGCTCATTTCACCATTTCCTTTGCACATTCTAGTTGTAAAGAGCTGTAATGGAACAGGATACTTCTAAAGCAGGAAAAAATATGCATGAAGTATGTGTAGGGGTGTTAGAATAAGAAGATCACCTCGGCGATAGGGTTATAGGCCCTCCATTTGTGGCAAGGTTGTTTATGGCACAACAGATGTGAATACAGGCAGATGTTACATACGTTATTTCTAACAATATGTACCCACTGGATAATAGTTTGTGTGTGTGTGTGTGTGTGTGTGTGTATGTGTACCCACATAGCATATCTATGTGTGTGTGTGTGTGTGTGTGTGTGTGTGTATAATGTTTATATAATACTGAACGTTATCAATAATTTTTTGCATCAAAACAGATTTGGGTGCCAAATGATATCTTGGATAGAATACATACCAAGCTATCAGAATAATATTAACAATTTGGGAAGGGCACAGGTTAAATGTCGGGATCTCATGGTTTTTTGAAGGTTGGGATCGTAGTAGCCCTTTATGTCTTGTAGGACTGTCTGTGGTCTTAGCACTGGATCAGAGTTATCCCCGAGTACGTTGGAGTACACTGGAACAGGCCTTAGCTTATGAGTAGCTTACAGACATCCCTGTGAGCTGTGCTCTATTTATTGAAGAGACTGAAATGTGCTTCTCATGTTGCACTTTGTTAAAGACTTTGCCTCCCAGGATCTAAGGCTGCCCGTTTAATAAAGCAGGGCTTCACCTTCTGTGAAATCTCTAAGCTGTCTCTGCTCACTTCTGCCTCTCTGGCACCATTGCCAGGTGGAAGTAATCCATTGCTGTCATTATACTGTATCCTTTAGCTGATAGTGTTTCTGCTTCTGTGATGGGAGCCTTTTGGAAGTGTTTGATTGTAAAAATCTTTCAAACTGTTCTGAAGAATGCTGTATGTTTTCTTAATTTCATAACACTAACCAATTCCTAATATATAATCGACTTCTCATATTTCTTTGTCTCCCAGCTACTAGAATGTAAATTTCACAGTGGCAGAGTTTTCCATCTTTTGTCTTGACAAAGGTGACCTAACTGCCTAAGTTCCTCTAAATATTTGTTAAATAAACATGGCCCAACTTAGTTGGTATAGGCTGAGATGTGCCTTATCTACTCCAGGCTGTGATGATTAGGTCTAAGAGTCTCAGAGCACCAGAGTCCCTTGGAAATTGGCTCTTTCCTCAGAATACAGCTTCATTCTGTCCTTGGTGCAGCTTGACTGTGACCTCAACATAATCTCTGATTATGACCAACAACATAGAGAATTATGGTAGTAACTGCCTCCTTAGTGTAAGTCCATGGCCCTGCCTAGGCCCATGTTAAAAGCCAAATTTCAATAATGTAGTGTATACTGGGTTAGGTAGATTAGAATGGAGATATAAAAAATAATATTTCTGGCTGGGCGCAGTGGCTCACGCCTGTAATCCTAGCACTTTGGGAGGTCGAGGTGGGTGGATCACCTGAGGTCAGGAGTTCAAGACCAGCTTGGCCAACATGGCAAAACCGCATCTCTACTAAAAACAACAAAAATTAGCTGGGCGTGGTGGTGGGCGCCTGTAATCCTAGCAACTAGGGAGGCTGAGGCAGGAGACTCACTTGAACCTGGGAAGCAGAAGTTGCAGTGAGCCGAGATCACGCCATTGCACTCCAGCCTGGGCAACAAGAGCAAAAAACTCTGTCTCAAATAATAATAATGATGATAATAGTAATATTTCTAATTACTAGCCTAGTATAGACACTACTGGGGACCAGGCTACTCCTGTTCGTTGCCTGTAGATGTTTATTATTTTAGCTGGATGGTATAAGTTTGATGATGGACTGTTCATATGTTCTTGCAAATGCAGTGAACTATATTACACACCATTAATTATAAGTCTTCCACACTCAGATTCTGTGAAAGTCCCCCTAATTTGTTGATGACATAAAGCTCCACCTCTACAATCATATGCCTTTTTTAAGGAGTGTCATGAATCCAGATACTGAGATCAGGGACTTACATAAGGCCAACTAAAAAAACCCTTTACAATGTATTTTACATATATTATAGTTTGTAAGTATAAACATTCAACTACTGTTAATGGACTTCTAAGAGAAGTCGAGTCATTTCTGTGTGTTGGAACCTCCTGTGATCATCATCCAGAGGAAGTTTCATATACGCTGGAAATCCAGTTTCATAAAATGTTACCTAAAATGTAATGACCTCAAATGGAGTGTACTCAGTAACTCTAGAATAGGAAGGATCTTCTGATCTTTGCAAAGATTGCAGAGGCGTCTCTGATGAGATAATTGAGTTCCTTCCTCTGATTTTCTGAATTGAACCTGCAGCAATTCATCTTTTTAATCAAGCTGCTAAAGTACAATGGATCTCTGCAGTGATTTAGGATGTCCAGTTCTAGGAAGCATTGTTCTGGGCTTTCAGAATGTAGGAGGAGATCTTTGTACTATTTCAGTCTTTTTGATAAACAAGTCATAAAGAAGAAACCAGTTGTCTGAGATTGCCATAAACTGTAAACTCTTTGACAGTAACATAAAGAGATGGATTAAATTGGAATACAACCAAATTTATCTGGAGGTTCTGAACAAAGGCTGGTCACTGAAGTAATCATAGAATTGACAGCCAAGCACTCCTTTCCATCAGTTAAGTAAAGAACGAAATAAACTGTTTACATGATTTTATCCCCCATTCTGAATGGAAGACAAAAGCTTCAGGAACCCTTGATGGCAGATAAAATGTCCTGTGGAGTCTTCTTGGTAATCATTAGAGCACGTTGTTTTATCATCTGAGACAGTAAGAACCCAAACAATTTAACAATGTCTTCAAAGGCTTTGCTAGATTAGACAGTACGAAAAATAAACATCAAGAATGTGGAAACTATCATGTACAAGAAAGACCATGCAATGTTGACTCTTTTTTTTATTTTTTCCTCTCTCTCTTTTGAGACAGAGTCTTGCTCTGAGTCCAGTGGCGCAGTCTCTGCTCACTGCAACCTCTGCCTCCCGGGTTGAAGCAATTCTCCTGCCTAAACCTCCTGAGTAGCTGGGGTTCCAGGGACCCGCCACTATGCCTGGCTACTTTTTGTATTTTTAGTAGAGACAGGGTTTCACCATGTTGGCCAAGCTGCTCTCAAATTCCTGACCTCGTGATCTGCCCGCCTCGGGCTTCCAAAGTGCTGGGATTACAGGCATGAGCCACTGTACCGGGCCCCCAATGTTGATTGTTATGTGATTGGTCTACTCACACACGTATGGTGAAGAGGTGAGATCCACATATGTAGGCTTGCAGTTATTGGGGAAATCTTAGATAACTGCATCATATTATTGTTCTTGGTTTTTATTTCTATTTAGTTTCCTAATGCCTTGAACTTGTGAGTAAAGGGACTGATTGATGAAGTTTAAAAGCATAAGTTCAGGACAGATTCACACACTTTTCATTATCTGGAAAAACAACTTGGGTAGAAGAAGTGGAACATTACCTGTGAGTCACAGAATGTGTATTTTTTTGCTGTGAATTTTCTACTTTAAAGTATAGGTATTTAATATGCACTGGTAATACTTTTTTCACATCTGCTGAAGTTCTAGGGTAAGTAATAAAATATTGAGGGGATTTTCAAGATGGCTGACTAGGAACATCAGATGCCAGTTCTGCTCAGGACAAAGATCAAAGTGATGAATGGACATTTTCCTAATGGAAAACTAAGGGAAAAGAGCCAAGAATTGTCAGAGTGCCCATGGGAACTAGGTGGGGTGAAAAAAACAAAAGCAGAGAGAGTCTGGTAGAGATTGACTCCTGAGGTAATCACAACCCCACAGAAAGGGTAAGTGGGAGAGCTTCTCTGTTTCGTTCACCCCTGCAACAACCTGCTGACTGCCAATCTGCTGGGGAGGCCCTCCACCCTCAGGACCTAAGGAAACACTGTCAGTGGCAGTATAGGAACTTGCTGGGGTCAGAGAACCAGGTGGCTGGCTTGCAGCTGAGCCTGAACTCTCCTCAAACATGAACTGAGGTGGCAGGCGCCATACTGTTTGTGCACGCATGGTGGGCCACTGCCCTCCCCAGGGAACCTCCACCCTTGAGTCCCTGCACCTTTAATTCTCCCACAAACATACCCACATGACTCTCTCTGACTTTGGCAAGCACAGGCCAAAGTCAGAGAGAGTGCCTGCGGAGCTGCAGGACCCCTGGACATCTACGTCTAGGTTTGGGCTGCCCCTAAAGGAGAGAAAAGTACAGCTCCATAAAGCTCATCTTGGGACAAAGGAAACACGGACGTGGCACCAATTGCTGAACAGGGAGGTACTGACGGCCACGAACAGATGTGGAGGGAGGGTCATCATTGTGCCTTGCCCCATTCATTGCTGAAGATGAAGCAGTGGTTCTCCCCCTGAGGGTCGTCATGTTTGTACCTGGAGAAGGTGCTCTTCACACTTTTTGCGGTGGCTCCACTCCCCCTGAAAATGAGGATGTGCAGCTTGGACTTACAAAAAGAGTGGGGCCCAACTTCCCCTCCCAACACAGTGTGGCAGCATCCCAGCAACAGAGGACAGACAAGCCATAGAGTTGTCTGCTCTGGACTGAGAGAAGAGTCTCTGTGCTGAGCCCATTTTGGTGGTAGCCACCAGAGGGGCATATTCATGGTCCACAGCCACACTGTGGCCAGGAACCAAAGCACAAAAACCGTATGAACTGAAAGTCGTAAGTCCTGCAGTAGCAGCATGATAGGGAAGAGGATTTCTATCTTTCCTACTCAGGATGAGGAGCTGGTGCATCCCCCAGCCCCTTCTCTTGAGACCTCAGTACACCTCAACACAATTTCCCTCTAAACCCCACCCCTAGTCAGGGTGGATGGCTCCACACTTAAACAGCCTACCAGAGGATGAGCTGGTTCCTACTCTTAAATGCCACCTACTGAACTGGAGCCCAAAATTCACCACCAAATAAAAAACCTGCTGCTAGAATGGCTTAGTGCTAGTTCATGTGATAGGATTACTGAGACCTCTGCACCCTCAGCCCAGCAGGACATAGTTTGTTGGATTAAATGTACAATGGATTGCTACAAGAAGAACCATCTGAGAAAGCCACAGCACAGAAGCTGTCCACAACCAAAACACTCATTACAGAGCCTTGGGCCCCTGAAAGCACCCAGCAATGAATCCAAACAACCATACACAACATAAATCACAGTCATACCCTCAAGGAACAAAATAATTTTTTAAAAGTTACATCCAAATAAAAATAAGAAGCAACACACACACACACACACACACACACACACACACACACACACACACAAAGGATTCAGGATGTGAAAGACAAGATAGCTATATTAAAAAAATAGAACATCTGGAATTGAAATTTCACTAAAGAAATTTCAAAATAAAAGTGGAATTATGAGCAATAGAATAGATCAAGCAGAAGAAACAATTTTAGAGATTGAAGAGCAATTTTACAAATTAACCCAGTCAGACAAAAATAAAGAAAAATAGAATTAAAAAGAACAAATCCTTCAAGAGATGTGGAATTATGTAAAACAACCAAACCCACGACTTATTGGCATTCCTGAGATAGAAGAAAAAGCGAGCAACATGGAAAACATAATTGAGGGAATAATAATTCCAAAAAAAATTCCTAATCTTCCTAGAGAGATAGATATCCAGATACAAGAAATTCAGACAACCACCTGCAAGTTACAGTACAAGATGACCATAACCAAGGTAAATAGTCATCAAACTATCTAAAGTCAACACAAAAGAAAAAAAAATCTTAAGGCAGCTAAGGAAAAGTTACAAATTACCTATGAAGGAAATCTCATCAGAGTAACAGCGGACTTTTCAGCAGAAATTTCACCAGGCCAGAAGAGACTGGGGGCTTCTTTTTAGCCTTCTTGAAGAAAAAAAAAAATGCCAGCCAAGAATTTTATTTCTTGCCAAACTAACCTTTATAAATAAAGAAAAATAAAGTCTTTCCCAGACAAGCCAAGAGTAAGGAAATTTGTCACCACCAGACCACCACTACAAGAAATGCTCAAAGGAGTCCTAAACATTGAAATAAAGGTCAGTACTTCCTTTAATAAAAGCATATGTAAGTACAGAGTTCACAGATCCTGTAAATCCATTACATGACTGAGACTACAAAGCAACTAGCTAACAGCACTATCACAGGAACAAAACCTCACATACCAATATTAACCTTGAGCTGAAATAGTCTGATTTTTCCACTTAAAAGACATAGATTGGCAAATTGGATTAAAAAAAATACTCAACCACCATCTTTTGCCTTCAAGAGACCTGTCTCATGTGTATTGATGCCCACAGTCCCAAAAGATTGAAGTAAAGTTATGTCACACAAATGTAAAACAAAAAAAAGAACAAGGGATACTCTTTTTGTATCATATGTAACAGATTTTAAACCAACAACAGTAGAAAAAAAAAGAATGGAATTATTTAGTGATAAAGGTTTCAATTCAACAAGAAGATTTAACTGTCCTAGATATGTACACACAACATCAGCACAGCCAGATTTAAAAAATAACAATTACTACTACACCTAAGAGACAGAAAGCAATACAATAATAGTGGAGGACATCAGGACCCCACTTACATCTCTAGATCATCAAGGCAGAAAACTAACAAGAAAATCTGGACGTAAATTGGACTGTTGACAAAATGTACCTAATAGATATCTACAAAACATCTACCCAACAGCTGGAAAATGCTTTTTTTTCCCCTCATCTGTGCATGGGGCACTCTCTAAAATTGACCACATGCTTGGTAATCAAGCCAGTCTCAATAAATTCAAAAGGATAAAAATTATGCCAAATATTTTGTCGGACAACAGTGGAATAAAATTTGAATGCAATACCAAGTGGAACTCTCAAAACCACACAATTACATGGAAGTTAAACAACCTGTTCCTGATTGACCTACTTCTGAATGACTTTTAGGTAATTAACAAAGTTAAGAAAATAATCAAAAAATTTTTGAAACAAATGAAAATAGAGACACAACATACCAAAATTGTTGGGATACAGCAAAAGTTGTGTTAAGATGAAAGCAGTAGTGCTAAATGCCTACATCAAAATGATAGAAAGATCTCAAATTTACAACCTAACATTGCACCTTAAGAAACTAGAAAAACAAGAAAAAATCAAACCCAAAGCTAGCAGAAACATGAAACAGCAAAGGTCACGGAAGAAATGCATGAAACTGAGACCAAAAAATCATACAAAGAATTAATGAAATAAAAAGTTAATTATTTGAAAGGTTAAACAAAGGTGATAGATGGCTAGCTAGATTAACTAAGAAAAAAGAGCAGATTCAAGTAAGAACAATCAGAAATGAAATAGGTGACATTGCAACTGATACCACACAAATAAAAGAAATACTCAAAGACCACTATGAACATCTCTATGCATACAAACTAGGAACCTTAGAGGAAATGTATAAATTCCTGGAAACACACAACCTTCCAAGAATGAACCAGGAAGAAGTAGAAACTCTGAACAGAACAATAACAAGTTACAAACTTGAATCAGTAATAAATAATCCACCAACCACAGGAAGCCCACGACCAGACAGATTCACAGCCACATTCTACCAGATGTACAAAGCAGAGCTAGTACTAATCTTATTGAATATGTTTCTAAAAATCAGGGAGAAGGGGTTTCTTCCTAACTCATTCTATTAAACCAGTATTACCCTGATACCAAAATCTGACAAGAACACACACACACCAAAGAGAAAACTACAGGCTAATATCCCTGATGAATATAGATGCAAAAATATTCAACAAAATACTTGCAAGAAAAATCAAAGAATACATCTCAAAATAATAAGAGCTATATTTGACTAACCAATGGCCGACATCATACTGAATGAGCAAAAGTTGAAAGAATTTCCCTTAAGAACTGGTTCAGAAACAGAATATCCTCTCTCACCACTCCTATTCAATAAAATAGTGGAAGACCTAGCCAGAACAATCAGTCAAAAAAAAAAAAAAAAAAAAGATGTCTTGCAAATAGGAAAAGTGGAAGTCAGATGTATTAGTCCATTTTCACACTGGTGGTAAATACATACCTCAAACTGGGCAATTAACAAAATAAAGATATTTAATGGACTCACAGTTCCACGTGGCTGGGGAGGCCTCACAATCATGGCAGAAGGTGAAAGTCAAGTCTCAGATGGCAGCAGAGAGAGAAGAGAGCTTGTGCAGAGAAACTCCCCTTTTTAAAATCATCAGCTCTCATGAAACTTATTCACTGTCATGAGAACAGCATGGGAAAGACCTGCCCCCATGATTCAATTACCTCCCACCGGGTCACTCCCACAACAACATGTGGGAATTCAATATGAGATTTGGGTGGGGACACAGCCAAACCATATTATCAAATTATCCCTCTTCTCTGACAACATGATCCTATACCTAGAAAACACTGATGATTCCTCCAGTGGACTTCCAGACCTGATCAATGACTTCAGTAAAGTTTCATGATACAAAATTAATGTGCAAAAATCAGTTGCATTTCTATATGCCAACAATGCTGAAGCAGAGAATCAAATCAAGAGCTCCATTTTATTTACAACTGCCACAAAAAATAAAATAAAATAAAATACCTAGGAATACATTTAACCAAGGAAATGAAAGATCTCTACAAGGTGAACTAGAAAACGCTGATCAAAGAAATTGTAGATAATACAAAGAAATAGAAAAACATCCCATGCTAATGGATAGGAAAAATCAATATTGTTAAAATAACAATACTTTCCAAAGTAATCTACAAATTCAATGAAATTCATATAAAATTACCACCCAATTGTTCAAAAAATTTTTTAAAAATCTAAAATTCATAATGGACCACACAAGAGCCAAATACCCAAAGCAATCCTAAGCAAAAACAACAGAGCCAAAGGCACCACATTGCCTGACTTCAAACTATACCACAAGAATATATAACAAAAACAGCATATTACTGGTTCAAAAATAGATACATAGATCAATGAAACAGAATAGACAATGCAAAAATATAGCCACACACCTACAACCAACTGATCTTTCTCAAAGTTGACAAAAATAAACAATGGGGAAAGGATGGCTATTCAATAAATGATGCTGAGTAAACAGGCTAAACGTATGCAGAAGAATTAAACTGGACCCCTAATTTGAACCACGCACAAAAAGTAGCTCAAGATGAATTAAGGACTTAAATATAAAGTCCAAAAACATAAAAATCCTAAAAGAAATGTCCTTTGGGACATTAGCCTAGGCAAAGAATTTATGATGAAGATCATAAAGCAAATGCAACAAAACCAAAAATAGACAAATGGGATTTAAGTAAGCTAAAGATCTGCACAGCAAAAGAAACCATCAACAAAACCCACAGAAAACTTACAAAATTGGGAGAAAATATTTGCAAACTATGCCTCTGACAAAGGATTGATACCCAGAATCTATAGGGAACTTAAACAAATCAACAAGAAATGAACAAATAACCCTGTTAAAAACTGGGCACAGGAAATGAACAGATACCTCTTAAAAGAAGACATACAAGTGGCCAACAAAGATATGAATAAATGCTAAACATCAGTAATCATCAGAGAAATGCAAATTAAAACCATAATGCAATAACATTTGACACCAGCCAGAATGGCTATTATTAAAAAGTCAAAAACTAACAGATGTTGGTGAGGCTGAGATGAAAAGGAAACACTTATACATCATCAATGGGAATGTAAATTAGTTCAACCCCAATAGAAAACAGTCTGGAGATTTCTCAAAGAGCTAAAAATAGAACTACCATTTGACCTAGCAATTCCATTATTCAGTACCTAAGCAAAGGAAAACAAATCACTTTTCAAAATGACACCTGGACTTGTATGTTTATAATAGCACTATTCACAATAGAAAAGTTATAGAATCAAC
This sequence comes from Homo sapiens, assembly GCF_000001405.40. Lineage (NCBI taxonomy): Eukaryota > Metazoa > Chordata > Mammalia > Primates > Hominidae > Homo > Homo sapiens. The sequence continues at coordinate 21,264,593 of NC_000021.9, forward strand.
CTAAGTGTCAATCAATGTTGGATTATATAAATGAAATGTGATGTGTATGTATGTGTGTGTGCATATATATATATACACACACACACATATATACACACACATACATACACACACATACATCATTTTGTTAAGATCTTTGGCATAAGTGTGTATATATATACATATATATATATTCCACTATATATATACATATATATATATTCCACTATATATATACACACACGTATATATATTCCACTTTATATACACACATGCACACGCACACACGTGTGTGTGTGTTCATAGTGGGATATATATATGTGTGTGTATATATATACACATATATTAGATATACACATATATATGTGTGTGTATATATATGTGTATGTGTATATATACACATATATATTATATATGTGTATGTGTATATATACACATATATATTATATATGTGTCTGTGTATATATGTACACATATATACTATATATGTGTATGTGTATATATATACACACATATATTATATATACATATATAATATATATACATACATATATTATATATACATATATAATATATATACATATATACTTATATATATTATATATGTATATATAATATATGTGTGTATGTATGTGTGTATATAGTATATTATATTATATATATGCATGTGTATGTGTATATATACGTATATACACACATATATGTACACATATGTGTGTATATATACGTGTATACATACACGTATATATACACATATATAATATATATGTGTATGTATGTATATATTATATTATATATACACATACACATATATGTACACACCATATATTATATATGTGTATATATAATATATGTGTGTATATATATTATATATACACACATATATAATATATGTGTGTATATATATTATATATACACATATATAATATATGTGTGTATATATACACATACACACATATGTGTGTATGTATATATGTATGTATATATGTATAAGTGGAATACTACACAGACATTAAAAAAAATGCAGTCATGTCCTTCACAGTAACATGGAGCTAGAGGCCATTATCCTATGTGAAATAACTCAGAAACAGAAAAACAAATGCCACATATTCTCACTTATAAGTGGGAGCTAAGCAACGGATACACATGGATATATAGGTGGACATTGGGGACTTCAAAATGGGGAAAAAGGAGAGGGGGAAATGTGTTGAATAATGACCTACTGAGTACTACTCACTGTGTTCACCATTTGGGTGATGGGCTCAAACCCAAACCTCAGCATTACTCAACTACTCATGTAACAAACCTGCACATGTACCCCTGAATCTATAATAAAAAATTATAGTATAAAAGATTGTTTTATTATTCATACAACCAGCTCTGTTTTCAGATGTAATGATTGAATGAAAAATATTAATGAATAAGTGAGGGTGTTATTTTGATTTTGAAGCCTATCTAGAACTCAGTGATACGGTAATAGTCACCTTTCTTTAGAATCAATCAATTAGAATATATTCAAATGTTTTTGCTTCCTTCTACCTGATATTTTAAAAAAATGGTTTGATTTTAAAAACCCTTTCAAAAATATGAGTAAAATAATTAACTCCTTTTCTGGGGATGACAGTGGGGAGTAGAGTTGCATCTTTTTATTTGGGAAATTTAGACTTAAACATACTGTTTTTTTACTCATTCAACTAATTCAACTACTGTATTCCTAAATTATTTAAGTAACATTATAGATGTCTGCAATGTTCCAGCCTCTGAGAATGACCATGAGGTTTCATAAATTCAATAAGACATTCTCTTTTCTCAGCAAAAATTGCATTCTAATTAGAGATATGGCCATATAAACAAATAATTATGCGGTACTATTCACAATAGCAAAGACTTGGAACCAACCCAAATGTCCATAAATGGTAGACGTATTAAGAAAATGTGGCACATATACACTATGGAATACTATGCAGCCATAAAAAAGGATGAGTGCGTGTCCTTTGTAGGGACATGGATGAAGCTGGAAACCATCATTCTCAGCAAACTATCACAGGGACAAAAAAACAAACACCGTGTGTTCTCACTCATAGGTGGGAATTGAACAATGAGAACTCATGGACACAGCAAGGGGAACATCACACACCGGGGCCTGTTGTGGGGTGGGTGGAGGGGGGAGGGATAGCATTAGGAGATATACCTAATGTAAATGACGAGTTAATGGGTGCAGCACACCAACATGGCACATGTATACATATGCAACAAACCTGCACGTTGTGCACATGTACCCTAGAACTTAAAGTATAATAAAAAATAATAATAATTATGCCCAAAATGAGCTGTGGGAGCACACAGAGAGACATATGCAGGTTTGTTGCACAGGTAAACTTGTGTCATAGGAGTTCATTGTACAGATTATTTCATCACGCAGCTATTAAGCCTAGGTACCAATTAGTTATTTTTCCTAATCCTCTCCCTTCTCCCACCAAGGAGATATCTGATGTGTAAATAACAACTCACCAGGGGAAGCAGTTGGGAAAAGAGTCATACTTCCATGTGACCAAATTTGAAGCATACTGCACAGTTTAATATTTAATTATGTTTATTATCATACTAGTTAGACATAAATAAAGCACTTTTGATACTATTACAATTTTTCTTAGCATTGATTGAGAAACTTGGTGACTCCAAGCATACTTGTTACATTATAATAAGCTTTGTTTAGTACACAATGTTCTTCAAATATTTACTAAGGCAATAGACTGTTTTCATTTTGCTTTATAAGAATAAAACTTTAAATTTTGCACTGCATTTCCTATTCCTCACCAGGGTAATAGAGTATTTGAATATTTGAGTATTATTTGCTTATAACTTCTACAGCTTGTTGTACAACCTTACCTGGGCTGGAAATCTTAAGCATGTCAGTCAACATCATCAAATGTAGGAAAACTAATTTTGTTTAAATAAATTCCATTTAAATTTGGATTGTGTAAAGATTTTTCACAGTTCATTTGGAAGAAAAAAAATTGTAGATACAATTTTGATTGGCAATCTCCACTCAGAGGTGTACAAATATGGAGCAATTTTCTTGTGTGAAACAAACAAAAATTACATACATTTGTCTTTGCGAGCTCCTCTAGAGTTAAGAGGAAGAGTTACTATTACAGCATTTAACATTTACTGATTATTTACAATGTGTCAAACACTGATTTAAATTCTTTATACTATTTCTTGTAAATATAATGGAGCTAGTATTGAATTCACAGTTTTATGTAAGAAAGTCCTAAAGACAGAAAGTTTGTTTCTTGCAGTTTATACAGTTAATTGGATATCTCATAGATAGACTCTTGGTTTAATATACCTTCCTGAGATATCACCTGTATATCTCATGAGAAGGGAAAATGTGCTTATATACGGCTGTGGCTACTGGTGGACCCTTAGATACATGCTCATATTCTGCTCATTGGTTCGGCTGCAGCATTTTTGGCTCTTGTGAATTTCTGACTCTTTGAACTGCTTATTTAGAGAAATTCCTGGTGAATATGTGGTTTGCACGCATGACTCGGTCTAAGTCAAGGGGCTCCCTCATGTTGCCATGGCACCATCTCAGTTTTTGTTGGTGCTGAGGATTTTTCGGAGTTCAGCTCCATGTTCCATCCCACTCGTGGCTGCTGTGCACCTCAAGGTCAGTCACTTATCTCTCACGGAGGAATTTCTCACAGCAAGTCTAATGACTGAAGCTACATTGTGCTGCATGTTTGGGTTTTGGGACATTGCACCTTCCCACACCACACAGGAGCCAAGAATTACCCAACAACATGACACTGCTTCTCTTTTGGACTTACTGTGCCACAGTGAATTGTTTTCTTTGCTTCCTTGCAGTGTTTAACGTTGATGCAGGATCACTGTCTTGGGAGTTGCCTCACGCTGTTTTCTCTCTCTCAAACACATGCATTCACATTCACACACACACATATAGCCCCAGAAAATTGTGAGCTCCAATTTCGTTATATCAGCCTTTCTTTCAATATGTGGAAAACCTCTCACTGTTATTTTATCTCAAGCTGGGAAGCCATTGTACATGAGAATATATCTGATATCCCCATAATTCTTATCTCTCTTCTGATTCACTTTGCTTCATCGGAGAAGGGATGGACTGTTTGTTGCCTCCTCCAACCTGGAAGGAATCCCCCAAGCTTAGCTTTTTCTTCATTCTGAGAAGGTACCGAATTTGCCCCTTCACTTAAATTCTTTAGCAGCATCAACAAAATAGCACCAAGTATTTTGGAGATCGAAAGTTGATTCAGGCTAGGAGTTACAGTCTAAGCACAGGTGCACTTAAATCTAACTAATCTAACTATGGATCCTTCAGAAACAAATAAACCTGAACCCTGTCCCCACATGTAACCTGAGATTATTAGACTAGAGATCCTGGAGACACCTTCAGGCTAGAATCATCCAAGATTCTGAGATGCCTGAAATACTTGCATTGAAAAAACTTAAACAAAAGGTTGTTTCTGTATTTAGCCACTCCAATTTATTTGCCATTTAAAAATTTATCTGTCATCCTTTCCCTATCTTTATGAATACTTTGGAGTGCATTCTTTGTAAACTGTGTTTTCTTTGTATAATACTTAATCTTGGTACTAAACATAAATGTCCCTGGCTATAATATAAAGAGCTCCTGCAACTGATTGGAGGCCTGAGAAACAGAATTGCTGTTTACTACTTAAAACATTTAAATGGTTGATTTTATGGAAAGTGGGAGTTTTTCAGCCTGGTGAAATATTTTTCCTATGGCTACATCGCAGCACACTTCATAGCAGTTCAAACACATCTCCTCAGTGAGTCCATGCATGGCTTTTGAATGAACCAATTAAGTAATGAGTAAATTGTTAGATATTTCTTTGATTATAGATGTCGATTTTATTTGGGTAATCACTGTTACCATGTGCTACTGAAAACCTACACATGCCTTGTAATATTCTTTCTAAATTGTTTATTTTAAAGAAGGGTATGCCTTTAGAAATATTTTGGAATGTGTAATATAAAGTTCATGTTACAGTAATTTTATGATTGGCACTTAACAAAAGAAATTAGTATATTCTCACATTAATGGTAACATCTTTCATAAGTCTCTCATTTTAGTGCTTCTAATTAAAATCATTATTTTTCTAATGTGGAAGAGGGTGTTTTCCTTTTTCTCTACAATATTTTGTAGTAGCATTTGCAGTACTCTGATAAGTTTCACATTTTCTGACAATGTACATCAAAGTTTACTGTTAAGCAATGTAAGTGTTGAATATCTAGTAGTATCATATAATTCATGAAAGAAAGGAAGGCAAAACCTTCTGACTGAACCTTTATGTGACAGATATGTTTGATTTCTGATTTGTCAGGTTTCTACACAAGGTTTATGCTAACCTTAGTCTGGAGAGAGAATACCCACATTGGGGAAGACAAAGCACTTACATAAGCATCTGGAGACTTAGGTATTAGGCACAGTGCAAACACTCCTGTAATTTAATTTAGTACTGCGTAATATTAGTGGTGATAAAAAAATCTTACACTATGTTCTATGTTGACTTCATCAAGGCAGCTAATAACTTACATGTCTAAGTGTTGCCTGTTGAAATAAACTTGGATTGGATGTATAATTTGGGATTAGCTGCCTCTTCAAGATATTTTAGTTTTAATTAAATATCACTCTCAAAGTAAGTGATGAGTGACCTGTTCCTGGTCTCATAATGTACTCAGGGCCTAACTACCACATAAGCACAGATTGGTTGACTCATGACTCAGACAACGTTCCCCAGCCTAATTGGCACTAAGATATATTTCCTACTTTTATTTACATTAAATGATATAAGACAAAAAGGATTTACTTTAAAACAAAAATATGAGACAGGTGGTCCTATTGCTTACTGGTTTTTGAATCTTAACGTAATGATTTTACTTTTACTAATAAACTAATTGCTAGGTATTTCTATGCAATAATGTTTACTTATGTTTGGAGTTGTGACTTCTATATTTACTTCTTAAATGTATTGCAGCTATTTAATTCATACAATGCGTTTTAGGAAAATAATCATTTCCCTCCATTTTCAAAACAAAAGCATATTCAAAGTAGCGTAAGCCTCCTTTCATAAATATTTTCTTTTTAGTATGATGTATTTCACTTTAATTTTTTGGTGAGCCCAGGTTTCTACATGCTTGACCTTTGGGAGATTTTCAAAACCTATTTGATTTTTTTTTCAGTTCTGTGGCTTGATGTCTGATGGGCCTGTAATGATTATATAATACATTGCCTGACCATCATGGCCTTCCCTAGTTCATCATCTCTGCACTTTTTAAAACAGATATTCTCATCTTCTCTTTTAGTTATTTTTTTTTTATTTGAACCTTATTTTTCCATTTTATTCAATTGGCCTCTTTTGGACATCAATTAGTTTTTCAGTACTGATTATTTAGATGACATTTTTGTACATTTTATGTTCACATGTGATATGTGTATGTTTGAAATGAAAAACACCCACATACTACTGAATAAAACAAGTCTACTGAGAATGAAATAAATTTAAAATTGCTTTTTATTGGATTCAACTTTTAAACTCAATAAAAATCTAAAAAGAATGTATTTAATTTTTGTTTTATTTTTGCTAAAGTACATATTCATGTATGCACAAATATTTTAGCATGTATTTTCTTCCAGACCTGTGCTGGGTTTATAGACTAAGATTAATAAGGCAAGACATTGTCACTATTTTCCAAGAGCGTATCATCCAGTGGAGAGACAAATGTGCCAATAAAATTTCATATGTGTTAAGTGCTCCTAGCAAATAGTACAGAAACTAAAAACAAACAGCCTTTTTCAGTTTTAGATTAATTTTAACTTAAATAGCACTAAATTATTTTGTGTAGGGTAATATCATGCCTTTAAACTTTCTTTGTGCTTTCTGCATATTAAAATTATGTAATGCTTATCAAGCTATTTCTGTGCAGTGTGTTATATGCTCTAAGAAAAAGTATTACAGAATTTTAGAAGACAATGAAAGGCTATTTGGAGTACTATTTATAAGACAATGTGGCTATTTGGAGTACTCATGTATGACTGATAGGAATATTCATAGTTGAGAAAAAGGAAAGAGTTCTAATAAATAAGGAACAAAATGTGAAAAGAAATAGAGTAATAAAAAAGTGGGGCCTTTAGCAAAATTTCCTGATAGTTTACTATTTTTTGTTTGTGTTATTTTGATTTGGTTAGAAATAAGTTCTAGTCAATGAGAACACTTGGACACAGGAAGGGGAACATCACACACCGGGGCCTGTCATGGGGTGAGGGGAGTGGGGAGGGATAGCATTAGGAGATATACCTCATGTAAATGATGAGTTAATGGGTGCAGCACACCAACATGGTGCATGTATACATATGTAACAAACCTGCATGTTGTGCACATGTACCCTAGAACTTAAAGTATAATTTAAAAAACAAAGAAATAAGTTCTAGTAAGGTCAGGTGATGTCCAGATTGTTAAAAAGCTTAAATGATAAAGTGTGAAGGAGTTTGGATTTTATTTATACACAGTGGGAAGTATATTTGTTCTAGAGATTGTAGACATATTAGACTGCCATAGTCCAAATCAATGCTGATCACATTTTAATGTGTGCTGCAATCAACTTAAATTATACATTGTGATTACTCTGAAATGGCACCTGAGATCTGTACTACAAAGAAGCTCCTAATTGAGGTCACTAGTGTTGGACTGGTAACCACTTTCTGAGTAGCAATGGTTAGCATCTGGAAGTTACTTAAATATGAGACTCCTTGGCCCTACACCAAATATACTGAATCAGAATTTCCAGTGATGAGACCAAAACTAAATTTAAAAACTACACACATATACCAGAAAAAAACACGCACACATACACACACATGCGCGCGCGCGCACACACACACACACACACACACACTTCCTCAGATGTTTCTGATAAATTCAATACCTGACCTGACTCAATTTTGCAGAATATTCACTAGAGCAGCCTAGCAATGGGGAGACTAAAACTAAGCAAGAATGAAGAGAGACATATTTAAGGGACATTTAAAAAAAGAATGAGTTGGATATTTTGAGTATTTATATTTGAGAAAAGGAGATATAATCTTATACATTTCTCAGTTATCTGGCAAATAGGCTCAGTGGATAACAATTACATTACTGAAGATGAGGATTAAGGAATAAGGTAAGACAGAAAGAGAATGCTCTTGAATTTTGATATGCCAAATTTGAGACATGTAAATTTTTCAAAGTAATATGGTATTTAATGTATTAGCAAATATGTTTCCAGACTCCAAAATGATAATAGGGACATGCATTCACACACACACACACACACACACACACACGGGACATGCATTCACACACATACACACACACACACACACACACACAATCTGTAATTAAAATATAGAAAAGGGAATAAAGGGATAAGGAGATGGTGGGCATATAGAAGCTGAGTCTCAAGTGCTTGAGAAGGACCAAACAAATGGCTGGATTCAAATCTGGTTTCACCGTATATTGGCTGAGTGGCCAGTAGCAATGACACAATCCTTTGCCTCAGCCTTCTCATCTCTAAAACAAGATTGAAATATCTACCTTATAGTAGTATCTACTTTATAGAAATGTTTGAGGAATAAAGTAGTTATTGTGGGTATGCATAGTAAATATCATATATGTTTGTAGTACAGGAAGATAGATAGAACACCAAGAGAAGAAAACAAAGAAGATATTGCTAAGAAACAAATATTTAAGGGATACATGGTAGAAGAGATACCATATACTACTATATACTATACTATATACTATCCTTACTAATATAAGAATAGTCAGGAAAGTGAGCAAACTATAAATATGGAGGTGTCAGGAAACAGGAGGGTCAAAGAACAAAGTAGTTGGCAGTATCTCATTCTTAAGTAAAATAAAAATGAAAACTGAAAACTATTATTGGGTTGGAAAATGAGAAGATTATGGTTTATTTTAAGAACACTAAACTTATTAGTAGAATGGAGAGGACAGAATAAAAAACAAAGAAAGAATGGATACTAGAAAGTTCATTTTTTAAAACAATGTAATGACAAGTAGGATATACTGTATTAATTTGAGAGGGTTAGGGAGATAATTTTTTAATATTATTTGGTTATTTTGTTTTATTTTCTCTTTTGGTTTTAAATTTATTATTATTTCTTGTTTAGGATGAAACTTTATTAAAGAGTGTGCATAGCTTGACAGGAAAAGTGCTATAGAAAAAGAATCACTAAGAAGTTTAGGCCGGGTGCGTTGGCTCATGCCTGTAATCCCAGCACTTTGGGAGGCTGAGGCAGGCAGATCACCTGAGGTCGGGAGTTTGAGACCAGCATGAAGAACATGGAGAAACCCTGTCTCTACTAAAAATACAAAATTAGCCGGGCGTGGTGGCGCATGGCTGTAATCCCAGCTACTTGGGAGGCTTGAGGCAGGAGAATCACTTGAAGCCCGGAAGCTGAGGTGTGGTGAGCTGAGATCGCACCATTGCACTCCAGCCTGGGCGACAAGAGCTAAACTCTGTCTGAAAAAAAAAAAAAAAAATTTTAATCACTTAGCCCTAGAAGGATTCAGATGACCTAATAGCAGGGACATCTATTTTCCTAATTTAGGATGAGAAGATCAAAGAGGTTTGAGTACAGATATAAAGATGTATGCAGGTAAAGAGGAACTACACTAAAATCTTTAACTTTATTTTCTTGTTACAATTAGAAGAAACAATAAAAATAATTTTTAAAAAATATTCATGAATTCCTAAAATGTTTGACGTTAGAGAATTTCTCTCCTAAGTGATCCAAAATTTCTGAAATTGTTTGAATATTGTAGCATTTTTCAGAATCAAATAACACACATAGGCTGTTGTAATGCACTGTTATAAAAATCCAATAACAAGGAGAGAATAATTAAATAACGTAAATAATTATTTTGCAGCAGATAACATTTTAAAATATGTTTCAATGAGAAAATTGTATTCATTTGCTATAATCAATAATTTATAAGAACATTTTAAGGAGTAATACTCTGAGATTTTCTATAATTACTAAATAAATATCTTAGTCTTTTAACACTGTTAATGTGGAAGCCTAGAAAAATAAAAAAAGTGCTTGTTGAAAAATGTTGCAGCTCGTTGTCCCAAGATCAATCAGTGTCTTAAGTTATCTCCACATGTCTTATGAAATTCTAAGTGAACCAAAGCAGGCTCTGTGTCAGACAGTTAGAAGGCTGGTTCAGTTGTCAGTTTTTAAATCTCTGTAGGTGATAAACTCATTTTAAATGCCACTGCTAAATGTTGTATCAAATAGCAAAGGGCGCTTGGTACCCTGATGGAACTTAGAAATGCTAATATATTCATTATATTTATATTACTATAAATTTTAAAAATATCTTTTGAATATCTGTTTGCTCTGGGTGCTTACTTATAAATATTAATTTAATCTCTGTTATGATAATGATTATCTTCGATATAATGTTACCTATGTTTTATTTTGAGAAATAATCTTTATTTAAAAAGATAAATTTGGACCGGGCGCGGTGGCTCACGCCTGTAATCCCAGCACTTTGGGAGGCCGAGGCGGGTGGATCACCAGGTCAGGAGATTGAGACCATCCTGGCTAACACGGTGAAACCCCATCTCTACTAAAAATACAAAAAATTAGCCGGGCGTGGTGGCGGGTGCCTGTAGTCCCAGCTACTCTGGAGGCTGAGGCAGGAGAATGGCGTGAACCTGGGAGGCGGAGCTTGCAGTGAGCTGAGATCATGCCACTGCACTCCAGCCTGGGCGACAGAGCGAGACTCTGTCATAAAAAAATAAAAAATAAAAATAAATAAAAAAAGAAAAATAAAAAATAAAAATAAATAAATTTATGGCCTTATATTTTCCCCTCCATTAACTGATTATGAGAAATATCCAAAATTCTGTCTCCCTACCTTTCTCGTAGGTAAACACTCATAGTAAAATTCTTTGTCATATCAATAACCCTTGTGTCAACAGAGGTAGAAAATCTTAACATCTTTGACTTTTCTCCTTTATCACTAATGCTTTAACTGATCACAGATGTAACGTACCTTGAATCTTTTCTTACATCTATTCTCTACCTTTTCATATTCTTTGCCACAGGTAAACTTATATATTTATCACAAGATACCCTCTTGTTTTTATCTCCCTTCATTCAATTTGTCAGTAATTTTACCTCACAACTAGTGTTTACCAAATGCCAATTTTATCATGTATGTTTTTATTTATAAGTAATTTTGGACAAAAATTCAAGTCAGTTGTTTCTGATATTCTCCTGAGTGTTTTCCAAACTATTTTTCCAATATTTCAGCAATATTCTAGATGAGATGGACCTTGTCTATACTGACCTACTAATTTCCTAAATGTTCCTTGAACACTTCAGCCTTACCCAATGTGGAATGCCCTTATTCTTTTCTATCCTTTTATAACAATATCTATGGCATTTTTTATCTTTTTATGTTTCATTGTCGTCTATAAAGTCTTCTTGATCATAAATTTTATAATGGGCAAACTTGATACACCCCATCTTATTTTATTTTTCATAATTTTATGTACCCCATAGTCCTCCCAAATACATCTTAAACCCCTTGATATTAGAAAGTATTTCTTGCTATTTTTGAGTATGATCATATTTAGAAGAGGGATTTGCAAAATACATATAGTTAATAAATACTTATGAGTATAGTACATAATTTTTAATTTACCCAACTCTACTTATAAGATTGTTATTTCATGCACTTCTTTGGGAATTATTCACAGAGAACATATATTCATCATGCATTTACTTTTGAGTCCTTGGGTTTAAAACTTTTCCTTACCTTAAGTAAGAAATTTGTGATGATATTTATGGATAGCTATCAAATGTTTCATTCTTGTCCAATTTTCTCCAAACATAAATTTTTGACATTAGGAAACAATTTAGTTTTCTTCTGGCTGCCATAGGTGATAAACTCATCACTTACCTTATATTGATTTGGGTCAAAAATCAGCCACTAGGGCAAGATTAAGGCACAACCTCAAATTTTAGTTATGTAGGATTTACTAATATGCCAATGTTTTAATATATATGTATAGTTCAATTAGAGCAAATCTGGTCTTTGGGAAATATAGTGAAGTAGAGAATTATATTTTCTTTATATATTTTAAACATATATAGCAATGAAATATATCATTGTGCCCATTCACCAAAATGTCCATGAATAATATGGCTTAATTAATATGTGCATTGGTAATTTGTACTGAATGAAAAATTAACCAGATGTTTAATATAAATAAATTAATTAATTTCATGTTCAATTTTATTTTATTAAAATGAATTAAGATCAACAAATCAGTATAAACAGTTTTCAGAACTGTATTTGACTTTTAAAATTTCTATAGCTTTCAAGTTCTTTTTTATAAACCCTTCCTTAGAAAAGCAAATTTACTCCTAAGGTCAGTGGTAGGCATTAAGTAATAATTCACACACATTTCTTAGATTCCTGATATCCTTAAATGAAGTCATTCCAAAATTATATGTTGTCAATACAGTCGGTGTTCTATAACTAGCACATGATAAGCTCTTCGTAAGTGTCAATTATTCTGCCATTCATTCATATATTATTAGTTTGGGAGAAATAAAGTTTGATGAATGAGCCCTCACTTCCAGAAATTTATATTTAAATAAGGTAGAGAACCAAATAGAATGATCAACAAAATAAGTTTTATTTGTTTAATGGAAATTCCTACTGATCAAAGATATTGATGTATTTATTGATACCATAGATGGGTCTATCACACACTGTTTTGTAAAGTTCATGATATTTTATGTTTTCTTTGAAGATAGAAAGTAGGAAGCCATGAGGGGTTGTATAGAAAAAGGAGATTAGAACAGACAAAACAGTTTGGGCAAATGCACAATGGTAGGCAAGTGTGAGTCAGTTGGGGAGAGGAGAGAGAATGAATCCTAGGTGATCATAGCTGCAGAAGCATTGGAAATGAGTAATAGCAAATAAACTTGGAAAGGCAAGTTTCCTTCCAATTATAATTTGTATGGTAAGGGACAAATTAAATCAATTTTGAAGATCTTTGAGCAGAAGAGTGAAATTAAACATAGTTTTAGAAATATATGCATGCAGTAGTCTGACAAATACATTAGAGGGAAAAGAGATTAAAGAGGCAAAAGTGAGAAAAAATATGGCAGATGAAATATATTGGATTAAAATTAATGAGTGCGTGTATTTAAAAATAAAAAAATGCATACAAATAGTTTATATTGGCAATGTTTGAAAATTGATTGATGGTGACTAAAAATGGGACAGTGAACCGTGAGCAAATTTTGATGTTAGAGGAATATGTTTGGTTTGCATACAGAAAATTTGAAATTGAAGTATGCTAATGTTAACTGCAGGTTGAAGATGGCAAGATTAGATTTTGAGAAAGTACAGTTTTAGGGGAAATAAGATTATATCTTAAAGAAGAAAGTAAAGGGAAGAAAGAAAAGAGAAGACACATAATTATAATTTCCCCTCCCTTTTTTTTTCAAACTTGTAATATATTTTCTGCTTCTTTCCCTTCTATCCATAAACATTCTCAAGTCTTCTCAATTTATAAAATCCATGCCCTACTGCCCAGAATTGTGGATTCCAGTAACCCCATACATCTCTTCAGATTCAAGCTTCTTATAAGGGCAATCTCAAATTTCTTGAGTTCTGCATTTTGCCTCTGTTGACCTCATTCCACTTAAGCTAACTTCAAAAAGAAAATTGTTTACTTATTTAAAGGAAAAAGACATCTGAATTTTCACTGGATTTGGCATTAATGGTTTATCTACAAGAAAAGTAGGCAAGGGAGAAAAAGAGAGTACCTAAAATCTATTTTTCCCTTGGCTACTTTTCTTATTCTTTCTGACTTGCACTTTTATTTTTCTTTCTGAAACGTTAGATATATTTGAACATTTATTGAGCCTCTATAATATCACAACCATTCTCTGAGTATTGGTAAATTATGAATAAAAATAGGACCCAGGAAAGTCATGTAGACCCTGCCCAAGTTTTCCAGAGAGGTTTCTGGAAAGGAGGAAGGAATTTAACAATTTAAGGTGGAGACTGTGAGGAAACATATTTTAAAGAGCTTAAACAGCATAATTACCAGGGTTTTATTTATTTATTTTTTTTGGTAAATATTTTGTTGCTTCCTCCTGTTCTTTATTACACATTTTATTTCTTTAAATACTTTCAATGTAGTTGTGTTATATTCTTAGTCTAAAAATTATGTTAGTTGAAATCTCATGGGTTTATTTCTCCTATTTGCTGTTTCAGCTGACTCCTGCTTACAGGCCTTATTTCACCATGTGTTTTATAATGTCAGACTACACCCCCAGATTGAAGACAGCCTCATTTATACAACTATTGGCCAGTATGAGCCTATGATATGGTTCTTCTGAATGGTTTTTGTGATTGCTTTTGCCACTTAGCTGTGAGCCCTACACGTGAGACTGCTTTTTAGTTTTTCCAGGTTGAAGTTTTCCAAAGAACACGTTTATAATTAAAATCCCAAACATGGGATATGGCAAAACTTCTGGTTTATCTAATGAGAAACATTTTCCCCCTTCCCAGCTTGGGGGAGGCAAGTTTCCTTGTAATCTCCCTTCACCATTGGGTTGACTGATTTTATACCCTCCTTTGATGGTAAATCTTATTCCAGTCCAGTGTTATCTGGTGTTCTTTTTTGTTTTTGTTTTCTGAGACAGAGTTTCACTCTTGTTGCCAGGCTGGATTGCAGTCGTGCGATCTCGGCTCACTGCAACCTCCGCCTTCCAGTTTCAAGCAATTCTCCTGCCTCAGGCTCCCGAGTAGCTGGGATTACAGGCTTCTGCCACCACACCCAGCTAATTTTTGCATTTTTAGTAGAGACGGGGTTTCACCATGTTTGCCAGGCTGGTCTCAAACTCCTGACCTTGTGATCTGCCGGCCTTGGCCTCCCAAAGTGCTGGGATTACAGGCGTGGTCGTTATCTGGTGTTCTATCACAGCCTGTTGTTCTGGGAAAACTTGGATCCTATCTGTGTGTAGTCTGTGTTCACTGAAATAAGCATTTTGGTTACTATGATCAATAAATTCCCAGTGCAGGTTCGTACTCTAGTTTCAGATCTTCCTTGATTGACCTCTTGCAGCTTTGTCACTTTACCAAAAGCTCAAGTACGTGCATTTGAGCACGTGGAAGGTGAGACGGAGTTTGGAAAGTGGTCATGCTCTCTTTTCTACCATATTGTTAGAAATATGTCAATTCATATTAAAATAACACTTTGCTTATCTTCTAAACTTCTAGATATTCAAGTATTTTATTTCAAATTTCACAAAAAAATTATTTAAAATATCAGGCATCTCCTCTCTTTTATTGTCCTGGGTCCTTCACTTAACTTTCTGATCTTGTGAAAATCAGTGCTGCTTCATCTTACTCTGTGCAGTGCTTTCTTTCCTTTGTATGCCTGCCTTCACAGACAATTTTTAGTAGGTGTCTACATGTAGTTAATTTGCGTGTGTGTGTGTGTGTGTGTAGTTGTTGTAATGATAATATAGGATTTATACAACTGTTGGGCAAACATCTTTTTTTTAGCTATTGCCCAATGTGGTCACACATATAAGACCTAATCTCTGAATAAGGAACAGATTGTCTGAGTGTGAATTTGTTCATTTACTTGACTAACAGAATTTCAGACTATCAGCTTGAAGAAGTGCTGTATTTAGTCTGATGGTTAAATGCATAACAAAGTAATATGTATAATGGTAGATCATGTTTTACAAAACTTTCATTTTTCTTTATAGGTAATAAAAAATTGGGGGGAAATAATCAGCGTTTGGACCATGTGGTTTAGACATCATGCATTAAAATCTTAGAAATCACGCTTAAAAATCACCATTAATTGTTTCCCAATTTTTTTTCAGCTCTTCTTCAAGTGACAATTTCACTTAGCAAAGTAGAGCTTAGTGTTGGAGAATCTAAATTCTTCACATGTACAGGTACGTATTTCTGTAAATACCTTCAGATAACGTGGTTTCTGTTAAAATATTAATAAAATGTGTTGGCTAAATTTAACTAGTTAAAAACTCAGTTCTCTAACAATAACATCTTACAGTTGGTTTTTTGTTTTTGTTTTTGTTGTTTTTGAGACAGAGCCTCGCTCTGTCTCCCAGACTGGAGGGCGGTAGTGTGATCTCGGCTCACTGCAATCTCCCCCTCCTGGGTTCAAGCCGTTCTCCTGCCTCAGCCTCTTCAGTAGCTGGACTACAGGTGCTCACCACCATGCCTGGCTAATTTTTGTCTTTTTGTGTTTTTGTAGTAGAGACGGGGTTTCACCATGTTGGCCAGGCTGGTCTCAAACTTCTGACCTCAAGTGATCCGCCCGCCTTGGCCTCCTGAAGTGCTGGGATTACAGGTGTGAGCCATCATACCTGGCCATTGTTGGGCTTATAATGATTGGAAAAGTGTTAATAGCCATAACTTGCATATAAAATGATATTAATTTTATTTTTGTTAATTTGTTAATTTAGACTGCTAATCTAGATCATTTATTTTGAAAATACCTTATGCTTGCATTATATCTGATAATAACTTAAATCAATTTAAATATTTCTGTCTAAACAGTAATATTAGGATGAATATAAAGATTATAACTGAACCATTTTTGTAAATATGCAATGAATAAATTTGGTATGGCACACTGCACTATAGTTATACTTGAATGAAAATATTAGGCCAAAAATTTATTCTAATATTCATTGAAGAAATAGTTATTTAGTCAGGAAAGCTTTGACTAGATTTTTATGACAATGGAAAGAATCATATGTCATCATGCCTATGGCATATTTTATGGGCCTCATTCAGAATAATAATATACATATGGTTTTCTTTCCAAAGAAATTTAAATATTTCAGCATCAAAGTTTAATCAAACATATTATAGAACTGACAAATGAATGCATTATTTATTTAGGTACAATATATTCATTTTTACAAATACAAGTCTTCATATCCAAACTATGATATACCTAAATAATTTTTTAAACCTTAGTGCTAAAATTAGTTGAGACTATTTTAGAATTGTTTCTAATCTTGATTACACTAAATCAACTTAAAACTGGATTAAAATAGACACTAGAAACATAAAATGCATTATAAAAATTGTCTTGAGAATGACATGATTTATTTAAACCAAGATTCAAATTTATAAATATAGAGATATAATATTTTATAAATAAAAGATATAGTTATAACATTTTATAAATCATATTCAGAGCATATATGTATAACATGTCACATTTTATAGGAATATTAATAGAGCCCATGATTCTTTATACATTTTCCTTCTTAAAGATGTCAGTTGATAGTTATGTTAATACAAGTATTTGTATATTGACAAATGAAAAAATCAGAGAGTGTGGAAGAGATTGATTCAGCATCATATATTATGTCAGCAGAAATTTGACACAAGCATATAGGTTACTGTTTCTAAATCCCATCCATATTTTATTAATATCCTCATAAATTAGAACACACGAATTGTATCACATAAAGGTAGAATAACAAAATAGTTAAAAAATCAATTTTGAAAATACAATGAAATTGTTGTACTTTTATGGATTTGTATATTACTATGAAATATATTGCACAGACTAATTTGCCTGTATGTATTGCATAGCTCAAATTAAGACATACTTTAAAGTGAATTAAGGCCATTCATTGGTGATGAGTTTTGCTCTTAATAAGAATGTAAACTAAGTAAGCATTTATTTTCTTTTATATAAAGATGTATCACCTAGAGCTTTTCTATAGTACTGGAAGTAGTCTTATTTATATTAAATATAGTAGTAAAACAAGATTCTAAAAATAAAGATATTGGAAAACCATGCAAGCCACTCTGCTTGTATGTATTTTTCTACTACAATGCTGACAATCTAGATACTCCTCCAACATTTCCAGACGCCTTAAAAATACAAAATCTAAAACTCAATAAAATAAATATCTTAAATTTAAACTAGAAGGATGTTACACCCTCAAAGAGCTAAAGAAGTGTCATACAGAAAATTGTTATAACTACATTTAAGAAAATAAAGTTTAATGCTATTTATAAATAATCTGTACGTACAAATAGTCCAGCCTTATCAAAATGGAAAATTTTGATAGAAATTATTTGTTAGAGATGCCTGAAAGAAAACAATTATAACAGCTTTATGAAAATCTGCAATAAACTGTTAATGAAAATGAAATGTTCTATTATATTAAGAATGAAAAGACTCAAAATATTTATCAGAATATCCTATTTAACTTACTATATAAAATATTATTTTGTATTATTCAAATGTAAAGAGATGAATGTTTAAATTATTTTTTGTGACTTCTCCATAGATGGAGGAATTAAATAAAACACATCCCTCCTCTTCAAATGCATTACTCTGTAACAACTATGGTTTTATGATTTGTTTAGAAAAAGATGAAGATAATGTAACTGAGATCTTTTTAAGATTCACTAAACTTTCTTTCATACTTTTACTCAAGCATGTCTAATTTCTTATAGAAAGGAGGATAATTTGTTTCTAAAACCATTTCTTCGGAAAAATGAGAAGGAATAATTTTCTTCAAAGAGGTCCTGCAGATGTTAGTTGACTTCATGCATTTCCACATCGATACTTTTGAGTTAATAGTGTCTGCTGCTTCCATAAATGATATCTGAAGTAATTAGGTGAAATACATCCTTTTGGTGACTAAAAGCAGACACAGAAATCTTCAGCTTTAATGAAAGGATAGTAACCTAGATTCTGAATTGGAAAACTTAAATAAATGTTTACCCTGTAATGATTTGGTTGTAATTACCTAGATAAGTATCATTTCAATGCATTGAAATTATCATATGAATAAATAGTTAACAGTTTTAGATTAAAATAATGAAACTACTTATTTCTCTTGGGAAAAGAGATTAGGACATCATTATAAAAACGGTCGTTGGCCTTATCTATTCAAATTTAGCAACTAGGGAAATTAATTTCAAATTTAGTATTATCAAAGGCCAAAGTTGGTTTTGTGAAAGATTTACATTTTTGTAAGCTCGACATTTTCAGAGATTTAAGTGCTATCTCCTGACCCTAGCAAAGACCACTGAGCAGATGAAATCATATTAGTAATTGTGGTTCTGTTCAGATATTATCTATAAGTGGGTTGTATGTCTGGCTCAGCAGTCAAGGAAGTTTCAGAACTTAAATGTAATAATCCATTGATTACCAAGGGAAAATTTCAACAATCATAGCTTAAATACTGTACAAGAAGTTTGCTGTGAAACTTTTAGGTATTGCTTACTCAAGCGTGAATCTTCCATGTTGGATAAACAAAGGTGAACATTTGCACTAACATTTGTGTTTACTTTAAGTTTTGTAAGATTCTCAGATTTCCAGTCTGTTACATAATTTTTTTTCTAAATGGTTAATATTATTACATAATAGTAAATGCCAATGTTCAAACAAATATTTTTAACAATTTTCAAACCTTTATTTTCCATGGCTCTTTGCAGCGATTGGTGAACCTGAAAGTATAGATTGGTATAATCCTCAAGGAGAGAAGATAATTTCAACACAGAGGGTAGTAGTGCAAAAGGAAGGTGTTAGGTCACGGTTAACCATCTACAATGCAAATATAGAAGATGCAGGGATATATCGTTGTCAAGCAACAGATGCCAAAGGACAAACACAAGAAGCTACAGTAGTTTTGGAAATTTACCGTAAGTAATGTATTTATATGTTTTAGTTTATTCAATTTCAGTTGCTTATAAATAACCGAAAAAATAAAATGTTTGATAACACTTATTAAGAACTATGTGCTTTGAAAATAAATATCAGTTTATTTATGCTTTACCAGAGTGTATCTTAGAATAGAATAGCTAACAGATAATAAGTGGTTATAAACATATATAGGGCATCAATTATATTAAATAATATTAATAAAAATGTTTTCATTTTCTCAAGCCATTAAGAATTCACTGGGTATATAGAGAATAGTGGTTTATTTAGTGGTATGATATTTATTCAGCATTTTTTTTTTCACTGTAAAATAGAAGGTCATGATTAGAATAAATGAAAATGTGTGACAGCACTGACCATTGTAGAATGAGAATCTGGGGAAGGGTCAGTGAACAAGAGTAGTCAGAAAGTTGAAACTGATCTAGTAGCCAATAATATTGAGTCAGGATTCTTTACCACTAAGTGTTTTTATTAGCAAAGCTTTCCACATTTGCACTTCATTTTATGTCCTGGGATGGATTTCTTCCTATGTTCCTTTCTCCTCCTTATATTTAAGAACCATTAACCTGTTTAGGAACATTGAAATCTGTTGACTCCTGCATTTTAAAGCAAGCTATCCCAATTACTTTCGTGACCTTGAGCAAATCATGTAACCTCTCTGTCTTTAGTTTCCTCATATATAAACTGAGGATAATAATGGTACCTATGTGATATATGGAGTTTGAGTACTACCTTAAATTATATTGCATAAAGTACTTACAACAATGCCTTACGATTAATAGGTAGTTAGCATTTCTACCAATGGTAAATTATATATATATTAGGAATGCAAGCCCTTAAATCATCTCATATCTGTAGCTTTGTGTTTTGTTTGTTATTCTAGAAATAGGATATGAAAAACAAAGTCGGAACATTCCTACAGTAGGACTTCCTGTTTGATGACCAACGCAATTTGTGGGCACATTGTTGCTCTTGTGTTTCCTGATTTGGAATTTTTCCCTCCCATTTGATTCTGAGCTTCCGAAGAAATGATATTTTCCTAATTTATGTAACCCCCTAGAGTATCTATTTCACAATAGCAAATAATTAAATTGAAATGGTCATTTTATAGATATAATGTTTGGAAATACTTCTTTATTTTAAATGATGCAAAAGAAGAATTGTGACATTTGCAAAGGTAAAAAAAATTTTTGCAAGAACAATTCATTACTTCTGTGAGAATTTCTCATCAAGCATAAATATCCATGTTCACTCATTCATTCATTCATTCATTAAAGACACTTATTAGGTGTGTATCCACTATAATTCTGAGTCCTAGCCAGAGACAGACAGACAATAAATAAACTGAAACAGATACATAGATGCTAGCTAAACATGCTATGGAATCCTATGGAAAATAAATTACCTGGGGTAGAGAGATAGAGAACCTTGAAATGGAAAGGAATATTGCTATTTTATATAGGCAGGTTGGATAAGAATCTGAATGAATTGAAGGCGGTGCAAATGCCCTGTGGTGAGAACAAACTTGGAATGTTCAAGGAACCTCCAAGAAGACAGTTTTCCTGAGTGACAAGGAAGAGAGAGGAGAAATTGAGATTGGAGTTGAGGAGATACACTCCAGTTTATACAGAACCTCATATGGCATTGAAAGATCTTTGGATTTTATTCTCAGTGAGATAGGAAGGTATTAGGGAGAAGTAGATTATCTAGTTTAAGATTTTAAAGTATCTAGGTTTCCCTAATTATTTTATTATAGTATCAATAGAGTCTGGATTATGTTATTGGGAGAAATAAGCAATGATACTTTTGTGATTTGTGATTTGTGATTTGTTTTACTTTGTTGATACAGAAAAACTCACTTTCAGAGAAGTGGTATCTCCACAAGAATTCAAACAAGGAGAAGATGCAGAAGTGGTTTGCCGAGTTAGCAGTTCACCTGCACCTGCTGTCAGCTGGTTGTATCATAATGAGGAAGTCACCACTATTTCCGACAGTTAGTATTTTGGTAACTCCCTAAGTTATATGTTCTAATACTATTGCAGTTTTTAAAAATCTGAATCTATGTGTCTAGTTGTAGAAATTTGAATTTTTGACCCCAAATATTCAACAACTATTTTGAGAACCTGTAAGCTCTACATTAGGATTTTGCAATCTAGGGATCTCAGGGCAAATTCACTGCCCTTTACCCCTATGTTGTAATCAAAACACAGTTATGCCCGTTCACCACATACTGTCTGTGGCAGCTTTGGAGGCATAGTTGAGAAGCTGTGGCTAAAAAAAATATACAATCATTAGCCTAAAAAAATGTACAATCGTTAGCCTAAAAAAAATACAATCATTAGTACCTGGAGATTTACAGAAAAGGTTTGCAGACCTTTGCTCTAGTGTCAAGAAAAGATGAATACATTATAAGCAGTACTAAGTAAATGAAGGAGTACATCCTGCTGTATTCAAATTCTGTATAATTTATACATGATTCTATGGTATCACTATATGTAAACTTAGTATTGATGTGAATTATGTTTATTATTCTGGGGCAGTACGTTCAAGGTTATCTACAAGTTCTAAATATTATGGAAAGATCCATATAGATAATAGAAAAGTACTTTCATTCAAATTGTCTTCATGATTTTGATTTAGACTGTGCTAAAATTTCAGAATAATATGACATCTGAAATCGAATGTATAATTTGCTTACATTATGTTCCTTTACCATGTTCATAGGGAGCATTTTCAATTTAGAATTTTTTCAATGCACCTGCACAGCAGAGAGGTACAAAATAATTGAATCTTTTAAAGTAGTTTCCATCTTCGATGATTCTGATTTGTGTCCAAGGGATGAAGATTCTACAGCATAAAGAAGAGACAGAAAATAATATCTATTTTTGAATATGTGGGGAGAATGTATGATAATCATGTTCAATAGTCACTTTTTTAATTTTGAAAGAATTTTTCTGAGCTTAGCATGTTCAATGCTTGTCAGTTTCCATTATAATACATTAATGAGAAATAACACTTTATTTCCTCTTGTTCTGTTTCAGCATAACTCTGTACAGTGTATTAACAAGTCACATGAGTAAATGGGTTGATGTATTTTTAGCTCTTTTCCCCTCAATAATAAAGAAAAAGCAGTCCTTTTGTAACGGTGGAATGACAATGTCTAAATATTTTCAGACTGTCTAATCTTACACCTCAAGTGTAGGTTTATTGTAAAACTTTATTAGTAGAATATTTTGAAGTAAATTTTATTTTTAAAAGTCAAATAGAGCAAAGCCTCAAAGCAAAGACTGATGACAACGGGTAGTGGTGATGGAGAAGTGATATTTCCATGCTAGAGCTCATACGTATTTCCCCAGCATCCCAGGACTAAATGACGTACAGCCAGATTTCCATTTTGGCTTTCCTCCTTTCCTTGGCCCTGAAGCTTTGAACATCTTTTCTAAATGTTCTGTGCCTAAATCAGACTCTTTATCTGTAAAACACAGATGATTGCCTTCATTTAAAATAATGGCTTTGTGTCATAAATGAGACTTTAGACATAAAGTCCTTTCTTGACATCTATGGGTGATTTGTTCCAGGACCTCCCACAGATACCAAAATAAGCCGATGCCAAAGTCTCTTATATAAAAAGCATAGTATTTGGTATAACCTATGTACATCCTCCCATATATTCTAAATTACATCTGGATTATCCATAATATCAAATACAACATAAAGACTATGTACATGGTTGCTATACAGTATTATTTGGGAAATAAGGAATAGCCTGTACATGTTCAATAAAGATGCAGTTTTTAAAAAATATATTTTTCATCAGCAGTTGTTTGAATCCACGAATGTGGAATCCATGGATATGGGGGGTCAGCTATACTTCATTTGTTAAGTGAATGAATAAAATATATGGCTATATATTAGATTCTTAATAAATGACATGTATCGCTCTCATTCCTTCTCTATGAGTTTTTAAATCTTGGAATCAGTTTTGCTAAAATTACATGTGTTTAGGTTATATCTAGAACCAGAAAATCCAATGTAGAAGAAATGGGTATAGTTTAACGTGAAACATAACACTAAGTTGTGTGGCAGGTGAAAAATAAAAATAAAATAAAATCATATTTTTAACTATAGAATTTAAAGTATTCAAGTAAATTATCAGGAAGGACACACTTTTCTAACCTTGAAATAGTGTAGAAACTTATCACATAAATCATTATTGAACAATTTGTACATTTATAATAGACTTATATGAAATAATATTATTCACTGCTTATACCTCATATAGTCCTTTATTAAAGCTGATGAAATAAGATCAAGATTACAATTATGTATGAGGATTTAGAATAATGCCACGGACCCAGATATATTTATTTTGCCATAATCTGATTCAAAAGTAAAATATAGATATTCCAGAGGAAATAATGAAAGCTTGGAAATGCTCATCTTATTAGCTATGCTTTTGATTGTAGCTGCGTGGCAGATATTCAGAATTAAACTTCCTGCAGAAAAGCAGTGGAGATTTTCCATGTTGCTCATAGAAAGGAGATCCGTATGCTAAAGGATCCAAGCATTGTGGGAGTAAAGGTGACATTTTATTATACAAGTTGAATATCTGTCATCGTGATGGAGGGATATGCTATTTGCTGATATCCATTCAATCTTGGCCAGTTTGGAAATTCTCTCTTAAACTTTTTAAATGCTTTGGCCAACACCTAATTGATATACTCCTTCTGCATTAAAAAAACTGATTAAAATTACCTTGTTCAATACAATTTTTATATAACCTACTTCTAGTATAAAAGATTAATTCAACAATTATGGAATACACAGGATCTATGCTGTAGTGTACCAGATGATTATGATTCATGGTAAGCAAGATAAGTTCACTGCCTTCAAAATACTAAGAATCTAGAGGGAAAGATAAATAGGTAAATCAGTGTGAGAACAAGACACATTGAGTCTATGATAACGAAATTGTGGTAATAAAGGATGATAAAATAAATGTAAACTACGTAGGATAAGAGAGAGTGTCAAAGATGCCTGCCAGGAGGAAAAAGTTACCTTTAAATATACACACGTATTAGCCAGGCAAACGTCGGTGCGGAATTTTCAGGAAGAGGGAAGACCATGTGCAATGGCCCAGAGGTGAAAAGCAGCATGAAAGCATATTTCTGAAACTGGAATAAGTTTATTATTACTAGAACTTATTAATAAGTGCAACTTAGATACTTTTACAAATGAGTAAATCTAACTAGGATTTTTAAACAAAGGACTAATAAGAAAGGAAGCTGAAGAAGGAGGTCAAACCAAGTCAGCACAGCCTTGATATCTGCTACTACGGAGTTTGTAATTTATTCAAAGGGGGCATCATTAAAGGGATTTAATCAATGCAGTGACATAAGCTAATATACAGTTGAGAAGAATATTTGTATGTCAGTGAAAACAACAAATTAGATGGGAGTCAAGGCAAAACTCCTGAGACTCAGAATAGTTCAGGTCCTAATGAAATATTGCTGAGGGAGAAGAAGACTTAAATTAAATAACGATAAACAGAGAAGTGATGAGACATGGAGTCTGATTGGGTCTGCAGACTCAGAGAGATGAAGATGTCAAGAATGACTCGTGGAATTTGCCTTCCATGGAGTTCCATCACTTATGGAATATTCCTTTGGCAACTAGTTCCATGTAAAGGCATGTGAAGACAGAACTGGAGAATGCCAGGTGATAAATTTCAGGTGGAGATGTTGAGCTAAATTTTAAATATATTTTTCCTAATTCACATTAAATATAATCAGTAAAAATCATTATAGGTGAAGGATGATAGGTATTTTAGAAAGTTAGAAAATGCAGTAATACAATGATCTAAGTATGATAGTGTTCCTCTTCATTTTAAATTTTATTTATTTATAATTGCCTCTCATCTAAATTTCTGAACACACACTTTAAGAGAGGATTTTTAATTGACTTTGAAACTTTATGAAGTTTCAGGAGTTTCTGGTTATTTCAGGACCACTTATGAGTTATCTTCTAACATTTCTTGTGGATTGGTTTTCTTTCTCCCCAGTCTTTCTTTTGATGAGGGCATTTCATGTTTGTGCTTTAATTTACCAGGGGAAAGAATCTGAATAAACATTTTTGTCTCTCTTCTTAGGTTCAACCTAAGGAAAAAGTGAGCATTATGGAAAAGTTTACACCTCATGGGCTGCAAATCATGTGGCCGTAGCATTAGAATCACTATTTTCACTTTGGGGGAGCCTCTGAATCTGTGCATTTTCACCCCTGATTAGTTACCTCTTAAACAAAAAGCAACTACAGGCTTGTCCGTTTAATGAGTATCTATGCCCTGATGACTCTTCTATTTGTTATTTCTAGCCCCGACTTCTCCCCTCTCATTAAGGAACGGCTATGACAAATTTGCCCCCAAATTGGAGTGGCCTACTACCCTAGCAGTTTATGGCTCACTCATGCAAAGTCCAGTTGGCAGCAGAGGTATAGGCAGGATCCTACCATATCCTTTCCACGATCAGGCTGATGGAGACTCTGCCTTTTTCACATGTGGCTTCAAGTGGTTTTCCTAACCTCATAATCAAGCCACAGATAGGGAAAAAAGCAGTACACATTGGAACAGGCCCAAAGGTAAACAATAGACTGTAGATATGTTAGAGGCTGGGTACCTTAAAATAATCACCTTTCTACCTGATCAAAAATCCCAAAGGGATAGAGGCGGGGTGTCTCTTATTCATCAAAGTGTCTTATATACAGTATCCAGCAAACAGATAATAGTCAATGAGATCTATGGATGTGTTAATTAAGGAAATTTTAGATATTGCCTGTACAAAGAGTTTCAAAATTGGACTATATGTAAAAGCATTCTTTGAATGATAAGGAGAGAAAAGGTTTTAGCATGGCAGCAAGATTGAGATGCTTATAAAATCAGGGCAGACACAAAAAATAATGCCAGGCTGAGATGCTGCTTAGGTGTCACAGATTACTGTAGCAGATTACTTTACACAATCAGTGAATGCAGGCTGTATACCAGCTTATTTTTTTATATATGCATGTGCACACACACACACACACACAAATGGAATCTTGAAATAAAATAACAAAATCTAATCTATTTATTCCTAATACAGATTATCTTATTAGCCAAAAAAATCCCTTGAATAAATTTGAGATATAATCTTTTTTATATCCTTTATATGACTTGAATATTATTATATCATTTAGTTGCCTCCACAGAGACGCAAAATTTTTTGTTTAATTATTGTATGAAGAAGGATGTTCAATAAATTTTCTAGCCCTTTTCCACCCATGTTGCCGCATATTTGCAGTCAAAAGTTTGCACATCTGTGATACCTAATCTCTCTGCATTGTTCTTTTGTGTATCATTTCTGCATCCAAAGTACCAAGGGGAAATAATAGCCTAACCATTTTATGTGGATATAAAGTCTTGAATGTATTTTATTTTATTCTTTTAGGAAAAAAAAAAAGGTGTAACAAAGCAGTGTAGAGTGGAAAAATTGAAGTCATGAAATTACATTTTACTTTCAAATTTGAATTTGTTTGCTGATGAAAAGCTTGATAGTGTCAGACAGTGCCATATTTTAACTCTTAACAATTTAGAGCACTCTGGACTTAGCCTTCAATTACTGATACCATTTTCTCCCCTTTGCTTTCTTTCCAGATCGGTTCGCTATGTTAGCAAACAATAACCTGCAGATTCTCAACATCAATAAAAGTGATGAAGGTATATACAGATGTGAAGGAAGAGTGGAGGCCAGGGGAGAAATTGACTTCCGTGATATCATTGTTATTGTTAATGGTAAGCAGTAAATAATTTGTACATGTTTTATGGATTCATTTTAGCAATGTTTTTTATTAAATGGCAACCATGTGAACTCAAAATACAAGTCTTATCTAATAAACCTCTTCTATACCAGGAAGAAATCTTTCCATCTTTATTATGGCATCTGTAACATTGTATTACAGCCTCAAGGCAGGATCCATGACTTATGTTACATTGTCATTCTCATAACCCTTTTCAAATAGGCTATATGTGAGTAATTGCCTTTTGCTGGAATTGTAGTTGTTGAAAGAATATCAAATAAACATAGTACAGTATCATACTAAATGTTACTTTTAAATTACATGAATTATTTTTGCTTAAATTTACATATTTTACTCTACATGTTTCTCAAATTTAATAATTAAATTTTTAAGGTTATATTTACAAGTATTAATGGACATTAGTGACTGGTTTTATGAAATCATGATGAAATCTCTTCCTCCAAAGTTGCTTCTCCTATATAGTTCCTTCCTGTGTTAACATGATATTCTATGGAGCTGGAAAATACATTACAGTTATCTTGGCTGTCTCCTGTACTAGCCCATTTTCACACTGCTATAAAGAATACTCGAGACTGAGTAATTTATAAAGAAAGGAGATTTAATTGACTCACAGTTCCAAGTGACTGGGGAGGCCTCAAGACACAATCATGGCAGAAGGCAGAGGAGAAGCAAAGGCATGTCTTACATGACAGCAGGCAAGAGTGCGTGAGAAAGAGTGAAGAAATGCCACACTTAAAACCATCAGCTCTCATGAGAACTCCCTCGCTGTCACAAGAAGAGCATGGGGAAAACCGCCTCCATGATCCAGTCACCTCCCACCAGTTCCTTCCCTGGGATACCTGGGAATTATTAATACAACATGGGATGAAATTTTGTTGAAGACACAGATTTTGTTGAACAATTTCATCTCCATTTTGGCAGTCTAATCTGTTATGAAGACATATCCATTGTATATTTTAACATCTCTCAAACATACTCTATTTTCTCTATCATGTTGTTTTCCATGAGAGTGGTGATCTAATTTTTTTTTTTCTTGAATTCATACAACTTGGTTTCTCTACACTTAATCTCACAATTCTACCTTTCTCTCCACCAAGACTTTCAACTGTAATAATTCTTCAGTGTTTCTCACTACTGTCAAGACAAAATCAAAACGACTTTTCATGGCATAGAAAACCCATTATGATCCACCCCTTCCCTAAGCATTCTGCCATTAGATGTCAGTCATAGGGAAACTGGGTCCTTAGAGGAGATCTAGTATTTTTCAATGGTCTTTCTAGAAGTACAGAGTCCGATATTTATTAAGGGTGCCATAATCAGTGGAGTAGTTAACCTTCAGTGCGGGAGGAAGATTTCAGTGCATAAAGGATAGGTTTAAATAGGGAGATGTCTGTATCTAACCTTTATCTATATCAATATGTAACTCTTTCTCTTTATTGTATACAATAAACAAGGGTAATAAATATATAGTGGCTATTTAGTTTGTTAATTATTGAATTGTCTACCATACTTTGTATCCAAAAAGATTTATGATGAAATATGTAAGTGTATTTCATCATGAGCAGTCTTTGTGTTAAGTACGTACTTATGAAAAAGGGAATTATAATAAAAATTAATATATGTAAAATTCTTTAAAATTGGTTAAGTTTATAGGAAACAGTATATAAGTATTTCCTATTATTGTTATTATATATACATATAATTACACTAAAATATTAATTCAAGTTTGATATTAAAATGAAATTTATCCAGCAGGCATAGTAACCCTTTGTTATTCATTCTGCTATTGTAGTTTCTACTTTAATATGTGGTTGGTGCAAAAGTAATTGTGGTGTTTATCATTACTTTTAATGACAGACACCGCAATTATTTTTGCACCAACCTAATATTTTCTTTAATATATTTATAGCATGTTGTAATCTTTTTCCCTACTAGATTATCTGTGATTATTATGATTACATTCATTTTAAAGAAATGATTATTCAGGTATGAATATTCTTTTAATAAAGTGTGAATCTTCATGCCCATCATGGTCTGCATTTCAACTGGAATATTTAGTTTTATATTTCTATACTTATTTATTTCAGGATGTATAAGGAGACAAATATAGGAATATGTTTTTATGTGCCATTTCTGATCAATCATGCAAATAATTCCTGTTTTGTCTGTATCAGTTGGACCCTCCCAAAAGTAAATTCTTCTCCTCTGTCTCCCACTTTCCTCTAACAGAATCAACCATAGATTCTAATATGAACATCTTTGCTCGGACATTGATAATTAGTCTCATTTTTCCCTTTAGGATCACAAACTCGCGTAGCTTAAAATTCCTGGAATCTCTTTTATTTTAAATAACAGTGTTCATAAAATCAGGTATCAATTGATTTCCGTCTGGAGGATGCAGTTGGACACTGCTGAGAGAATGCATTGACTAATGCCATCAGACGCCTGTGCTTTTCTCTCACATTTTGCCTTAAGACAGAAAAATCATTTTACTCCAGTCTTATTGACTTTCACCCTGCTTACTGGCTCCTTTTAAATATCGAGGTTTTTTTTTTTGAAAGTTTTCCCTTATTATGCCTCTTTTATAAAACTGCTTAAAGATGTTTCAGTGAAAATTTTGAGGCTGCAAAAAATAATACCAATAAAATAAAAGTGCTACTTTTATTCATATTATTTGATCTTTAATTACTTTGACTTTGACTGCTGCCCTATTCTGTTCCTCTCAGTTTACATTCCCAGCCCTCTCACTTAATTGCTACTAATTTTTATCTTTACCAATTTGACATTTATTCTGGTCCTCTTTCATTCATCTTCTTCCACCTCAAGTATACCGAAGTCCTACCCAAATGCCCCAGTCAAATGTTTTTTCACATGCAGCGCTTCCTTGTCAAATCTTGGCCTTGTAGGAGGACCTGCCCTTTATTCTACGTTTTGTTCTTGCAAAACTTTTCCATCACATTTCTATCCTACCAATTCATACTCTTTTGTTCACCAATTAGTTGAAAGATATCCTTGCTGGCTTCCTCTGTAGTACCAGCAATAATACATGTTTAGGATCTTATTACTTCCTTTATTTTTTCTTACCTCCCTCTGTGACTTTCTTAATGTGTTTTTCAATGCCTGGGTATTGTTTTTCACAAATATTCTTCCCCTCCCTTGAAGAAGATTATACACCAATGCCTTTGATATGTGAAGTATGGCGCCTCCAAAGGAAGGATTATGCATCTTCACCCAGTCGATCATGTGACTTGCTCTAGCCAGTGACTTAGAAGCAAACAAAATACACACCATGACTGAAATCAAACTTCAAGAAAACATCACATATTTTCTCTTTTTCTCTTGTTTTTTTCCTTCCGCCATGAAAAGAGCATGACCCAAATAGGGACTTACCCTTCATCCTGGGCACCTTGATGAACACAGGAGGAGCAGATTACAGTTGATCTGCAAGTGCAGACAACATAACATGAGTACAAAATAAAGTATATTTTTAAGCACTGAGATTTTAAAGTTGTTATCATACACACACACACAAAAACAGACAAATGCAAAACTAGTGCTTTTGTCTGTTTCTCTCTCTCTCTCTCTCTCTGTCTTTAAACAATCAATTTAAGCACCATCTGACCTAGGTGTACTTTTGAAATTACTTACCTTGGTGTCCCTTTTCACTTTCCCTGATGGTGATCATTTATGACAAATTTTTGTCACCTTATTGAGGTATTGAAAATTTAGCTGAAGAGTTTTTACTGTCATTTCAAAATTATTTTATATTGTTTTCATATATTTATTCAACAGGTATATACAAAGTGCTGGCTATATGTTTTACACTATATTGTGCTTGGACTACTAAAAGGCCTAACACAGCATCATTTCCCTTTAGACACTTAGAGTTGTAGCTCAACAATCTGTAAGAATCAACTTTACTAAAGTCCTTTATTGTTTATGGGGTAGCTGGATTCAAAAGCATTTAACAAATGCAGTTTTCCTAGATATTCACAGACTATTTTTTGAGAATGGAAACCCAATGCAGCTGAAGACAGGAGAGTACCTTGGTATTAAAGATAAATATAATGAAGGAAAACTGTTATTTAGGAGAATAGGGCAATAATATGTTGCAGACAGAAAGACCAACACTTGTAAAACAAACAAGAGCATAAGTTGTGAAAAAATCCAAGCACCTAACTGTGATTGAAATATACTGTTTTTTGACAGGAATAAGAACAATGGTGTGTTGGTTGGTTTGGAGATTAGGTGGAGGTGCAGCTGAAAAGCAGGTAGCAGTCAATCATGGATGACCATCGATGCTTTATTAAAAACCTGATTTATGGGACAAGGAAGAGCTGCCATTGAGAAGCAAGTAATCCAGAGAGCAAGGGAGTTGACACAAGGATATTGGCAGGGAGAAAAAGTGAGTTCATGTGAGAGATAATTGGGGCCTTTACTAAAGGGCAAGGAAATGAAGAGGAAGGCGTACAATAAAACTAGATTTCAAAGCAAAATCATCATGTTATACCTGTGTCACAGAGGCAAGAGGAATCAAGGGTAATTTTAAGACTTCTAGTGTGGGTTTTAGGGCTTCCAGTTATCCATGCAAGCAAAAATGACCAATACAGTGTGCACAAAAATAAGTGTGCTGAATTTAGAGATTATGAGGTTGCAAGAGACATTATGGTAGATGATACTGCTTATGTTCTCTGTGTTAAATTCAGATTACAAGGACTTGAAGCATAAAGGTACACATATATTTTTTAAAGGATGAAAGCTAAAAAAAAGTTAAAGACCTGCTACCTAAGGTTTTTGGACTTAGCTATTAAATGGGGAACATCACAAAGTTGAGTTAATGACTATAGGATGTTGTTGAGGCTTTAGGACAATATTAAGGAATATTACCTTGAACATAAGGAGAATATATTTTATATTGAGCCTGGAGGAAATGAGTTAAAAAATGAGTAAGGACGTGCATAAATTCATAGGTAGATTTGGTCAATAATTTGAGAGAAATCCTGCTACATGACTTCAGTATTCTATTTTCAGTTAGCTGGTTGCCCTCACCGAACAAACATTGATATAATCTTGATAGTCATAAAAAAATTTTACTTGCTTATATTAAACTTTTTATTGGATCTTCAGGTAAGCTCTCCAACCTGCCTAAAACCTTTCTGTTCATGAACCTCTGAGTAAATGCTTTCCTCATATCATCATACCTTGTTTCACTCTGACATACTATGTGAAATCTTTTAAAAACAGATTAACAGAGACATTGACTGAATTGATTGGCTACCTTTTCCATAAATTCATATTCTTTTAACTAGATAATTGTGCTATACATATACACAAACATGCCCACTTACACATCATGGATACGCTTTTCTAAAAGAGGATTAATATTGTCTCTCTTACTTTAACCCACATATATTCTCCCACCATCTGATTCCTAGGCTTTAGTTAAATAATACACACTGTACTACTCAAAAAAAAAGGCTCATATAGATGAAAGACCTGGAAATAACTTTTAAACTTAAAATACAGTCAGTAGAGTGTTCATTTTATAAAATGTTCTTCTAACGTATAGTGATTTATTATTTTATGAATATTTTGTAAATTTGTAAAGAGTGATTCACTAACTGCAGGTTCAAATTGGGGTAATGGAGGCAGGAACAATTGAGATTGGATAAAAAACACCTAGTAATGCAATTGTAAAGCAATTGTTTCTTTAGTCGATCTTTGAACAGTAAAATCAACAGTGGGTGATAATGGCCAGAGATGTCCGTACAAATGAGTGTCTGAATGTATAGTGCACTTTGTTATCTCAGTAACCCCCAGGCAGTAATTTTTGTATTCCTACCTATTTCTTGCAATTTCTTGAAGTCATGAAAATGAGGCAAAAAAACTTTTCTATTTATAAAAAATGAAAAGTTAAGTCAAAATTTTCTCTTTAAGTTGTATGCAGTGTTTTAGAATGTAAAGCATATACAAGTATGAAAGAGTGAATTTGTCTCTTGTAGTTGAATCATGTAATTGAATCAACCATGCAGACAGCTATTTTAAGTCAGTTTAATGAGTGCAAATTATGAGGGAATTTGTAGTTTGTAACAATGTTATATAATATACAATATATAAATTTACCCAAATCAATAAATATTTACCCAAACCAGAGTATTTTATAGTTTTATTAATTGTGTATCCCTAATGATTTTATTAAATTTCAAGAATAGGCAATCTGGGAACACAAGAAAAGAAAAGTATATCTTTTTCTCCTTATCTCTTATATAACTGTTACTTCAGAAATTTTTAGTTTATATAAACTAGAGAAATGATAGATACAGATAGATAGATAGATAGATAGATAGATAGATAGATAGATAGATGATAGATAGAGATAATCTGCACAGATCTAGGCACATCTTTCTTTGCTTTTCTCTTCCATATAAGTAATTGATTTGAGTATTTAATACAGTTCTTTTCCTTAAGTCTCTATTTCTCTTTTACTCAGATTTTCTAAGTACACTTAGTGTCATAATATCATATTTGAAAAGCTGTAGAAAAGCATGTATTGATTTTTCAACATTGTACTTTTAATCCCTGATTAAATATATGGCAGAATTTTCTCATTGTTTGAATTGGATTCCCATTCTGAATTTATCTGTTTCAAGTGTAACAGTCTTCTGCTTGTTGATTAGGGGCTGACCTTTGTATGTTGTTCTCTAAAATTTATTTGATGAGTACAGAAGTGAATCCTATCATTTGTGAAACCACAACTTATAGAAATCTATAGGGATCACAAGATACTGCAATAATGCAAATTTTTATCATTTCATAGAATCAATCAGTAAAATAAAAGTCACCATCAAGATGCCATCTGACATTGTGGAGATGAATGGCATTCAGGAAAATTAATGTCTAAATAACTTTGGAGAGACATTCATGGGTCCTGTTCCTCAAAATGTGCTGCACTAGAGGATAACCTATGAAACCATATCAGTATTTTATTCACACTGAAATTCACGAATGACCAGTATCACCACTATCTCTTGCCTTTTTTTTTTTTGCTTGTGTCATATCCTATGGCTTTTAATAAAAGCATAGGTATTCGGAGAATGTCTGTTTCTGATGGTGAAAGTAATAAAGCAGAGAGAATTCAACTCACGTTACATAAAAATGAAATAACCACTCAGTTATAAGTAAAACTAGTTCCATGTGCTACATCATCTTCTTAAGCATAGTTTGTTTTTCTTTTTATGCAGATATGCTTAATTTCTCTAGGATGAGATTTCACAATCTCCGTCTAAAATGTGATTCTCTCTCTCTCTCTCTTTCTCTCCTTCCCTCCTTCCCTCCCTCCCTCCCTTTTTAGCCAGACTGATTGCTATTTGTCTTATAAAACTTAGTCCAAGCATCATTTCTAGAACTAGAAAGCAATTCTAAATATGACCTGCCTTATTGCAAGATTTCTTCCCATGAGATCTCATAGTACTAGGTCCACTCTGTAAACTTTTCAACGCTTAAGTATTTGAAAGGACTCAGCAGGCTTCACAAAGTACAGTTGTTCCTTGGTATCTATGGGAAGTTGGTTGTAGGACCAACATCCATGGGATACCAAATCCATGAATGCTCAAGTCCCTTTATGTAAAAAGGCATAGTATTTGCATATAGCCTACACACATTCTTCCCATATACTTTAAATCAGCTCTAGATTAGTTATAATACTTAATACATTGTAGATGCTGTGTAAATAGTGTTACACTGTATTTTAAAAAAATTGTTCTATTTTTATTGCTGTATTGGTATTTTAAATGATTTTTAAAAATATTTTTGATCCCTGCTTCGTTGAGTCCTCAGATGCAGAACCTGGGGATACAGAGGGCTGACTGTATAGTCATGTAAATGCCCTATTCTTAAAAAAAAGGATATGGTGCAGCCAGAAAAAGAATGCAAAGTGTCAGACCTGTGAGAGACAATCCCCTGCACAAGATTTCCAGGGGCCCTATTTGCAAACAAGATGATGTGTATGTTCACCTTGAACCACGAAGATCCAAATGAGGCACCTCAAAGAGACTCTCAGGTAGAGTTCTTTAAGTAATTTAGCCAAGCTTCACAAATTGTTTAGGTTGAGTCCAAACTATCAGTGCAGAAAATGACTTTGGAGGTTGCCAGGAAACTTTCTGGTCCATCATAAATTCCAATGTCCTTACCTTGGCCAAAAGTCATCCACGTATCTTTGAAGATATTGATAGAACTTTTCCAGCTGATCCAGAAACCAACTCCATTCCACAGCCTCTTTACAATGTACCTTTCACACTGACTTGAAATTATCCATTTATGTGTGACATTATCTCACAGATAACACCATTAATCCTTCAAGGAAAAAGGTGATATTTTATAACCTTAAGGTATACTGTAGAGATTTGCATACAGGAGGCGGTCTATAACTTCTGGAAAGATTTCTTTAATTTTTAATTATTTTGTGCAAATATGTGATTATCTCAATCACAAAGATATTTTATTTCATAATTATTACTTAGTTTTTTTCTCTATCCCTTTAGATTATATAATCCAAGTTATTTTACTATTATCTTGAGAACATTTCCTCCTCAAACTATCAATCTAGTAATGCACTTCCAGATATCTTGCATGTATTTTAAGTTTGTCATGTACAATAATCTGCATAGATTTAAAATTTCAACATATATTTATTAATGTATGTGTATATATAGATATGCGTTTGTGTGTCGGAAAAATAATCACCACGGATAGTGAATATATCTTCTTTTGAGAAGTATTTGTTCGTGTCCTTTGCCCATTTCTTTAAATGGGATTGTTTGTTTTTTGCTTGATGATCTGTTTAAGTCCCTTAGAGGCTCTAGATATTAGATCTTTGTTGGAGGCATACTTTGTGAATATTTCCTCCCATTCTGTAAATTGTCTGTTTATTCTATTGATTGCTTCTTTTGCTGTGCAAGAGCTCTTTAGTTTATTTGGGTCCAACTTGTCAGTTTTTATTTTGTTGCAGTTGTTTCTGGGGACTCAGCCAAAAATTATTTGCGAAATTGGATGTCTAGAAGGGTATTTCTTAGGTTTTCTTTTAGGATTTTTATAGTTTGGGGTCTTTTTTTTTTTCTATTTTTTTTTTTTAATTATACTTTAAGTTTTAGGGTACATGTGCACATTGTGCAGGTTAGTTACATATGTATACATGTGCCATGCTGGTGCGCTGCACCCACTAACTCGTCATCTAGCATTAGGTATATCTCCCAATGCTATCCCTCCCCCCTCCCCCCACCCCACCACAGTCCCCAGAGTGTGATATTCCCCTTCCTGTGTCCATGTGATCTCATTGTTCAATTCCCACCTATGAGTGAGAATATGCGGTGTTTGGTTTTTTGTTCTTGCGATAGTTTACTGAGAATGATGGTTTCCAATTTCATCCATGTCCCTACAAAGGACATGAACTCATCATTTTTTATGGCTGCATAGTATTCCATGGTGTAACAAATTTACAAGAAAAAAACAAACAACCCCATCAAAAAGTGGGCGAAGGACATGAACAGACACTTCTCAAAAGAAGACATTTATGCAGCCAAAAAATACATGAAAAAATGCTCATCATCACTGGCCATCAGAGAAATGCAAATCAAAACCACTATGAGATATCATCTCACACCAGTTAGAATGGCAATCATTAAAAAGTCAGGAAACAACAGGTGCTGGAGAGGATGTGGAGAAATAGGAACACTTTTACACTGTTGGTGGGACTGTAAACTAGTTCAACCATTGTGGAAGTCAGTGTGGCGATTCCTCAGGGATCTAGAACTAGAAATACCATTTGACCCAGCCATCCCATTAGTGGGTATATACCCAAAGGACTATAAATCATGCTGCTATAAAGACACATGCACACGTATGTTTATTGCGGCATTATTCACAATAGCAAAGACTTGGAACCAACCCAAATGTCCAACAATGATAGACTGGATTAAGTTTGGGGTCTTTTATTTGAATCTTTAAACCATCTTGAGTTAATTTTTGTATCTGATGAAAGGTAAGGGTCCAGTTTCAATCTTCTGCGTATGACCAGCCAGTTATCCCAGCACTATTTAATGAATAGGGAGTTCTTTCCCCAGTGCTTGTTTTTTTGGCCTTGTTGAAGCTGAAATGATTCTAAGTGTATGATTTTTCTATTCTGTTCCATTGAACTATGTGTCTGTTTTTTCTGTACCAGTACCACATTGTTTTGGTTATGCTTATCATCACTAATCATCAGATAGATGCAAATCAAAACCACAATGAGATACTGTCTCACACCACTCAGAAGGCTATTATTAAAAAGTCAAAAAAGCAACAGATGTTGAAGGCTGCAGAGAAAAGGGAATGTATATAACTATTGTTGGAAATGTAAGTCAGTTCAGCCACTGTGGAAAGCAGTTTGGAGACTTCTTAAGAAACTTAAAACAGATATACTATTCAACCCAGCAATCTCTTTACTGGGTATATACCCAAAGGAATATAGATCATTATACCAAAAAGGCATAGAGACGTGTATGTTCATCACTGCACTATTCACAATAGTACACACATGGAATCAACCTAGATTCCCATCAATATTGGATTGGATAAATAAAATGTATTACATATGCAACATGAAATACTATGCAGCCATAAAAAGAATGAAGTCATGTCCTTTGCAGTGACATGGATGAAGCTGGAGACCATAATCGTAAGTGATCTAGTGCAAGAACTGAAAACCAATACCACATATTTTCACTTGCAAGTAAGGGCTAATCCTTGAACACACATGAACCTCCGCATGGGAACCATAGACACTGCAGAATACTAGAGCAGGGAGGGAGAAAGGGAGGCGTGGGCTGAAGAACGACCTTTTGGGTACTATGCAAACTGCTTGGGTGTAATGTGCCCATGTGACAAACCTGCACATGTACCCCTGTATCTAAAGTTGAAAAAAAAAAGAATATAAAGCTTTAAAAAGAAGTCAGAAGTGGAAATGAAAACATAGTAAACTTTATGAAATGCTAAAAAAGATAGTGACTATAGTGAATGTATCTATTATCCATAATAATTTCTAAAAATGTCATATAACCGTGCAATATGTATTTTCTTTTAAGTGGATTCTTACCCTTTTTTCACTCAAAAATTATTTTGAGATTCATTTATGTTATCCCATGCCATAATATGTCATCTCTTTTTATTGCTATTAGTATTCAATTTTAAGAAGATTTCACAATTTTCTTACCCATTCACCAAAATGGCTTTTGGGAAGTTTCAGATTTTTGGCTTACAAATATATACATATTTATATATTATCTTGGTATGGGCATGTTTTTATATCTCTTGGTTAAATACCTGTGAGAGGTAATGGCTGGATCACATGCCAAGTGTATGTTTATCACTTTTAAAAAACACTTCCTAAAAGTTTTCCAAAGTGATTGTACTATTTTACCTTCCCCAAAGCAGTGTACGGGTATTTCGGGTATTTCACTTGCTCCACATCCTCACCAAAACTTGACATACTCAGGACTTTATGTTTAGACATCCTAATACATGTTTAGTGGTTTCATGTTGTGGATTTAATTTGCATTTCCCTAATGCCTCAGGATGTTAAACATCTTCTCATATACAACTCAGCATTGATCATTTTTGGTAAAATGTCTTTTCAAATATTTAACGTAGTTTTAACTGGGCTGTTTTCTTATTATTGAGTTTACTGAATTCTTTATGTATTTGGAATGTAATCCACTTACCAAATATGTGATTTAGAAATATTTTTATCCAATCTGTGGCTTGTTTTTCTATTTTTTAACCACTGCCTTTCAGTGGGTGAAAGATGTTGATGAGGTTTAATTTTTCTTTTTTCATATGAATCATGCTTATTGTTTCAAATCTACGAATGTATTGTGTAAAACAAATATGTTAATACTAAGATTTTCCCCAATTCTTCTTTCTAGAAGTTTTGTAGTTGTTGTTTTTAAGTTTAGATTTATGATAATTTTTTCTTAATTTCTTACGATATTGTGACAAATTGGCGAAAGGTTTTGTTTGGTTTGTTGTATTTTTTTTTTGGCATGTGAATGTCCGATTTTTCATCATTGGCTAAAAACACCGTACTTTAGCAACAGAATTGCCTTTTCATTATTTAAAATATATTTTAATATATGTGTTTTAGGGAATCTATTCTGTTCCATTGATCTATTTATTTGTCCCTTTACACCAACAAAAGCCGTTATGATAAGTTAGAATAATGTATTATAAGTCCTCCAACTTTGTTCATCTTTTCAAAGTAGTTTTAATATAGAATAAAATACTCTAGGTTCTGTTCATTTCCATATTAATTTTAGAATCAAGCTTTCAATTTTTACATATACATATGCACTAACACACACATACACATCCACTACCATAACTTTGATTAGAATTGTGTTGAAGCTATAGATCACTTTGAGAATAATTGTCTTCTTGACATTATTGATCCTTCTGTTCCAGAAACAGAAAATCTCTGTATATTCAGGTCTCTTTAATTTCTCTCAGCAGTGTTCTTAAGTGTTTTTTATACAGTCCTAACTCATCTTTTGGCAGATTTATCTCTAATTATTCCATATATTTTGATGCTATTATAAACCACATTTTAATTGTTAATTGTAGCATCATATATAAAGATAGATAATATATTCTGAAATGTACTAAATTCATTTATTATAGTAGTTCATAATTAGCTTATGGTTCCGTAGAATTCTCTACATAAATGATAATATCACTGTGGGTCAGGCACAGTGGCTCACGCCTGTAATCCCAGCACTTTGGAAGGCCAAGGCAGGTGGATCACCTGAGGTCAGGAGTTCAAGACCAGCCTGGTCAACATGGTGTAATCCCGTCTCTATTAAAAATACAAAAATTAGCTGAGCTTGGTGGTGGGCACCTGTAATCCCAGATACTCGGGAGGCTGAGGCATGAGAATTGCTTGAACACGGGAGGTGGAGGTTGCGGTGAGCCAAGATTATACCGATGCACTCCAGCCTGGGCGATAGAGCAAGACTTTGTCTCAAATAATAATAATAATAACAATAAAAATAATAATATCACTATGAATAAAGACACTTTTACTTATTCCTTTCCAATCTGTATGTTTTTCCACTTTCGCTTATTATACTGGGTAGACAGACTCTCCTGGTGAATAGAAATGATACAATTGAACACACTTGGCCTTGTCCATAAACTTTGGGAGACAGGGCATTCATTCTTTTAATATCAAATGTTTTTAGATATAGGCTTTTCAGGGATTTTTAAAATCAGGTTGAGAAACTGACCTTTTCCTAAATTACTGAGTTTTTTTTATCAATAATGAATTTTTCTCTGTCTGCCTCCTTTCTGATCAGACTGGATAGAGTTTTATTAGTTATATTGATCTCTCAAAGAAACAGCTTTTGGTTTTTCTTGATTTTATATTTGTTTTTCCTTTTCCTATTTTATCAGCGTGCCATCTGATCTTTATTATTTTATCTTTCTGGCTTATTTGGAGGTATATTGATCTTTTTTTCTGTTTTCTCAAGGTTAAACCTGATAATACTGATTTGAAATCTTTCTTGTCTTCTAATGCATGTATTTAGTGCTGAATAATTCCCTATATGTCTACTTCAACTTTATTTCACAAGTTTTGATATATTGCATATACATTGCCATTCATTTTAAAATGTTTTGTAATTTCCCTTTTGACTTATTATTTATCCCATGAAACATTTAGAAGTATGCACTTAGCTTCCAATTATATGTGGATTTTCCAGAGATAGTTCTGTCATGAATTTCTAATTTGATTCTAATGAGGTCAGAGAACATACTATGATTTAGATCAAGTATATTCCTGATGCACTTAAAAAGAATGTGTATTTTGTTGATGTTGGTTAATGTTTTGGTAATTATCAGTTAGGTTACAGTCAATTGGTAATGTTAATCAAGTCTTCTGTATCTTTTTAACCTACTTGCTCTATTAGTTATTGAGAAATAGCTGTTTAAACTCTAATAAAATTAAGAATTTGTCTATTTCTTTTCACAGTTCTGTCAGTTTATTCTCCATGTATTTTAAGCTCTCTTATTATATAGATAAAAGTTTAGAATCATGATGTCCTCCTGATGAATTGACGTCTTTCTCATTAGGAATTGATTCTGTTTATTCCGGATAATATTTGCTCCAATACCTGAGTGTTAGCAATATAGCTACCCCAGCATTTTTTGCATTAAGGATTACATGGTGTATCTTTTTTCCTTTCTTTTAATTTTAACATATTTTAATTTTGAGGGAACATAGTAGGCATATATATTTATGGGGTACATGAGATTTTCTGATACAAGGATGCAATGTGAAAGAAGCACATTCACATGAGAATGGGGTATCTATCTCCTCAAGTGTTTTTCCTTTGAGTTACAAACAATCCAGTTACACTCTAAGAGATTTTAAAATGTGCAATTGCATTGTTATTGACTATAGTCACCCTGTTATGGTATCAAATAGTAAGTCTTATTGATTCTTTCTATTTTTGTACCCATTTACCATCCCCACCTCCTCCCCCAACCCCCTACTACAATTCCCAGCCCCTGTTAATTATCCTTGTACTCTCTGTTCCCTGAATTCAATTGCTTTGATGTTTAGATCCTACAAATAAGTGAGAGTATGCAATGTTTGCTCTTCTGTGCCTGGCTTATTTCACTTAACGTAATGATCTGCAGTTCTATCCATGTGGTTGCAAATAAGCATTTACCTATACTTAAAGTGGGTTTTTGTAGGATGTGTACAGTTGTGGTTTTTTAATCCATTCTGACAGTCTCTACCTTTGAATTAGAGTGCCACACATTGAATATATTACTGATGTAATTGGGTTTAAGCCTATTACATCTTGCTATGTATTGTCTGATATCTGTTCATAGTTTTATTTTTCTTCTGTTTCTTCATTTTTGAATATTTTAATGAATCAATTAATTTCCTATTTTGTCTTGTTAACTATAACTCGTTCTTATTTTAGTACGTGGTTTTCAGTCTTTTTTCAAATGCTGTTGCACTACTTCACATATAATGTAAAAAATACCCCCTCCAGCCTTTGTGCTAAGTTTATCAGATATTTTTACATTAATCATAAAACTCATAATAGTTTTCTATTTCTGCTCCAACAAATTACAACAAATTTTGTGGCTCAAAACAGCAGAAATTAATAATTAGGTCAGAAGTCCACATAGGCTCTGCTGGGATCTGCTCAGTATATTATAAGATCACGATCCAGGGGTCAGCAAGACTATGATCTTTTCTGGAGGCTCTGAGGCAGAATCCTTCCTAATGTCATTCAGGTTTTTGGCAGAATCCAGCCTCTTTCTTCTGTTGGACTGAGGTCCTGTTGGCTTGCTTGAAGTCACCTGCAGGAGGGTGCCTTTACCTTTGAGCAATTCCCTTCTGAACCTTGAATGGGAATCTCTAAAGCTCTGTAGCAGCAGTATGTTAAATCCAACCCATACTTGGAATATTTCTGACACATCTCTCTTCTGCTGCATCTCTTCTGCCTTCCTCTTCTTCTTACAGCTGAAGAGAAATCTCTGCTTTTAATATCAGAT
The DNA here is from genome assembly GCF_000001405.40 of Homo sapiens. NCBI lineage: Eukaryota > Metazoa > Chordata > Mammalia > Primates > Hominidae > Homo > Homo sapiens. Next base: position 21,307,868 of record NC_000021.9, read on the forward strand.
GAAAAGGGGATCATGTGATTGGTCTCGCCTAGATAATTCATGATAATTTCCTCACTTAATGTCTGTAACTTTAAAAAACACCTGCAAAGTCTTTTTAAATCATGATATTTAATGTGTTCATAGATGGCCAGGTGTTAGGGCATTGACATCTTTGGGAAGAGACATTATTCTTCCCCCAACAACTGTGCTATGCATACACACATACACACACACACACACGTACACACACTATGTATAGATTCAAACTTCCAATTAGCTCATATTCATAAATTATTACATTAAAATTAATGTTAAAGTTATTAGAAAAAAGTATTTTATATTTATCTACATAGTTACTATTCACAAGGCTTTTCAATACTTTGTGTAAATCCAGATTTCTATCTGGTATAAGTTCCCAGATGCTTGAATGACTTCCTTTAGCATTTCTTGTAGTGCACTTCTGTTGTTAATGATTCAGTTCACCTACTGTATGTCTGAGAAAACCTTTTTTTACTTTTATATATAAAATACATTTTTGCTGGATATAGAATTCTAAATGAACAGATTTTATTTTTTCAGTACTATAAACATTATGAATCATTATGTTTGCCTGAGTTTTTTTAGATACAAACTCCTCTGACATTTTGTTCCTCTGTACATAAAGTATCCCATCCAACCAGTCACCCCCAGATTCTTAGAGATTTTTGCTTTATCGCTTTTCTTAAGCAGTGTGGATACATTATACCTTGGTGAAGCTTTCTTCATCATACTTGTACCCAGGTTTTGGTGATGACCTTGATTGATCATTTTTAACAAATTTAGAAAAGTTTTAGTCATTAGATGTTCACATATTGTTCTCTGTCCCACATTCCTTTGGGACTCCAATTTCACATATATAGGCTACTTGAATGTTCCAACTGATCTTGATCTTATCTTTCATTTTCCGGATAATTTTCAGAAAATAATCTTATCTTTCATTTTTGATCATTTTCTTTCCTTTTTTTCCTTTTTGTATTAATTTTTGGATATTCTCTCTTATTACATGTTCTAGTTTACTAATCTTTTCTTTGGCAATGTTTAATCCACTGTTCATTCTGCTGAAGGCTTCATCTCAGGCACTTTAGCTTTTAATATGTAGACACATGATTTTTAAAATACCTACCCCAGAACTGAAAATGAAAATAAAAATAAGTTAAATTTCTGTGAAGTCTTCAACATGATCAGTCTTTCATCTAGATTTTTGGTTGCATGGAATGCCATCATAATAACTGATTTAATGTTATTGTGTACTATCATCTGTTATTCCTGGGTTAGTTTTTGGCCAATTATATTTTATCCTCATTATATCTTATATTTCCTGCTTCTTTTCATAATAATTTTAGCATGGATGCTAGATGTTATAAATGTTACCTCTTTATCTGCTGTTTTTTTGTTTTGTTGTTCTTTTCAATATTTTAGACCTTTTTTTTCTAGAAATACAGATGAACTACTTGGAAACAGTTTAATCCTTCAGTCTGTGCCTTTAAGCTTTGTTAAGTTTGATCAGAATAGCTCTGGACTTTCTTTGCCCCACCCATGAGATAAGAATGTTTCTGAATTCTTTATCTGTCATGCATTAGGAGTTGATTTTATTCTGGCTCATGAGAGTATGAACTTTTGTTTGCTCTGTTTGAGCTTGGAAGTTGTTCCTTCCAATTCTTTTGCACAGTTCTTTCCCTGGCCTCAGTTACTTTCCTCTCATGGGTGCACTCATCAGTACTCATCTGGAGGCTCCAGGGTTAATCACTGCAAATCTCAGGGAATCCTCACTTTGCCATTAAGTCCTGTCTGGCACTGTGGCCTGTGAACTATAGCCAATATCCACTTCTCTGTACTATTAGCACTACCTCCGCACTCAGAGAGACCTCTAAACTCCAACTGAGATCCTCATTCCTGTGCTGCAATCTAGAAACTCTCTCTAGACAGTAAGCTGAGACACAGCAGGACTCACCTCATTTCCCCCCATATTTTAGGAATTTCTATTGAATGATTTCATTGACTGATTCACAAAGTCTTGAAAAACAGTTGTTTTATACAATGTTTCTGACATTTTTAGCTGTTTCAGGTGCTAAGATAAATTGGGTATACGTTTCTGCATCTTGGTTGGAAACTGATATTTTTAGATATATGTTTCAGTACAGCAAACAAAATTTCAGTGTTCTAAGGTTTTGAAAAATGTATCCTAGTAATAGGAAGACCTGACTTCTAAATATTTTAATCTCTCATTCTGTACTAAACTCAAAGCAATTTCAGATAGCTATGTCTGAATTTCACTTTCTTCCTACTTTATCCATACATCTTGTTCTATAATAAATTATTTTTATTAATTAATTACTTTAATTCTCCCTCAGGTTTGCCAGTGAATTTTTAACAGCAGGGTATCACAATGGTTTTTTCAAAATATGTAGCACTATGAACTGAAACATGGCCCACATTTTAGGTGTCTCAGGAACATGAAGAATATACAACCAGTGCAATCTGAAGTTCATAACAAAGACAAACAGTAGGAAGTGAAGGAATCTTCAGAATACTTTGGGTAGATCAGAGCAATGATTTAAAGAAAGAGAAGAGTCTGATGAACTGAAGTAGAAACAGGCATTCCTTGAAGAAGAGTCATGATTCCCTCAAATAGGCAGAATTAAAAATGTTTTTCTGCTTTAGATCAGGAACTGACTTCTCCAGGAGGATGGGCTGTTTCAGAGTATCAGCTTATTGAATCTGATTGTAACTGTTACAAAACACAATGACAATTTTTTAACTATCAATATGATTTTTAATATTTGCATGTTTGTTTTCAAGTTAACATACAGTAAAATTCACTTTTTTAATTGTAGAATTCTATGAATTTTAACGTATACATAGATTCATCTTGGCTCTACTACAGTCAGTATACAGAATTGTTCTTTCACCCCAAATCACTCTCTAATCCCTTTATAGTCACTTCCTCTTTCAACCTCTAAACTCTGACAACCACCACTTCTTTCCCTGCCATTATAATTTTATCTTTTCCAGAGTGCCATATTAGCACAGCTTTAGAACAGCTTTATAGTAAGTCCCACAGTTGAGACCTACTTCTCAGGAAATATTTCTTTCAAAATATCACAGTGCACTGGCAATGCACTTAAAATCAGGTAGTATCATTTATCCAACTGTTCTTTTACAAAAGGTTCTAGAAATTATAATTTATTTGCCTTCCATTGAAAGTTTCACAACAATTTGTCTACACAAACATATCAAGCTGGGATTTTAATCACAATTGTAAAGGAGCTTTATATTAGTTTTAAAAGAATTTTACTTTTTTTCTATCTTGAGTCTACAAATATATTAACATGGTATATATTTTTGTTGTTGTTGTTGGCCTAGTGTTTGGGACATCAATATGCTTTTGTTAAATGAATGAACGAATAACAAAAATGACTTTATGCAAAAGATGGTTACAAATATGGGGCATTTTTTTTTTTTTTTTTTTTTTTGAGACGGAGTCTCACTCTGTGGCCCAGGCTGGAGTGCAATGATGCAATCTCCGCTCACTGCAAGCTCTGCCTGCTGGGTTCACGCCATTCTCCTTCCTCAGCCTCCTGAGTCGCTGGGACTACAGGCACCCGCCACCACGCCCAGCTAATTTTTTTGTATTTTTAGTGGAGACGGGGTTTCACCGTGTTAGCCAGGAGGGTCTCGATCTCCTGACCTCGTGATCCACCCACCTCAGCCTCCCAAAGTTCTGGGATTACAGGCGTGATCCACTGCGCCCGGCCCATGGTATGACTTCTTATTTACTAAAGTCTTCTTTTGTTTCCGTTATCAGATCCTTGTAGTTTTCAACATTCAGATATCATACATAAATTTTGCTTGATTGGTACCTAAGTGTGATAGTTTTGGAGCTGTTGTACATTTTTTTAAAAAAAATTTTGGTTTCCAAATGTTTATTGCTAATATGCATATGAGATTTGATTTGGGGTGTTTTTCTTTAATCCTTTGACTGTGTTACACTCAACAATTAGTTCTAGCAATATTTTTGAAGGTTCCTTGAGTTTATATTGTATATAACAATCTATTTCTAATTTCTGCAAATTGGAAAAGATTTCTTTCTTTTCTGACTGTACGTCTTAAATCTATTTTTACTTGAGTGCTGTGTTGTTCTTTCAGCATGAGGTTTAATAGGAGAGCTGACAGCGAATTTCCTTACTTGCTCCCAGTCTTACAGATAAAGTATTCACTTCTTTACCTATATATCAATGTTAGGTCTAAATTTTTTGGCAGGTGTTTTTCATCATGATAAGGAAGTCTTCCTTTATTCATAGTTTGCTCAGAGATTTTATCATGAGTGGATGAGGAATTTTGTTGTTTTTTTGTTTTAGCATCAACTCATGTTATTACATGATTTTTTCTTTAAACTGTTAAGTTGGATAAATTAATTGAGTATTGATTAATATGCTTAATATAGTTAATATAATTTAATAATACTCAATATACTTAATATAATTTAATTATCTTCAATTAATTTATCCACCTAACAGTTTAAAGAACAATTATTTAATAATATTAGGTTCAGAGGTTTCTGAAGCTCTATTCATTAATGTCATATAATTAAATTATATTAATACTCAATTAATCTATCCAACCTAACACTTTAAAGAAACTGTTTGCTGATAACAGTATTGTGTCAGCCTTATATTCACAGGAAAAAGAAAAAAAAACTTAATGTTGATATATTTCCTATTTACAGCTAGATTTTTTTTCTAATTTTTTAATAAAAGCACCTATTTTCCATGAAATATTGGTATGTAGGTTTATTTTCTTGTACCATATATGACATGTTAAATTATCAGCATAATGCTGTGTTCATAAAAATGGGTTGAAAAACATTCCCTCCTCTTATATTTTCTGAAAGAGATTTTACAGAAATGCTATTGTTTCTTCTTTAAATATTTTTTAAATTCAACAGATAAACTGAGTCTGAACATTTCCTTTCAGGAGACTTTTGATTTATCTTTAAATAAATGTATTTTTTATATTTCTTTAATAATTATAGGATTGTTTTTGTTATATATTTTATTTTGAGTAACTTTGTGGTTTCTGATTTTCAAGGATGTGGTTCGTATTTTCAACATTGATAAGTTTGTGTGCATAATGTTATCTGGATTTTTTTAAATATTTTTATTAGCTGTACAATCTGTGCTGATATCTCTTCTTTCAATCCTGATATTGGCAATATGTGTCATCTCTCCTTTTTTCATCCTGAGTCTTGCTGGAGGTTTAATCATTGTATTCTTATTCCAAATAAACTTCATTTAAAAAAATTTTCTCTATTTTGTTCTGTTTTCAATTTCATTATTATCCTTTTATTTTATATTGTTTTCTTCCTCCTGCTTAATTTTTGCTTATTTTGCTCTTGTTTATCTAGTTTATTAGGCTATCCCAAAGAGTAATTGTGAATTTGTTCCAATTTTTTTTGTCTGTCAGATTTTGCTTTATATATTTTGAAGCACTTTTTCAAGTTGAATGCACATGTAGGATTGTCATATTTTCCTGCTTAATTGGCCTTTTTATCATTATGTAATATTCTATTTTACATCTTTTAATTTCATTTGTTCTGAAACCTACATTTTCTGATATTGACATAGCCACTGCAGCTTTCTTTTGATTAGCATTTGAATGGCATATTTTTTCTATTGTTTTTATTTTATTCTAGTTTTATCATTACATTTCAAGTGATTTCTTATAGACAGCATATAGTTAGGTTATATTTTATTCATTATGCCAGTTTCTGTGTTTTTATTCATGAAATTAAGCCATTTACACTTCATTCAGATTTACACATCATTCATTTAAAATGTTATTTTAGTCTGTTCTTTTTGTCTTTCATTCTTCTATTTTCCCTGCTCTAAATTCTTGATTATTGAACATTATTTAGAATTGTATTTTACTGTATCTATAATGTTTCTGGCTATATCTGTTTTCACAATTTGTGGGGAGGGGGTGTTGCCGTTGTAATTCAATGTCCCTATTTAAGTTAGAATCAATGTTTACCATTTCAATTTGAATGTAGAAAGTATAGCATCATATAGGTCCCTACATCTTCTCTTTATATCATACTTTTCCTGTGTATTATACCTCCATTCATTGAAAATTCCATCAGAGAATTTGTTTTATTCTTTCAACCATTAAATTACTTTAAATAACTTAAAAAGTGAATAGTGTGACATATTTCTCAGATATTTACCGTTTGTAACTCACGTTTTATTTCTGGAGTTTGATGTTTCCTTTGATTTAATTTCTTTTCTCTTTTAGAAGGCGCCTTGAGCAATTCTTTTGTATCAGGTCTGCTGGTAGAAATTGTAATAGTTTTCCTTTACCTTCATGTCTGAAGGGGATTTTGCTGAACATAGACCTTGCTTTGACAGGTGTGTTCTTTCAGAACTTTATAAATTTTGTTTCATTTCCTTTTGGCCTTAATGATTTCTGGTCAAAAAATTCAGTCATGTGAATCATTCTTCTCCTATAACTATTGCATATTTTGGTGTTTGTATATTTTTGGTTTTTAGAAGTTTGATTATGATGTGCCTCAACATGAACTGTTTTGGGTTTTTCTTGGGTTCGATGCTGTTGGCCTATTTGAGAAGTTTTCAGATGTCAGATGCATTGATACATACACATATGTACACGTATATACCTACATTATTTTGTCCTGGTCGTCTTTCTCTTTTCCTTCTTGGATTTCATGACATTTTGGTAGTGTCTAAGAAGTTCCTGAAGTCTATTCACTTTTTCCTTTAATATGTTTCCTTTTGTTTTCAAAATTGGATAACTTCCATTTGTAATTCTTTATGTTTGATAACTCTCTCTGTCAATCAATTCAGCACATCCATGAATTTTGTTGTTGTTGTTGTTGTTAACATAAGTAGAATGCTAATATTTATTTGGGGTTTTAAAAATATATCGTATGTCTTTGGAGAGACTTTCTATATTTCCATTTATTTCACCTAATTATTTAGAACATGTTTTAAACAGTTGCTTTAAAATAGCTTTTAGATAATCCAACATGTGTCAGCATGCCATTGGCATTTCCAATGACATGATTTTCCTAGTTCTTAACAGGTAAAACAATAGATTATCTTTAGGACTTTGAATATTACATAATCAGACTCTGGATCTTATTTCAGTATTACGGAAAATGCTCACTTTTTTTGTTGTTTTTGTAGGCAATCAGTTTGTTTAGATCAGACAACAAATTCTGACCATCTTTCTTGGTTTTATATTCAGACGCCATTTTCATTACCTTTCAGTGACTGTCAGATCTGTCCTGCATGTGTACCAATGGCCATTCCAGGACCCATATGGAGGTTTACCTTTTAGTTAAATTCACAAAATCTTAGCAATGTTTAGAATCCGATTCAATAAGCACAGGTCAGGACAGAGCTCAAGATTTCCTAAAGAACTTGCTGTGGATGCCTTCCTAAGACCTTCCTACTCTATGATCTCTGACATACTTTCCTATTTCTTAGGTCACCACTTTTTAGTCCCCTGGCCAGAAAGCTGCGATCTTATTTATCTCTCTCTGCCCCAACTATGGCCTTATTCTGGTTCAACTGATGAGATTAATGAGGAGGATAAAAGCAATGGGAGATTTTGCTCTTAGGACTACAGTTTATCTGATTGAAGAAGAATGTCATCTCTCAGAGAATTGGGTGTTTGCAGCTTTCCTCTGTTGACATTGTCACTGCCAGATTTCCTTCCTGCTTCCTGAGTCTGAACTGGAAGGCTTCTCTTTCTTGGACATTTCTAGAGCAGTGTTGATGACAACTTCTGGGTTTTGTGATGCCTTCAATCCAGGCCATGGAATTCTGAAAAGAAAATTGTTATCTCACAGTTTGTCTGGTGATATTTTAAATTCTGTTATATTTCTTAATAGCAATATGTCTGCTGCGATTTACTTTTAAGAGTCTTCAAATAGATGACATACATATTCTATCCAAATATATTGGTCATATTAAGTGGGGAGATAGGACACTGCAAGATGTCTCGAATTAATCCAGAACTGGAATTCTGTGATTACTTTTAAACTTGTTGACATATATATGATCAGAGCCTTATTTAAACAATAAGGAATTAATATATATATTAACAAAGTGATTTTCAGATGCTTACTTTTTTATTGATATTTAATTGATCACTTCAGTGTGACTTTGAACATTTAGCCCACACTTTAGGATTCTTACTGCCTTTTGAAAGCTGTGTATTTAAAGCCATACTTTTCTTAGTTAATGGGATAAAAAGTAAAAGATTTATAGGGGAGAAAAATGAAAGTAGTTCCAATTATTTCTTTCTGGCAGTTTATCAAAGGTGGAAATAATGCTGTTCTTACAAAATTTGTTATTTTATTTACTTTTTTATTATTATACTTTAAGTTCTAGGGTACATGTGCACAACGTGTAGGTTTGTTACATATGTTTACATGTGCCATGTTGGTGTGCTGCACCCATTAACTTACTTTAAAAACATGCAATAATAACTTGCCAAAATTGAAACACCAGATCATATATTTATTTTTTGTATTATTAAGATGTTACAGTAAAATGACCAGTTTTAAAAACCAAGATGACCCTTTCTCCAACATCTCCATCATCTTCCAATTTTATCTTTTATTCTTTTTTTTTTTTTTTTTTTTGAGACAGAGTCTCACTCTGTTGCCCATGTTGGAGTGCAATGGTGTGATCTCGGCTCACTACAACCCTACAACCTCTGCCTCCCAGGTTCAAGTGATTCTCCTGCCTCAGCCTCCCAAGTTGCTGGCATTACAGGTGCCTACCACCACGCTCAGCTAATTTTTGTACTTTTAGTAGAGACAGGGTTTCACCTTCTTGGCCAGGCTGGTCTCAAACTCCTGACCTCAGGCGATCTGCCTGCCTCAGCCTCCCAAAGTGCTGGGATTACAGGCGTTAGCCACCGCGCCCGGCCATATTTATTCTTGATATATAAATAAAACAAATATAGCCCCTGTATATTGGTCCTTGGACCATTAGCACATAAACCCCCCGGTGCCAAATTCAAAAATTTACACATCCGACTGTTTTAAATTACCCTGCATAAGCCTATTTTAAACATTTACAATCAGCCTGCTTTGGAAACTGCAAAACTGCACCTAACTTCTGCTAGCCATACACAAACTCCAAGGGCAATACAAGACACCAAGCCCACAGCTGCCCTTCTACCTTCTGAGAGAGTCTGAGAGACGCTGCTGTACTGCTGAGTGACATCACGTGGACACATTATCCCCCTCTCAGATTCTTCACTCTTCCAGGAGTTTCCTTCCCCTTCTCCCACTCTCTGAGTGGTGACTGGACATGGTGTCTTTAAACAGCCTCCTGCTATCAGGAACTTCCAATGTCAAGCAACTTGTATGAGTAGCACCTAAGTCAAACTCATTATGTGTTAATGCCTCCTATCATCATAAGTTTTTCCTTGATGAGTCCTGAAATCTTCACACTTACTTATACTTTCCAACAGATTATTTTCTGCAGAATTTTGCAAAAATGAGTACTACCAACTCTAAAAATACGTTCTGAAATCTTACACCTTTAGATTACTTTTAAATATACATCATGACTTTTATTATACATTATTTTTCTTATAAGTTTTATATGATTCTTAAAATTAATTAATTATTTTTTTTGAGATAGAGTCTTGCTCTGTTGACCAGGCAGTGACACAATCACAGGTCACTACAACCTCGACTTCCCAGGCTCAAGCTATCCTCCCATCTCAGCCTCTTAAATAGCTGGGAGTACAGGCACACACCATCCTATCCTGCTAATTTTTTCTATTTTTTTGTAGCGACAGGCTCTCATTATGTTTCTCAGGCTCATCTCAATCTCCTGGGCTCAGGTGATTCTCCTGCCTCAGCCTCCCAGATCGCTGGGATTACAGGTGCGAGCCACCAGGCCTTGACTTCTTTTTAAACTTGAATTACCAACTTGTATTCTAGTCCATTTTGTACCCCAGGTGGTCCCAAAACTTTTCTTTAATGTATAGGTTGACATAAAACAGGTGAATTCTCAGATCAGTTTCTGCAATCAGTCTTTCCTGATATATTTTAGAACCTGAGAAAGACTTTTGGATAAGGAGATAATTGAACTTTTTCTCCATTAGCACAATCCAATAGCTGACTTTCTCAAAAGAAAATCCATCTGCACACAGATACATGGTTGGAAAAGGGGTGACCCAAGAGAGTTTCTGAAAGGTGTTTGGGACCTCAAGGTTTCTTGAAATACTCTGAGGGCCTTTCATGTAGAATATTGTTAACTGTAGAATATACGCTGAAAGAATATAAAAATTGCCATGTTTAGTGGTGAAATTAACTTTCAAGAATTAAAGGAACATTCAAGCTTGAATTTATTTATTTATATATTTATTGACTTGAGAGATCTTCCATATTAACTATGGCCTTTTATTTAATTATTATCTCATACTGTGGAAAGACTTCTTTTGACAAAAATAAAGTCACAGTAATGTTTTACCTCCTTTCAACTGTAACTTTTCACTTAGATTTTATTTAATAAGCCCTTTAGATTGGTGGTAAAATGTCGTAGACATCTAGTGATGGATTAGCTTTAGTAAATTGTATTAAAAAATCTATTAACATTTTTATTTTTATGTTTTTTAATTTGTTCATTTATACTTCTCTGATTATAAAAATAATCCAATGTTAGTATAGAAAATTGTATAATGTCTACTGAGGACATTTCAAAAGAGCTGATTATATTCTTAAATCAACATATTAAATATTCATTTACCACTTTACCTATGAATTTCAATTATGGTTAATTAAATATAGAATTTATTATGTAAACAAATGCTGTAATAGATATGTATCTGGTCATATTTGGCCAGGTGACTTATACTTGCCCAATAGTGTATCCACAGGGTTTGGAATACTGATCAGTTTGAGTAAGAGTGAAGACTTATTTATATATTGACATAAATATGTCTCTTACATGTAATGTCAGCTTGATAAAAGAAACAGAATACAGAAGCAGGCGTATTTTTAAAAGAAAGAAAAAATATTGAAATATTAATCAATATTTGCATAAATAAATGCATATGCTGGCCAGGCTCTGTGAGACACTCCTGAGGCAGGAGTACTGCTTGAGCCCAAGAGTTGGAGACTGCAGTGAGAGGCTATGATCACACCACTGCATGTCAGCTTGGGTGACAGAGGGAGACCCTGTATCAAAAAGAAAAACAAACAAAAAAAAATGCAAGCACAGTCAGCTCTTCATATTCGTGGTCTTACACTGGTGTTTTCAACCAATTTGGATGGAAAATATTTTTTAAAATAGCAATAAAATTAACAATACAAAAATGAAAACATACAAATAAAGAACAATATAGTATAACAACTATCTGAGGGAGTTCCTAGAATCAATCCTCTGTGAATACGAGTTAACAACTGTAATTAATAAAAATAACTAACCAAGGCCAGTGCAGTGGCTCACGCCTGTAATCCCAGCACTTTGGGAGGCCAACACAGGTGGATCACGAGGTCAAGAGTTTGAGACCAGCCTGGCCAACATGGTGAAACCCCATCTCTACTAAAAACACAAAAATTAGCTGGGCATGATGGCGCGTGCCTGTAGTCCCAGCTGCTCAGGAGGCTGAGGCAGGAGAATCACTTGAACCCAGGAGGCAGAGGTTGCAGTGAGCTGAGATCATACCACTGCACTCCAGCCTGTCCGACAGAGTGAGACTCCATAAGAACAAAAAATAAACAATAATAACTAACCAGGAAAATGAAAAGGTCAATAATTTTAGTTGCCTCTTATTTTTTTTTTATTTTTGATCTTGTACATATGATCTACGCAAAAAGCCAATTTAAAAGAAACATAATAATCAGGTTCCTTTGGCAAATAATTAGAAAATGGAGAAAAGCGTAATTATGAAAATGCAACAAAGCATCAGTTAACAATTTTTCATTGTTTTTGTACTTGCTGTCTAAGGAAGGAAATACTTATTTGATTAAACTGCTGATTCCTCTTATATTAACTTTCACTAAGAATGTAATCGTAAATGCCAATGGAACCTTTTTTTGATTTTTCTTAAACCAACTTAATGAGCCAAATTTGATCCTCACGCTTCTACAGTCTGATGGTACTATATAAAGCCTTTACTGTGTTGTTCAGATAGGTTTGATTTTAGAAGTCAGTACTCAGTACCTTATGGCAGTTAGGTCACGGCTTTACTATATTCACAAATTAGGAACAACCATGTGGAAAATGCCCAAAATTTGCTATTCGTCAAATATGCATAGAAATGCTCTATTGATTAGATTTTGTAACAAGACGGATATACCAAATCAGTTGACACTGAAGATTGAAGACCACTCAGCTACATTTGTTTAAAAAGAATTGTATGTACGTATTTAGTTTATAGTAATCAGGAAGATAGACTTTTTTTTTCCAAACGAAATTATAAAATTATTGTTCCTTATGCCCATCATTTTATACTTTGCATTTTTAAATTTTGTATGCATTTTGAGTTCCAGAAAAGTATTCTCATTAAATAGCACTTTAAATTGATCACCCTCATAAATTCAGAATGGAGGACTATGACAATTAACCAGAAGCAATATTAATGAAAATTGAGAGCTGTTAGATCATATTACAGCATTTGCAGCAGTAGGGAAGAGCAGAACATACAAATTTTTAAAAAAAGAAAACAGATGGATTTCATTGATGCCTGATATGACTATATGAAAGTAACAATTTCATGATCAAAATCATGATGAATGCATTCTCCATAATTGAGATGTCTTATTGTATATTGAGAGGCTATATAATATTAAAATACTAGTCATTCTTTACCTCATATAAGCAATTAAGTATTTGAAAAATTGTCAAAGATGTAAATTGAAAAATGAGGGTACTTCATTTGTTATCAAAGGAAGGTTCTTAAAATTAACTGAAAACATGTAATTTCTTACTATCCATGAGTAATAAAAATAGCTTTGCAAATGTGGCTTCCCAGGTGTTTCACTTTTCTAACTTCATATAATAAAATGCAATGGAAAGAGATGTGTTAATGAAATTATGGGAAGACCCAAAGAAATAAACTAATTTGCTTTTCATGCAGACTGAGAATATAAATAGAGAATGTTAGAACTATCAAATAACTTTGGTGTTAATCTGCTCTATCTATTCTCTTGGCCAGGAACCAAGATCACTTCTGTGACTTTCTAATGGACACACAGCCCTAAATGTAAAATCATTTTTCTGATGATTAGTGATAACGAGCATTTTTTCATATGTTTGCTGGTTGCTTTTATGTTTTCTTTTGAGAAATGTCTGTTCATGTCATTTTCCCATTTTTAATTGGATTATTATTTTTTTCTTGTTGACTTGTTTAAGTTCCTTATAGATTCCGGATATTCAACCTTTATCAGAGGCATAGATTGCAAACATTTTCTCCCATTCTGTAGGCTGTCTGTTCATTCTGTTGATAATTGGTTTTGCTGTGCAAAAGCTGTTTAGTTTAATTAGGTCCCACTCGTCAATTTTTGTATTTATTGCAATTGCTTTTGAGGACTTAGCCATAAATTCTTTGCCAAAGCCAGTGTCGAGAAGTGTATGTCCTAAGTTTTTTTTATATATACTTTTTTATAGTTTGAGGCGTTACATTTAACCCTTTAATCCATCTTAAGTTAATCTTTGTGTATGATGAAAGATAGTGGTCCAGTTGAATTCTTTTGCATATGGCTCGCCATTTATCCCAGCACCACTTACCGAATAAGGAGTCAACATTTTGTTAACTTTGTCAAAGTTCAGATGGATATAGGTGTGCAGCTTTCATCCTCAGAGAAATGTAAATCAAAACCACAATGAGATACCATCTCACACCAGTCAGAATGAATATTATTTAAAAAGTCAAAAAATAACAGGTGCCGTCAAGACTTCAGAGAAAAAGGAATGCTTATACACTGTTGATGAGAATGTAAATAGTTCAACCATCGTGGAAAGTAATTTTGAGATTTTGCAAAGAACTTAAGCAGAACTGCCATTTGAGCCAGCAAACCCATTACTGGGTAAATACCAAAAGGAAAATAAATTGTAACAGACACATGCACTCGTACGATTATCACAGTGCTATTCACAATAGCAAGGACATGGAGTCAACCTTGGTACCCATCAACGGTGGACTGGATAAATAAAATGCAGTACCTATACACCATGGACTACTACACTGCAAAAAACAAACAAACAAACATGAAATCATGTCCTTTGCTGCAACATGGATGCAACTGTAGGCCGTAATCCTAAGCAAATTCACACAGGAACAGGAACAGAAAACCAAATACTGCATATCCTCACATTGAATGCCCATGGACATAAAGATGGCAGCAATAGACACTGAGGACTACTAGAGAAGGGAAAGAGGGAGGTGGGATGGTCTGAAAAACTACCTATTGGGTATCATGCTAACTATCTGGATGACAGAACCACCTTTACCCCAAACCTCAGAATCATGCAATATACCCAGTTAACAAACCTGTCCATATGTCCCCTGAATCCAAAAAAAGAAAACGTAAAAAGAAGTAAAGAGAAAAAAAGGGTTGTGAGTCTTAAGATTAGCAGTCCTCTGCTAGGTGAAAAATCTATGTGTGCATTTATTTGTTGCTTTATATTTAAAACAGAATTGGAATTGAATTACAAATGAGTATACTTCCTGGCTGTGCTTGAGTGGAGTTAGTTTTCCTTGGCTCAAATAAATTTGAAGGAATTAGTGGGTGCCGGTTAATCTGAACCAAACAAGCTGTGACATGAATAGGCATTTCATGGTTGGTATCATCTTTATCTTCTGAGAAATATCTGAGGGTTGAGGAAAGACTTGGAAGACTCAGAAAACATATGAAATTGCTGCATGCCATTATTCATAAAAGGTAAATCAGTCTGTCAAATTAGTGGTATCTCTGTTGCCTAAGCAACCGGTCAGGAGAATTATAACTTGAAGGTAGTCCACCACGTCCATGTTAGTGGGAGTTAATAGAACTACTTCACTATACATCCCCATGTTCCTTCCAGCTAAAGAAAAAATAGAAACTTTCCAGGAAGCGTTGACTACTTAACACATACAGAATACAAATCCATGAAAGAATTCATTTCATTGTAATTCTCTAAGGAATGAAAAACCTTTACTGTAATAAAAAGAGTAATACTGCTCTTGCAACTAATGTATAAATAATGATAGGTAAAACATGCATTTTGTTTAAAATGTTATTTCCCATAATTACAGAGGAAGAAAAACAGGGTACAGATAGTCAAATGACAATGTACTTAAAATTCAGAGTTAATATCTGAAAAAGTTCTATCTTTTGTAATACTAGTAATTATTATGTTACTTTAGAGACAACATGTCAGATTATGTTTCTTGTATCTAAATTCATAAGGGCAGAAACTTGATTTATTGTGTTTAATTACTAAGTTACATACCAGTTCTTATCTCTACCATCAATGGAGGTAATGTGGCATCAACGCTGACCTGAATGCTATTATAGAGATATTTGAGTATAATCACACTTGTAAATGCCTGTCTGGTATTGTTTAGTATATGTAAAAAATATTAATATACTTAATTTTAGGAATATTACTTTATGATATTCAGCTTAAAATTATAAAAGTGTGCATTGAGTCACAATTTATCCTCTACTTTGAAATTTAGCTTCTATTGTGGATGCTAGTGATTTGTTTATTGCAAACAGTGCATTTCAGTAACAGTTTCAACATGTTCCAAATGTGCAGCATATACAGTTTTTGCAATGTAATTAGTTAGAAATTGGAGATGCTTAATTTTAAAATTGAACAGTTCATGAAAATCTATTTCCATTCTCTGTATGGCTTATGCAGTTTCTCTTCATAAAATGTTCTATAGCTGCTTGAAGAAATTAAGTTTAGTTAATCAGAAAGAACATTATGTTTTGACACCTAATTTGAAAGCCCTGTTTTGAAGCAGTGATATATTGCTTATGGCATTACACAGACCAATGAGAAGCCAAATAGGAAATCCACTTATGCTCAAAGTAGATCTCCATATTGATGTAAGTTAGGGTGGTATTGTCTTTTTCTGAGACATAATTCCTAAAAGTATATATGTTTGCTAAAATATGTACTTTATTGTTTAACAGATTTAGTAGTGAAATAGCTTTACAATGAATTGATATAATTATTGCACATTAGAACACAGATCATTGATGGACATTTGGACATATGTAACAAACCTGTACGTTGTGCACATGTACCCTAGAACTTAAAGTATAATAAAAATAAAATAAAAAAGAACGCAGATCAGTGATAAAGTTATTTTACTGTGAAACCAAATCAGTTTCATTAATATAAATGGAGATGTGAAGGATGACATTTGAAAGCTTAAAATGTAGCAAAAATTCTCTAAATGATGGTAGTGAAGGTGTTTTCGTCTCTATTTATTCTGTATTCATCTCTCCTTCAGTGCCGCCAGCAATCTCAATGCCTCAGAAATCTTTTAATGCCACAGCAGAGAGAGGAGAAGAAATGACATTTTCCTGCAGGGCCTCAGGCTCTCCAGAACCCGCCATCTCCTGGTTCAGGTAGGTTATGCACCCCCCTCCCTCTGGCTTGTGTCCATTATCAGGCTTATGGAACAGTATTGGGGATCTTAATCATTTTGGTAAAAAGCAAACCATTGCATTTTAGTTTCATTAAAAAAAAATCCTGGTGCTATCTTTGGGGCTTACGGTGGTTAGATTAAACTGCTAAAGAGATCAACAGTGTGACCCCGCTCTAATATTCTGAGTCAAAGGCTGTACCCATTATACTTATTCTGTCTGTAAAAGCAGACTTTTGGAAAAATGGGACCAGGAGCACCTGTGACTTATTCAAACATTTTATTATCATTACAATTTATCTTGAAATTGATATTCTAGTGTTATTGACACCACTGTCATATGTATACAATATCATATTTTATTAGAATATAATTGTGTATATTTGTATTATACACAAAATGTTGTATTATAGAAAAAACTGATTTATAGCATTAAAATTCAATGAATTTAATGTGTAATTTTTAAAAATTACCTCATCAAATGAAATTCTGTATTCTAAATCTATAATTTGATAGTTTATTTTTTTAGAATTTTAAAATACTATTTGATTTTTATTAAGTTCAAGAATATTTTTAAAATATTCCATTCTTTTAGATTGTGTCTCAAACTACGAAATTGGAGACGATGAACTTTAAAACTGGACCATCTTGTAAATATGCATTAGTAATGCAGGTTGCTACAGAAGCATTAGCTACAAGTATTTACAGAATCACTTCATAAACCATATAGTGAAAAATTATTTAAAAAGATTAGTAAAATATACATCAGAAGTGCAAAAGTGTCCCTACTAAGTATTAGGTTGTTGTTTTAAAAGTTCTTTGAAGGACAACAATTGAAATCCCAAACTAACTTTTATTCTTTTTTGCTTGAGCATGTACTGATATTACCTTCAACTTTCAACCCTTTGTTTCTACTGCTTATCATTTTAATATAGGATGTAACAATAAATGAGATGTTTCTTCAAATATTGTGTGTTTTGATGTTCTTTTCAGACACTAATTTTCTTGGGACAAACTGTTGGTATTTTTTAGTAGGATTACACCTTGAATATTAACATATCCACCCCAGATAATCATCGTCTGTCTCAGTGACTGCTGATTTACTAATGTGGATCCTTAAAAGTCCATATCAGACCTAATTGTATCACAGAAAAGCTACTGAATCATTCATTCCAATGAAAAAATACTGTTCTACAATCTTTTTTCCTATGGTTTTGTATTTCCACAGAGATTTCTTTTTTCTTATTTGAACAGCATTTATTTAACAGATAAAGAAAGTAAAGCACAAAAATAATATGAGCAGGAAATTGAACAACAAACATGAGCTTGAGATACTCATGTTCCACTTTGTATGTAGTGGGAAAAACATCTTAAACTTCAAGCTTATGCCGATCTTAGCTAATGTAATTGATGATTCCACAAACCAATAGTGGGAATAGTAGCTGGTAGGAAAGTACAGGTGAATAAGCCTTGTTTTGAAATAATTTTCCAGTCATTCATTAAGGAATGCTATAAAATGTAAACTGTTCTGTGTAAAGGGGCTAGAAGTCTTCCTGCATTCAAGAGGAAGAAAGGAACATGTTTCTTTATCCTGTGAATTCGTCCTGACGTGCACTTCATCATTTCTGAGGCAGAAATACATGGAAACTGGGTGTGTGATTGTTACAGTGTTAGAACATATGTCCTTGAAAAATATGACACCAGGTTTAAGAAGAAAATCTCCTTTACTTCTGAGATTACTTGATCACAATGATTCCAAGTTTGATAGTAATTTCAGATTCCCCACCTATTTATGTTGATGTTAAGTTATGCAGATTCCTCATTAGTCCCATCTTTAGGATAATATTAGAACACTTACCATCAAGTCAGAATAGTAATTGTGAGACTAGATGCTTTTAGTTTGGTCAGTTTAGTTGTCTGCAGCACAACCCTTTCAAATAACAGCTTACCAATTACTTCTCACCAGAATACCAAGATCCTCCAGCAGCTGGGAAGTGTTAGCTGGCTTGGTTTTTCAGAGAGACTTCTTTTCTGCAGAGATTTTTTTTTCTTAAAGTTTTACATTCCTTCAAAACTGTTTTCTTATATTTAATTAGAAATAGTATTATATAGACTAGTATAAATCAGATTCAAAGAATAATATAATGAGTAATTTAAATTTATATTTTTTCTTCTCCATATCTTCATATGGTATTAGTTTCATCCTTTGGATAGAATGAAATAACAATTTATTGAAAACCTAAATAATTGTTCTAGTCTCTGGATATAAAATATATACTGGGAGGATGAGAATGTGTGGTTGTAACGTTAACGAAGGTAAAATTTGTGTTAGAGGGAAATTCTGACCTTGTATCTGACATATAGACATGTCATGTTTGTGGAAAAGAAAAAATTCCTGAAAGTATCAGGAAATGTAGGGTAGCATCCCGAGAGAAATGTCCAGACTGTTTCATAGAGATAATATTTCCAAGCGAGATAAGTGAAGTCAGTTGTACTAGTCAGCTTGGGCTGCCAAAACCAAATACCACCCACTGGGTAGTTCACACAATAGGAATTCCTTGATCTCTTGACTTCGTGAACCGCCTGCCTTTGCCTCCCAAAGTGCTGGGATTACAGGCGCAAGCAACCACCAACATGGTGAAATCCCATGCATGGTGGTACGCGCCTGTAGTCCCAGCTACTCTGGAGGCTGAAGCAGGAGAATAGCTTGAACCCGGGAGACGGAGGTTGCAGTGAGCTGAGTTCGCGCCACTACACTCCAGCCAGGCAACAGAGCAAGACTCTGTCTCAAAAAAAAAAAAAAAAAAAAAAAATTTCTTTTCCCATATTTCTGGACACTAGATGTTTAAGATCAAGATACCAGCAGGGTGGCCTTCCCTCTGTGTACAAACTCATGGAGAGAGAGAGTTCTGGTTATCTTCCTCCTCTTTCAGAAACAGCAATCCTTTTTTGTTTGTTTTTAATAATTTCAACTTTTATCTTAGATTCGCAGGTTTGTTACATGAGTATAATTTATAGAAACCGAAAGTAGATAATTGGTTGCCTGGGACTGGATATGAGAATAGAGATTAACTGTGAATGGGTATAAGAGATCTCTTGTGATGGTTGAACCACTCAATACAGTTACTAAAACTTCAGCCAACCAAACAAAAACCACCAGTTTTATGGGATTAAGGCCTCACTCTTATACTCTCATTTAAACTTAATGTCCTCCATGGAGGCCTTATTTTCAAATACAGTCATTCTGGGGGTTAGGACACCAACATGTGAATTTGAGGGTTGGGAAAACCCAATTTAGTTCATAACATCAATAAGATAATTAAAGACCATAATAGGGGAATTATAAAACATGTTCACAAAGAGAATCAAAAGCACTTAGTGACATGTAAATCCAAGAGGGAGTAAAAGCAGTGACTCTAAAGGTTCCCCCCTTCATTTTCGTTCAAACGGTACTTCTATATTGAGAATACAATATGGATTTTTATTGTTAGCCCATTAATTTCATAAATTTAATTTATTTTAAAATGTTCCATTTAAACCCCACTTAATCATGATACACAGGCATGCCCAGCATAATGACCTATCAATGACACGCCTCATATGTGATGGTGGTTCCATAAGATTATAATGGAGCTGAAAATGTCCTATTGTCTATTGACATCGCAGCCATCATAAAATCATAGCTCAACATATTACTCATGAGTTGGTAGTTACACTAGTGTAAACAAACCAATATATAAAAGCATATACATATTTTATACACTACATAATACTTGATAAATATGTTACTGGTTTATATATTTACTATACCGTACTTTTAATCATTATTTTAGAGTGTACTCCTTCTACTTATAAAAGAGAGAAGTTAACTGTAAAACAGCCTCAGGCAGTTTCTTTAGATAATATTCCAGAAGAAAGGATTGTTATCCTAGGAGATGCCAGCTCCATGCCTGTTATTGCCCCCAAAAGACCTTGTAGTGGGATGAGATGTGGAGGTGGAAGACATTGATATTGATGATCCTGACCCTGAGTCGGCCGAGGCTAATGGGGGTATCTTCCTTTAAAAAAAAAAAAAATTAGTGATAAAAACTTAAACAAGAAAAAATATATATCCTTATAAAATAAACAATAAAGAAAATATTTTGTACAGCTATACAATGTGTTTGTACTTTGAGCTGTTATTAAAAAAGAGTCAAAAGTTTAAAATTTTTAAGAGTATATAAAGTAAAAAAAGCTAAGGTGAATTTATTATTGAAGAAAGAAAATGTTTAGTGTCGCTTAAGTATACAGTGTTTATAAAGTCTAGAGTACTATACAGTAATGTCCCAGGCCTTCACAGTCACTCACCACTTACTCACTGAGTCACCCAGAAGAACTTCTAGTCCTGGAAGCTCCATTTACAACATATATATATGCCCTATATATGTATAGCATTAATTTTTTTTTTTTTTTTTTGAGATGGAGTCTCACTCTGTCACCCAGGCTGGAGTGCAGTGGTGCAATCTCGGCTCACTGCAACTTCTGCCTCCTGGGTTCAACTGATTCTCCTGCCTCAGCCTCCTGAGTAGCTGGGACTACAGGCATGTGCCACCATGCCCGGCTAATTTTTGTATTTTTAGTAGAGACGGGTTTCACCATGTTGGTGAGGCTGGTCTCACACTCCATGTGATTATCCCGCGTCCGCCTCCCAAAGTGCTAAGATTACAGGTGTGAGCCACCACGCCTAGCAAAAAACACTTTTATACCATATTTTTTACTGTACCTTTTCTATGTTTTGATATGTTTAGATATGCAGATATTTACTATTATGTTACAGTCGCTTCCAACATTCAGTATAGTAACATACCGTACAAGTTTGCAGCCTAGGAGAAATAGGCCATACCATATAGTTTAGGTGTGTAATAGGCTATATACCATCTTGGTTTGTGTTAAGTACACTCTATGATGTAAACAGAGCTACAAAATTGACTGGGGACATATTTTGTAGAACATACCCCTGTGGTTAGGCAATGCATGACTGCATTATCCTTTTTATGCATGGCTGGAATCAATGTGTCAATAATTTGTTAAGAATTTTTTATATTCATGGTTATGAGAAATATTGTTCCATCATTTTCTTGTTCTTGACTTTTTAGGGGTCAGGGCATTACTAGTGTCAGAGAATGAGTAGTGAAGTATTTCTTCCTCTTCTGTTTTCCAATATAACTTTTATGTAATGTTTATTATTTCTTAAATTTCTGGAAAAATTGCCAGTGAAACCATCCATGTCATAATTTTTCTTAAGTTCACATTTAAGTACAAATTCAATAATATTTTTCATAGAAATAGGGCTATTCAGGTAATTTTCTTTAGTGAGCTTAGATGATTAACGCAATTCCAGGAATTTGTCCATTTCTTTTAAATGGTATTTACTGGCATTGTCATTCATAGTATCCCTTTGTTATACTTCAATTTGCATGTTTTCTGTAGTATTCTCCCCTCTCTCATCTTGATAACCTCATAACTGGTTATTTGTTCTACTGTCTTTTTTATCCTGATTATTCTAGATGTAGGTCTATGCACATACTAATGTCAGTGAATCTGCTTTTGGCTTCACTTATTTCTTTTTTGTTTCCTATTCTCCATTTCATTAATTTCTGGTTTTATTTTTATTATTATTTTCCTCCTGTTTACTTTGTCTTTAATTTTCTTTTCCATTTTTGATTGCTTAAGGTGGACTCATGTCATTGATTCTAATCATTTATTCTAATACAAGCATCTGTTTTTCCTCTCTAAATATGGCTGTAATTGCACCCTGCTAATTTTGATATGTCATATTTCCAATTTGGAGGGGTTTAAATTTTGTTTTTAATTCTCATGTTATTTTTAATACTATTCATTTAGAAGTATGCTGATTTGTTTCTAAGTATTTGGGTATATTTCATAAATATTACTGCTGTTGATTTTTAACTAAATTCTATACTTATCAGGAAATAGACTTTTTAATGGTTTCAATTTATTTAACTTTATTGAGTCTTAAATTAAAGTATGTGTATTCCACTATTATTGTATGGAGAAATCCCTAATATTAAATAGATCAACTCCCTTGATAGTATTGTGGAAGTCTTCTATATTTTTTTGTAACGATTCTTCTCCAACTTTATTTTTAAATGTGTCTATTTTTATATTCAGTTCTCTCTGTTTTGCTTCATATTTTTTGAAGCTCTAGTATTATATGTTTAAACATTTATTCACGTAGATCAGTACTATGAAAATTATTATTTAAGGGCTTTAAGGATGGAAAAAAATGATACCATATAGAACTTTGTTTCAGTCTTTTTCTGTTTTTCATTTTACCATGTCTTCAAGTGAACTAAGTTACGTCACTATGTCTTCAAGTTTACTAATATTTTCTACTGTAATATCTAATGTTTTTAATCCCATCAGAGTATTTCTCATAATTTTATTTTTCTTCTCTGAGAGTTTCAAGGAGATGTTTTGTATGTCCTCCATGCCTCTCTTACCATTCTCATGTTTTACTTCCTTGAAAATATTGGAATATATTTCTAATAGTTGTTTTAATAGGCATCTACTCACCTACCCTCTGTATCATACCTATATTTTGTAACTGACTGATTTTTCTCCCTCTTGTTTTATTTATTTTTTGGAGACAGATTCTCGCTCTGCCACCTGGGCAGGAGTGCAGTGGCACTCACTGCAACCTCCAACTCTCGGGCTCAAGTGATCTTCCTGATTCAGCATCCCCAGTAGCTGGGACTATAGACATGCGCCACAATGCCCAATTAACTTTTTAATTACTATTTAGAGAAGTGGTTTCAGTGTGTTGCCAGGGTTGAACTTCAAATCCTGGCTTCAAGAAATCCTCCTGCCTTGGCCTCCCAAAGTGCTGGGGATACAGGAGTGAGCCACTGTGCCTGGTGATTTTTCTCCTTCCTCTGGGTTGTATTTTCATGTTTATTTACTATCCTGGTTAGTATATATACTCTATACTCTCTCTCTCTATATATATATATATATACTCTATATACATATATATATATACTCTATATACATATATATATAGAGAGAGAGAGAGAGAGAGAGAGTGAGAGAGAGAATCTCACTCCGTCGCCCAGGCTGGAGAGTGCAGTGGTGCGATCTTGGCCCACTGCAACCTCTACCTCCCTGGTTCAGGCAATTCTCCTGCCTCAGCCTTCGAGTACCTGGGAACACAGGCACGTGCCACCACATGGTTAGTTTTTGTATTTTTAGTAGAGATGGGGTTTTGGTATGTTGGCCAGGCTGGTCTTGAACTCCTGACCTCTGGTGATCCATCTGCCTTGGCATCCCAAAGTGCTGGGATTGCAGGTGTGAGCCACCACACCTGGCCGTATCCTGGGAATTTTTATTTATTTATTTATTTTGAGACAAAGTCTAGCCCTGTCGTCCAGGCTGGAGTGCTGTGGTGTGATCTTGGCTCACTGCAACCTCCACCTCCCAGATTCAAGTGATTCTCTTGCTTCAACCTCCCAAGTAGCTGCGACTACAGGCGCCCACCACCACGCCCAGCTAATTATTTTGTACTTTTTGTAGAAACCGGGTTTCACCATATTGGCCAGGCTGATCTGTAACTCCTGACCTTGTGATCTGCCCTGCCCGCCTCGGCCTCCCAAAGTGATAGGATTACAGGTGTGAGCCACCATGCCCAGCCAGGAATTTTTAATTGGGTTCCAGACATTCAGAATTTTGTGTTTTGGGGTGCTGAATATTTTTGTATTATTTTACTTTGTTTTATAGATGCAGTTAAGTGACTTGGAAAAAGTTTTATTTGAGGGAGAGCTTCCATTTAGGCTCTTTTAGGTGGATCCAAACCACCTTCAGTCTAGGGTTAATCTGGTTCCATTACTGATGCAATATTATTCTAAGGACATGACTTAAGTCCTGTGTTTTAGGATATCTTTTTACTCTGGATGGTTGAATTGCAGATTATTCCTGGTGCTGTGTGAGCTTCTGGAATTATTGTACTTTATATTTTCTAATGGTTCTTTCCCTCATCTGAGAAGGCCTTACTGGTGTACACTCATTGATCAATACTCAGTTAAAGATTTGTTGGGAACCCTCTGCAGATATCTATAGCTCTGTTGTCTGTGCAGCTGTCTTCTCTCACATTATCTAACCTGCACCTTCTGTCGCTTTGACCTCCCCCAACTGCACACTCTGTCTTCCAACCCAGATACATTGCCTGACTCTGTTCGTGTTCTCTGCCTCCCCCAGCTGCAGCCTGAAAACTCTCTTCAGGCAGTCAGCGATGGAGGTACTCATATGCCACTGTCATATGCAACCAGTTGGCTAATGTGTGAAAACTATTGTTTTATATGTATAGCCAGTGTTTTTGTTGTTTAAATTGGGAGCATATAGTTTATGTTAATACAATATTGTTCAAAATGAAATTATCATTCAATTCTTTAGTGTTTACATTAATTCTGTAATCCTGACCCCTACATTCTTGTACCTGAAAAAGGGGACGCTTAGAGAAGTGGTTTGAGTTTCAAAGAATGGGCTTAATGCATGTGTCAGAATGCCTTGGAGTGATTTTTTAGACGTTGACATTTCATAGACATGGATTGTGAATAGCAATAGGAGCATTTCTACCTGACTTTATTGGGAGGGAGTAATAAGGTATTTATTGGGAGGGAGTAATAAAGCATTGGTAATATTCCCTTATTTATGATGGCTTAATTATATTTCCTATTGAGCATTTAAAGTGAATGTAATCTGTACACACTTATGTTCTCTAAATATGTTCAAGTTTTGCCCCTCTACTTCAAAGGCCAAATCAAGGATTTTTATTTTCTCATGAAAATTCCCAGAGTAGTACAGCCATCTTCCTTGTCATATCTCCCGTTATAACAGATCACCTCCTGCTCAAAAAAGTTGTAAGTCCACTAATGGAATCTGCATTAACCTCTATTAATGCCAACCAAATTATGGGTTCCTCATGATGGGTGGCAACTAATTTGCTATACATCAAACATTTAGCACAATGTTTTATATGAAGTAAGGAGATAACCCTCTTTTTTAGAAAGAACATTGGAACTTAATTAACCTGCTGCTTTTATTAATGGGTGAGCCTGTCTTTTTATTTGTGAATTGAGGAGTAGAGATATACACATACTGTAGTTCTCTGATTTTGAATGAGTAAGCAGAGGGAAAATGCACATTTATGGGCTAATTGTGAGTGCTGAAACCTCTACCGTGCTATTATTATTATTATTAGGAAACAAATGAATAATTTTCATTGAAGATATTGAGAAATATATTGTATCCCTAATTATGATGAAAACCCTATCTACATATTAAATTCTAGATAAAAACTCTGAAATGTCATTTTTATACCTGTTGTAAAGATTGCATTAGTAATAATATCAAAAATATATATAAAAGATACTATATATGCATTTATTATTATTTTTTTTTTCGGACACAGTCTCACTCTGTGGCCGAGGCTGGAGTGTAGTGGTGTGATCTCAGCTCCCTGCAACCTGCCTCAGCATCCCTTCGGAGTAGCTGGGATTACAGGCGCCTGCTACCACGCCAGGCTAGTCTTTGTATTTTTAGTAGAGATGGAGTTTCACTATGTTGGCCAGGCTGGTCTCAAACTCCTAACCTCAAGTGATCCACCGGCCTCTGCCTCCCAAGGTGCTGGGATTACAGGCATGACCCACCACACCCGACCCATTTGTTATTATTTTATGAATCCTAATTTTGCAATCTTCCACTCCTCTTAAGAAATGTTGTGTACTTCATGGTACATTTAGAGATGTCATGAGAAACTGGAACAATAAATTCTATTGAGTATAGACATATAAAGATTATGTTCATATATGTGTTAGTGGTTTCTGGAAAGTAGAACCAGAATTCACTGGAAGGAACTGCTTAGTGTATCAGAGAAATGTTTGATTTTATTTTAGAAAATAGTTTTAATAATATTTATAGAGATTTTTTTAAATTTACAATTGTATGGACAAGCAAATGTCTCCATACCAATGGACAAATTCCAGAACTTTCCATTAGTGGTTTTAAAATCAATTCAGTCATGCAAAATACTATTATAAGAAAAATACAGGAGGGGATGCAAAGAAGAGAAAAGAGGAAAAAAGATGAATAAAATGAAAGGAGAATACACAATATAAAACGATTTCACAAATACCGAGGGAAATCATAGAAATAGTTCAGATTTTAATATATTGAAAATATTTCTTACTGTAGATTATAGTAAAAAATGTTTGAAAGCCGTGGTTGGTTTTAAAGGACAACTTAGACTAGAATGGAGCAGAGTGAGATGTATTTCAGTAGAGAAAAAAAACCTTAAAAATATTGATAATTATTTGGGACTAAGAGGAAACAGAAAAACAATTTATTTTCCTCATTAAAGAATAAAATTATCACATTCAAAATAGTTTCTAAATTAATTGTGTTTTCATGTAATTCTCTCATCTTACTATTTTATTGGCAGTACTTATATGCAATATACATTTATGATATATTTACATTGTATTTACTTTGAAGCTTCTGTGAAGAAATTTTCTACATAAATTATTTTAAATGTGTCCCAAGAGGGGAGTAAATAAATATATATAATAAATATGTATTGTCTCACCAACATTTAATTGTGTATGGGATTAAAAACAGCAAACAAAATGTTTTTTTTGCCAATAATCAAAGTACAAATTGAACTGATATACTTTTTGCCTGGTAACTATTAAGATTTTGACATAGTTCAAATGTTATTCTTGTGTTTACATTCAAAAAAAATTTCAAGTATAATTTTATTGTTTATTCGTTAAGTTCTGAGGCTACTAAAAATATACTTTTGATTGGAATATAGCCCTGTCTTTCAATGATGATAGCCATATAGTCATCAATGCCTATAGATTAAAAAGTTGATTAAAATCTACTAAATTATAAAGCCAGATCTGTGAGGATGAACCTCTTTTTTCTTCTTTAGGAATGGCAAGCTCATTGAAGAAAATGAGAAGTACATATTGAAAGGGAGCAATACAGAACTCACTGTCAGGAACATAATCAATAGTGATGGTGGTCCTTATGTCTGCAGGGCCACAAATAAGGCAGGAGAAGATGAAAAGCAAGCTTTCCTCCAAGTCTTTGGTAAGTATTATAGCATAGTGGCTAAAACTGTTATGTCTATTGGAAGATCAGAGTGAAATTCTACTCTAATCATTTGAACTATTTAAACTTTCCATATTAAATCTGTTTCCTCTTCTCTGTAATATGTTTTTTAAATTTCAGCTACCAGATAGAATTTTTTGAAGAATAACGTAAAATTACATATGCAAATTTTTGTAAGTCATTGATATGCTTACAGAAGCTGGAAAAAAATAATTTAAATTACACCTAGTGGGGTTTGTCATCTGTGTCTGTAAGGGTGGATCTCTGTAAGTCTCTAAATGACACATGTTAGGATCAGTTTTACTTACAATATAGTTCAAAAGGGCACATTTTTAAGGCTACAATTTAAAAACATTGACATGTAACTATACTTAAATATTTGCTTTCATTTAACTAAATGAAAATATAAGATAAATATCTTCCATATTTACCAAGAGCCATATTATCTTATTTGGGTAACTTATAGAGCATATAAAACTAGTACTTTACAGAAATATAATGACGTAGCTTCAATTATGTTTACAAGAAGAAAGACAGTGATGGCAGTGGGTGCTTCTAATAGAATTTTTCCCTTTAATTAGTGTAACACTAAAAAATATATGCCCTATTAACATTTAATATGTTTTCTCCAACTTTAAAAACACTGTTATTGAAATGCTTTCACAACAAAAAGAGGGAAAAGGAAGGAAGGAGAAATCTGTTAGAATAAGAAGGACTGGGGCCTGTTGTGGGGTGGGGGGAGTGGGGAGGGATAGCATTTGGAGATATACCTAATGTTAAATGATGAGTAACTGGGTGCAGCACACCAACATGGCACATGTATACATATGTAACTAACCTGCACGTTGTGCACATGTACCCTAAAAAAGTATAATAAAAAAAAAAAGAAGGACCAGTGTTTGCAGTTGACAGGTGCAGAGTGCCCCTTACACTGACCATGAGATGAATGGTAATCCCTGCGTGGACACGCCCTCTGCAGACTGGCCCTGTAGTCACTGCTGGAAGCATTTTCTGAGCTAGAGAGATATTTATAAAGCTTATTTTCAAGTGGAGTGACAAGGAGAATAAACAGCTATACCAAAATGTATTAAAATAAAAAATACAATTTTAAAAGTAGAGATGTTTTGAGAAAGAAATTGGATAAATCAGGAAGCATTGAATAAAGAGAAGTATTGTTTTGGATAGCATAGTGTTTGGAAAGTTATTCAGCAGGATAATGTTTAGGTGATGTTCAGAATGATGATCTTCTAATGATCAGAAGTAGGCCAAGCTAAGAGCCTGGAGAAGATTGTTCACTTACAGGGAAAAGTAAATATACTTAACATTTTTAGAAATTATAGAAAGTCCCTAACTTGTTCTAGCAGTGTTCCCCACTTGAAAATATTTTTTCTATAAAACCTACAAAATTAAATAAGTATGATTCAGTATAAAAATAATCATATTAGAAATAGTATTGTGTGAGATTATTCCAAAGGATAGATGGTCTTAATCTGCCTCAGTGTACTCATCTGAAATAGTATTTACATCGTTTTTATCAGGATTGCAGTGAAAAAGAAAAAAGATTTTTTACATTTCTGATATTTTCATCCTTTCAAGTAGAACATAATACATGAAAATTTTACATGTTATGTTATTGTTATAATCCCTTTTGTGTAGTAACATTCAACAAACTTTTGTTGCTCCTGACACAAAATTGTATGCATATTGTGGGAATATAACTAAATCTATTAAAGTTAATGAAATAAAGAGTGAATTGTTAAAAATTCTGTATGCTGTTTTTCTGATACCAAGAATGTTATTTTCTGAGCTTAAGAACAACTTATTTGTGTTTCTTTGTTAAATGTATTAAAATATATAAAAAGTAACTCACACTGAAATAATGAGTACTTGATTGTATCCATTTTATATCTAAACAAGCAAACATTTAGGAAATACAAATAACACAGATTTCAAAAAATAAAGCTCTCTGGAACTATGTAAGTTTATGGAGGGACATATTTTAATATTAAGATAATTAAAATTAGTAGACATAATGCTTTTCTTTTTATACAATTGATGATTAAAAATTAGTTACGTTGTCTAGTATATTGTTAAGTAAACTGAAGTCAAAATAAATCAAGTGGAATAATATATATAAGTAAAGTAAATATATTTACTTAGTAAATGTTTCAAAATTTTATATGATTCTACTTGCTACATTTTCAGGATATATCATTTACTTCTTTGGTGAAATTGTTAAAGCTTAAGAGAGAATTAAACCAATTGTGTGTGCATGTGTCTGTATAAATATATTCATGTGTGTGTATGTGTATATATACATATATGTGCACACATATGCACCCATATGCATGTGCCTTTAAAGGAAGAAATTTTGATTTTGTGGCTTTAAGATAGGAAAATAAATCATGAGATGACTTTTAAATTGGCAGAATTTTGAAACAAATTATAATTTGGATGTTGGTTTCTAAGTCACCTCAAGTTATTTTGTATAATGGTAACAGATGAGTTTTATTTCCTAAATTTTTTTTCCTGTGCTATTCAACTGTCCTGGTACGTCTGTAAGGCAAAGCAGGCCACTGTAATTCTACAAAGCTAATAATATCATACTATACTATAGTAGACTTAAACACCCATCATGACTTTTGTCTGAGAAGTAATATTTTCCTCCAATACCGGTTGAGTAATATATATATTCTTTACAGTACAGCCTCACATAATACAGCTTAAAAATGAAACTACATATGAGAATGGTCAAGTCACACTCGTATGTGATGCGGAAGGGGAGCCTATTCCAGAAATCACTTGGAAAAGAGCTGTGGATGGCTTCACGTTCACTGAAGGCGATAAGGTAACCACATCTCAATATGTAATGGTTTCCATTACCATGCAATTTCAGTATTTTCAATATCATTAAATCACAAATTAGTCTCCAATTTACCTAGTAACTTGTAGGATCAAATAAATGGTTTGATTTTTAAAAAGGTAACTAACACAATGTCGGCTTTACCACTTTCGTGGGAGGGGAAATGTCAATATGAAAT
The DNA here is from genome assembly GCF_000001405.40 of Homo sapiens. Lineage (NCBI taxonomy): Eukaryota > Metazoa > Chordata > Mammalia > Primates > Hominidae > Homo > Homo sapiens. The sequence continues at coordinate 21,338,728 of NC_000021.9, forward strand.
ATTTAAAGATGTTCTTTATTAAGTCACAAACGTTTAGGCTATTGGTATTACTAGCATTGCTTAACTAGACTTTTGTTATACGTTGAATCTATAAAGTATGTTATTGCAGTTTTAACCCCTGCTGTGTGAGTATCTGGCCTTTGCAAATTCACTGACCATGAGAAAAGTGCTAGGACAAATAATATTGCCATTTTAAAAACAGGAATAAAGATTTACAAACCAGTACATTTAACTTTAAACCTCAGCAATTTCAGTTTCTTAAAGAAATGATTGTATATTTAGAAAACACTGTGGTGAGTGATGAGCGTTGGGATTGGCGAAGAAGATTTACTTCAAATTAATTTAATGTATTTTCTACTTAGACAGGTGTCAACAAACTACAGTCCATAGGGCAAATTTGGCTTCCAGCCTGTTTTGGTAAATAAAGCTTTATTGAAACTAAAGCAAAAGAGTAATTTAAATTCAAAAAAGTCTGACTGTCATCCAATGCTTTACCCTTTAGAAATTGTCTTTCTGCAGTAGAAGTGTAGGTTCTGCTTTCATATAATTTAGAATCTAATGTAGAGAAATAGGTACAAACAAATTACTGCATTGTGATGACCTTTAACCAGAATGCATTCAACTTACTTAGAAATTAATGAAACATTACTATATGTTTCACTATACTAATGGATTTTAATTACTATTATATTTCACAACTTTTCATATGAACTTCAAATACAAACAAAAGAGAAAGGAAAAGATGGTGAAATATTGAAATGATAGAACTGGCAATTTCACATAAGTGAAGATTATAACATTAGGCTATTACATTGCTTTTCTCTACTCAGTGTTAAAGAGAAACCTCCTTTAAACTTTTTTCATTATTAACTTTATTTAGGTAAAGAGTCCAATTTCTAAAGTATTCATACACCTCAATATAACTTTGATTTATTAACATTGATAGTAAAAAAGAGAAGAATAAATGTTTGTCCATAGTACACTTTACATCAATCAGTCCATCCCATCATGTTATATTTAACAACATGCTAAACCCATAAATTCACCAAAAAAGTAACTTCTCTGGTCAATTTATTACTTTCCTTTTGAAAGACTGTGTTATCATATATGTTACCCTTTTTTGTTTCATTTTCTCCTCATAATGGCATTTTAAGAGATTATTTGATAATTGTACTATTTTGATATACTTATTTTATATATTCAAGTTGAAAATCAAATTTATAAAATGTGAATGACAGTCATAATCTTCTGCAACCCAGATAAAAGTTATAGTTTGCTTTAGTATATTCTTAACAAAAAATAATGTATGTTACTATGACACAGTTGCCAAATCTGAAAAGAATTAAATTTATGTGAAATTAAAAAAATACAATCGTATCTGAAACCATAGAGGATTGTTTTTGTTTCAATTTTGCATGTTTATTTAGATTAGATCACTCAAAAGTATTTACTTTCATGCCCTTAGACTTTATCATACCTTCATATTTCTAATGCTGTTTTCTAATTATTTTTCAGCTTACTGCAAAATTCTTAAAAGTTATCTTCTCAAAGATAGTTTTTACTCTGCATTTAATGAATGTTACCTTATATATTATGCAGAGAATGAAAGATAAATTATACTCAGTTATTTCATTAATAAATGTCATCAAGTAACAAGAAAGCTGTTATATTTTATTCTTGGATCTATGCCTCAGGCCACCCCAAACTACACACAGATACTTATTCTGTAGTAACTGTGAAAAATAATCTTAAAGCTTTTGTTTCCTAAGGAGTATATTAAAAAACACATCTTGTTTTAAGAAAATCTGACTTGGTTTCTTTGCAATAAACAATTATAGAAACTCAAATATGCTTTTCTGCACAAGTTTAATCCAGTCAATAAAGAAATTAAGTCTATTGTATTTCTATTATATTTCTCCAAATATATTTTAAGATCCTTGACTTATTTTTCTATACTCCAGTACACTTCTTTTCCCCTAATATTTCTAGTTTCCTGAATAGCATAATTCACAAATCAAATGGTTGAGCTGAACTTTGAAGTAAAGTTTATCTAGTTTTGAATCTCAGCTCTGCCATTTATGATGCCTCAGCATGATAAAATTGAGTTCAAAGAGTCCAAATAACATTACCAGTGTTATTTGAACTCTTTTTAATATGAGTTTTTAATATGAATTTTTTCATCTTTAAAATGTTGATATTTACCCTCTTGTTATAAGGAAGATGAGCACATTACAAATGCATATCAATGTTTATCATATTATAAATATCCAATAAACTTTACTTTTTACCTTGCCATATTACAAATTTACAGTACAAATTTACACATTTTACTTTGTCATATTACAAATTTACAGTATGGCCTCACATAATACAGCTTAGAAATGAAATTACATATGAGAATGGTCAAGTCACGCTTGAAGCATAGTTTATCTTGTTGCCTCTGTAAAGTATAACTAAGGTTTGATTGAACTTTAATGAGATCATATTATTCCTATCATGGAAAGTAGCATGGGATTGTACTTTCCATAAGAATCACGTGGGAAGACTATGAAAATGCAGATTCTAGATTCCCACTTCTTGAAGTTGATTTAGTATATGCAGCCCAGGGCATAGGAATGCATATTAAATAAACTCATCAGTTGGTGTCATATTGTTAGTCTTCAAGCCATATTTTGGGAAACAACTTCAAGTAAGGATGAAAATTAACAGCTAATATTTCCAACAGAAAAATGATCTTAACCAATTAGTTGACACCTGATGGGGGCTTGGGAACTATAAAACAAAACTAAACTAAAATTTCCATTATGCATGTATCAGTCAAGTTTTGATGAAACTAAAATATATAGATCAAAAATAGTGAAATATCATAAATGTCGTGTAGTAAAAACTAATAATTTCATCTAACAACATGGCAATGTATTTAGCAAATATGTTCATCATTTTAGATTTTTCAGAGAGGAGGGTCTCAATTAACAATATTCTTTTTTTTTTTTTTGTCTAAGTTCTCAATCACCAGATAAGACAAAAAAAATGGGGATAAAATACCATGTGACTTAAATGTATAGATGAGTGAATGCTCTTATACTGAGCTCAATAATTAGATAAACATACTCAACACAGTCCCAAGTAGCATGAGACTTACAGCCCTCCCCTGTGTGAGAAGACATGCTAAGATAACCTTGACTGAGGGGGACAATGGTGAACCCATGTTCTCTTTGGGGTGGTCCTTTCTGAAAAGAAAAAAAGGAGTGGTTAGGAAGTGTATTTAATTTTTTGTGCCCCCATAGTTACCTATCAGATATCTCTTCACTTCCCATGGGAGAAAAAGTAAGGGACTTGAAAAGTCCAACTGTGGTATGTTGGAAGACCTTCCTCCCCATGGAATAAATGATTAAGAGTTCACGAGTAGCATTCACTGCCCAACTAACAATATGCTAATAACATTTAAATCACCATATACATAACTATCTCAGTTTATCGTCTGGTATTATTACTGCATAGTAAATGACCCCATAATATAATGGCACAAACCAATAATTTTCTCTCACTTTTGATTTTGTGGATCAGAAGTTTGAGTAAGGCTTGGCCAGATGGATATCACTTGGAATCTCTAATGTGCTTGTATCAGATGTTGCTACTAATGTTGCTTGTAGTTGTAGTTATGAGGAGGTTCAACTTTGCTGAGAAGCCAACATGGCTCACTTAAGTGGCTGGAATTCAGTCTTGACTGTGGGCTGCAAGCTCAGGTGGAGCTGTTTTTGGAACATCTATATGAAGCCTCTCCAGTATGGCTATCTAAGAGCAGCCTGCTGTCTTTTGTGGCAGCAGGCTTTCTCCACAGAGAACATTTCAGAAGAATCAGGCCAGACAGACACTATCTGGTCTACTCTGACATAGTCTTGGAAGTCACACATTTCTCACTTCTGCCACAGTATATTGGTTACAAACAAATTATAAGGTCGCCCAAATCCAACATGAGAGGAATTAGGCACTCTGTCTTGATGGGGAAGGATTCACAATCATATTGTAGATAAGTATGTGGGGTGGGAGATATTGTTAAGGCCATCTTTGGAAATGCATCTACAATTTATCTCAAAATATTCCCATGACTTAAGTCCAATCATTTTCCCAGGCTTGTAGATGAGGAAACTGAGGCTCAGGAAAATTCAGGGGTTTGCACAAGGTCACACAGGGAGTAAGTGGCAGTGGCAGGATTTGAACTGTGGTCTCTCACTCTGCATAGTGCATGCCCGTGCAAGGGCTTCAGGATTCTGTTAAAGTGTATGGCTGGCACTCTCATAGGAATTTAAATTATATTTCCATTTAATCAAATAATTGAAAAGTCAGAAGAAGCTTTGTTTTTAAAACTTGTTTATAATCTGATATTACTTATTTTAAACTAATTAAAATATAGTGTTCAGTAAACACCAAAACTATTTACTGGTTTTTGTTAAAATACATATATGTAAAAAATTACTTCGTATAATGGGTACTACCAAAATGTTTGAAAACCCATGCCATATAAAACAATCTAGAGGTGTGGGAGGGGAGCAAAATGGCAGAATAGAAGGCTCCACCAATTGTCTCCCCAACCCTGCAAGGACACCAAGTTAACAACTATCTATACACATACACACACACACACACACACACACACACACACACACAATCTTCATGAGAACCGAAAATCAGGTGAACAGTTGTAGTACTTGGTTTTAACTTCATATTGCTGAAAGAGTCACTGAAGTGATAGAAAAAAATAGTCCTGAATAAACAACACCAACAAACCTCCACCACCCTCAGCAGCCTTGACATGGTGTCGAGAGCTTCTCTGGGAGCTGGAGGAGAGAGAACATAGCAATTTTGAGGCAGTGAACTCAGTCCTGACCTGTTAGAGCAGAAAGGAAAACAAGACCTAATTCAACTGACACCCACCCACAGAGGGACAATTTAAACCAGCCCTAGCCAGAAAGGAATCACCGATTCCAGCGGTACAAACTTGAGTGCCTGCAAACCTCACCAGTGAGGACCAAAGTGCTCTGTGTCTCCCAGTAAACTTGAAAAAACTTATGAAACTCTAGGCCATAAGGACTGCAACTCTTAGGAGAGTCCTAGCGCTGAACTGGGCCAAGAGACAGTGGACTGGTGTCAGGTGGGGAGGAATGTGACATACAGATACACCAGCTGGGGTGGCCAAAGGAGTGCTGTCATCTTCCCTCCCCTAACCCCAGCCTGCACAGCTTGTGGCTCCAAAAGAGACCTCTTTATTCTGATTGACGAGAGGAAAGGAAAGAGTAAGGAGGACTTGGATACTAGCTCAGCCACAGCAAGATAGGGCAACTGTTAGAGTTGTGAGGACTTTGTTCCATGTCTTATCTCCCAAACGGTGTTTCTATAATAGACAAACTCTGGGCCAGATGAGAACACACTGGCTTTCATGAAAGGACCCAGTCCTGGCAGCATTCATCAATGGCTAACTAAAGAGCCCTTGGGCCCTGAATAATCCACAGTGATACCCAGGTACTACGTCAAGGGCTTTGATAAGCCTCTGATACTTTGCTGGGTCCAAATAATAGCACAGCCATGGGGGTAAAGCATGAAGTGGGGTCGTAGGGTCTGCCAATCCAGGACCTTACTCTTGCATGCCATTTCTGGACCTGCTGTGGGTCACTGTCCTGAAATGTGATTGCAGGCCAGGCAGCATTCACCACAAGCTAACTTAAGAGCACCTCAGCCTCAGGGGAACATTGTTGTAGTCTAGCAGTACTCCTTGTGGTCTGGGGTGGTGGTGGCTACAGGGTGAGGCTCCTCTGCCTTTGGAAATGGGAGGGAAGAGGGGGAAGAACTGAATCTTGTGGTCTGAGTGCCAGATCAGCCACAGTACCATAGAACACCAGGTAGACTTCTAAGGTTTTAGACCTCTAGTCTCTGACTCCTAGACAGCACCTCTGGACCCACCTGGGGCAAGGGGGACCTTGCTTCCCTGAAGGGAAGGATGCAGGCCTGACTGGCTTTGCCTCCTGCTGATTGTAGAGCCCTAAAGCCTTGAGCGAGCATAGGCAGTAGCCAGGGAGAGGTTACAACAGGCCTTAGGTGAGACTCTGTGCTGTGGTGGCTTGAGGTCTAAAACAGCACAGCCATACTGCTGATGGCCACAGGAGTGCTTGTGTCACTCTTCTCCCAGCTTTATGCGGTCAGAAAATAGAGTGAGACTGTGTTTGGGAGAAAGTAAGGGAAGAGAACAAGAGTCTCTGCCTGGTAATACAGATAATTTTCCCCGAACTTGTCCAAGACTATCAAGGCATTACCTCTATGAGTCTGCAAGAACCTCAACATTACTGGGCTTTGGGTCCCTCTAAAGCAAATACAACTTAGATCACAATACCCAAGGTTTTTCAAATATCTGGAAAGCCTTCCTAAGTAGGATGGATACAAATAAGCCCAAACAGTGAAGAATGCAATTAATACCTAACTCTTTAATACCCAGACACTGAAGAACATCTACTAGCATTAACACCATCCGGGAAAGCATGACCTCACCAAATGAACTAAATAAGACCCCAGAGACCAATCCTAGAGAAATAGAAATATGTGAACTTTCAGACAGAGAATTCAAAATAGTTGTGTTGAGGAAACTAAAAAAAATCAAGATGACACAGAGTTGGAATTCATAATTCTATCAGATCAATCTAACAGAGATTGAAATAATTACAACGAATCAAGTAGAAATTCTGGAGCTGAAAAATGCAGCAGGCATATTGAAGAATGCATTAGAGTCCTTTAATAGCAGAATTGTTCAAGCAGAAGAAATAGTCAGCTTGAAGACAAGCTACTTGAAAATACACAGAGGAGAAAAAAAGAATAAAAAAAATGAAGCATGCCTACAGGATCTAGAAAATAGCCTCAAAATGAAAATCAAGAGTTATTGTCCTTAAAAAGGAGATAGAGAAAGAGATAGGTGTAGAAAGTTTATGCAAAGGGATAATAGGAACTTCCTAAACCTAGAGAAAAATATCAATATCTAACCGCAGGAAAGTTATAGAACACAAAAGATTTCCCTAAAGAAGGTACTACATCAAGGGCTTTGGTAAGCCTCTGAGACTTGCTGCGTCCAAATAATAGCACAGGCATTTAATACCTCAAGGCATTTAATACTGAAACTCCCAATGGTCAAGGATAAAAAAGCAAAAAACTAAATCATATCACCAGAGAAAATCACCCTCACTGAAGGAAGACAGGAAGGATAGAAAGAAGGAAGAGAAGACCACAGAACAACCAGAAAACAACAAAATGGTAGTAGTAAGTCCTAACTTATGAATAATAACATTGAATATAAATGGACTAAACTCTCCAATCAAAAGACATAGACTGGCTGAATGGATAACAAAAATAAGACCCATTGATCTGTTGCCTACAAGAAACATACTTCATCTATAAAGACTCACATAGACTGAAAACAATATTCCATGCCAACTGAAACCAAAAAAAAAAAAAAAACAGGAGTCACTATACTTATGTCAAACAAAATAGATTTCAAAACAAAAACTATAAGAAAAGACAAAGAAGGTTAATATATAATGACAAATGTGTAAATTCAGCAGGAGGATATAATAATTTAAATATATATGCACCCAACATGGGAGAACCCAGATACATAATGGAAATATTATTAGAGCTGAAGAGAGAGGTCCCATCACAATAATAGCTGGAGACTTCAACACCCAACTTTCAGCATTGGACAAATGTTTCAGACAGAAAATCAACAAAGAAACTTCAGATGTAATCTGCACTATAGATCTAATGGATCTGGTAGATGTTTATAGAACATTTCATCCAATGGCTGCAGAATACACATTCTTTTCCTCAGCACATGGATCATTTTCAAGGATATATTATATACTATGTTACAAAGCAAATGTTAAAATATTTAAAAAATTAATATCAAGCATCCTCTCTGACCACAATGCAACAAAACTAGAAATTAATAATGAGGACTTTTTGAAAGTATAAAAATACATGGAAATTAAAGAATATGCTCCTGAATGACCAGTGTGTCAATGAAGAAATTCAGAAGGAAATTTAAAAACTTCTTGAAACAAATGATAATGGAAGCACAAAATACAAAAACCTATGGGATATAGCAAAAGCAGTAGTAAGAGGGAAGTTTATAGCTATAGGAGCCTCCATCAAAAAAAGAGGAAAAACTTCAAATATGCAATCTAATGATAAATCATAAAGAATGGAAAAGCAAGAGCAAACCAAACACAAAATTAGTAGAAGAAAATAAATAATGGAGAACAGAGCAGAAATAAATGAAATTGAATTAAAAAATACAAAAGGCCAATGAAACAATAAGTTGCTTTATTAAAAAGTTAAACAAAATTTACAAAGCTTTAGACAGACTAAGAAACAAAGAAGATACAAGTAAATACAGTTATAAATGAAAAAAGAGACATTACAACCAATACTGATGAGCAACTATATGCCAATAAATTGGAAAATCTAGAAGAAATAGACGAATTCCTATATACATACAACCTACACATAAACAAAATTTAATGACATTTTTCACAGAAATAGAAAAAACTTTCTAAAATTTATATAGAACCCCAAAAGACTCAGAATAGCCAAAGCTGTCCTAAGCAAAAAGAACAAAACTGGACAAATCACATTACCTGACTTCAAATTATACTACAGAGCTATAGTAACCAAAACAGCATGGTACAGGAAGAAATCCAAAACCTGAACAGACCAACAACAAGTAATGAGGTGAAAGCCATAATAAAAATCCTCCATAAAGAAAAGCTTGGAACCTGATGGCTTCACTGCTGTATTCTACCAAACATTTAAAGAAGAGCTAATCCCAGTCCTACTCAAACTAATTCAAAAAATAGAGGAGAAAAGAATATTTCCAAGCTCATTCTACAAGGCCAGTATTACTTTGATACCTAAAACAAAGACACATAAAAAAAGTATCTGATGAATATTGATGCAAAAATCCTCAGCAAAATACTAGCAGCCAAATTCAACAACACATTAGACAAATCATTCATCATGACAAAGTGGGATTTTTCCTTGGGTCAACATATAAAATCAATGTGATACATCATATCAACAAAGTGAAGCATAAAAACCATATGATCATTTCATTTGATGCTGAAAGAGCATTTGATAAAATTTAACATCCATTCATGATAAAAACACTCAAAAAACTGGGAATAGAAGGAATATATGTCAAAATAATAGAAGCCATATACGACAGACCTACAGCTAGTGTCATACTGAATGTGGAAAAATTGAAAGTGTTTCCTCTAAGATCTGGAACACTACAAGGATGCCTACTGTCACCACTGTTATTCAACTTAATAATCAAAGTACCAACTAGAACAATTAGACAAGAGAAAGATCTAAGTGACATCCAAATTGGAAAGGAAGAAGTCAAATTATCCTTGTTTTTAGATGACATGGTCATATATTTGGAAAAACCTAGAGACTTCACAAGAAAACTGTCAGAACTGATAAATTCAGTAAAGTTGCAAGATACAAAATCAACATACAAAAATCAGTAGCATTTTTATATGTCAGCAGTGAAGAATGTGAAAAATAAAAAATATCCCATTTGCAATAGCTGCACATGAAATTAAATACCTAGGAATTAACCAAAGAAGTGAAATGTATCTATAATGAAAACTTTGTAAACACTGATGAAAAAAATTTAAGAGGACATCAAGAAATGGAAAAATATTGTATGTTCATGGATTGGAAGAATCAATATTTTTAAAATGTCCATATTACCCAAAGCAATCTACAGATTCAGTGCAATCCCTATCAAAATTTAATGACATTTTTCACAGAAATAGAAAAAACTTTCTAAAATTTATATGGAACACAAAAGACTCATAATAGCCAAAGCAAAAAGAATAAAACTGGACAAATCACATTACCTGACTTCAAATGATACTATAGAGCTATATTAACCAAAACATCATGATACTGGTGTACACACAGATACATAGACCCATGGAACAGAATAGAGAACCCAAAAACAAATCCACACAACTACAGTGAACCCATTTTCAACAAAAGTGCCAAGAATATACAATAGGGAAAAGACAGTCTGTTCAATAAATGGCGCTGGGGAAACTGGATATCCATATGCAGAAGAACAAAACTTGACCCCTGTCTCTCACCAAACACAAAAATCCAATCAAAATGGATTAAAGACTTAAATCTAAGACCTCAACTTATGAATCTACTACAAGAAATCATTGGGGAAAATCTCCAGGACATTGACCTGGGCATAATTTTTTGAGCAATACCCCACAAGCACAGGCAACCAAAGCAAACGTAGACAAGTGGGATCACATCAAATTAAAAGCCTTCTGCACATCAAAGGTTACAATCAACAAAGTGATGAGATAACCAACAGAATGGGAGAAAATATTTGTAAACTACCTGACAAGGGATTAACCAGAATATATATGGAGCTCAAATAATTCTATAGAAAAAATATAATTATCTAATCAAAAAATGGGCAAAAGATTTGAATACACATTTACCAAAAGAAGATACACAAATGGCAAACAGATATATGAAAAGGTGCTCAATGTCATGGATCATCAGATAAATGCAAATGAAAACTACAATGAGATATCTTCTCACTCTGATTAAAATGGCTTATATCCAGAAACTATGCAATAAGAAATGCTGACAAGGACGTATAGAAAAGGGAACCTTTGTACACTCTGAGTGGGGAGGTAAAATAGTAAAATAGCAATGGAGAACAGTTTGGAGGTTCATCTAAAAAGCTAAAAGTCTAGCTACTCTATGATTCAACAATCCCACTCCTGGGCATATACCCAAAAGAAAGGAAATCAGTACAACAAAGAGATCTCTGCACTCCTATGTTTGTTGCAGCACTGTTACAATAACTAAGATTTGGAAGCAACCTAAGTGTCCATCAACAGATGAAATGGATAAAGAAAATATACACAGTTGGGTACTATTCAGCCCTAAAAAGAATGAGATCCAGTCATTTGCAACAGCATGGATGGAAGTGGAGATCATTGTGTTAAGTGAAATAAGCCAGCATAGAAAGATAAACATCACATGTTCTCACTTATTTGTGGGATCTAAAAATCAAAACAATTGAACTCAAGGACATAGATAATAGAAGAATGGTAACCAGATGATGGGAAGTATAGTGAGGTGGGGCGTGGTAAGGATGGTTAATTGGTAAAAGAAATAGAAAGAATGAATAAGACCTACTATTTGATAGTCCAACAGGGTGAGTATAGTTAATACCAACTTAATTGTACATTTTAAAATAACTTAAAAAGTGTAATTGGATTGTGACTCAAAGGATAAATGCTTGAGGGAATGAATACCCCATTTTCTTGAAGTGCTTTTTTCACATTGCATGCCTGTATCAAAACATCTCATGTACCCCACAAATACATACACCTACTATGTACCCCAAAACTTAAAAATTTAAAAATTAAAAATTAAAAAAAATCTAGAAACTTAACACTATTCTCACTGTAAAATAAATGATTAAGATAGTAAATAAATATTTTCAGAGTTCATCTTCAATGATAATGGGTTAAAGTTTTAATAACTGTAACTCACTAACTACGATGTGTTCCTAATTGTTTTTATTTTATTATTGGGCACAATTTTATACTACAATCCAGGACAGCTTCAAATAGTGATAGAATTATATTATTTCACATAAATGCTACTGGGAAAAAAATTATGCCTTTTATATGAAATTTCTCATATTCTACTGGTTTCTGATGCTAATAACCCTTCCTTGCTTTGAGGAAGATATTGAACTGTTGAACTGTGCATATGAATACAGCACAAAATAGCTTTGCATAATGTGATATCCTTCAAAAACAACAGAATTCACACTGGTTAAAAACAGAGCTATTTTAAACTAATGACTATTGTTATCTGTCATCCAAAGCATTTTATGTACATGTAAAATAATATATGCAATTTTTAAAACTGTTCAGATCAATTTCAGATATACATATAAGCGTATCTATTTTCCTTAGAAATGTTTTCTAATATCTAGGTCGGGTGCGGTGGCTCACGCCTGTAATCCTAGCACTTTGGGAGGCCGAGGCAGGTGGATCACGAGGTCAGGAGATGGAGACCATCATGGCTAACAGGGTGAAACCCCGTCTCTAGTAAAAATACAAAAAAAAAAAAAAAAAGGAGAGAAAAGAAAAAAAATTAGCCAGGCGTGGTGGCGGGTGCCTGTAGTCCCAGCTACTCCGGAGGCTGAAGCAGAATGGCGTGAACGCGGGAGGCGGAGGTTGCAGTGAGCTGAGATCCTGCCACTGCACTCCAGCCTGGGAGACAGAGAGAGCGAGACTCTGTCTCAAAAAAAAAAAAAAAAAAAAAAAAAGAAACTTTTCTAATATCCAATATAATTTCAAGATAATTTTTCTCTATTTTATTGAGTTAGTTGTCACTAACTTTTAATTATTAGTTTATTTTAAATTTCTAGGCAATTTATTTTAGTGATAACTCAAATATTATTGGCGATATTTCCATTAAAATATAATTGATGTACAGTAGTAGGGCTATCCAAAAATAAATCAACAGCTTAAACTTTTCATAGAAATTTGGCATTTTCTTAAGATGCACTTGTGTTTACAAATTGGAAACCCTGACCTCTTTATTTAATTAATGTTGTGTACTTAATTGTAATATTTAAATGTATATAATAAAGCTTAAGACAAACCAAAGCTCTTTCCACAGAATATGAAATAGCCATAAGTCAAAATTTTGAATTATCTTGTACATACTAAGCAATATATTGTTTTTATTAAAAACTTTTCTTTATTAAATTAAACCATGCTTTTTTTCAAAGCCTTGATCTGAGATATATGTGAGATTGTATGTTCAAAGTGTTTTAACATAATTTTGTCACATAACAAACACCTACTAAATATTGCCACTTTATATAAACATCTCTCATCTATTTGTTCATTTGTTTGTTTCTGTTTTGTTTTGTTTTGTTTTGTTAGACAGAGTCTAGCTCTGTTGCCCAAGCCAGAGTGCAGTGGCACGATCTCGGCTCACTGGAACCTCTCCCTACCAGGTTCCAGTGATTCTCCCGCCTCAGCCTCTGGAGTTGCTAGGATTACAGGCACACGCCATCACGCCCGGCTAATTTTTTTATTATTATTACTAGAGACAGGGTTTCACCATATAGGCCAGGCTGGTCTTGAATACCTGACTTCAGGTGATCCTCCCACCTCAGCCTCCTCAAATGCTGGGATTGCAGGCTCTCATCTGTTTTTGAATCAAAGTTGTTTGGTTGTTATTGTTTCCTTGTTTTTTTGAGAAAGGGTCTTGCTTTGTCACACAGGCTGGAGTGCAGAGGTGCAATCACAGCTCATTCAAGCTTCAGCCCCCCAGTCTCAAGCATCCTCCCACCTCAGCCTCCTGAGTAGCAGGACTACAGGCACATGCCACCATGACTAGCTAAATTTTTGTAGGTTTCTATTTTACTTTATTTTATTTGGCTGTTGTTGTTGGTGGTGGTGGTGGTGGTGTTTTGTAAAGACAGGGTTTTGTCATGTTGTTCAGGATGGTCATGAACTCCTGGACTCAAGCAGTCCACCTGCCTCAGACTCCCAGAGGGCTGGGATTACAGACATGAGCCACCTTGCCTGGCTCCAAATTTATTTAGATCGTCTCTTATTATCATTCTTCTTGATCAATAAATGTTAGTATACATAGAAATCACAGATATTGATGAATTATAATGGGAAGTCATGGAAAGTGTCACACAATTAAAGCTTAATTCTGACTTTCTTGCTTTTGGTGTGTCATTGACCATGTTAGTTCTCATCTCTGATTTCAGTTTCTGCATGTACAAATCAAGATATAAGACCTACCTGAAAAAGGGTTCTGAAGATGAAATGAGATTACATGTAACAATATCTCAGACACAAGCCCAACAACTTGAAAGTGTTTTTCTAGTTATACATTTAGAAGAATGTATAACTAGAAAAACACTTTCAAGTTGTTGCACATGTACCCTAAAACTTAAAGTATAAAAAAAAAAAGATTAGAAAATTAAAAAAAAAAAAAAAAGAAAGTGTTTTTGTTTTTGTTTTTGTTTTGAGACAGGGTCTCACTCTGTTGACCAGGCTGGAGTGCAGTGGCACGATCCCAGCCCACCACAACTTCCGCTTTTCGGGTTCAAGCAATTTTCCTGCCTCAGCCTCCTGAGTAGCTGGGATTACAGGTGCCCGCCACCATGCCCAGATAATTTTTGTATTTTTAGTAGAGATGGGGTTTCACCATGTTACCATGTTGGCCAGGCTGGAAAGTGTTATTTTCTATTATTCTTGGAGTTATCCTGTCTTCATTCCATATTATACATACTGTTATGTTGCAATTACATTTTTCATAAAGAAAAATGAATATGTTAACTCCGTTTCAATGACTGCTGTCACACAAGAGACTAGATAAAAATTTTTAAAGCATAGTCCTATGTACTTTATGATGGAATACCATCTAAAAAATGACTGAGTCTTCTACCCTTAGTTGTCAGAGATTGTGCTTCCGTATAGCTACAAAGTTTACTCTAAAATAATCTCTAGCAATATTAATTCAGTGATTCATATATCAGGTTTTACCACACTAAATTCCAGATCTTGTGACTGTATATCTTATTCCTTTTGGAAGTTGACAATGTCGGAAGTCTGCATTTGGCTCTTGTCATAACCACCTTATGTTTGCCTTCAATCGCCATCCATACAGGCGAGTGCACATAAGGTCTCTCACGTCCTATGCTAGATGAAGATAGATTCTCAGGCCACTCTTAAGTGATGAAGGCTAGTCTCTACCTATGAGGCACAAAATCAGAATAGAAATATAGATTTCTTATATCATCATCTTTTTCTTCCCTTTCTCTCACATCTGTCTTGCCTAACTCCTTCAAATTTTTCCTCTGTGGGAAGTGAGTCAGTTTTTTCCTTCTTTGGGCCATTATACACCTTTCACATTTTATAGCAGTATATATTGATTTGGAAAAGATTCTTCAACATTCTAAGAAGTACCTAAATAGGGCATTAAGGTAGGAAAAAAAGAACATATTGTGCTCCACAAAACAAGTTATTGAAGAATGCTTTGTTCTTCATCTATTTTTCAAACTATGTTTTTATATCATATGATAAAACTGGGTGTTTTTAGAACATTTGTCTAAAAATGCTATGTTACTTGTCAATTTTAGTATTAAATTGAAGTAAAAAGTTCTACCGAGGGAGTGATTTTGCCTCTAGAATTCTTACAAAATGATAAACATAACAGTAAGTAATTTTATGTATATGAATATAATGTTTTATATCATAAATATAAAGTGCTTATTATATCATCTAGCAGATGACATCTCCCTTGTATCATTTATCATCTCTTAAGAAACAGAATCTATAATTACTTTATTCCTGTTATACTTCTCCTACGTAGTATAGACCTACATCCACTAGAAATTAATCCCACTGTACATTGAATAAGTATCTGAAATGTACAGCAATAAATTATAACTATCTTAAGGCAGCATTTCTCAACTTCAGTCATTTGATAACCAGCTTCATCTCTTTTCTGTATTCATGTGCTGCCTGAACTGTTACATGTCCTCTTTCTTCTTTAAATTGAATTGTTTTTATTTATTCTTATCTGTACCCAAATGATCAGTGAAATTAAAAGTATGATACATATGCCAGTTATATTTTTAAATGCACATTAAAATTAATACAAAATATACAGTACAATTGTTTTTCAAAATATTACCTAACCTCAGCGTATCCACCCTCCCCCAGTGGTTCACAGATCACATTTTTAGAAATTCTGCTTTTGTGTCCAAACATATTTTGAATTAATGTGATACAAAATTTAGCTATGAAATATTGAGTGGGACATGTTTAAAGATGTTGTAATTAGGATAGAACCTGTTTTCCATCCTCCTGTTTGTGGGTCCATGCACTTTTCTCCAGTAAATAATATGCTTCACTTCACTAATGGGCACTGAGTTTATTCACAAATCATTGTAAAAGAAACTCATTTACTTCCAGTCCTTAGCACTAAATGTTCTTTTAGGATGAGACCAATAAACTGAATAAATAAAACAGCGGGATAAGCTTTAAAAGCAATTTCTTCCCTTTTTTCTGCTAAAGTGAAATAATAAAATGCTGGCCTTGGTCTTAGCCTAGATCACCTGCATAATTTGTAATCAAAATAGTAGTATTTTTTGTGATTTTGCATTTATTGAGAAAATGTGTCTTTCTGTGTTAAATAAAATAAACTGATTCAACTTTAATTTTTGTACTGTGAGTCCAGTTTTACCTTCTCTTCCTTCCAATAAATAGATGTATTAAAACTGAAATTTAAGATTATTTCGTGACCGGGCATGGTGGCTCAAGCCTGTAATTCCAGCACTTTGGGAGGCTTAGGCACATGGATCGCATGAGGCCAGGAGTTCAAGCCCAGCCTGGCCAACATGGCAAAAACCCATCTCTCCAAAAAATACAAAAAATTAGCCGAGCCTGGTGGTGTGCACCTGTAGTTCCAGCTACTCGGGACGGGGCCGGGAAAAGGGGGTTGCAGGGGGCTGAGGCAGGAGAATCACTTGAACCCAGGAAGCAGAGGTTGCAGGGAGCCGAGGTCCTGCCACTGCACTCCAGCCTGAGTGACAGTGACAGACTGAGACTATGTCTCAAAAAAAAAAAAAAAAGGAGAGAAAGAAAGAAAAGAAATAAGGGAGGGAGAGAGGGAGGAGGGAGGGAGGGAGAGAGGGAGGGACGGAGGAAAGAAGGAAGGAAGGAAGGAAGGAAAAAGATTATTTATTTGAATTTTATTGCTGTTATTATTATTATTATTATTTAAGGCGGAGTCTCGCTCTGTCACCCAGGCTGGAGCGCAGTGGCACGACCTCGGCTCACTGCAACCTCTGCCTCCCGAGTTCAAATGATTCTCCTGACATAGCCTCCGGAGTAGCTGGGACTACAGGCGCGTGCCACCACGCCTGGTTAATTTTTGTATGTTTAGTAGAGACCAGCATGTTGGCCAGGCTGGTCTTGAACTCCTGACCTCAGGTGATCCACCCACCTCGGCCTCCCAAAGTACTGGGATCACAGGCGTGAACCACTGCTCCCGGCCTTAATTTTAATTCAAAGTAGGGATAGTCACCTTTAACAATTAATTTCGCATCAACACACACAAATACACATAAATTGTAGTTTTACCAAAGTGGTCCTTGCTGTTTCCGTAGTGTAGAAATAGTATTTCCTCCACGAATTTAGACACAATGATCTGAAGAATACATACTTAAAATATTTTGCAGACTAAAGTACCAATTCAAAAGGAATTTCTCTCAGGAATAAAGATAGGCAGTTCCTTAAATACAACTACATGAATAAAATATGATGCTTTTAAACTTATAACAATTTAAATATCTCACCACGTAAATATTTCTTACAACACTGCTGCATTCATTATTATATTATTGTTTTATTCTCAGTTATATTATTCTTTATTATATACTTACAAATATTTTATTGCAATTTAATATTGTCATTTATGGTTCGCGGTTCCTACTGTGGATTTAAGCAAACTTTATATTTTAAAAATTATTTATTTAAGCCAGGTTTATTGGAAGACAGAAAACAATGGAGTGAACTTTTCACAATACAAAATTCTTAGATTATTTTTATTTATAAAATGTGAAGATTACATTATATTTTTTGTTTCTTTTTTTATTCTTAAGAAAATGTAACTTCTGGAAAATAAATTTTATAAAATATAAGCAGTGACTTAATCAGTCATAGTAATTTATGTAACTAACATTTCCTTTATTACTAACCCCAATTCACTTAACAACTATCAATAAATAATGAAGACTTTTATATTGGCATGTGCTAATCTAGACACAAGGAGTGTAGCGCTAAAAATATAAGTTTCGCCAGGCACAGTGGCTCACGCCTGTAATCCCAGCACTTTGGGAGGCCAAGGAGGCTGGATCATCTGAGGTCGGGAGTTCGAGACAAACGTGGCCAACATGGAGAAATCCCATCTCTACTAAAAATACAAAATTAGCAGGGCGTGGTGGCACATGCCTGTAATCCCAGCTACTCCGAAGGCTGAGGCAGGAGAATCGCTTGAATCCCGGAGGCGGAGGTTGCAGGAGCCAAGATCGCGCCATTGCACTCCAGCCTGGGAAACAAGAGCGAAACTCCATCAATAAATAAATAAATAAATAAATAAATAAATAAATAAATGTTTCTTGCTTCATGGTCCATGCAATTTAAGAGGGGAGATGAAACTAAACTACATTTAAAATTAGTAGTCATTTTTTATGAATATACACTTTTGAAATATGCAGTTTTCATATACAAAATACCAGTTTTGAGTATACAAGTGGGCTTTCACAAGGTCACAAATATAGCTTTGGCATATTTCTTTACACTTACACAGGCCCGTTCAATGCGTATGCCTCACAGTCCTCTTTTTCAGTGTATTTTGCAAACTCTATCACCAAAATATCTCCTCGTAATTTGTTTCAGGCTGACAAAAATTACTTAGACTTTGATTATAAAAAATACAAAACTTAAAAAATGTGTAACGGTATACTTAATTGGAAGCATCTTTATATTATAGGGGGCATTTTAAGATTTTGAACTTCCTTTTTTCACCTCAAATAGAAATCACCAAAAGGAAACCAACAAATCCATAATTATTGATTTAAAATATGGAGCCTGTAGCATTTCAAATATCTGCACTTTTAAAAAAAGCTCTGGTGAAATGAAAAACTAAAATATAAAAAAGTGGCATATTTATAGCATTGTCTTTAAGATTGAAAGACAGTATGTAAGTCTTTTTTTTATACATCCTTGTGAGTAGTTATACTTCTGGGTAAATTTTTTACAACTTTATTTTTATTACTTATATGAGGAATTTTATTTCTACCTTTTTACCAAACCCTGAAGGTGCATTCTGGGATGCAATTATAGACAATTCTTAGTGTTTGATTCTAAGACAAATAAAAAAACAAATAATACAGAACAAAAAGCGAAGAACAAATGTCAAAGAGATAAGTTTAATATAAAAATCAAATAAATAAACTTAATAAAATACTTTAGCAAATAATTGAAGGAACAATAATATGTTTGTTCAGATATTTTAGTCATACATACAGCCGAACTAGACACATTGCTTACTTACTGTGCATGGTAGTACATCAACAGGGTTGTAATTACGAAAACGCATAGAATTTGCAACAGAGATTATAGATAATAGCATGCATTACATTCCAAACAAGAGAATGTCTATTCCCTTGAATTTCTCTAGCGTAATCTGCAAGATCATCAATGTCTAAGAGAAAATATTTTCATTCGATGTGATGTTGCCGTAGAGGATCTCAAATAATCTATATTTCCCTGATATTCTGTCTTGTTTAGGATTTAGATCTGTGAGTTAGTATTCAGCGTAGTGGGACTAACTCACTTTTGTACGTAAGAATCACATAAGGAGCTGTATACAAGTAAACCTGACTGAGCCTCACTCCCTAAGATATAACTGCACCTACCTTTCAGATCTTTTGATACACTAACTTTCAGTGGGGATTAAAGAGTTTCATTTTGAAAATGTCCAGAAATGGTTCTTGTGTATATGCCCTATAGAGATCCTGTCTTTGAAATTACTTTATTTATTCTATCACAGACACACACACATACACTCAACATACAAAAATACACGCACATCCACTTTCATGAAACATTTGTTACTTAGAAAAATTATTACGGTTTTGATATTAAATACAACTACATATAGAATAAGTTACATAAAACAAATTAGTTCATATGACTCATGTCTTCCTAATCATGATAGTTTTGGCATTCCAAGTTTATATAAAATAGAGCTTAATGAACTAGTATTACGTGGTAGTTTTAACACTGATTTATCTGCTCTGTGATAGCAGGTAAATTGTTATAACTTTTTCTGGTACAAGTCTACCATTTATAAATAAGTTTCCTTCAATCTGCAACATCCCCTTATTCTGTAAGTCTTCCAGTTGGCTCGGTAAATATTACAAATTTTTAGATAGTTTTTAATTCATATAAATTTGATATTTACTAACTTTTTAGTTGATGATTTTCTAATAACATTGTATAGTGAGGGAGTGTTTCTTCAATTTTCTTCTGTTTAGCTTTCCATATAAATCAATTAGTAAGGAAAGCCAAGGTTATTTGGATAATGTCTTTAAATTGAAAACAAAAGTCAACTTCTGATTGTAGAGAAGAATGCTGAACAACATACCACCAGTTCCTGGCACCTGTAGATTTTCACGCTGTGTGTGTGTTTTTCTTTTTTCTTTTTTCAACAGAGATAATGGACTTTTCTGAAGGATTTTTTATTTGAATGACATTTTAAAGATCTACCTAATGCATTTTTTCATACTAGTGCCCCAAGAGCAATAATATAAGTCCCTGCTGGGCAGTAGGCAAAATGGATACTTCTATTCCCCATCTGATGTAGGTGGTAGAATATAATTAGGCCTGTTAGAAATCTTCCTTGATGCTTCTGAGCTTGCTGAGAGGTGGATTTTCAATCATTTACAACTTTCTGAAATCTTTTTCTGTACACAGCTTGAATAAAGATTTTCAGAAAAGTCTAGTCATATGTTGAAAATGTCATTTTAAAAATTGTTTTTGAAATAATTCTAGATAATATTTTTAAATTGAATATGTCTTTTTAAAAGCATCATTTACTAATGAACTATTATTTTGAAGTCTATAATAAGACCTTTCACTTAAAAAAACTGTCGTCAGTTTTATAAGATAATGTGATAGTAGTTTACAATTTTATGATAGTTGTTTGGGGGAAAATGTTATTTATATACTAAAAGTGATTTTAATAAGGCTTTGCAGCAAAACATATATTATTTTCTTCTTATAAATACCATATTCTACATACAGAATTCAGTTAGCATTTACATCTGCTTATGAAGTAGTCGACTACTACACTTGAAGAAAATATAAAATCGTATCACTATAAAGAAGTCTAAATATATCAGTGAATATTAATAGACTTAACAAAAACAACAAATTTCTAGTAATGTAATTTGAGTTAGGTATGTGGTATTCTAGTGAATAATGTTAAATTGTTTAAACAACAAGATTAAATAAATTTGAATGAATGTATGTACAGCAATGCATTTTGGTTCAATTTTTAAAAATATATAGAAAAACAATTTGAATAAATTATATACAAGTAAGTATAGTATCTATGAAAATATCTGAGCAAACATTTTAATAAAAATTGCAGCAAAAGAATACATTTGATGAATTTCATTGTTGAGCTTAAGCATGCAACAAAAACCAGTGCGTAAGATAATACTGCTTTCACAATAATTAATTAATAAGATGGAATCCATTATAACAAAAATTGCCTTAACACAGAAGTTGCAATGGATTCATTTCTCTTGACTCAGGGATTGACATAATACATTTAAAAAAGATATATTCAATGAACATATTCATTTATAAGATCAACCGTATGTTTAGTAGCTGTGTTTATAGAGGGTGAAAAACTCTTAGGTAAGAATCTTTCTTCGCTATGATATTATATTGTCATGATCTATCTCTTATGATAGCATCAATGCTTCTGTTTTGTAATCCACAAAGTTTTTGTCTGACTATCTAAGTCTTTCTTTCTCAGAAGTTACATGATTTTTAGATTGACAATAATATATCTACTTATAAGATAATGTATTTCATACTCTTTCAAATAAGTACGAATAGTAAAATTCTAGTATGCATAAATCCTACCATTTTACCCCTGGTTCATAGCGCTTACCTTGTTCACTCCTTTCAATCACCAACTTATATTTTACTGTCTATTACAATAATCAGTGCATTATGTATATGCCAGTCTTTTTTTTTTCGCTTAAAGAAACATTTCTGGCAAAACACAAGTCATGGTTTAATTTACTTTTCTCCTCTTTCTCCACATGCAGTAGCACAGCTGAATATAGCTGAAGAAAATCCCACAGTAATTTTAAGTGGTCTGTATTTAAAATTATGTTCCAGAACATAACGTAAATTCTTTCTGCTGCCTAGAACTCATCCTACCTTTTCTTGGTTCATTTTCTTGACCACTGTTTTAGATAACTACTTCATAAATTTTTATCTATTCTCAAATTTACAAAACTCCTCTATCATCAAAAAGCTCAGCTGATGATTCACTTCCTCTTTTACTAATTAGTTGGAAACAGAAGAAAATCTTAATAAATCCTGACTACTACACCTGCAAACATACCCAGTGGAACCTGTATGTTACCATGAATGAAATATCTGAGTTTTCATGTGGAGTCTGGATTTCATCCACTCTAACATCAGTCCAGTAATTCATCTCCCTATATATAATCATACCTCATTGATCATTACCATAACTTTTAAAGCTATTCTTATTTCTCTTGATACACACACACACACAAACACATACACATCCTTCATACGTATGTGTATATTTATGTGTGTGCCTGTTCTTCCAATTATCTCTTGAACATACTCCAGTTAGATTTTACCACTCCACTGAAACTCTCTGGCAAGCTTACCAATAACCTTCACTTTATGAAACCTAATGGTTGACCTAGTTAAACAACCTCTTCTGTTTGTACCATGTTTTTTTTGGCTTCTAGTGAACTCTCTTGGTTTTTTTCTTACTATGCTGTTCACTTCCTCAATCTCTTTTGATCATTCTTTGTCTTCTAATTGACATCTAAATAATTGGGCACCCTAGTCTGCCATTTTTTCTTGGATTTCTCTAATGATGCTGAGTCCTTGGTGATTTCATCTAGTCTTACGGCTTTAATGATCAATTGGATTCTGTAATCTCCAAATTTCAACTGTGGACCTCTCTACTGAACTCCAGTCTTCTATGTCCAATGACTTACCAGACAGCTTCACTTGGATATTAAATAAATCTTTCAAAGTTAAAATATTCAGTTCAATACTGTACTTCTTTTTCCCCTTGATTTGCTTCTCCCTCAATCATCCCATTCTCATTAAGTGGTGTCTTTTTCTGTTTAGGAAAATGCTTGAAAACATCTTTGGCTTTTATTTATTTTTATTCTGGCTAGAAATACATTTTTTAACTGTTACTTTTGGTTCAGACATACACGTACAGGTTTGTTATATAGGTAAATTGTACATTGTGGGGTATTGAAGCACAGATTATAGAAATTCATATTTTTAGCAAATTTTATTAGCCCTACTTTAAATATATCCATAATTCAATTACTTTTCAACAACCAGCTGTTACTGCCTTGGCCGAAACCATTGTTACTTGCCTGCGTTATTTCAGTAACTTTTTTTTTTTTGGATGGGTTACAGACCAGCGTTTGCTTTATTTGAACAGAGTTTGAACACAACAGTGAGTTCTTAATGCATCCACCCTTGTGCCTGTTATTTTCATTAAAATGGTTAGATTGATTCACCTGAAACAAGCCATATAATATAAATGTTCTGTTCAAAAGCCTTTAATAGTCTCATATAATTTGGAATTCTCTGCTCTTATTTAATGGCTTTACATGATAGACCACTTTTCCATTTGCTGTGACAACCTGCTTTTCCTCATATTCTACTTTTTTTTTTTTTTAAACCTGAAACAGGGTCTTGCTCTTTCACCCAGGCTGAGTACAGTGCTGCAATCAAGGCTCACGGAAGCCTTGAACTCCTGGGTCAACCAATCCTCCCACCTCAGCCTTCTGGGTAGCTGGGACTACAGGCACATGCCACCATGCCCAGCTTATCCTACTCTTAAGATCAATTAATGAATCAATGAAATTTCATGTTTCCTCCATAAATCCTAGGGCATTGCAAACTCTTCAGTGGTAATTTATCCATTTAGAAGACTGCAAATTGCAAGTCTTAAATTCAGTAAAAACTATTTCAAAACTTTAATATGCTTACTGAAGTTTCTAATTATTTTTTGTATTTTCTGAGAGAGTGCTTGAACTGTCAAACTGAAATCTATATGATAGACTATTGATTTTTAACAGGTAATAACTATGAATATGTTTAGGTTAATTGTTGGATTCTTTAGATAAAAACTAAGGATAAAGTTCAGTCCACTGTCATTCAACTTACAAAATGAAAAGTCAATGTACATGACACACTATAGTTGATTTTCTATATGGATATTTGCATTTAATTCCGAAGTTCACTATACCCAGTAGAGTGACAAGAGCTTTGATAATACTGGAACCAAAATTTAAAACAAAACACAAATTTATATTAAATTTTTAGTAGCATATTCATTGATAAACATATGAATAAATAGATGTAATTTTTGATTGATTAGTGAATAATTTGTTTATAAACTAGAATCTCTTTTGGGGCCAAATGATAGAGAAAGTGATAATTAACATATCATACACAAGTTTATAGAAGCAAGAGATTAAAGAGCAATGAAACTGCATGCTTTTATTGTGTGTATTATAGAGAACATTTTGGAGATTTATTGTGACATAACTACCTCTTTCTATGTTACTGGAAACATGGCTAGCTTTGTTTAGATCAGCATCATAAGTTGTCATATTGCAGATATTACCACTAGGTAGAATACTTTTTAAATACCCACTCATACAATTTGCCTCAATTTTCCCTGTACTATAAATACTCAACACTTTTCATACCTGCATATCCCAACACAGTATTACAAGCTGGAAAAAGGCTGTTTCTCATCATTTTTATATCTTAGCAAAGATACATATAATTTTCTAGACCATTTCTGCTTCGTGGGTCTTTAGCTCCCCTGTCACCAGACTTACCTTTAATGAAAATATCCATAGTGTTTTATTAATCATCTGGTGATTGATATACGTTAAAGATTCATCACAGTCTGACACATGATTTTCTTTGATTTTTTATAGAAAAGGTATCATATAGAAAATATACTATTCCTGGTACTGTTTTAATTATTTTTTTTACAAAATCCATACTCTATCAATGGTTTATGGTTGTTGCAGCATTGTATATTTTATCCCACACTGGGAAGGTGTTTTGATAAGACTCCTGATTTTGCTTAAAAAGCGTAACATTTTATCAACATTTCCAACTCTGTTTCTCCTATACATTATTTTATCTTAATAACTTCTGTTAGATCCTCTCTGAAGAGTTTCTTCTCTTTTAATTGAAGGCTTCTAACAATCACAAAAAGCTTGATTTGTATATAGAGTGTTTGTATAAATTACCTGTTCTTCATGGAGGGTTGCTTTACACTAAGACAACAAAAAGCAAAATCAAAACTGAAAAGCAACTCAGTGGAGTTCATCTATTTGTTTTCCACACTTTTAGTTTTTAGCCACTCATCTCTTAGAGATAGGTTGTTTCTATGTCTCTATAACAAAAATAATTTGATGAAATTGCGGTTTTCAGATTTTAATTTTTTTAGTATTTTGATGTTTCTTTCATGTTCTGTATAAAATATTTCCAATAAATATAGGCATATTTATTTAAATATAAATCTGTTATCAATTATACATGAGTTAACAAGACAGCCTGAGGATCATTCAAAGCTCACAATATAGATATATTTTACCCTTCTTGAACTTCTCACCCAATGTGTAGTTATAAGGCATCATGACAAATAATGCATATGAATCATTCAGCATGTCTCCATATTCAAAATAAAACATATATTTGCTATAATAATATCAGCACATACAACAGTAATTATACATATAGACTATATAAGATTTCTTATACATCTAATGACATAGGTATGTTAACATGTATTTAGCATAATGTGATTGTTTAAAAAGAAAATGTATGTGTAGCCTGTATATATACATATATACACATGTATATACATGTATATGTATACGTATACATAAATATGTACATATACATATACACATACATCTATATATGTATATATTGCCAGATACTTTTAATTTTATGGTATCAGTCCAATAAAATTAATACTTTGAATAAGGATGTGTTCTATAACATAAGAAATCTCATATTGGTGACAAAATGTGGTCACTAGATGTCACTGACATTAACTATGGAACTAGTGACAATTTAAAATACTTTTTAGAACTTCCATAATGGATGAAGTGGGGCCTGATTTGCACAATGAACTTAAAAATCCTCAGCAACAACAAAACAAAATGTACAATGTGATGGGCAGCACATTGATCCCCAAGAGAAGAGAAGCATGTGATGTAAGCTCCATTATTGCTCAAGCCTACTGCCTGGAGAGAGATTTCAGGCGGGAGCACAGGGATGAATGCTTCAATTGTTTTCCCTGTTAGGAGACAGTGTTCTGAGTTTGGGTGACAACGTGTGCTGGAATTCGCACAGTGGGGTAGCTGAAAGGGCAGAGCCCTGTGGAGATGACAGAATTTCACACACACACAGAGAAATACCTCCGGAGATCTTCAGTGCTTTCCGTTGGAGATTTGAGCTAATTATTGCTTAGTGCGTGTGTGTGTGTGTGTGTGTGTGTGTGTGTGTGTAAAAACAATGCAAGGCCTTGGAAAGAATCATTGGAATGCTAGAACTGTTGCTTTGGTTGTGTGGCCAAAATAGCCCTAAACTAAAAGTTGTTCCCAACTCACCTAACAAAGCTTCAAAGCAAACCTCAAAGGAATAAAATTGTTTTCAAGTAACTTAATGTCTCAGAAGAGAGACTGGACATACATAAAGGAATACAAAACATATAGCACTCAAAATATATCAGTTACAATGTCTGGCATAAAATTAAAAAAATCGTGGCATATGCAAGGTGAAAAAAATAACCCATAATAAGAAAAAACAGAAACAGTATCAATAGAAACATACCATCGATGACATACATGATGGTAGTAGGCGAGAACACTACCCGATCAATTGTTTTAATGGGCCCTGCATATGTATTTAGAAGATACAGAAAAGCACAAGCACAACAAGGAGAGATGCCGATGATATAAAACAGCTCAAATAAAAATTGTATATATTGAAAAAACAACATTTTCAATACTGAAAATGACCTTGGACGGGATTAGTAGCATAGTGGATACTGCAGAAAATGACTAGCAAAATCAAGACATAGCACCATAATCTATCCAAAGGTTAAGTGCTATGATTTCCTTTTGGGGGAGTAGGTACCCAGTAGTGGGATTGCTGTCTCGATTGATATATTTAGTTCTTTGAAAAAGCTTTGTACTGTTTCCCGTTTTAGGCAGGAAAAAAGGTGAATATATCCTTTGACCTGAACTGTGTCTTTTCCATGCTGTGAGTATGGGGTGGACAAAGGCTCAGAATGGGACTTTTATTTGTTCTGGTAGATAGAGCAAGAAGCATAGAGAAGAATGTTCCCAAAATATTCTGAGTTTCTTCATAGTGTATTTACTGTATTTTTCCACTTTGGGAGATTTACGTAAAAACATACTAAAGGACAAGCGCAATGACTATAGTTAACATTTGTTTAATAGTTATTATACGTCACATATTGTTACAAGCATATCATATGATATTGTAGCATCTCCTGTAGGATATTGTGCTTCTTGCTTAAAAAAACAACCTCTCATTTGTCTGTAATTTGAACTAGATTAACTATACTGCTTAGGCACTGGGTACTAATTATATCACTGATTTTAACAATATTTATCATGTACCTAGCATGGAGCCTGCCTAATCTTATTTAATTCTCACCAGATGTGGATTAAAGCAACCAGCACTAAATGAGTGCATTAGTCCACTTGTGCTGTCATAATTCTTCAGTAAAATGTCATCAAAATCTCAGTAGCTTTCAATACAAAAGTCTGTAGGTCTCTTTTAAGTATGCTATAGCAGCATGCTCTAGACCTGAGTCTGGTTTCTGATCTGCTCCACATATTCTCTTAATTCAGGAAACAGCCTGCAGGGAAAATCCCATCTGGGGTGTGATGTTTGAAAATTTCCATGATAAAATACAAAATGTAATTTTACAAGAAGACAAGTACTAGAGAATAGTGTCATCAAATCCCATGTATATGTCACCCAGCTTCAATAGTTATCAATACTTTTCCCTTCCAATTCACACGTTTTAAGTATCACACTTTATCTGTTTTCCAGTAGGGAATTTTGACTTTGTATTAGATACCAAAACATTTTAAATTTTCGATTTTAAAATAGTTGATCCATATGATGTATGACTCCCTCAAAACCTTGAAACAATGCAGTCAATACTTACTAATGACTAGTTGTATGACTTGAGAGCAGTGTGGTTTAATAACATGGTATCGCTGTTCACAGGGTGAATTCAATTATGTGGCATACATTATCACCATATCTCTGACCATATTATAACGCATTTTTAAAAGGAAGAGCTTCATAATATAATTTGGCTCATTCTTTCAGATTTCTCTTTGCGGTTTTCATAGTTTTGTGACATGAAAGTAAATTTTACAAGATGTACATTTTAGATCTGACTATCTTCTTGGCTTCTTTATCTATTGGTGATTTTTTTTATAGATTTAGGGGGTACAACTAAAGTTTTGTTACATCGATATATTACATGCTGGTGAAATCTGGGCTTTTATATTCACCATCATCCTGATAATGTACCTTGACAAGGAGTTATGTGAAATGTTTTATTATTTATTATAGCAGTTGTCTCCTCCTATAGTAGTTATTTGTCCTAATTGTATTTTGTCTTTTACTAAATATATTATGTATTGGCCATGGAAAAATACTATAAATTATTTGCACGTGGTTCATGGGATCAAGAGAAAAGTCTAGCAGCAAAATAAACTGTCAATTAAATAGAGTATGGGAAAGTTATTATTTTACTTTGAGATGGAATATATGTAGAATGCTTTTGGAAATCACAATGAAATAGATGGGTGTATGAAACTCATATTTATTGCTTAGATCTGCATATCAGTAGCTTTAGCCAATTTATTATGTACTTTACAGATGCTAAACTCCAAATATTCACTCATTTAATCTGCATAGGTATCCTTTGAAATCTGTATTCTTATCATACCCATTATACAGAAAAGCAAACTGAGGTACCACTAAGTAAAGTAGTTAATCTCAGGCTTTAGAGATTATAGGTGCCACAGCCAGGATATAAGCCTATCCATTCTGGTTCTGCAATTTATGGTCCTAACTATTATATTACATTAAAGTAGGTAGGATGCCTGTGCAATAATATAAATACTCAGGTCATGTTTTGAAAACCAGCATTTTGACAACTGTCTGTTGGAACCCACCTAGTCTCTAGTCTCATGTTTTAAATTTAAAAATAATAATCTCTAAAAGGTTTATTCTACTTAAAGCTTTATTATCATAATATTTTAATTTTAAATATTATTTTTAAAGTATTGAATATGAAATACGGAATAGACTTTATACATGTATTAAAATATGGGTACTTATTTTAAAATATAAATGTATACAGCCATAGTATAATTTTATGTAGAGGTAACAATCTACTAATGTAGATAACATTTTATACCTAAAGGGTCTGTGACAGAATGCAAGAAATATTTCTTTTCTCTTTTCTTTCATCAACACTTTCTCATTTGGTCATTTACTAAAAACACTTTCACTTCCACCTTAATATATTTCTGGAATCCACTCACTCTTTTCCATTTTCACTACCATTACCTTTCCCAGCATGTCATCAGTGTAATAATGTATTTCCAGTTGTTCTCCCTCCCCCACCATCTTAGTCTGTTCACGCTGCTATAACAAAATACTGTAAAGTGGCTTATAAACAACAGAAATTTATTTCTCACAGTTCTAGAGACTGGGAAGTCCAAAATCAAGGTGCTAGCAGGATGGATTTGAGGTGTGCTGAGGGCTCACTTTGTCAAAGATGCTGTTTTCTTCTTGTGTTCTTATATGGTGCATGGGACTAGCTAGCTTTCTGTGGGCTCTTTTATTGGGCACTAATTCTAATAACAAGGGCTTTACCATCATGATCTAATCAACTCCCAAAGGCCCAACCTCCAAAAATACCAGCACAGTGGGGCTTAGGATTTCAACATATGAACTTTGAGGGGACCCAAACATTCAGACCATAGCACCCTCTCTAATTTACTTTTTTTCCTGCAGTGTGAGTGATCTTTTTAAATCACAAGTGCATCTACTTTATTCCTCTGCCTAAAACCTATCCTGTCCATTTCCAATTGTTCGTAAAACACCCAATAACCTTCAACTGATATTTACCTTTTCACAGTGTTATTTATGTATAAGTCACATAGCAAACAATTCACCCATTAAACTGTGCAATTAAAAGCCTTTTTTCCTAGAGTTGTGCAATCATAAACACAATCAATTTTGGATCATTTGATCACTTCTTTTGGTCATCACCCCCCAATCTCCTCACCACCACCTCCCATTCCCCTTGCCTGCCCTAAGCAAACATTATTCTACTTTTTTGTATCTATAGATTTGCCTATTCTGGAAATTTCAAAGAAATTGAATTATTCAATACTAGTCCTTTGTTATCAGCTTTTTCCTCTTACTGTAACATTTTCATGATTCATCCATGTTGAAGCATGTGTGAGTACTTCATTTTGGTTTTTCTTTGGCCAAATAATATTCCTTTGTATGTTTATACCACTTGTTTTTTTCAATCCATGCACCAGTAAATAGGCATTTCAGTTGTTTTCACTTTTTGACATTATTAATAATGCTGTCATTAGCATTTATGTACAAGTTTTTGTGTGGACATATATCTTCATTTCTCTTTGGAATGTAATTACAATTCTCTGTTTAACATTTGGAGGAACTGTCAAACATTTTATACAAAACATCTGCACCATTTTACATTCCCACTCACAGGGCATGAGGGTGCCAATTTCTTCACATCCTGGCCAACATGTGTTACTATCTGACTTTTTCATGGTAGCCACTCCAATGAATGCTAAGTGGTATCATGATTTTGATTTAAATGTC
Organism: Homo sapiens; assembly: GCF_000001405.40. NCBI lineage: Eukaryota > Metazoa > Chordata > Mammalia > Primates > Hominidae > Homo > Homo sapiens. The sequence continues at coordinate 21,369,687 of NC_000021.9, forward strand.
CTTGATGGCTAGTGAGTTTCAGCATCTTCTCATGATCTTATTGGTCTTTCTTTTGCTTGGGTACTTCTTATTGTAGTCTTGTTTATTTCTCTAACTCTTTCATATCTTACCCCTTCAACCTCATATTTAATTTGATAGTTCCAGTGAGCCCCTTTAAACTCTTTCAACACAGCTTTTTTTTTCCTCAAGTTCAAGCCCACACAGTTACCATTTTTTTCCTACTTTTCTTACTTTTTTATTGGTGAGGGCTGACTTTGTAGGGGTACAACTCATGCAACTGCACAGATTCTGCACTCTTTAACGACCCCAAGTTTGAGCTAATATGCTGCAGTCATCGTCATCTTGGCATTTTAATAGTTTTTAAATAGAAACTCCCACATTAAATTTTGCAATTGCCCCCTAAAATTACATAGCCAGTACAGTTCCTGACTTATCATTTTGACTTGTCCTTCCGTTTTGGCATAAATACCTACGAGAAACTCTTCCTCACCTTTGTCTACCAAATTAGGTTTCCTTTCTGAATGTCATCTATATCAGCATGCATTATAATTTGTCATTTTTTCCTCTGATCCTTATGACCTGAGAGACCAAGGGCTTTGCTTTCTTACCCATTTTTCTTTTTTTATATGTAAAAGTAAACGTGCTAATTTATTCCCATTAAAGCATCAAAAATAAATGTTTTGTGTCTAATTTTTGAAACCAAATATTGTACATGCCATCAAATGTTTCAAACATCTTATTGGCATGTTTTGGTGTTTGAAATCCTCATTTAAAATTGAATAACATATTTTAAAAACAAAAATTAGAAAAATCACTAATGAAATAAACACATTTAGTAGGTAAAAATGCCCACTTTTCAATTTGAGTGAATGCATTTTTCTAGCCCCAGAACCCAGCAAAGTGTCTATTACATAGCTGCGGTACATACATAGTTCAAACTCATAGTTGCTACTCAGGTGGTAAATCATATATCAAAAATAATCAAACATGAACTCCAGGGCTAGACAACCTGGTCATTCAGCTGCTAAAGCTTATAAGCTGTGGGATGTGGGCTAGTTATTGAATATTTTTCAATTTCCTCATCTTAAAATGGAAATACTAGCCTCAGCCTCATAGTGATGTCATGGAGATTAAATACACTAGTAAATGTAAAGCTTTTTGGATGTTGTCTAACAAGTATAATTTATCATATGTATGTATTGCCTTTTATAATTATTACATTCAATTCCTATTTGTTGAATAAATTTTTTATTTTATTATCAAAGAAAAGAGAAAGACAGGAGGACCTAATAAGAAAACTACCTAAGTGAAGAACTTTGATTGCATGTATTTATCTTTCTGACATCATTTACACTGCTGGGTGAAATGGTAATTATACAAGAGGTCAGCTCATGAAATTGAAATAAGAGGAAGATTAGAAAGCTAGGAGCAAATCCAGAGGAAAGAACATTATTGCTAATAGTAAAGAGAAGAAACTTACAGGGAGGGAAAACAGTATTTCTGTTTAAAATTCTTAGTATGACTGTAGAAACTGGTGGATTTGATACATTAAAACAGTTTTGAGAAGGTAGTTTGGATAAATTAATTCTAATAACCTTTGGAGAGTGTTGGTTTTTCTGTCTACATATTTAGCAGTTATGCATTGTCTTTACCTCAGAGTATTTGAAGTTGAGTTTACTTACTCGATAGAGAAATAATGCCATTAGGAATGAGGCAAACAGAATACCTATAGAAGGCATCCACAATGGGGTGCATATTCTTTTGTGTATCTGCATTGATCTTGCATTCTGCCTATGGTCCCTATTTACCTGTCCATCATCAGGAGAACCACATGACCCCACTGTCTTCTGTGCGTATTCTTGCTTCTCTCATATCTTTCTTATGTCCTCTTAGGGCATCTGCCTGGAATTCTTCCCTCAACACCACCCTTCTTTCACTATTTACAGATCACAATCCACACTTTGGTTTGTCAGGAAACATACCTACCCCATTCCTCCACTTACTCCTAGAAAGATATAGTTTGCCTACCTGGTGCTTTTCACATTTATTTGAATTGTACTGTAAAATTAGTATCTATCTTGTTTGTTTAACTTTAATGCCACCAAGGGTAGAAACTATTACAGTTTGCTCAGCACTGCATCGCAGTGCCTGGTTGCTTATTGTAAAATAAATGCGCGTGCACACACACACACACACACACACACACGCTCTGACACAAAATAATTGTTGAATGGTTAAGTGAGATGATCCATCAATCTCCCAAAAGGCCAAAGGATTTAATGACTCTAAAAGTGTTCCATGACACAGTAGAAAGAATAGAAAGTTTTGGAATACTGGCCACCTCAAATGTGCTGTGAACTCTAATTGGATTCTAAATTTGACAATAAACGTCTAGTCAGGTGAGGCCACAAAAAATAACCTATAAATAATGACACATTATATAATTTCAATTGTTTGACAATTAAAATTGTCAACAAAAACTTTTAGTTGCAAATAAACTCAAGAAGTGGTTATCACATGGATATTTGATTAAGGGATTTTTGAAAGGACAATAAACTCTAAAAATAACCATATTATAAAAATATTGAAATACCATTTAAATAAGCAATTCTTAAACTGACCTTCTAGAAGGGCAAAGAACATAACATCAAATCAAATTTCAGAGAGTGCGTTTTTGTAAAGGATGGAATAATAATGTACAGTCAGACACTTTGTTTTCTAATCATCTTACTTAATTCAGTGATAGAACCTGGAAATACTAGATAGACAGCAAAAATGCTCATTAACCTGTCTCAATCAAATATCAGATGTCTTAAATGAATCTTTAGTAGGTGTTGAATCAGAGCCAAGATATAAATGAATTTTCTTTCAGATATTTGTAATGCGTTTCTGTAGCACAAAGAGACATGTCCTTTAGAATGTCAGAAACGAAAATAGAAAATGACCTTGGACTTTTAGTGCAAGTATTTGACTCAAATGCATATTGTGCATCATTACAGAGCCAGTGATGAACCTGAGAATGGCTTCTAACTTTCCTAGGAATCACACACTTGGGCACAGTGTCTGTTTTTCCAGAATTTATGTTAATAATTTCAGGTATATTGATAATAACTTTTAAATGCAAACATTTTTACTAATAACATCTATATACACCAATAGTTTTTCACAAGTCAAAGCCATGTCATGTATAACAGGTAATTACAAGAGAACATGTTTATTTTCAAGCGAAGATCATGTAACTTTAAAATTTACTTTTCAATACTGTGAAATAATTACGTTTCCTTTATAAAAATGAATAATTTGCTTTGCATTATTAATAATGTATTTTGTTGTTATATTCCAATAAAGTTAATTAAGTACAAGTGCTTAACTCATAGTAAATAATAGCTGAAGGAGTACATTTTCTTTACTCAACTGCATGTAAATTTCACTATAACATAATTTGCTTTCTAAAAATATTAGAATATACTGTTTCTGTCCTAGAAATTTAAGTGACTTTTACGTGAAGTACCATAAATATTTTCTTACATTTGTTCAACTATACTATCACACTATGGGATGAAATCTGAAGTTCCAGCAAGACTTTAGTAAAAGCAACTTATTCCAAGAAAATTATGTAGTTCAAATAAGTCATAATTATTTAGGCAATCAGGAACTATTTTTAATACAATATGAAATTTTGCCAGTAACTTAAAGGATAGAAAGTAGGATGTTGCCATGTAAATATAGAGAGAAAAAAAGGGGAAAAGTGTAAAACACGTCTGTGAAGAGTGTTTATTCAAAGCACAGGATATTGTGGAGAGTACAAGTAATTCAAAATAATTGGAATTGACGGTATCCAAATTGTAAAGTGTGCTTGGACAGAAAGGTGATACCACATGAGAGATCTTTAAACATCAGGCTGAGTGATTGGGTTTTGTTTGGAGTCATTGAAATGCTTTTTATCATTATACAGCCAGGGTACAGGAAACCTTCATGAAGCTATGAGAATGTAAAAAGTGTGCTTTTTAAAAAAAACTTATTCTTAGCTATACAAGAAATACTTTCTACATCAGGAACAGTTTCTTTTTTCTTTTTGCCAGAGAAACATGGGAAGTAACATAATGTTATATGTTTGGTCACCATTTTGCACACACAAGCATAAAATCTTTCTTTTTCCTGAATCGATGTAAACAGAGCCTGGACGGCCGTATCGAAGTCAAAGGGCAGCATGGAAGCTCATCACTGCATATTAAAGATGTGAAGTTGTCAGATTCAGGGAGATATGACTGTGAAGCTGCAAGCAGAATTGGAGGGCATCAAAAGAGCATGTACCTTGATATTGAATGTAAGTTACTTTCCTTTGTATTTTCATTAAAATAACTTTGCATGCTTTGAAACATATGATTTTTCAATAAAGACCAAAATATATATGTAGTTCACATTTCAGTACTTAATGCATAGCTTTAGAGGAAATATAGGAATCATTCAGTCAGTTATTGGAGACATCTAGTGGAAATTACAGGATATTTCACAGTGCTGTATATTTCATCATTTTGATATTGCTTTTCCTGAAAATGGTCTTTCTTTTTTTGCAACATTGAACTCAAAACACAGTATCAACTGAAAAATATTAATTATCAGTAATTGGTCGATATCACTTTAGATTTTTTATTTCTTTATAATATTTATGATTATGTCTCAAATATGTAGTGTTTACATTTCTTATTCAAATTGTTTTGTTAGGCTATTTTACATTTTCATAAACTATAAAGAGTATTTTAAATGCAGTGAAATGTACTAATATGCTGTCTTATCAAAATAGTGTTTATTTTCTGTCTGGAAGAAAGGAGCATGACAAGGATAGTTTTTAAAATAAATTTAAAAATGTACATAACCACGTGAGTTTTGGGAAATGGGAGGGCTAATGTAAGTCAAGCTTTCACAAAACCCCTCTGGTCACTGCATGGAATTTAAAAATAATTTGGTATACATGCTATTTAAAAAGGAAGAAACTTAACATCATTCTCAATAAATATTTATGAAGCATCAATATTGGAGAGTCTCTGATGCTTGAAAGGACATAGCTGTTCTTAGTGGAATGTATGAGATATTCTTATTGACAAAATATTTCTATTGGAGCATGTCTAGTACATTAATATTGATAGAATGCAATGGTAACTGTGAAACAAGATGCATTCTCTTATCGAGAATGCCTTCAAAAAGAAAATATTTTCTCAAGAATAGACATAAGTTATCCATATTATTTTACATTTTATAGACTGTGCTTGTCAAGAAATTCATGGAAAGACCAATCAGAAACTTCTAAAAGAAAAAAGGACTGTTGTGGGGTTGGGGGAGAGGGGAGGGATAGCATTAGGAGATATACCTAATGCTAAATGAGGAGTTACTGGGTGCAGCACACCAGCATGGCACATGTATACATATGTAACTAACCTGCACATTGTGCACATGTACCCTAAAACTTAAAGTATAATAATAATAAAAAGGAAAGAAATTCCCATAATAGGATAAAAAGAAAACAAAAACAAAAACAAAAAAAAAAACACCCACTGATATATTTGTTAAACTATACAATTCCTGGATCTGTAACAACCTTTTTAAAACTATTCATACAGTTGTTGGAATTTACTAAACTTCGTAACTAAAAGAAAAAAAAAGAAAAAAGGATTATGAAAGGCAGTCAACAATAAAAGGCAACTTGATTCTGACACAAATTACTGACTTCATTTGCTGATATTAGGCAGCTTCTAAGAAAGCCACTTTATTTCCATCACACTTTCTAAAAAAATAAAAATGGAAAGCATTGATAATATTGAGAACACACAAAGGAGGAAGTGATGCCAATAACTTACTTAACCTTTTTCCCTTAATAATTTTTTCTACTTTTTTCCATTATTACAGTATATTTCTTTTTCAGACCAACAACATCATTAGCAAATTATAAATACTTTACACTTTTACAGTACATTTGTTATATTTTTAATTAAAATTTGTTTATTTAAACCAAAATTTACTTTATGATTTTTTTTAATTTTTCTAAATGTGAATCTAAATGAAGAAAAAAAAAACTTAAGCATGCCAAGATATGATTTATATGAGACCTCCTGGCCTCTTCCACTGTCCTACAAAAGTGCTAGGCTGCTAGGCAACATATTATCTTAATGAAACTATATTTAGGACTTTTATTCTTTGCATTTCATTAATATTTTAAAACATTTGCTGTATCATAGGATTAGTACTAAATGTCTGTTGCAGGTCCTCAGAAAAGTGGAGTTTATGAGAAATGAACACTATGGATATTTCCAAAGCACAGTAAGGCAGAGTGGCTCGTACAAGATATGCTAGTATTAGAATAATAGGACTAGCTAATATGTTAATTAATAGTGTGTTATGTGTCCCTGAGTCCTCAATTTCCTTAGTTATAAGATAAGAGGGTTTAAAGAAGAGACTGTTGGGACCTATTTATACTCAAGCATTTAAAGATACTTTTATTCAAGCGTATCCACATTCTCCAGAGATGCCCTGGGATTTCTGAATTATTGTCCATGCATGACAGCATAGGTATTTGTGTGAAACAAATGAAAACCGAAATTAAGATTATAATTCATATATGTTTATGTTGTAAAACCTCACTGAAAATAGTTTTAAAAACCATACTAGGTCCACCTTAAGCTTCAGGTTTTGTGCTGAGTGATAATGGACACAAAGATGAATAAAACATAGCTCCTCCTTTATTAGAAGTCTACCATCAACAGGAGTTTAAATTAAACCGCAGCATGTATTCAGATTTCAAAGTGAGAATGAATAAAATATCAAATTAATGTAAAATGCTAATACATAATTACATGAGATTTTTAGTTATTGGTTTTAGCTGGGTAGAAAATAATGGGATAAACAAACAACTGTATATTGCAATTTGAATTATTTGCTCTTGTAATCTATTAATACCATGAATTAATAACTTTAATACGAAAAAAGTACATTGGGTACTTTATTTTTCAAGGACTGATTTCTAACAAAGTACAAGTTGCTTTTGATCACATTGCATTCCTTCTTTATAAGTTTAAATATTGGTTTATGTTTCTGCTTAATTATTCCAAGGTAAATGTGCAGACTTAAGCTCACCAGAAAATTATGTAGTTTAGTTTATCTTATTTAAACAGGGATGAAAGGTCTTGTTTTCTAAAAGGATGTTTTGAGAATTATTTGAGTATCCCCTGAGATTATTATTGCCGCCATCTTGATTAGAGGGTAGCTAGATTAATATACATTGAAAAAAATTTTCTTACTATTAAACTTTCATGTAAATATAACTACTTTTTGTTTTCCCTAAGCATTGATTATTTTTCTGCAAATATTGTTGAAAATGAGTTGAATGGCTCTTATAACACTTGATCATTTTTCCTTTTTTTCCAAAATGAAACATTCAAATTTATTCTACTTGAGTGGGGATAATTAGAAAAATAAATATCATCTCTTGTTAAGACATTATTCAAATATATTTAAGTACAATAAAAGCCCATATATAATGTAAAATATGAGTTTTGACCTATGTATACACCACTAAATCTATAATAATCATCAAGATAAACATTTACATCACCCTCAAGAATTTTCTCAAGTCACTTTAAAATCTATCCCTCCTTTTTACAACTATCCCTAGGCATCCATTTATCTACTTTTGATCACTACAATTTAGTTTACATTTACATGTAAGAATGTATATACATAGAGTCATGCAGTATTATTTTTAATTTACTTTATTATCTTTGAAATGTACTTATTTACTTTTATTTAGTTATAGTTGACAAATAAAAATTGTATATATTTAAGGTGTACAAATGTGATGCTTTTAAAAATTTATCATTAGTATTATTTTTGATTGGCCAACAATAATTGTATCCATTTATGGGGTACAATGTAATTTTTGTTATATGTATATAGTGTTAAATGATTCAGTTAAGCTCATTAACATGTCCATTACCTCACCTACCTTTTTTATGGTGAGACATTTAAAATTTACTCTTAGTTACTTTGAAAAGCACATTATTGACTGTAGTGATCCAGCTATGCAATAACTCTCAAAACCTATTTCTCCTGTCTATCTGCCTGTCTACCCTTTGATCAATAACTCCCCATTTCCTTCCTTCCCATGCACCCACCCCAGCCTCTGCTGACATCATTTTACTCTGTTTCTGTGAGTTAAACTTTATAAGCTTCCACAGTTAAGGAAGATTATGAGGTAGTTGTCTTTTTGTGTTTGGCTTATTTAACTGAACACCAGTGTCCTCTAGATTCATCCATGTTGTGCAAATGACAAGATTTATCATTTTTTAAATGCTCAATAGTATTCCACTGTGTATCTATACCACATTTCCTTTATCCTTTCATTCATTGGTGGACATTTAGGTTGATTCCATATCTAGGCTGTTGTGAATAATACTGTCATGAACATGGGACTGCAGATACCTCTACCAGGTACAGACTTTTTTTTTTTTCCTTTGGGTATAAACCCAGACAAAGGATTCCTGAATTATAAGGTGGCTCTCATTTTCTTTTTGGGAGGAACTTTTATACCACTTTCTATGATGGCCATGCCAATTTACATTCCCAACAAGTGTTCCTTTTTATCTACTTCCTCTTCAGTACTTGTTATTGTTCATCTCTTTGAATAAAGCCATTCTAATGAAGTGATTTTTCACTCTGGTTTTAATTTGCATTCCCCTAATGATTAGTGATGCTGAGCACTTTTTTAGGTACTTGTTGGCCATTTGTATGTCTTCTTTTGAGAAATATCAATTAAAGATAATTTGCCCATTTTAAAATCAGGTTGTTTTCTTGATATTGATTTGCTTGAGTTATTTGTATATTTTGAATATTAACCCTCTATCAGATGTGTGGTTTGCAAATATTTTCTCACATTATTTGAATTGTCTCTGCTGAGCTTTCACAGCTGGCATACATTCGCATGTATATGTGTGCATCAATAATTTATACTACTTGTTCCTGTTATTACATCCTACAGATATAACAGAGTTTGTTTATCTAGTACCTATTGATGGACATTTTACGTGTTTTTAGTTATTGACTACTATGACAAAAAACTTCTGCAAAGATTTTTGCAGATTGTGTGGATATATAAATACTATTCTCTGGAATAAACATTTTTGTTTGATTTCTTCAGGTAAATTTTTCAAAAGCAAAGAATTATAATTTTGCTGTCGTCTAGTTTATTAAATTTATCAAACTGGACTTTTACATGTTATACGGTTCGTGTTTTTTCTGAAAAAATATTACCTAATTTAAGGCCATGACAATTTATGTCTAAGCTTTCTTTTTAAAGTTTTGTAGATTTTGGTTTTACCTTAGGGCTGTTATTAATTTTGAGTTCATTTTTGTGGAGTAGGTGTTCATTATTTTTCCATGTTTATTTCTAGTTGATCAAGCACTAGTTAATAGAAAGGACTTTTCTTTTTCTAGCTAAGAGTTTGACAAAGTTGTTGATCTTTTCAGAGTGTTAGCTTTCCATTTTGTTAATTCATATTTTCTATAATATGTCTGTTTTCCAGTTTGATGATTCTGGCTTTATCTTCATTATTTCCTTTCTTCTATGTATTTTGAATTCACCATGCACTTAGTTGTAGATTTTTTAGGTGGAATCTTAGTATATGTATTTTAGATAATTCTTATTTTCTAATAGAATCACATAACTCCAGATTTTCACTAAGCAGTGCTTTAACGGAACCCCCCAATATTGTAGTATGTTGCATTTTTGTTGTGATTCAGCTAAAAATATAATTTTCCATTTGATTTCAACTTTGGCTCATAGTTATGTACAAGAATCTGTTTAACTTTCAGATATTTGGATTTTTCCTTGATATTTTGCTGTTATTGATTTCTAATTTAGTTCAGTTGTGCTCAGAAAACCCTGTATTTTTTATTTTTATATGTATAAAGATTTTATTTATATCCCACCATATTAACTATTTTGGTGAATAGACGATTTTACTTGAAAAGCACATATATTCTGTAGTTGTTATTGTGTTTTAATGTCAGTTAGATCAAGGTAAATTATGGTATTTGCACTCATCAGGATTCCTTAGAGGGACAGAATAAGATATATATGTATATATATATATGAGTTTATTAAAGAGTATTAACTCACTCCATCACAAGGTGCCACAATAAGCCATCTGCAGCCTGAGGACCAAGAAACCCAGTCCGAGTCCCATAGCTGAAGAACTTGTCCAATGTTCGAGGACAGGAGGCATCCAGCATGGAAGAAAGATGTAGGCTGGGCGGCTAGGCCAGTCTAGTCTTTTCACGTTTTTCTGCCTGCTTTATATTCTGGCCATGTTGGCAGCTGATTAGATGGTGCCCACCCAGATTAAGGGTGGGTCTGCCTTTTCCAGTCCACTGACTCAAATGTTAATCTCCTTTGGCAACACCCTGGCAGATACACCCAAGAGCAATACTTTGCATCCTTCAATCCAGTCAAGTTGACCTTCAGTATTAACCATCACAGTATTGTTTAAAACTTCTATCCTTACTGAATTTTTATTATAGCTGTTTGATCACATTAAGAGGTATTAAAATCTTCTACCATGACTGTGAACTATTTTTTCTCTCTTTTCTTTGCATTATGTATTTTGAGGCTTACAATGAGACACATAAACATTTATACTTTGTGTGTTGTGTTACTTTCCTGTTGCTGCTGTAATCAATTACAAAAGACTTAGTTGTATAATAAAACAAATTTATTGTCTTAACCATTTTGGAAGTCAGAGGTCTGAAATGATTCTCACTGGGCTAAAATCATGTGTGGGTCGGGCTGTGTTCCCTTGTGGAAGCTCCAGAAGGATTCTGTTTTCTTGTTTTTTTTTTCAGCTTCTCTGAGGCTGCCCACATTCCTTGCCTCATGGATTCCTTCCTTTCTCAGAGCCTGCAATGGCAGATCTAGTCTTTCTCACATCATATCACTCTGACTCTTTTTTCTTCTTCACAAGTCCATCTCTGTCTCAAACTTTCCTTGCAATTAATTGCATCCACTTGGATAATTCAAGATAACTTTCTCATGTCAACATCTTTACCTTGGTCGCAGCTGGTAATGTGTTTGCAGTTTCCGAAGGTAAAGGTGTCAGTATCTTTGGGAGGTCGTTATTCTCCCTCCCGTTTGTGTCTTTATGAATATCCCCTTTCATCAGAATTAAATACCTCTCTTTTTCTCTGCTGATCTCTCACTTGACATATCTTAGCTAATAATCAAATATCTACGCTAGCCCTCTTATGCTTTTTGTTTGTATAACACTTTCCATTCATTTACTTTTAACCTGTCTGCATTTTTATGTGAAATTAAAATGTGTCTTTTTAGGCAGCATATGATAGAATATTGCTTTCTCATTGACTGTAAATCTCCTTATAATTGGAGTGTTTAACAAGCAGTCAGTAATTAACAGGGTCAGGGAATAAATATTTTACTTTTTCTGGGCTACATACAGTCTCTGCCATATTTTTTTTTCTCTTGTAAACCATGAAAAATGTAAAGACCATCCTCATCTCTGAGTCACATATAAAAGAAGCCCTTGGGCAAGACTTTGCCCATGGGCTATAATTTGCCATCCACTGGTTTAGGCTATTAAGTTTAATGCCATTGTTGTTACTATTTCAATTAGGCCTACAATTTTTATTTATATTCTGTTTTTTTTCCTATGTTTTTTTCACATTCTATGCCCATTTTTCTGCCTTCTATTGAGTTATTCGAAGTTTTAGTATTTGATTTTAATTTATATATTGGCAATATTTTTGGTTTTTGTTTTGTTTCATTTTGTTTTGTTTTAAGCGATTCTATAGGAATTTTAAAATACAAACCTACATTTTCAAAGTTTCCTTGAAATAGACTTGAGTTCATATTTTGACACTTTACATAAAATGTGAAACATTGCAACCATTTGGATTCCTTACACACACCTTATCTAATTATCTTTTTGACATCATGCATTACATCTCAAATCATTAAAAATCCCATCAGGAATTAAGATATTTTTTCTTTTAAGTAGTTACGCATATTTTAAAGAACTAAAAAAATATTTTATATGTATTCATCTATATGTGGTTTCTTTATTCTTCCTTCATTTTTGAAGATCCCAATTTTTTTTCATCTGAAGAAGTTTCTTCTCCATTTCTTGTAGAGCAGATTTTCCAGAGATAAATTCCATTAATTTATCTTTCATCAAATGTCCACTACACCTCTTCCTTCCTATTTCTGAAGGATTGTTTTTCTTTGCTCTTGAGAATTCTACATTGACATTTCTTTAAGCATGGGGTTTCACTATCTTCTAGTCTCCTCTGTTTTCAAAGAGAAAGCCATATAAATTGACCCATTGTTCCCTCATATGCCATATATCATTTTATCTAACTGCTTTAAAGCTATTTTCTTTACCTTTGTTATTTATCAATTTGATTAGGATAAGTCTAAGTATTGTTTTCTTTGAATTTTCTTATTTGGAGTGTACTGAGCTTCTGGAATGTGGGGATTTATATTTGTCAATATGCTTGAGCCACTATTTCTTTCTGGCCACTATTTCTGCAATTTTTTTGTGTGTGTAATCTCTTACTAATCTCTGGAACTTTACTTACACATATGTTATACCCTTTGAAATTGTTTCACAGGCTCATGATATACTTTTCAGTTTTATCTATCTCATTTCTCACTGCCCTTCCAATTAGGTAATGTTCTCTTGTTTCCTCTTCAAGTCAACTGACTCTTTACCCCATCATCTCGTTTCTGCTGGTGAGCCAATAGTGAAAGTTTTTGTTTTATTTCAGGGATTTTTTTTTTTTTTTTGAGATGGAGTCTTGCTTTGTCGCCCAGGCTGGAGTGCAATGGTGTGATCTCCGCTCACCGCAACCTTCACCTCCTGGGTTCAAGCGATTCTCCTGCCCCAACCTTCTGAGTAGCTGGGATTACAGGTGCGTGCCACCATGCGAGGCTAATTTTGTTTTGTTTTGTTTTTTGTATTTTTAGTAGAGACGGGGTTTCGCCATGTTGGCCAAGCTGGTCTCAGACTCCTGACCTCGTGATCTGTCTGTCTCGGCCTCCCAAAGAGCTAGGATTACAGGCGGGAGCCACTGCGACTGGCCCAAATAGTATTTTTTTTTTTTAAGTTCTAAAATTTCAATTTGCTCCATTTTATTCTTTCTGTCTTTTTACTGAGAAGTCCTATAGTTTCATCCATTTCATTTTATCTATTTTAGAATATATACATTTTCTTCACCTCATAAATGATAAGCAAAGCTGCTCTAAAATAGTTGCTCTAAAATCTACTATCTGATAAATTTAACATCTAGGTCATTTTAGTATTTGCATGTGTTTGTTGTATTGTTCCTTTACAATTCACCTCACTGTACTGGTTGTCAAAAAATACTGAATTGTGTCCTGGATATTGTAAATATTATGTTGTGCATTCTCTGTATCTTTAGATAAATATGTGGGGATTTTATTTTTCAAGGAGTTAATCACCTCTAAGTTTTGTGTTCCATCCTGTCAGCAGTGACTCAAACCTCAAGTGATTTCTCAAAGCTTTTGCTGTGCTGGTTTGTGCGTGCAGAGCTAGGGCATAGGCTAAAATTTCTGTGGGTTTTTACACAGAATTTTGACATACCCTTCTCTGACTCCTAGCTGAGATTACCCTCACACTCTCCAACATTATGTATGCTTTTTTCCAAGATACCTCTGTCCTTCTGGACAAGTTTTAGTTACCACGATCACTTTGAACCTCTTCAACTAGGGCCCGTCCCCTGGGAAAAGCCTTGAGAGAAAAACAAAGAAAAAAAATGGAAGCTAGTTTTCATTTCCCATCACAATCTTCCTGATTTTTTTCCTCTTGAGAACCCTTGGATAGTTGTTTTTGAAATTTATTTCATATTATTTTCAGAGTTCTAAATTCTTATTAGTAGTGAAGATGTACTATCTTGGGTTTCAGCTGCCATTATATAATGAAAAATCTTTATATATTCTACTTCTAGTACAACTTTAAAGCATTAATATATTTGGTATGTCTAGTGTCTGGAACCAATAACCTACGTGTTTTAGTTTCAGTTTTCAGCAGTATTTTTATTATTTTTCTTTTTTAAAATTTATTTTTCACATTGTTTAGAGTATTTTACATCATATATTCTCAAAAACATTATTTTTGTAATGTAAGATTGTTTAAACTACAAAATTTAAAAAAGTGTTTAAGTATCTTTTCTTTCTGTCAGTGTATCAGTCCTTTGGACAGTCAATTTTGTTTAATATTTTCTTCATTAGCCTGGTGTTTGTTGACATGTTTACATAGAGACAAAAACTATCTTCATGAAAACTGTAATAAGTTTACTGGTAGATATATAAGTATTTTAAATTTTAATTTGAAAGATATTATAACTTTAGCTGAATTTAGAGTTATATGTTTAAAGTCTTAAATAGTATCCTTTAACTATAAAACGTTATTTCTACTCATATAGAATGAATTTCACATAAAGCAAAAGAAAATCTTTAAGATCACTAAACAAATTCTCAAATTTTGTCATGGATTATATTTACATATTTTATTTTATTTTTTATTTCTATTGAAAGTTTTTTTTCTTATGGATCTAACCTATGCTTGATGAATGCCATTTTTAGACTGGTTATTAATGTCTTACATGTTTGTTATAAATTACTTGTGAGTCTCTAGCAGTCTAGTTTCCTTTTTGATTAATCTAGATTCTTATAGTATTTCTTTACATACATTCCTGAAAATTTATTATTTTTCACAATTAAAGTTACTCATGAATTCCAGGAAAATACCAAATATATTGGAAATCTACCTCACGTTTCCAAACTTTTGCTACATATAAGAATAAATTTTTAACTTTAGCATGATACTGACTTGCTCATATATTTGCCTAACCTCTTCACTATTGTAGATACAAGATTATTACCTTCTAAGTGACCTATAATTAATTGAAAGACCAAATCATGTAAATAATGTTTAAAGTAGATGAACACGATGATAGAAAATTCACTTATGGTAAATTATATAAATATGCTAGTGAAAGATTGATGAATACTTAAGTAGAAAGTAATATAATTCTTAATATTAATTTCATTAGTTGCTACAGTTCAGGTTTTATTTTTTGTAATAGAAATAGAAAAAATATCACGAGATATATGTCTACATTTAGTGGGGTATTGGGTTAGATAACCATTTGGAATATGTAACCATGATTGTAATTTAAAATTTAGCCTGTCCTCTCTTTTAGTTACACTCCTTTTAAGCCTGTATGATTGTATTATGAAAGTTGAAACTTGTTTTTTTTTACGTTTATGCCACCACTATTTATTAAATCTTAATTCCCTTTATGTGAAGATTATGACACATTTTTAGTTGTATATTGCAATCAAATGCCCATGATATATGTGGAAGTTGTCTAATAAGTATATTTTTTGGCAGTTGAAGCCTGGTTTGTTATTAGATATTTTATTTCGCAACAAATTCATAATAGTAATAAAACTCTTAGTACCTTATGTGAAAGGCCACAAAAAGCTATTGTCGTAATTAAATATTTACCTATTAATAAAGCTCAGAATACTTTTGTTATGCATCATGGCCATCAAAGTTGTATGGAGACAAAAAATTACAAAGACATTACACAATGTTAAACACACACACACACACACACACACACACGCACACACACATACACACACACAATTACCAGAACAGTCTTATACCACCTGAACCAAGCACCTACAGGGTAATACTGCTAAGAGTGAGTAGAAAAGAGTCAAACCATTTATAATTTGATAGAAGCCGCATTTACTGTAATAGCACTAAACTTAAGGTGTTAGAAAATTAAGCCTTTTTTTGCTCAAAACCTCTTTTGTGTTTCAGCTTAAACAGATTTCTTGGCATTCTTCCAGTTCATTTTCAACATTTCCGAGGCGTTACTTTACTAAGAAGCAGGAATTGAACTAAACTTCCAATTTCTAAAACAAAGGAGAAAACAGGCATGTGATATACAGTTTAATGCAGTAAGCACTGGTTACATAGTATGTTTGATTACAATTAGAATATCATTAAGTTTTGTGACTAGGTAATCATTACATAGTAACTATTAATTAGACTTAATTATTTTATGTATAAATTTAATTTAACAGTTACATACTAACAATGCATGCTAAGAAATATTAGAAATTTTCATTTACTTTTTTTTTCTATTTGAGCTTGCTGCACCTGCCTTTAATTCTCCTTAGACATAATGGTGATTTGTAAATGCATTTTCTCCTGTAGTATAAAAGAGAGAGTTAGCAGTATCAGATACATTCTAAGGTTATGGTTACATTAAATAATCCCATAACACAGAATCATGTTACTTATTTACATGCTGTCCATATAATTAATAGATGTGTGCTTTATTGAGTAATTCTTATCTCAAATTCTCTGAATATAACAGTGGATGTACATTCTCTATATATAAAGTGATTTTACTAGCATGATTGGTTAGATGTATAGGATGAGGTAAATAAGATGTGAACATAATTTAAACATATAAAGAAGCTTATTTCAGTAAACACTTAGAAATTAGAAAAATTCCTTGGTCATAGCAGACACACATTTTATATCTGTGATTAAAATCTTGTCTTATGACCCTGACTTTTACACTCACCATAGTACATTTAAGCCAATGAAACTTTAAAGAAGATGGCTCATTTGCAGACATAAATTGGTTCTACTGCCTGCAACTATTTAGGTTTTATGTCCAGTATGGTAATTTCAAGGACAGCAACTGAGAAAAATGGAAAGCATATCTCTTCATCCAGAAGATAAAAAGAACAGACCATTAAAAAAGAAAGGTGAAGAGTCTTTTATTGTTAAGCTGTAGATTTTTAACCCAAACTTTATGTGAGCCCCCTGGGAAAATGTGAAATACCACATTCTTCATGTGTATAGATACTGTCGATTGTCCTCGTTTTATAACATTATTGTCTCTCTGACAGGTGTTATTTGATTCAGATCAGATCTTGTTAAAATGTATTTCAGAGATAATGGTAAGAAAATTTTTAAGGAACTTTAGGAAATATTCAATCCTTGAGATGATAAGCCTTAGAAGTGAACAAACAGCAAACAAATAAATAAAAACATATTTTGTAACTGGATTTATCACTGCCTGTTGGCGTCTGTTTAACAGTCAGAAATACTAAAGTCTACTTGAATCTTACCCTTGCTTTCTGTCCTTTCTCTGGAATGAAGACCTTGCCCTGGGAATCCCAGTTCTCACTGGGACAATGAATATCTTAGTTCAAGCTGCTGTACTAAAATAGCACAGATAGGGTGGGTTAAACAACAAACATTTATTTCTCTAAATCTAGGGGCTATAAGTTGGAGATTAGGATGCTAGCACGGTTGGGTGACTGGTAAGGGCCCTCTTTTTGGTTATGTACTGGCATGGCCTTTACTTGGTGCGCACACACACATACACACACACACACACACACACACACACACACACACAAATCTGGTGTCCCTTTCTCTTTTTATAAGGGCAGTAATCCCATCACAGGTGTTTCACCCTCATAACGTCACTTAAACCTAATTGCTCCCCAAAGGCCCTACTTCCAAATACCATTACTTTGAGGGTTAGGAATTTAACATAGCAATTTAGGGAGGACACAAGCATTCAGTGAGCTTTCTGGGTTTAACAGAGAAGACACCTCATGGATAGGACAAGTACAGAATTTCCACAGCGTGAGGGGACAGCAAGTCATCTGCCACAAGGTCTTAGTGTATCTTTCAGGATATTCAAGACAAAAAAAAAACTCAGTGAAGTCTGTAACAGCTCAGTATGATGTGATCTCAGCCTCACACTGTTCATATGGATCTAATCCTAAAACATTGGTTAATTCATTTAAATTACCAAGTTTCAATTTCCCATTTTGTAAAGTGAAAGAGACATATCTATGAATTAAGGCATACTGAGGTTAGGGTTGTAATTAAATTTTTTCAACAATATGAATCAGCCGTATGGTACACACCAAGCCCTCTTCTAGGATTTTAGTGTATAGAATTGAATAAAGCAAACAAACACCCCTGCTTTCATGGACATTGGCAAGAGAAACCAATGACTTTAAAAAATAAAGTAGAAAAATAATGTGGGAAACAGTGAGAAAGTCTAAGGAAGAAAAAAGTAAAACAGTGCAGTGAGACACATCAGTCAGCTTGCCATAATAATTATGCATCATAAACACCCAAAAACACAGTGTCATACGATAATTATCACGTTGGAAACTGCTGATCAAAGCCAGGTTTGAATAAGGAGCTTGGCTTCAAACAGCAGTGCTTGACTCATTGGTATGGATCCAGTAACACATATAACCAGGCTGAAGAGGCAATAAGTACAGAGAGGATATCATCTTATGGTGATGGCAGAAGCACAAGAAAACAAGCCCGACAACAAAGACATATTTAAAGTGTTTGTTCACATCACATCCAAAAATGTCATGTGGCTAAGCCAAACATCAGTTCATCAGGGTAATACACTAGCCTTCTATTTGGAGGTCTTTTGGAGTGAAATTTTGCTAAACAATTTAATCCATATCAGACATATATGCTTGTGGGTGAAATTTTAGGTAGATAAAGAAAATATGGTAAGAGAGGGACCTGCTGCAAATGTAGGAAAAGTACATTCCAGGCAGAGGGAACAAGGGCAGATTATTCAAGCAAGAGCAATTCTAGGAAATTCAAGAGGCAGCGCAGAGGCTAATGTTGCTGAAGCTGAATAAGCAAGGGTCAGAGAGGAGGGGAAGATGAGGCCATGAAGTTAACAAGCTGCCAGATGTTATAGAGATGTGCTGTCCAGTCCGGCAGCCACTTGTTACATATGGCTATGGAGCACTGGAAATGCTGCCGGTACAACTGAGCAACTGAAATTTTGATTTCTTTTTACTTTAATTAACTTAAATTTAAAATGTGATGCTCGATTTAGTTATTGGAAAACTTTTAAGTAGTTTTGGAACAAATTGAGTATGTGAATCTGTTTATTCGGTTGTACATTATATAAAATCTAAATGCAGAAGAGGCTTTCCCAATACAAATCTAGTGGCTTATTTGAGATATGCTGTAAGTGTAAAGTACACAACAGGTTTTGAACTCTTAGAACAAAAAATAAAGGATATAAAATATCTCACTAACTATATCTCACTAATTTTGTTACTTATTTTTAATTTATATGGATATGTATTAGTTGTATGTATTTAAGGGATCCATGCTACATTCTAATGCAAGCAAAAGTGTGTAATCCTCAAATCTGGGTAACTGGGATATCCCTCACTTCAAACAGTTATCATTTCTTTGTGTTGAGAACTGTACGAGTCTGTTCTCACGTTGCTAATAAAGGCATACCGTAGACTGGTCATTTATAAAAGAAAAAGATGTAATCAACTCACAGTTCCACATGGGTGGGGGGAAGCCTTACAATCATTGCTGAAGGCAAATGAGGAGCAAAGTCATGTCTTACATGGTGGCAGGCAAGAGAGTGTGTGCACGGGAATTCCCTTTAAAAAAGCATCAGATGTTATGAGACTTACTCAGTATCACAAGAACAGCACTGGAAAGACCCACTCCCATGATTCAGTTACCTCCCACCAATCCCCTTCCATGACACATGGGAATTATGGTAGCTACAATTCAAGATGAGATTTGAGTAGGGACACAGCTAAACCATATTGGGAACATTCTAAGTCTTATAGCTATTTTGACATATACAGTAAGTTATTGTTAACTATAGTTGCCCTCTTGTGCTACCAATCACTACGTCTTATTCCTCCTATCTAACTGCAATTTTGTACCCATTAACCAATCTCTCTTCATTTTTCCCTGCTCAATATCCTTTCCAGCCTCTGGTAACCACCATTCTATTCTTCCTCCATGAGATCAGTTTTTTCAGCTCCCAAATATAAGTGAGAACATTGTCTTTTACCGCCTGACTTATTTCACTCAGTGTCCTCTGGTTTCGTCTATATTGCTGCAAATAATAAGATTTCATTCTCTTTTATGGCTGAATAACATTCCATTGTGTACGTGTCTCACATTTTCTTTATCCATTCATGCACTGGTGAACACTTAGGTTGATTCCATATTATGGCTATTATTATTATTATGAGGCGGAGTCTCACTCTGTTGCCAGGCTATAGTGCAGTGGCACGATCTTGGCTTACTGCAACCTCCACCTCTCCGGTTCAAGCTATTCTCCTGCCTCAGCCTCCCGAGTAGCTGGGACTACAGTCACGTGCCACCATGCCCAGCTAATTTTTGTATTTTTAGTAGCGACAGGCTTTGACCATGTTGACCAGGATGGTCTCTATCTCTTGACCTCATGATCCACCCTCCTCGGCCTCCCAAAGTGCTGGGATTACAGGTGCGAGCCACCGCGCCACCTGGCTATTATTTTTTTTTATATTGACTACGTGTTGAAATTATACCACTGTAAATATATTGGCTTGCATTATGTTATTACAATTAATTTGACCTTTATTCTGTTTCTTTTTCAGTATGGCTCTTAGAAAATTTAACATTGCATAGGTGGCTCCCATTGCCATTGTCTATATTAGACAGCACTAATATAGAGCTTTATAATATCAAGGAGGACTTTGAAAAGGATGAGAGGCCACTGGAGAGTTCTGATCGGAGGTACAAGCAGTCTTCTCAGATCATATTTTAAGTGAATGACCTTTGCTTCAGAGCTGAGAATAGACTGAAAGGGGTACAAAGGCAGAAGCAAGGGAGGGACACCAGTAGGGAGACTATTGCAAGACATCAAGTGCATTTCATAGTGTTATTGTAATTTACATCACCTTAACATAAATGTATATAACTATTAGTGAACATCGTTTTAAAAAGAACAAATAACATATTCAGTATATATTAATTAGAATGGATTACATTAAAGACAAGAATTGAGTTTGTTATATATTTTTCTTTATTCAAATCATTTCAAGAATTTATAAAAACAACTCGACTGTATTTTTAAGAAATGCATGCAATTCTAGAAAGCAAGAGAAAAACATTAATCACAGGGAAATATTACATTCTAGGTATAATGTAAAATTGTGCTTTTTTATGCTAAATGTATGGTCAAAAGAGTAATGTGCCTAGTTTTAAAATAGTATTCACCTTTGTGAAAATATGCACACCTATATTTTTCTCTAAGTGGTTTCCAACTTGCTTGGATAATCATCACATATTGATAAGAAAAACAAACAATATTTCTGTAAGTTGTCTTAAAGTTATTCAAGAAGAAAATGGTATTTCTGTATATTCGTTTAAAAACCTTTGATTTTAGTTATTCAATTTAATAATATTTAGTCGAGTGTGGTAGTGCATGCATGTAATCACACCTCCTCAGGAGGCTGAGGCAGGAGGATCATTTGAACACAGACGTTCAAGACCAGCCTGAGCAATACAGCAAGACCCCATCTCAAGTAATAATAGTAATAATAGAAATAATAATAATATTTATTGTACAACACTAGAAATAGACTGTTAGTATTTTTCAAACATGCAAATAATTGAACATACTTACAAATATTTCAATAAGTCTAGGGAACCGGAATCTACTTATGTAGAATAGCTTAGAAAGCATCATAAATTAACATACAACTTAATGTGCTTATAAGAAAATATGTGTCATAGATAGTATACAAATGAGCAATAAGAGAAAAAACTCTTTGAAAGGTAACATCATCACAGTATTTTGAAGTAGAACCTAAGGAGGAGATAATATTGAATCTGAGTCTAATACAACATTAAAACAATAATGATCAGATAATAATTAATCTGAATCAAATGTGATATTAAAACATACATGACTAATTCAGATTAGTGTATTTATTCACATAGATCCCTTCATTGCAAATTTACAGCTCACCAACACTAACATGTCTTCTCTCTGCTTTAGTATTGTGGACATGAAAAATTTCCTGCCCTTGGAATGAAGATGAAGGCTTAATCAGAGCAAATCTCCTCTTTAAATCATTATTTTTAGTACTCTTGGTATCTCAGAATTCTTCACATGCAACAGAATTTGAAACATTGCTGGTTAGGTACAAGTTATTTTTATGATAATCCTCTTTGTTTAAATGATCTTTGATGTTTCTTGGGCTGCTAATAATTTTGCTAAGATTGTAAGAGCAATTATCAATGAGTTCAGTCTAATGCCAAAAAAAAATTCTTATTTTTAAAAAACTTTTAAATTCAGGGGTACAAGTACTGGTTTGTTACACAGGTAAACCTGAGTCAGAGGGTTTGTGTGTCTGTGTGTGTACAGATTATTTCATCACCCAGGTATTAAGCCTAGTACCTATTAGTTATTTTTCCTGATCCTCTCCACCTCCCACCCTCCACCCTTTGATAGTTCCCAGTGTGTGTTGTTCCCCTGTATGTGTCCATGTATTCTCATCATTTAACTCCAACTTATAAGTGAGAACATGCAATAATTGGTTGTCTGTTCCTAAGTTAGTTTGCTAAGGATAATGGCCACCAGATCCATCTATGTCCCTGCAGAGGACATGACATCATTCTTTTTTATGGCTACATAGTATTCCGTGGTGAACATGTACCACATTTTCTTTATCCAGTCTATCATTGATGGACATTTAGGTTGAATCCATGTCTTTGCTATTGTGAATAGTGCTGCAGTGAACATACAAATGAATGTGTCTTTATACTAGAATGATTTACATTCCTTTGGGTATATACCCAGTAATGGGATTGCTGAGTTGATTGGTATTTCTGTCTTTAGGTTTTGAAGAATCCCCACACAGTCTTCCACAATGGCTGAACTAATATACACTGCCACCAACAGTGTAACAGTGTTCCTTTTTCTCCACAACCTAGCCAGGGTCTGTTGTTTTTGACTTTTTAATAATAGTCATTCTCACTGATGTGAGATGGGTATCTCATTGTGGTTTCGATTTGCATTTCCCTAATGATCAGTGATATTGAGCTTTTTATCAAATGATTGTTGGCCACATGTATGTCCTCTTTTGAGAAGTGTCTGTTCATGTTCTTTGCCCACTTTTTAATGGGGTTGGTTTTTTTCTTGTAAATTTGTTTAAGTTTCTTAGAGATGCTAGATATTAGACCTTTATCAAATGCATAGTTTGCAAACATTTTCTTCCATTCTGTAGGTTGTTTTATTACTCTGTTGATAGTTTATTTTGCTGTGCTAGAAGCTCTTTAGTTTAATTATACCCCGTCAATTTTTCCTTTTGTTGCAATTGCTTTTGGCATCTTCATCATGAAATCTTTGCCCATGTCTATGTCCTGAATGATATTATCTAGGTTGCCTTCCAGGGTTTTTATACTTTTGGGATTTACATATAAGTCTTTCATCCATCTTGAGTTAATTTTTGTATACAGTATAAGGAAGGGGTCCACTTTCAGTCTTCTGCATATGGCTAGCCAGTTATCCCAGCACCATTTATTGAATAGGGAATCCTTTTCCCATTGCTTATTTTTGTCAAGTTTGTTGAAGATCAGGTAGTTATAGATGTGCATTCTTATTTCTGAGTTCCCAATTCTGCTCCATTGGTCTATATGTCTGCTCTTGTATCAGTACCATGCTGTTTTGGTTATTGTAGCCCTGTAGCTTTTCTGTGATTTTTTCCAGATAGTATAAAATGTTTAATTTCTATGATGCAAATACTAGGGCGATCAATGCTAAAACGGTTGTCCTGTACAATTTTTTCTTACCATACCAAAATTTTTTCTTATGACTGTTTATTTTAATTATTTTAAGAGATCTTTATTAACCTAATAAGTATTGGATATGTAAAATTTAAAGATAATATCTTAATAAACCAAGATTTTAATTTTATTTGGATATATGCAGGTTTGTTTTGAAAGGCAAATTCTGAAAAAACAGGCATTATATTATTTATGAAACAACTTGAATACTGATATATCTATATCACCAGTAATTCTTCCTTTGATAACTCAGAAGTTTTTATGAAAGAGGTTCATTTAATCTTTGTTTTCTAAATACATAGGTGAAATTATACTTAAAAATGATACAGCTATTCATGAAAAATTCAAATATATAACATAACCAATAGAAGACAAATTAGCCATTGGAAGTACAGCTACAATATTTTTATTCATATTTTATGTATGATTTGATGAAGGAAAGATATTCTGATTAGAAAAAGGAGAATAATATTAGAAATATGAATAATTCACCTTACTTATCAAATTTTTCTTATGACCAGTAAATGTTTTATCATGAATGAAAGTCAAATTAGAGAGAAAGCCAGTATGTGCTAAGAAGTCACATATAGGTATTCCTTAATAAAAATTACTCTTGTGACTCAAGGATCATAAAATATGCTGAGATGTATGCATAACTTGGCTGTTTAAAATTAGAACAAAAACTGCATATCCAGTGTTATGGTTAACTGGAAATAAGCACACATCTAATTTAGTATTCCACATAGCCATTAGAATTCCCATGGTACATGGACTGAATCCAGTTAATTGTCATAGCTTTTTCTACATATGACAGAACACAGAGAACTGGATCTATGAAATCATTAATTGAATTACCCTTTAAATGTGCCAAAAGATATATTAGTTTTTACTCCCTTGGTAGTTTCCCTCAGCATAAATCAAATGAGAAAATTTAAATGACTGAAAAAAAAGAACAGTGAGTGTTACAGGTTATTTTAAATGTGCAGTTAGACCTTAGTTAATTTAAGGGGCCAGCTTTTTTTTTTTTTTTTTTTTTTTTTTTTTTTTTTTTTGAGACAGAGTTGCGCTCTGTTGCCCAGGCTGGACTGCAGTGGTGCAATCTTGGCTCACTGCAAGCTCCGCCTCCCGGGTTCACGCCATTCTCCTGCCTCAGCCTCCAGAGTAGCTGGGACTACAGGTGCCCGCCACCACACCCGCTAATTTTTTGTATTTTTAGTAGAGACGGGGTTTCACTGTGTTAGCCAGGATGGTCTCGATCTCCTGACCTCGTGATCCTCCTGCCTCGGCCTCCCAAAGTGCTGGGCCAGCTTCTTTACAAAATAATTATAAAGGTCTAAGAAAGACAATCTATTACAATAGATATAACACTGGATTGAAGTCCAAATTTCTGTGTCTTTAGAAATATCAAACAAATGTGGGTGTATTTCTCATCTTCTTTTAAATGGAGTGATGACATCTGGAATACATACTTATCCTGGTTTTCATTCATCCATTTTACTGTTATTGACTGAATAGCTACTTATATTCAGGTGCTGTAGAAGAACTGTGAGGCAAGTAACATTGTTCTTTCCCTCATTGAATGTATAAATTAGGCTGGCTGGGTGTGGTGGCTCACACCTGTAATCCCAACACTTTGGCAGGCCGAGGTAGGTGGATCACCTGAAGTCAGGAGTTCGAGACCAGCCTGGGCAACATGGCGAAACCCCATCTCTATTAAGAATACAAAAAAAATTAGCTGGGCCTGGTGGCGCATGCCTATAATCCCAGCTCTTGGGAGGCTGAGGTAGGAGAATCACTTGAACCTGGGAAGCAGAGGTGACAATGAGATGAGATCACGCCACTGAACTCCTGGCCCACAGCCGGGACAGCAGAGCAAGACTTTGTCTCAAAGAAAAAAAAAGAAAAATAATTTTTAAATTAGGGAGATAGAACATACATGGGTACATTAAAATGAAATATATCAAAGGTGGTTAGGTTTTGACCATACTGCCAAAAGCAGTCTACAAATTCAATGCAATTCTCATCAAAATAACACCATAATTCTTCACAGAATTAGAAAAAATAATTCTAAAATTCATATGGGACCACAAAAGAGCCCTCATAGCCAAAGCAATACTAAGCAGAGAGAACACATCTGGAGGCAACACATTACCCAACTTCAAACTATACTATAAGGCTATAGTCAACAAAACAGCATGGATTAAATAGACACACAGTCCAATGGAACAAAATAGAGAACTCAGAAACAAAGCCAAATACTTACAGCCAACTGATCTTTGACAAAGCAAACAAAAACGTAAAGTGGGGAAAGGACACCCAATTCAACAAACGGTACTGGGATAATTGGCAAGCCACAAGTAGAAGAATGAGACTGGATCCTCATCTCTCACCTTAAACAAAAATCAACTCAAGATAGATCAAAGACTTAAATCTAAGTCCTGAAACCATAAAAATCCTAGAAGATAACATGGGAAAAATCCTCTAGACATTGGCTTAGGCAAAAACTTCATGACCAAGAACCTAAAAGCAAATGCAACAAAAACAAAGATAAATAGATGGGACTTAATTAAGTTAAAAAATTTCTCTACAGAAAAAGAAATAATCGGCCAGTAAACAGACAACCCACAGAGAGGAAGAGAATCTTCACAAACTGTGCATCCGACAAAGGACTAATATCAAGAATCTACAAGGAACCCAAATCAGCAAGAAAAAAAAAAAAATACCATCAATAAGTGGGCTAAGGACATGAACAGGCAATTCTCAAAGAAGATATACAAATGGGCAACAAATATATGTAAAATTCTCAACATTACTAATGATCAAGGAAATGCCAATCAAAACCACAATGTGATACAACCTCCCTCCTGAAAGAATGGCCATAATCAAAAAAATAAAAATACAATAGTGTTAGCACATACATGGTGAAAGTGGAACACTTTTAGACTGCTGGTGGGGATGTAGACTAGTAACACTGTCATGGGATCTTTACAGTGTCACTTTGCCAGCCAGAAACTTCTGTGGCTGGTAGTACCTCTGCTTGGGTTTTGCTTGCTTCCACTGGGCTCATTCTGCCCACTCAGCTCATGCTATTGGCCTAGATCCCATACCCGCCAAGGGTGAACCAGGTGGGGAGTGGTGAGGGGTGTATCAGTGGGCGAGTGCAGGGTCCAGCCACTGGGCCCAGCCAGGCACTTCAGCTGCTGTGGTGGGACAGGCAGCTCCAGGTGCCACTCCATGCAAGGCTGAACCAGGTGTATCTCAAGGGGCTTCCACTGTGGGCACAAGCATCTGGACCAGGGGAATGCAGTGGTGCCCGAAAGCTCAGAGACTTCAGGGAGTGAACAGCCCCAAAGATGGTGTTACATCACGCCACAGCCCTGGCATGGGGAGCCCCAAGGTCTAGGCTCCCAGAAGGACCACAGCTCTTCTCTCCTTCTCATTGCCTGCAACGTGGCAAGTAGGGGGCATGTTTCAGTCCTGTTTGTGTTACAGCTCTTTCAGTCCCGCCATTCTGCAGATCCTGAGTTCTTGTCTCATGTCCAAGAAGAATGAGGTATGCAGACAAGTGGTGGGTTAGCAAGGAGGAAAGCAGTTTCATTGAGCTACAGAAAAGCTCTCAGTAGACCCTAAGTGGGTAGCTCTATCCACTGGCAGGTCATCCTGACATCTGTCCAACTCTGGCTGAGTCGGGGTTTTATGGGCTCAGAGGGAGGAAGTGCTGATTGGTCCATGGTTGGCCATGGGTAGGCCTGGAAAAAGCACCAGAAGTTATCACTCTGGGCCACGATTCCACCCAGAACTTATAGCCCTAACTCCAGGCTTCAGGCTCTCCTTGGCTTGAAGGTGGACCCTCAGCTTTCTGCCCAGAAGGCTGTCTGCCTCCTGCTGCCATCAACATGTTGTATATGGCCCCCAGGCTGTTCATGCCAAGGGGTGCCTATAGGCCCCTGCTGAGCCACATTTAGTCTTCCCTCAGCCTCCCTCCTATGCTCCTAGGTGCCCAATGTCCAGAGGGGGTTGAGGTAGCAGGGGTCTGGTGTGTCAGCACCTCCTTGAGTGTGCACACACCTAGGTGGGATGGGACGGCACCTGGGCTGGGCCACAACTTTGCTCCAAAATCGGAGCAGGCACCAGGAATGGAGAGAGGTCAGGGATGGGAGCAGGCACTTCCCAGCCTTTGGGGGAAGGGGGAGTTCCTCACCTCCTGAGAGCAGAGCGCGACTGTGCGGCTGCACATGCACCAGGGAGTGCAGGGCTCCCACCCCACCTACTCGGTAGGAGGCAGGGCTTCTTCCTGTTCCTGGCCCCTGCCGGCTCTGTGGAGTGCACAAACCTGGCCAGACCTCCCCAACTGCAGCTGGCATCTTCACAGTGGCTGCTCCAGATGGGCTGCCACTGCCATCACAACCACTATGGAAAACTGTGTGGAGATTCCTTAAAGAACTAAAAGTAGATCCACTATTTTTCCAACAATGCCACTACTGGGTCATTATATGAAATAAACACTTGCACATGCATGTTTATAGCAGCACAATTAGCAAATGCAAAAATATGGAACCAGCCCAAATGTCCATTAATCAATGAGTGGATAAAGAAAATGTAGTGTGTGCGTGAATACTATTCAGCCATATGAAGGAACAAAATAATGGCATTTGTAGCAGCCTAGTTGGATTTGGAGACCATTATTCTAAGTGACGTAACTCAGGAATGGAATGCCAAACATCAAATGTTCATACTCATAAGTGGGAACTAAGCTATGAGGATGCAAAGGCATAAGAATGATACAATGGACTTTGGGGACTGAAGGGAAAGGGTGAGAGTAGGGTGAGGGATAAAATATTAGACACTGAGTACAGTGTATACTGCTCAGGTGATGGGTACACCAAAATCCCACAAATCAGCACTAAATAACTTATCCTTAGAACCAAACACCACCTGTTCCCCAAAAACCTATTGAAATAAAAAATTAAAATTAAAAAGAAGAAAAAAGGTGATTAGGCAGATTGAGACAGCTAGTACAAAGCACCGAAAGCACAAAAGAGTTCGGGATGATTAAGGTTTAAGAAGAAGAGTTAATTTAAATGTATGCAAGGTCACAAATAAGCCTAGGTTATTTTATGTGAAGCTTTGTAAAGAGTCATAAAAGTTTGGATTTAAGGAGTGTGAATAGGATCTTTAAAAGGTTTTAAGCAGGATAGTTACATTTGCTTAAAGTAGAAACTGGTAGGTGAGTAAGTCAGCAAGGGGCTTCTAAAACTGACCAGGTAGTGACTATGAACTGGGCAAGAGAGCTCATACTAAATATTGAGAGACATGAATGATATTTCTATATATTGTGCTTTAGTGGTGAGAAATCAATGACAAAGCTTTTAAAATTGACACCCTATTATAACCAAATCTAAGTTCAGCTGCTCATCACTTGAAAGCCAAACATGAGAGATGAGAGTTGGCAGGAGGAAAAGCAGGTTTATTCTGAGAGCCAGCAAACCAAGAAAATGGTGGACTAAAATCCCAAAGTACCATATTAAGTCAGTACAAATTTCAGCCTCTTTTTGGTTAAGGGCAGGGAGGGTGAAGAGATGGGGATTAGGATCAAGAGGTGACCAAGGGTGGCAGACATCTGAGTGTCAGTGAGGATCCAATGGGGTTGGAAAATTTTGTCTTTGGTCAAGTCACAATGCTTCCATAAATATTTAATGAGAAATATGGTTAATTTGTACATACTTTTCCTTTAACTCCAGAATTCGTTTTGAAAATTATGATTGCTGTCCTTGCGTATTATGAGCGTTATTAAATTATTCTAGCCTCCATGTAAGAATGGATAAAGGCTCCTTAAACAAAAATGGAGTTAGTTATGACAGTTCTTTTGCTGTTTCACTGTTACACTATTACATGTGAAAATAACTCTTTCTGTTATTTGTAGTTCTTAAAATATAATATTAAAAAGGACATTTGAAAATTGTTTGCCACAGAGTATTATGACTGGAAAAGAGGAAGATATTTCACTCTAGTATGTGAATGCTTTGAAGAGTATGTAGGACATAATCTACAATACAATCATAATACAGTTTTACAAGGATGATGCCTATTCTTATTCTCATCAATATGATTTTTAAAAACTTATTTTTATTATAAATTATTTCCCTAGTAATGCCTTTTCAATTTGATTTAGAAAATGGATTGTATATCGTGAGTTTTATAGTGAGTTACCTGGTTCTAATATTCATGACCTAGTGGAAATTCAGGTCAAAGACTTGTATATTTCAGTTCCCAGAGCCTGTGTTATGCTTTATTATCAGCTTCACCCTGCTCAGACACAGGCAGAATTCAGTAATGCAGGCCAGCACTGAGCAAGAAATAAGACTTTTCTTAGGTCACAGTTACCAACCACAAATAAACTAGGCTCAGAGAAAATATTTCAGAGCCAAAGGAGGAATTACAAAAGAAAGTAGAAAGCTTGCATTAAGCAAGTAATCAAGTCAAGAAATCTCATACTGCAGGAGAATGCAGTGATCAGTACTGACTCCAAGTTCACCTCTAAATCTCAGAATAAGAAAAAAAAGAGGCAGGGAGGGGGCATTTATCAAAACAAGTATAACTTGGTACCAAGTCCAAAGACATGCTTTAAATTGACACCCTATTATAGTTTCTTTGGTGTCTCCTAGTATGGAAAGGATTGGGCTGGAAATAAGCTTGTCCTGAATGAAACATTGAGGAAGGTGACACATTCAGATGCTGGCATATGTTACTGTTTCATGTGATGCTGGCAATGTAATGTCAGAGATTCAGTCAAGGGCATGGATTTAAGAATAAATGTTCTAGGTCAGACTTCTGCCTGTACAGCTGCCATTTAATTAAATCTAAATAATTTATCATTAGGGATCATTTCATTGTGATAACAGCTAAAAGAGCATAGTTCCTTGTTTTTAATGTCTGTAGACACATTACATCTTGTTTGCAGTATTCCTTTTCTTATGGTCTATATAGTAATGCACAATTTTTATTAATTATATACTTATTAAGAAGATTTTGGAGTCTTAAGATAATACATTTACCACCAAGGACTACTGCATTATTTACCCTCATGTAGTCTCTTTTTGTCTGTTTGAAAGATATTCACTTATTAAAATATTTACCAAAAACTTTTTTTTTTTTTTTTGAGATGGAGTCGCCCAGGCTGGAGTGCACTGATGCAATCTTGGCTCACTGCAACCTCCATCTCCTAGGTTCAAGTGATTCTCATGCCTCAGCCTCCCAAGTAGCAGGGATCAAAGGCACCTTATTGTACAAACATATGCGTATCAATGCCTGCATTTGTATGTAGTAAACTACACCAGAGGCTTTTATAAACATGAAATAATTATTATCCCAAGTGGCTTACATAGTTCTTTAGAAAGGCAAATGCCACCTTTTATATGGACTAGTGCTACTTTATGTATCCTAAAAGTAATATGCATGTTTATTTTTTAAATTTGTCCCAGGGTAATTTTAAAGAAATCTTAGAGGTTAAGGAATTTGGGAAGAATTTATCTAGTTCAACTCCTAAATTCTTTAAAGAAAAGAAAAAAAGGCCAAACTTAAAAGCAGAAACTCAAGGTCACATCTTTTCTACTTGACAGAGTTGGCACTCAATTTTGATTGCAAGCTCAATGCTATTTCCAATACAAAATTTTGCTTATGAGCACCAGCCACAAATTTTATTTTGTTTTCATCCACTATTCTCTGTGTGTATGTGTGTGCACATCTCCAGACCTTTTTAATTTAGTTGTATATATTTATGGGTCACAGTGTGATATTTTCATATATGTCTAACAGTGTGGAATGTTTAAATTCTTCACCTCACAATACTCAGCCTTTTTCGTGGTGAGAACATTTGAAATGTACTGTCTTAGCAATTTTTAAACACATGATACACTAACTGTTGTCATCTTATTGGGTAATACATCTCAAAAACTTACTTCTGTTGTCTAACTGAATCTTTGAATCCCTTGGCCAACATCTTTCTATTCCTCTTACCACCATAACCTCTGGTAACCACCAACCTACTGTCCTTTTCTATGAATTTGACTGTTTTTTATTCCACATGTATAAATTAGATTATGCAGTATTTGTGTTTCTGTGCCTGGTTTATTTCACTTAAGATAACATCCTCCAGATTCATTCATGTCATTGAAAATGTCAGAATTTCCTTCTATTTTCATTTTGTATATATACTATGTGTTTTGTATCCATTCATCTACTGATGCACATTTTAATCTGATTTCATGTCTTGACTATTGTGAATAATGCTGCAATTAATATAGGAGTATGGATATCTTTTCTACATACTAATTGAAGTTCCTTTGGACATATACTCACAAGTAGGATAACTGGATAATATGGTAATTGTTGCAGGAAGTCAGGGACCCTGAACAGAGGGACCGGCTGGAGCTGCAGCAGAGGAAACAAATTGTGAAGATTTCATGGACATTTATCACTTCCCTAATAATACTCATAATTTCTTATGCCTGTCTTACTTTAATCTCTTAATCCTGTTATCTTCGTAAGCTGAGGATGTAAGTCACCTCAGGACCCTGTGATGATTGCGTTAACTGTACAAATTGATTGTAAAACATATGTGTTTGAACAATATGAAATGAGTGCACCTTGAAAATGAACAGAATAACAGCGATTTTAGGGAACAAGGGAAGACAACAGTAAGGTCTGACTGCCTGCAGGGTTGGGCAAAAACAGCCATATTTTTCTTCTTGCAGAAAGCCTATAAACGGACATGCAAGTAGGAGAGATATGGCTAAATTCTTTTCCTAGCAAGGAATATAATATTAAGACCCTAGGAAAAGAATTGCATTCCTGGGGGGAGGTCTATAAACGGCCACTCTGTGAGTGTCTATCCTATGTGGTTGAGATAAGGACTGAGATAGGCCCTGGAGTCCTGCAGTACCCTCAGGCTGACTAGGATTGGGAAACCCCAGCCCTGGTAAATTTGAGGTCAGACTGGTTCTCTGCTCTCAAACCCTGTTTTCTGTTAAGATGTTTATCAAGACAATACGTGCAATGCTGAACATAGACCCTTATCAGGAGTTTCTGATTTTGCCCTGGTCCTGTTTCCTCAAAAGCATGTGATCTTTGCTCTGCTTTTTGCCTCTTGAAGCATGTGACCTACTCCCTGTTTGTACACTCCCTCCCCTTTTGAAATCCCTAATAAAAACTTGCTGGTTTTGTGGCTCAGGTGGGCATCATGGACCTACCGATATGAGATGTCACCCCTAGTGGCCCAGCTGTAAAATTCCTCTCTTTGTACTCTTTCTCTTTATTTCTCAGAGTGGCTGACACTTAGGGAAAATATAAAGAACCTACACTGAAATATTGGGGGTGGGTTCCCCTGATAGGTAGTTCCGTTTTTAATTTTTTGAGAAACCTCCATACAGTTTTTCATAATACATGTACTAATTGACATTCCCACCAAAAGCATATAAGGGTTATCTTTTCTCTGCATCCTTGACAATAATTACCTTCTGGGTTTTTTGTAATAGCCTTTGTAACTGATGTGAGTTTATATCTTCTTATGGCTTTAATTTGCATCTTCTTAATGATTAGTGATGTGGAACATTTTTTAAAATACCTGTTGGCCACTTATTTACCTTCTTTTGGGCTAATTCAGTTCCTTTGCCCATTTTAAAATCAGATTATGTGTTTTTTTTGCTATTGAATTTTCTCCAGATTCTTGTTGTAAGACTTGTGACAAGTTGTGAGAAGCACTATGCCTGGGACATTTTAACTGCTCACAAAATAGTAGAGATTTAAGTTAATGTTCTTCTGGGAATCTTTCTCTGGGTTGCAGTTATATAACAATATATTTATTTACTTTTGCATCTGCCTCATCCACTAGAATGTTTCCTGTTGAGATGAATACCTTGCATTTAAACAGTAATTTGCATGAAATAAACTACCAGTGATAATTTGGGACAGTGGTTGCCCTCCCAGAGCTGCAGATGGAAAATCTTTAAGATTAAGGTTGAGACATTCATCTTTTTCCTCCACAAACTCTCAATGTGCCAGTTAATACTCAGGGAAGAAAAACTTTTATACCCAAACAGTTGTGTCCAGCATCTGCTAAATGGCTTACTATTCATAGACATAAATTTTGATATTATTTTGAATTATTAGTGTACAATCAAATATATCATTCTGATTTGGAGGATTTTAACATTTTATTTGGCAAGGCAACCCATGATGGCAGTATATCATGAAGAAGTTAAATTCCTTCAACATCTTTTTGAAAGTGAAGGTAGAATAAATGTACAAATAGGTAAATATTAGTTTGAAATCAAAACAAATAAAACCAAAACATAAATAAAATGTTAATTATTCACCATACGTTATGGAGTATGATTAATTCTAAACAAGTTATTGTAGCATTGAAATATGTGAAAATATAGAATGTATGAGCTCTGTCATTAAAATATGAGTTCAATTTAGAAATTTAAATAAAAATAAAGTCACTATTTAAGGGGTCAGGCTTAATATATGGTATCATAATACTGTTAAAATTTAATATGAATTTTGCCCTCTTTATGATAAAAATAATTGATGTTGTTTTATGCTTTCAAGTGTCTTACTACATATGGAGTGTCTTGACATTTTTAAAAATGGAAATAAAGCCTCTTTCAATTTTAATTTCAAATAATTATGCCTCTCAACAAATAAAATAGATAACTCAATATTTCCCCTGATGTGAGGCATACGTGTTTACTGTAGAGTGAATATATGTGTGTAAACAATATCAACATATGTCAATATATTGTATGTATATGTGTACAATATGGTTTGGCTGTGTCCCCACCCAAATCTCATCTTGAATTGTAGCTCCCATAATTCCCACGTGTTGTGGGAGGGACCCAGCAGAGCATAATTGAATCACAGGGTAGTGAATAAGTCTCACGAGAGCTGATGGTTTTATAAGGGGTTTCCCCTTTTGCTTGGCTCTCATTCTGTCTTGTCTGCAGCCAGGGAAGATGTGCCTTTCACTTCCCCTTCTGCCACGACTGTGAGGCCTCAACAGCCAAGTGAAACTGCGAGTTTATGAAACTTCTTTTTCTTCATAAATTACCCAGTTTTGAATGTCTTTATCAGCAACATGAAAACGAACTAATACAGTATATATTTGTGTATATGAGTGTATATATGTATATATAGTATGTATGTGTATATACCGTATATCAATATATGTCAGTATATCTATATATACACAATATATGCCATTAAATGTATATTTGTATACATGAGAGTGAATATGTATATATTCATATGTGTGTTTACACATACCCACTCGTATGTACATATATGTATATATTCACTCATATATACATATATACATATGTGCACACACTTTACAGAAGTGAAAGTAAAGTTGCTTTTTTACAAAAGCAACTTTACAATAGTAAAGCCTACATAATTATTTGAAATTAAAACTCTAAGGGTTTTTATTTTCATTTTTAAAAATTTAAAGAGACTCCACATGTAGTAACGCATTTTACATTTTTAAAGCCATACATATGGCTTTCCAAAAGTTTGTAACTTTACCGGGACTGAAAAACATCAAAATTAGAATACACTATTGAGGAAAGTACAGTATAACAAATATATTATTATTATACTTACTATTTTTAGACTATCAAGATATTTTTGCAGTCATGTTTAGTATTTTTGTTATTTATTTATGGTATAATTACTAACAAGACTCTTTTAGTTTTTATGTTTCAGAATATTGATTTAATAGAGGCTGAATATTCTCAATGAAAAAAATGTGAAAAAAGCATACACAATATGCCTACTGCCAAACACGTTAGTATTAACAATGATGGGAGCATTGTAATATATTTTAACCTCTTAATGCCTCAGCAGAGACTTGGGAAGAGGTAACAACCTAATTTCTTCATAAATGTCCTAATTGAAAGTTGATTATAGAACCTAACTTTGGCGAGGTCCAGATGCATATTCCTGATGTAAAATTATACAGTAAAAGTATTTTAAAATAAAAAGTATAATTTAAAAAGTGTCTTTAAAATCAATTATTATATTTGAAGACGTTAGTAAGTATACTTATTTGGGTATTCTTTCTTGAGATGTCAAATGACATTTTCCATTATTTTAGGCAAATATGTTTTAATGCAGAAGTTTACTTGTTATGATCAAGGGCAAAAGTTCTATGAATCAATTTATTTGTAATTTCTTAATCACAACTGTGCTAGGGAGACAATTTTGAAATTCACCTTTGAAATCCAAATCTTGTCTGTAAACAATATTGCAACAAATTTTCTACACTAGTTTAACAATATTTCTTATTAATTCAAAATGGAAGGCATTTTAACATTTCTAAACTACAATCTAGGGAATCTTCTTTGACTTTCTGATAATGAAGCAAGTGATTAACTTACCTGCCCATTCATAATTTTAAATTAACTGTAGCTTTTTATTTTAACTCTCATATTTCAAATATACAAATTTTACCAAAAGTAACCCACTATCTCTTATTACTGATGCATCTGCTTCACATCTGTCTCTCTCATTCTCTCTTTAAGAAAGGGAATCAAGCTTTCTTTTTAAACACCTTCTTGGGGTTACCCTCATTCGTCAAACAGAAATTATTCCGAGACCTGTTAAAAACTGTAAGGAAGACTAGTCATTATTACTAACACAATAGTGCTCAAGACTATTGCAATAGAAGAGAGAGATTGAGCTCAAAGCCAAATACAAGGACAAGTTGGAATGTACAGCCAATGAGTAGAGTGAGAGATGGCAGTGGATGAAAAGTTATTAAGAGGGACCTGGTAAACTTCAGAGGTAATGACTTTCTTGGTAACCTGGCCTAACAGGGTCCTTGCTAAAGACAGGCCAAAGACTTAGACCACAATTGTGTTGAATGAAGAACTTGGTCAGATAGCAAGAGTGATCAGAAATCAAGGGTGCGGGAACTCTTATAAATGGATTTGGCAGGATTCTTTGCTACTGGCAAGCCAGGGACAGTGCCAAGGTCAAGGCCTAGTTGAAAAGTGGGCTAAGAAGAACCTGACTAAAGTTTGATCAAAGAGGGTGTCTGTGTCACTTTCTTGATTGTCACTGGCACTGGAGGCTTTCAGAAAGGAGATCTTTTTCTCCACCTCCAGTGAATGACATACTTCCATCTTTTCACTATTCAAATTTATCTTAACTTTTTTCTACTCTGCTCAGATAAAAATTAATTCTTCCAATAAAGTCACTTCTTTTCATTATAATTTGTAGAATCATATTTTGATTTGGACTTTGATAAGATTGATGGACACATAACTCCTTAAGATATGCTTCCATAACTTCATATTTCATGTAGTCAGGAATTAATTGGGCACAAATCCTAAGCCAAAAAAATGCAAGTTCAAGATAAAAATGTTTCCATGCCTATTGCCTTTTTTCTTTCATATATATGTGAAAGAATATAGCATAGGCAAAAGTATCTTTCCACTTCTGCTTATGCTATATTCTTTTCTCCTTTTTCCCCTGTATGTGTTTCTCTAACCACCAGTGTTTATTTCCTCTGTACATTTGAAACCTTTCATGATGTAAAGGGCCTTCCTGATTTTGAAAATGACTATTTTTGGTACACCAACATGACATATGGCTACATTCTTCAGCCACTTCAGATGGTGCTATGCAAGAGTCACATCCCTCATACCACACTGGCCCAGTACCAAGTTGTTAATTGCATTGACATGCTAATCTTGTGCCAGTGAATATCGCTGCCTTGCTACTGTATTGATATTTACAAAGCATATCCTGTATAGACATTTAGTTTCTGTTTTATTATAGACCGGCGTTATCAATATTTTCTTGCTTGATACCACAAATACATTTTTTAATGTGGCTTTCAGTATAGCATGTATTGCCTGTAGCAAGTATTGCATTCAACACTGATAATTCTGAGTAAAATTCACACTGAGATCATCAGGCAAGCAATTAGTGGCAATTGCTTTCTGTTATGGAAAACAACAAATCTTACCCTCAGTATATAGTTAAATTACACTATTAAAATACACTACATGCAGATGCCACATTGTGGACAGAGTGTGACTGCAAGTCAGCTATTAATGTTTCCATTAGGATGTATGAATTTCTTATTGGATTGAGTTTATTTGTAACTATATTTTCCTTAAACCTCTCCGTGAAATAGTATAATGTTAAATAAGTTATATTTTACATACCTTAACAGTTGTAAATAAATTTAAAGATATAGATATAGACGTATGAATTTCTTGTTGGATTGAGTTTATTTGTAATTATATTTTCCTTAATCCTCTCCAAGAAATAGTATAATGCTAAATAAATTATTTTACATACCTTAAGGGTTGTAAATAAAGATATAGACGTAAACTTAGTTTTTGACTTTGAATATCAAGAAATTTGGCTTCTCTTATAGTTGTTCCTTTAATCAGTTGTGTGTTCTTAGATTCTTCATGTCCCTGGCTTTTTCAATTTAGTTGAACTGTTGAATTAAAATTTATTTGACTATTTAATTTCCAGTCAATTCAATGTACAGTTTAAAAAACACTGTGTAAGCCATTAGATAAATAATTGTGACTGAGATACATTCTGACCCCCAAATGGACATCATTTGGTGTAGAAACGATCAAATAGATGCTTCCATTGCCTAATGACCATGATGAGGGAAATCACAGAATGCTGTGGGTGCACAATTTAGGCCACCTCATCTAGAACTGAAGAGTGTGGAAAGGCTGTGTTTAGAAAGTGAGGAGCTTACTTTTGAACTCAGTCAGTTGAAGGGAAGGGCAGGTATATGCCGAGCTAATGGAAAGCCATAGGCAAATGTATCTGTGTAATATTTAGCACACCTAAGTACAAAGATGTACCACCATTTATGGGATGTTAAGTTGTTTTCAGTTTTTGTTATTAAAATAATAGTGCATTAAAAGTCCTTTAAATAAACTTTTATAATATTTATAATTATTTTCTCTGGATACATACTGGATTGCAGAATCAAGATTATAAAGCTGTTTTATCTTCCTGAGAATTGTTTCAATTATATTCCCTTTAATAATAGATGATAGGATTCACAGCACCAAAATGTTTCAAACCCTGAAAATTATAATTTTATTTCTGTATTTGATTGGGCATATAATAGACGTTGGTTAAAATAGCCCTATATTGATATCTGAGCCCTAAAACTTATTGTGGGAATGAGCTTGGCATCTCTTAACTCAGATCCCTTTTCCATAGAACAGAGATTATTCCTTCCTTACAAGGTTATTAAAAATATTAAATATAATAAAGTATATAAACAACTTACCTTCATATAGAAATGATTCAGTAAGCATTTCAGACTTGTATGTGAGATTGTCATTAAAAACATTCATTAAAGTAAAATAGGACAAGGACTTCTAAATGATTACTTCTGCATTTGTACTACAGATAAGTTACATATCTGATATTTATATAATTAGTAGATATAACAAAACTGGATATTGCTTTTTTAAGTAGTTTGCAGTAATAAAATATTTAAAAGTTAAATGACTTAAATTGATAATTTTTGATGTGATATTAAGTTCTAAGTAGTTAATATTAGTAACAATAATCAGCATAAATATGAGCAAAATTTTAGCTACAGCTTACTTGAGAATTATGCTTTCATGTAAAAATAATTATAAAATCTTCTCAAATAATTATGCAGGCAGGAAATTGAGAGGTTACAATATTTGGCATTTGATTTAGATCGTAGTCCTGGGGTGGAGGAAGAGTGAAAACAACATTTGTATGTTTTCACATTTAGATTTTTAAATAAAATTATACATTGTTTTCTCTTAACTTCTGTGATAGAGATCTAGAATACAGACCTGAAAAAATTGATAGGGAATCGTAAGAATAGGAACTGGTTACTTTTCAAATTAATTATTGTTGATTAATTTATGACATCTGTGGTTTAGTAAAAATGGGAAATATGGATACTTTAGGGAAAAAATGTTTAGTTATGTTGTTGCCATTCCAGCTTAGATTTCATACCTGAGTCTTCAAAATAATTTATAGAAAAAGTGACTATGACTTAAACGAAATAAAAAGTGAGGAAAGAACCATTTATTAGATTTTATCCTAAACTCTCACTTTATAGTTTGTTCCAGAAATAGTTTCTACACAAGTAGATAGTCATTAACATAGTCAATATGTATTTTTTGTCAGATTAGTAAGAGCAAATTTAACTCTGGTTCTCTTATATTTTAATAATTGGTAATTTATGAGTGTATGTTAATCCTATTAAATTATGTGATAAAAGTATTCAAATGACATATATTTTCGTGAGTTCTGATGCACTGTGTTAAATACACAAAATTAGGCTGGGAGCGGTGGCTCACGCCTGTAATTCCAGCACTTTGGGAGTCTGAGGCGGGCGGATCTCGAGGTCAGGAGATCGAGAATCACGAGGTCAGGAGATCGAGACCATCCTGGCTAACACAGTGAAACCCCGTCTCTACTAAAAATACAAAAGATTAGCCTGGCTTGGTGGCGGGCACCTGTAGTCCCAGCTACTCAGAAGGCTGAAGCAGGAGAATGGCATCAACCCAGGAGGCGGAGCTTGCAGTGAGCGGAGATTGCACCACTGCACTCCAGCCTGGGCGACAGGGCGAGACTCCGTCTCAAAAAGAAAAAAAAAAAATACACGAAATTAGAATTATGTGGCTTCTTTTTATACAGTAGAAATAACTAATGCTTATACTACTTAAATGATTATTTAACTTAAAGAAAATGCCTATAATTATTTTATTATATTGTATTACAGATGCCCCCAAGTTTATATCAAACCAAACAATTTATTACTCTTGGGAAGGAAATCCTATCAATATAAGTTGTGATGTGAAATCGAATCCACCAGCATCAATTCACTGGAGAAGAGATAAATTAGTCTTACCTGCTAAAAACACGACCAATTTAAAGACTTATAGTACAGGAAGAAAGATGATATTAGAGGTAAGTCCACATGTATACATCAATAAATTGTATTATTTTAACAACTATCTACTATTTCAGAATATATTTAAATATCTTCATATGCATATATATATATAATAAGAGAGAGAAATCATGGTGTATATATTTTACAGTTATTTACTTAAAGGTCCATGGCTCATTAATGATGAGTGTATGAATGTCTATTCACTTATATAGCAATGTGGCTATATAGCAAAGACCATTATTTTTATAAATGCACTTTTAGGAATAAAAACAATTATATGGCCGGGCGCAGTGGCTCACTCCTGTAATCCCAGCACTTTGGGAGGCTGAGGAGGGCAGATCACAAGGTCAGGAGACTGAGACCGTCCTGGCCAACATGGTGAAACCCTGTCTCTACTAAAAATACAAAAATTAGCTGGGTGTGGTGGTGTGTGCCTATAGCCCCAGCTACTCAGGAGGCTGAGGCAGGAGAATCACTTGAACTTGGGAGGTGGAGGTTGCAGTGAGCCGAGATCACGCCACTGCACTCCAGCCTGGTGACAGAGCGAGACTCCGTCTTAAAAAAAAAAATATATATATATATATACACACATATATATATGTGTGTGTATATATATATATATACACACACATATATATATGTGTGTATATATATACATATATATGTATATATATATACACATATATATGTATATATATATACATATATATATGGAAAATCTAGGAAGAAAAAATTGGTAATGTAATAGTTATTGAGGGATAAAAATTTTTCCATATATATATATATGGAAAAATCTAGGAAGAAAAAATTGGTAATGTAATAGTTATTGAGGGCTAAAAATTTGTCTTCAATGTTGATGTTTTCATTGATTCCATGTGGTATAGCTTTTTTTTCTTTTCAGTCTGGCAGGTATAAATGCTATCTGTTGGCTAGATTTTTACAATTCTAGTGTAAATTCCAAAATAAATGAAATTTACTTGTTCAGTATCTTTTGTTTTATTACTAAAAATAAGATTTTGTATAATTATTTTTATATTGCCAAGTAATTGGCCTTTAAATACTGTCTGAATAAAGTGCCTCTTATTTATTAATTGGAGTGTATGTGTGTATCAATTTCCGAAACATAAAAAAATCTATGAAAATGATCATCACCCTTTCCAAATTATGATGCGGTTAGGAAAATTGGGAATCTTTTTCACACAGCCTTATTTGCTGAAAGGTTGCTACATTTTATTCACTAATTCAGTTTGCATAAGCTAAAATGAAATGCACGTTTTAGAATACCGTCTAATATCCATACTGCCTTAACTTAAAATGTCCTCATTGATGCCATTTAGACTTTAAAAAAATTCGTTTGATAGGAGGATTTAGCCATCATGTCTGCAAATACTTGCATAGCTGGCTGGTTGGTAATTAAACCGCTATGTCTAAATCAATTTCAATATAAATAAGTTTCTTTGGAAATATTTTAGAAGAATTAGCTATTTGTGACTTGACAGGGATGTCAATTTCATAAAAACATCTGGACAGTTTTAATCTAAATTTTATGTGTTTTACCTTAGTGAAAAGCTCAGGTTAGATTTAACTTGTTTTGTGTAGTGTGTAGTCTCCTTGAATACTTTAATAAAATACTATAGACAGGATGGTTGAAATCACAGAAATTTGTTCTGAGTTCTGGAGGATAGAGGTTCAATATCATGGTGCCTGCCAGGTTGCTTTCTATAGAGGACTCTTCCCTGGACTTGTACTTGGCCGCCTTCTTGCTGTGTCCTCACATGCCCTTTCCTCTGTGCGCACACAGAGTTCTGGTGTCTTCCTTTTCTTGTAAGGATACCAGTCCTGTTGGATTAGGTCCCACTCTTATTACCTCGTTTAACCTTAATTACCTTCTTAAAGATCCTATCTCCAAATTCATTCACACCGGAATTTAGGGTTTCAGTATATGAATGGGCAGAGTGAGGAGGCGGGCAGTTCAGTCCATAGAAAGTAGATTGAATTTCGTGAGTAAATGACAGACTAATGTGTAATTTCTGCTTTACTTCATCTTGACATTTTTTAGTTCCTCAGCCAACTCATAATTCTCTATATTTAATGTGAAGGGACATTTTATACATACAACATAGTATATAGTGTATGCTATTTAAACTTCTGCCTAAAGACATCCCTCTGCACTCCAAAATAAAATTTTAAAAAACCCACAATTTTTGCCTACTTGACACACAGCCAGGTGATCTGTTGGCTAAACCACTGACTTTAAACAGACATGTTTATGTGTATACTCTCACAAATTAAATTTAAATTCTGAATGAAAAATATAAATGTGTGATTAACACAACTTGAAAACATAGCATAACAAAATAACAATAATATAAAGAGAAAGCAACAATGAGCATTACTAATATTTAATTATTAGTATATACAGTTGCTTGAGACAGTTACTTTTGTTTAGTAATTATTGTAAAAGTCATATATGTGCTAATTCTTTAGAATATAAAAGGAAATATAGGAAAAGTTTACACTTAACAAGTTGTCAGTAATAAATTTATTGAATTGTTTTAAAGATTTTTTCTTTAAGTATATATATTCAAACTTTTAAAATTGTGTGTTTTAAAACATAACCAAATATTCAATAAATTATTTAAGTTACTGCCAATAAATGCCTCTGTAATCTGTAAAGGTCAAGGTCATCAAAACTTTATTTTTTTAACTGACCACATCCTGAGGAAATTACAAAACTTTTCAATATGTGGGCAAACATTGAAAGAAGGATTGGTTTTAATAGGTTTGTTAGAATAATATTGTGCTTTGCATTGTCTGTATCTTTGTTTCATATCCTAAATAGGGGTGCTTACTGTTGTGTCCATGACTTTCTTATCATGGAATACATAGAAGAAATAAATATTTTTAGGTTTAAGAAAAAGACTAGCAAGCTTCTTGATTAATATTATACACTTAGCTTATATTTAGATATTCAAAACTATATTTGTTAGTTCACTATACTCTGTCCAAACCTAATATCATTAATTAATATCAGCATTTTTAGCTGGATACAGATATACCTTGGAGATATTGCAGGTTTAGTTCCAAGAGCACCTCAATAAAGTAAATATCTCTATAAAGCCAGTCACACAAATTTTTGCTTTTTTCAGTGCATATAAAAGTTATGTTGGCACTATAGTCTATTAAGTGTGCAAAAGCATGATGTATAAAAAGGTCTACATAACATAACTGAAAAATAATTACTAAAATTTTCTGGGAATAATTTGAGATTTAAGCAAGTTGTAACTTTTTTCATTGGTGAAGCGTTTTGTCGCAAGGTTGATGGCTGCTTACTGATCAGAATGTTGATTGCTGAAGGTTGGAGTGGCTGTGGCAGTTTATTAAAATAAGGCAACAGTGAAGCACTTTGTTAATTAACACTTCCTTTCATGAAAGATCTCTGTGTAGCAGGTGATGCTATAAGGCTAACAGCATATAATACTGTTTGTTAGGAATTACCTATAGCAGAACATCTTTCAAAAATGAAGTAAATCCTCTCAAACCCTGTCACCGCTTTATCAACTAAGTTTATGTAATATTCTAAATCTTTGGTTATCATTTCAACATTTTTCAGGCATCTTCAGCAGGAGTAAATTCTACCACCAGAAACCACTTTATTTGCTCCTCCATGAAGAGCAATTTTCCCATCTGTTAGAGTTTTATCATCAGATTGCAGCAATTCATTCACTTCTTCAGGCTCCATTTCTAATTCTAGCTCTCTATTTCCACCGCATCTGCAGTTACTTCCTTCACTGAAGTCTTGAACCCCTCAAA
Source organism: Homo sapiens (assembly GCF_000001405.40). NCBI lineage: Eukaryota > Metazoa > Chordata > Mammalia > Primates > Hominidae > Homo > Homo sapiens. The sequence goes on from NC_000021.9 coordinate 21,414,261, forward strand.
GTCATCCATGAGGGTTGGAATCAACTTCTTCCAAATTCTTATTAATGTTGATATTTTCACTTTCTCCCATGAGCCACAAATATTCTTAATGGCGTCAGCATGGTGAATCCTTTTCAGAAGATTTTCAGTTGACTTTTCCCAGATCCGTCAGAGGAATCACTGTTTTATGGCAGCTGAAGCCTTAAATATTGTATTTCTGTTTTTTGTTGTGTGTTTTTTTTTTTTTTTGAGAGGGAGTCTCGCTCTGTCGCCCAGGCTGGAGTGCAATGGCACGATCTCCACTCACTGCACCTCCGCTTCCCGGGTTCACACCATTCTCCTGCCTCACCCTCCCGAGTAGCTGGGATTACAGGTGCCTGCCACCACGCCCGGCTATTTTTTTGTATTTTTAGTTGAGACGGAGTTTCACGGTGTTAACCAGGATGGTCTCCATCTCCTGACCTCGTGATCCGCCTGCCTCGGCCTCCCAAAGTGCTGGGATTACAGGCGTGAGCCACCGCGCCCGGCCACAAATTGTATTTCTTAAGTACTAGGACTTGAAAGTTGAAATTACTCCTTGATCCACAGGCTTCAGAATGGATGTTGGGTTAGCCAGCATGAAAACAACATTAATATCTTTGTATATGTCTATCAGAGCTCTTGGGTGACTAGGTACATTGTCAATGAGCACGACTAGTTTGAAGGGAATCTTTTTTTTTTTTTTCTCAGCACTATATCTCAACAGTGGGCTTAAAATATTCAATAAACCAGGCTGTAAACAGATGTTCTGTCAACCAGGCTTAGTTTTCCCATGGATAGAACACAGGCAGAGTCGATTTAGCATAATTCTTAAAGACCCTAGGATTTTCATAACGATAAATGAATGAACAATGGCTTGAACTTAAGTCACTAGCTGTATTGGCCCCTAACAAGAGATTCAACAGGTCCTTGGAAGTTTGAACCCTGCCCTTTACATCTCCTCTCTAGCTATAAAAGTCTAGATGGCATCTTCTTGCAATAGAAAACTGTTTCATCTACTTTAAATTCTATTTTTTAGTGTAGTCAATTCCATCAATGATCTTAGCTTGATCTTTTTTTTTTTTTTTTTTTTTTTTTTGAGACAGGGTCTTGCTCTGTCGCCCAGGCTGTGTAGTGGCGCGATCTCGGCTCAGTGCAAGCTCTGCCTCCCGGGTTCACACCGTTCTCCTGCCTCAGCCTCCCGAGTAGCTGGGACTACAGGCGCCGGCCACCACGCCCGGCTAATTTTTTGTACTTTTAGTAGAGACAGGGTTTCACCGTGTTAGCCAGGATGATCTCGATCTCCTGACCTCGTGATCTGCCCGCCTCGGCCTCCCAAAGTGGTGGGATTACAGGCGTGAGCCACCTCGCCCGGCCCTTAGCTTGATCTTCTGGATAACATGCTGCAGCTTCTACATCAGCACTTGCTGCTCCACCTTGTATTTTTATGTTATAAAGATGGCTTCTTCCCTTAAGCCTCATGAACTAACCCCTGCCAGCTTCAAACTCTTCTTCTGCACCTTCCTCACCTCTGTCAGCCTTCATTGAATTGAGGCATGTTAGATCTTTGCTCTGGCTTGGGCTTTGGCTTAAGGGAGTATTGTGGTTGGCTTTGTCTTCTATCCAGGCCAACAAAATATTTCTCCATAACATGAGTAAGGCTGTTTAGCTTTCTTATCATTTGTGAGTCCACTAGCGTAGTACTTTAGATTTTTTTCAGGAACTCTCTCTTCACATTTACCACTTGGCTGTTTGTTGCAATAGGCTTCTGTTTTAGCCTATCTTGGTTTTGTCATGCCTTCCTCACTAAGCTTCATCATGTTTAGCTTTTGATTTAATATGGGAGATGTGTGACTCTTCCTTTAACATGAACACCTAGAGACCATTGTAGGATTATGATTTGGCCTAATTTTAATATTATTGTGTCTCACAGAATAAGGAAGCCAAAGAGGGAGAGAGATGAGGGTACGGCCAGTCAGTGGAGCAATCAGAACACACATTTATCAATTAAGTTCACTGTCTTAGGGGCACAGTTTGTGGTTCTCCAAAACAGTTACAATAGTACCATCAAAGATTACTGATCACAGATCACCATAGCAAATTTAATAATAATGCAAAGTTTAAAATATTGAGAGAATTACCAAAAAGTCAGAGAGACAGGACATGGGCAACTGTTGTTGAAAAAATGGTGCTGTTAGATTGCTTAATGCAGGATTGCTACAAACCTTCAATTTGTGAAAAAAAAAAAGAAAAGAAAAAAGAAAAACACTATCTTTCAAGCATGGCAAAGTAAGACACAATAAAACAGGTATGCCTATATTTAAATATGAAGAAATAGTTTTATCAGTAGATGTTTCTAGTAGATGTTTATCAGTGGGTGTTTATCAGTAGATGTTTCTTGATTAATATTTTCAATGCTTTGCACATTTTAAACATTTAAATATTTTTACTTAATGGTCTATAATATACCCTCGTTATATTATCTTATATTTTCATAAAATTATATAACATTTCATTGTGCTGGGTTTAAGTGTAAAACCACTATTGGACTTTAGTTTTATGTTGCTTTCCTAGAATACATCAAATAAGCTTCAGGGTACATGATTTGGCCAGATTATATCTAGAGCATGTGTGTGGATGTGTGTGTGTGTGTCTTAATCTATGTCGTGATGGGTGTTTTCTTTATTTATTAAGCATACAACATGATAAAAGGTTGCTTATTTAAGATGAACTTTTATCTGTTGATAGCTGAACTCCCAGGAACAACAACAAAAAAATGAATTGAGCTTTTAAGAAATTGTTCCAATGAAAATGGCTCTATTTAAATTATTAATCTTAAGGAGCTGTGTAATAGTCACATTTCTTTGTTGTGGCTATCCTGTCTTGGCATTATATTGATTCAATAAACACATTCTTCTCTGTTGAATTTGCAAATAACTTTCTCATATGCATGTAGAATAAGAATTTTTTGTTAAATCTCTTTCTCATTAGAACAATTAGTTTAGAGTTAAATTAGCCTTGCTTATTAAAAGCTACACATAAGGAAAATGAATATTTTAATCACTTAGCAGTAATTATGTAAGAGCTGTTACAAATTCTAAGCTTATTCCTATGATCTGTTTCTAGATGGACAGCTGACTAGAAAACGAATGACACAGCTTTTCTGTACTCTTTCAGAATTATCATCTTCAATGGGCCTCAAAATTGCACTCTTAGTTAATAGCCTCCCATTACTACAAAATCATTTTTCCCTCTTTTGGGATAGAGTTGAAATTAACAGCAACTCTTGTAGGCATATTCTCTCTTAATAATAGTTACAGAGATTGAAAATTATATCTATTACTATCATCAAATCTCTTATCTAAATTGATACTTCAGAATTTCTGTACATTAGAATTACAGGGTTTGTCTCAGTGTTCACCAATAGAATCCCCGAAGGTTAACTTAATTATGGATTTCAAATGTTTAAGGATAGAGGTCAGCTATTTTCTACCTAGAGTGAAAAAGAATGGTAGGAATTGAACAGAAATGGAAGCAAGATACTGTTATTAGATAGCGAGAAAAAGTGCCTGTCTATGAGTATTGTTGCAAAGAGTAACATTTTATTGCACAGTATGTTCCTGGAAAGATTTCATTAAGAATGATCCTTCCTCCTTCGTTAGTATTATATGTTCAATAAACTCAAAACAGGGAGAGAAATATCACATATCTGGAGACTTTGTTGAACATTAAAGCAAACTGATCTGAGGCCAAAACATAAAAAACAGTTAACAATGCTTTTATTACAAGCTTCCTGTTTTCAAGTTTACACCTACATTGATTGCAAACTATAGATACATATATATATACATGTATACATAAATATATACACATATATATTTCAAACTGTGTACTACTTTCTGAGCTTTACATATATGTAGATATAATGGTTATGCTATTTAATAGATACATCGAAGTGGTGCCATTTGTTTACTTAATGAATTAATAGATAAATTCTGATTTGCCTAGTCCTGTGGATATTACGGGCTCATGGATACATCATAAAAGGATTTATATTATTTAGTAATGCTTACTTAATAAAGAAAATTAAAAATATATGGTAAGGAGTTGTTGGGTAAAAAATGAAATGTGTGAAAGTGGTAGTCATACTGGGGTTTATTATAAAACTTCTGTGATGTTTTAGAATTGTAACATTTGTTATTATAATTATTTCAGATTGCACCTACATCTGACAATGACTTTGGACGCTATAATTGCACAGCCACTAATCATATAGGAACAAGATTTCAAGAATATATTCTTGCTTTGGCTGGTAAGTATAGCACAATAATTTTTGAGATCGCACACAATATTTCTGAGAGCAAATGAAAATTTAAGTTGATAAAGTGGTCTCATTTACATGTGGGATTTAAAACAATGGATCTCTTGGAGATATCAGGTAGACTGTGGTTACCAGAGGCTTGGTAGTATATTGGGAAGGAGGGAATGAAGAGGGGTTACTCAGGGAGCATAAAACTACAGTTGATTACAAAGAATAAGATATGCTGTTCAGTGGTACGGTAGGGCTATAATAGTTCACAATAAGTTATTGCATATTTCAAAGTAGAAGAATATATTTGGAATGCTCCAAGCACAAAGAAATGACAATTGTATGAAAGAACAGACATGCCAGTTACTCAGATTTGATCATTATATATTGTCTGCTTATATTAAATAGTCACATGTTCCCTGTAAATATGTACAACAATTTTGCATGCATAAAAATTTTCCAAAACCTTAGACTTTAGCGTGTCTATAACAAAAATATGAACTTCCAAAAAGTGGGTGTCATGTAATTTTAAATGTTAGCAAAGAATATATTTTACATTTTTATAGGTAACAATACAGATTGCTTTTTATAAAGAATGAATCACTTTTAAAAACTTCAAACCATTGTATCTGCTATACAGTGAGCATGTACAATGTATTTACTCATCAGGATTGATTTTAAAACCTGATTCTAATCCCTCCAACTTAAAAGTGAGATATTTGTGAAAGAAATAGGGAACTTTTTTTTTTTTTTTTTTTTTGGATGTTAGGAACGGTCATGGTTTTTTTTTTCGATTTTTTTTTATTATTATACTTTAAGTTTTAGGGTACATGTACACAATTTGCAGGTTAGTTACATATGTATACACGTGCCATGCTGGTGTGCTGCACCCATTAACTCGTCATTTAGCATTAGGTATATCTCCTAATGCTATCCCTCCTCCCTCCCCCCACCCCACAATAGTCCCTGGAGTGTGATGCTCCCCTTCCTGTGTCCATGTGTTCTCATTGTTCAGTTCCCACCTATGAGTGAGAACAGGCGGTGTTTGGTTTTTTGTCCTTGTGATAGTTTGCTGAGAATGATGGTTTCCAGTTTCATCCATGTCCCTACAGAGGACATGAACTCTTCATTTTTTATGGCTGCATAGTATTCCATGGTGTATATGTGCCACATTTTCTTAATCCAGTCTATCATTGCTGGACACTTGGGTTGGTTCCAAGTCTTTGCTATTGTGAATAGTGCCGCGATAAACATACGCGTGCATGTGTCTTTATAGCAGCATGATTTATAATCCTTTGGGTATATACCCAGTAATGGGATGGCTGGGTCAAATGGTATTTCTAGTTCTAGATCCCTGAGGAATCGTCACACTGACTTCCACAATGGTTGAACTAGTTTACAGTCCCACCAACAGTGTAAAAGTGTTCCTATTTCTCCACATCCTCTCCAGCACCTGTTGTTTCCTGACTTTTAAAAAATTAAATTATATTTCAAGTAAAGAGAGAATCCTGATGAAAAAATTAAAAAGCAAAACACTCTGAGAAAAAATGAACTATAATAATATATTTTAAACTTTTAGACTTGAAAGTACAAAGAGCTATCTTACTTCTGAAGGAAAATAGAAAATTGAAGGTTACATAAATTTGTTGAAAATATTTTATTTTGTATGTATATGTTAATATTCTAGTTTTACCTCTAAAACTTAAAGATATAGAAATAACAACATATAGAATAAAAAATTCATACAAACCAGAAAGCCAGATATTGTTTACTTATTTATAAAATTTGCCATTATGTTTTACAAGACTGATAAGGAATCCTAAAATACATTTTAAAAAATAGTTTATGTAGCTCAAATGGAAAAAATGTGATTTACAGTCTTCTAAGACTAGGTAAAGTAATATCAGAAAATTATTGTAATATTATATTTTAACAGACTTAAAAGCATCTGTAAAGAAATTTTATAACCTTTTCAGGTAGAGATTTTATTTATAACTTTAATTTTATATTAAGTTCAGAAAAATGTTCATTTTTACTGCTGTATAAATATATTCTAAATATTAATGTCATTGATCGTAAAGGCCAAGAAGGGAAATTTTTAAGCTAATAATGTCAAATTATTATGTAACTTAGAGAACCTGCTATTCTCCAATTCAGGTTTTACTGCATTGATAGAGAAGGGAGAAAAGAGATTACATGGAAGGAATTGATGGAAGAAGGCAGGGAGAAAAAAAATCAAGATAAGTGAGTTTAGAAATGTGAAGAGACTGTTATACAAGCAAATTAAATTATAAGAAAATGAAGTGTGCTAATTCTCACCAAAATGCATAGATAATAAATTGAAGAATCAACTGTACTAATAAGAAACATTCACTACTCAAATTAATTCCAAGCCTTTGGAAATTATGCAACTTTTCTTTAAATTAGTATATAATTTTATAAATAATTAGATATAGGATCAATATATGTATATATAATGTTATTAATATTGATCCAGTATTGTATATTGCCATTTCGTAAATGATGTGTTTTTCGATTAGGTACAACTTAATAAATGACCAGAATTTTTAGGAGGGTGTATTAATATTTGGTATTTAAAACATTATGTTGATTAGGTTTAAATAATTCCATGAACTTCACAGGTAGTATTTAATGTGCATGTACCTTTGTATCTCACAATACTTACTGCAATATTGTTCATTGAAAAATATATTTGATTCCTATCCTTCTAGTGACTATATTAAATTACTGAGTTTTCTTCTGTCCAAACATAATAAAAATTAAAGTTTTCATCAAAGCTGAGTTAGAAAATATTGGAAATTTTTTGAATATTTTTCAGCAATTTTCCTAATATTCCAAATTTTATCAATTCCAGGCTAAGAATTTGTTTTAGAAAAAGGTGGATTCAGTTGAAATTGTAATGAAGATATAAAAATGATTCAGACAGTCAGCCTTAGATGGGAAACATGCATTTAAATATCAACATTTATAAATATGCTTTATTTTATGGTACTCTTATTTAATACTAATATTTGGTAGAAAACAATCTGTCCTGCAGAATCCTAACACTGAAACTATACTGTGATTTTAAATAAGATGTAAGACATTTATTATATAAAAAATTAAATATTTCCTAATATATGAGGATACCACAGTTTAAGATTTCATTGGCCTATTTGCCTTGTAAAAGGTCAAGATCATTTGGCATATGGTATTTTACAGTGTAAGAGAATACCTTACTTCCAAAGGGAATTAATTAGAGCCAAAATGTAGTGTGAAATTTTTGTACACATTCAGTGGTAATATAGGAAACAATTACTTTTTCAGCATTCAGAAACATTTTTTCCTTTTTTCCTCCCATTTGTCCTCCTTTCCTTCTTTTTTCCTTGCATTTTCCCTTTTTAATAACTTAGCCCTACATCGGAATGAGGTAGGCATCTGTGTAGGAGTAGGGTGAAGCACAGAAGCCTGGCATGGGATGTGAAAGCCTGAGCAGAGTGAATGGAGTGGAAGGAGTGTTGCAGGGGTCCAGTGTTGAGTGTTGGGATCCAGAGAGGGTAAAAAGAGTGCCCACTTGCCAAGACAGAAACAGCAACCCAAACAGGCTTGTTGGAGGCCATTCACCTAAGTGAAACAACTCAAAAACAGAAATTCAAATACTGCATGTTCTCACTTGTAAGTGGGAGCTTAACAGTGTGTACACACATGGAAAAATAGACACTGGAGACTCCCAAAGGTGGGAGGCTGGGAGAGAGGGGAAGATTGAAACATTACTTGTTGGATGCAATGTTCAATATTCTAGTGATGGATACACTAAAAGCCCAAACTTTGCTAGTACATAATATGTGATTGTAAGAAAACCCCCTACACCTATAAAAATAATATAAAAATGAAATATTTTTGAAATGGAAGTAAAATGTATATGTGTTTGGTTTAAGTCAGTTAACCCTAAGCAAGGACTTTCCATTAAACCCTGACTTCCTATTAATGAGCAGGAGTTGACGTAGTCTTCTTTTACCTATCTCCTCTGTTTTTAGAACATTGGGGGGAAAAAGTAATCTTTCTATGTTGTTACAGAAATATGAAATATTTCACATATGTGCTTGATAATTTTGTTTTCTTAACTTTTAATCCAAATATTAACTAGAAATATAAGACAGACAAATACGTATATATTTTAAGACTTCACCATAAAGTTGGTTTTTAAAATGTACCTCCTAGGTGTTGATCCTGCTTTCTAGTAGGAAGCATTCTCTATTTGGATTGAAGTACATATCTTGAATCAAATTAAAGTTGTACAGCATGTAAGGCTAAATAAAAGTTTGACTATATAGTGTTATTTCTTCCTTACAATTTTCTACTTCCAAAAGATGATTATCTGACAAGGCATTCTGTATATTTATATGCATATTTATTATTTCTTTTCTTAAAAAATCATTACCCTACATTTTAAATATTATTATCAAGTAATTTCATTTATATATTTTTAAATTTCTTAATTTGTTTCATCATTGTTATATTTTTAACTGTTGAACTTTTTTATATTAAACCTTAACCCTAAATAAAATAATCACACCTTTGTTTCATTAATTGATGCAGGTTTCTGATAAAGTCACCTTCTCTTGGGCAATTTTATGGGAGGGACTTGGCTGTTAGCTGTCATCAGGTAGTATGTCCAGCCCCTGGGGAATGAGAGCCTCAGCTCTTTAAGAGTTTCTGTGCAGTCATTCCAAGAGGTACCTGGTAACAGTATTGTGACAACTAAGTGAGTTAATGCATTCAAGCACCCAGCACATGACAAGTACTCAACAAATATTAGGTAGGTATTATTATGGCCTAATTATAGTTCATATTGGTCACTTTTCTTTTGGATAGAAGTCAGTACCTTGATACCTCTTTAGTTATTATACATCAATCTAGACATCAAGGACCAAGGCTTAGTAAAATGAGATAATGACCTTACTTATTCTGAACATTATACTTCTATTAAATAATGTTAAATTCATTTGACTTTTGTTATTTTTTTCCATTTAGGAGCTTGTACTACCAATTTTTTACACAAACTGCTATTAAGGGAGGTCTCTGATACTGTGCTTCACAATTGATTTTTTTTAACCTCAGTTCAGGACTCTATACTTACCCCTATTAAATCTCATCTTGTCAGTTTTGACTCATTTTTTAACCTACTGAAACCCTGTCAAATTCAATATTTTAGCTCTTTTTTTCAGGATTGATTTAAGTCACAAGTACAATATCATGAAGCACTCATCTGTATTTTCACCAGAGTCAGGATTAGCCTGTATAAGTCATCCTTGAGAACAGAGATTGGCTTACAGGTTAAACTGGATCAATTGAATAGAATTCTAAGATATGGAATTATGGCCGATCTACTGGTCTGTGTACCTAGATTTTATCTTAGCCAGACCTTTGCTCCATAACACTTGAAAGCATGTTAAAATTAGTTCATTTGGTATCACACTTTCTTCACCTAAATATAACGGCAGGATTCTTTAACATAATCAGTTTTATGATCTAGCCTGGACAAGTCTACATCTTGATTTTTCAAAGAACTCATTAAGCAAACAGTGATATTCAGAAACTATTCATAATATATTCTTGGTTTTCTCATTCTCATATTGCTATGAAGGAAAGGAAATCAGGATAACTTGACATTATTTTCAGAGAATCCATGTTTGCATCAATTCCTAATCACTTTTTAATTCATTCACTCAAAAAATATAATGAATTTCTAGTAGGTACCACACATTGTTCTAGATCTTGGGAATCTGAAGGTAAATAATACATGGCATCTGGTCTTTACACATAAGTTGGAGTTCAAAAGATATAAGGTTGCTGTAGAAGTGTGAATCAAAGGTTTGGGAGAACAAAAATGAATTCTGATTGGAGTTCTTGGAAAAGGCTTTCAAAAGGTGTCAACTTTTGAATTGAGTCTGAAAGAGGGAGTAGAAACAGGTCCAGGGAAGATGAAAGGGAAAGACTCAAAGAAACATCAAGGTTACACTTGTACATAGGCACTATGCTCTGAAAGGATGGGACTGTTAATGAGTAAGGCATTTAATGGAAGACTGGAAGGGTATATTGTATGAGAAGACCAGTGTTGGTAATGTGCTTAGAGAGGTAGAGAGAAGTTAAGTTATAGATCTTAAAAACATTCATCATGTTTGCAGGGCAAGGTGGTTTACGCCTGTAATACCAGCACTTTGGGAAGCCGAGGCGGGTGGATCATCTAAGGTCAGGAGTCTGAGACCAGCCTGGCCAACATGGTGAAACCCCATCTCTACTAGAAATACAAAAAAATATTAGCCGGGTGTGGTGATGGGTGCCTGTAATCCCAGCTACTCGGGAGGCTGAGGCAGGAGAATTGCTTGAATCCAGGAGGCGGAAGTTGCAGTGAGCTGAGATCACACCATTACACTCTAGCCTGGGCGACAAAAGCGGGACTCTTCCTCCTCCAAAAAAAAAAAAAAAAAAAAAAAAAAAATTCATCATGTTTACATTCTGTCTGGTATACAACGAGGGAAATTTGGAGATTTTTATTCATAAAGCAACATGATTCATGTATCTTAGAAAATTATCTTGGTGGTGTTCTAGAGACAGATTTCAACATAGAATAAAATGTACGTATGTAACTAACCTGCACGTTGTGTACATGTACCCTAAAATTTAAAGTATAATAAAAAAAAGTGACACAACTGCCAATTTCCAAATTTCTCCAAATATCTAAAATATATAAATTTAAACTCAAACACTCTAATGTTCACTCTTCAAAATTTTTTTCTGGCTCATAATAGCTCTAAATTGAATGTTTGAATGGTTCATTGTGTTATATTTGATTTGCTTATGACCCATTGTTGAAATGCCCAGTACTAAAGATAAGTGAATCTGGGTGTCCGTGAGTTGTGAGAAGAGTCAAGACATACTCATATTTGGAGGAAATAATTTCCATTGATATCTTGGTAGTGAATGAACACTGCTATGGAGAATATTAGAGGTAAAAATGGGAAAACCAAGGTCAGATCTCTGGACAACTTCAGTTTAATTCATGGATGTATAAGAACAAAAAAAAAATGAAAGAAATTTTTCAGGGAGATAGTGTATCTATTTTGAAGGATAAATGTAAATATAATTGGTCAAATATTGTGAAAAAGTCTAAATAATAATTTGGATTTGGCAATTGGTAAAAACTAGGTGAGTAGTGAAATGAGAAGGAATTTACAGCATTTCAGATGTATTGCAGGTTGGCTATATAATATTAGATTAAGCTCACAATGTTTCTTGCTCTATTCTGGATGCTATAGCAAAATATATTAGACTCTGTAATGTATTACCAACATAAATATATTGCTTACAGTTCTAGGGGCTGGGAAATTCAAGATCAAGGCACCATCAGATTTGGTTTTTGGTGTAGGTCCAATAACCAAATTGTTTTTATAGATGGTGCCTTCTGTGTGTCCTTATATGGTGAAAGGGGCAAACATACTTCATTCAGCCTCTTTTATGGAGGCACTAATCTTATTCTCGAGGGTGGATGTCTCATGACTTTATCACATCCCAAAAGACCCCACCTCTTAATAATATATTCAACATATAAAATGTGGAGGGAAACCAGCATTCAAACCACAGCATGATCGAAACAAGAAAAATGTATATAAAACCTTATAGAAGTAAGGTAGCCACTCAAAACAGAAATAGATAGAACCTATCTCAGCATAGAAGTCCTTGAGTTGTAAGCAATTATGGTGACACTGCATGTAACAGTGTTACTGGATCTAGGAAATTCAGTTACTTATGTTCCAATTCTTTTAGTATTTGAGACTTTTACCAGATAGAAATTGATGAGGAAATCAAGCAGAAACTGATTTATGATAAAGAACAAGCTGGTTATGAAATCACTGGAAAGGCAGAGAAAAGACCAAAGACAGCCACCAATATTCTACCTTCAAGGTCACAAAATAGCATAAGCGTGGTCCACATGTGAAGTCTGCAATGACTAACTAGAGGTCAGGAAGCCCTCCTGCCAAGTTACCCCTCAGCTAATAATCACAGCCACACCACTCCTGAAACTGGATGAATAGGCTGTGGAATGGGGAGTTCGGATGCTACTCTCATTCATATCTGCAGAGCCTCTTGTCCATGCGCACCTCCTGAGAAAAGTGGGACTGACATTCACACCCCTCCAGCATTCTAAACTGTATACATGTACCTTTCATTCTAGGTTCACTACATGAAACTTAGAACCATAGCAGCAAGTCAGTCTAGGAAATGAAGATTTTAGCCTGCAATTTCTTATGATAAACAGGAGTGTCTTAAATCGTATAATTTGACTCTGAGTGTTAATAGAAAAATATCTAGGATAGGGTTTAAAACACCATTCTGAAATAATATTCATGCTAGCACTTCCTTTTAAAAGAGAGTTTACAAAAATCAAACTCTTCAGATTCCTGGATCTAAGTTTAGCAACACCACAGCCTCATATGTGTAAAAAGAGCACAGTTAGTGTCTATGAACTATGCGTGCTGGGAGAGCAAATTCTCAGAAATAAAGATGTTGGGGCAGAAATTAGAAATAATCTATTGAAACAGAGTAACAAAGAACAAAAGAAGAGTATGTTTCCTGAGAAGAGAGTGGGATTGAAAACAAAAAAAAGAGATCTTTATAATTCACAGTAATAAGACTGAGAAGAAAGAATAAAATTCCAAAGAAGAAGAAACAGGAAAAGAGCTATCTGATAAAGAAAAATTTTGGAGAAGACAAAAGGAAAAGACATGTCATTCAGAGATGAAGGGTTTAGTCTTGGAAAATAAGAAGATAGAGTTCCATTATCAGTTAATCAAGACGTGATAGCTGTCCAAGACATTGGTTACATTGAAGCATTACTCACAATAGCCAAGATAGCCAAGATATAAAGATGTACAGCATGATCTCACTTATATGTGGAATTCTAAAACAGTGAAAGTCATAGAAACAGAGAAAAGTGGTAGTTGCCAGGGGCTGGGGAGTGGGAGAAATGGGAAGATGTTGGACAAAGATTAAAAAGTTTCAGTTATGCAAGATGAATAGCTTCTGGGAGTTTAATAAACACAAGTTCATTCAGTGACTCCAGAGATTGTATCCATCTGACTCCTAGGTCATGGCACCAACTCCTTGCCATTACACACCTCAAAAAATTCTGAGCTGAACATCGATATTGTATCCATTACCTGCCATTTGACTAAAACATTGATACATGTCAATGGATACAAAAGTATGTAATAGAAGGAGGCTGATGATCAGGGAGGGATAGAAAAATTACAATGACTGACATTTGCTAAGAGTTTTAACGTATTCTAGGGTTTAAGTGCTCAACATTACTTGATATTTCCAACAACACTCGCCGTCGTACTATTCTAATCTCCATTTGAGAGAGAAAACTACTGCGATGTGAAAAGATTAAGTGCTGTAGTTGACAAAAGTGGCAAGGCCAGGTCTTGAATCCATGGACTCTCATGACATATCCAGTCTCTTAATCCAGCACTTTGCCAGCACTGTTAGAGGTGAAGAGAAAGGGTAATTAAACAAATAAGTATTTGCACAATTGCTTTTCTATTCATTTATTCATTCATTGAGTGGTGAATGGTATTCATCAATTTTTGGGATATAAGACACTAGAAAATAGTTTAGAAAAATATGGTAACAATGAAGGAATAATAGTGTGTAAAACTGAGCATCCGATATGAGCCTCAGTTGAAATATTGGGCTGTGTCTGAAAGTCTTTTAGAGTAGACCAGTATCTTTGCATACACCCAGTGCATTAGATAATCCAGGATCCTGAACATGAGGCTGAAAAGATCGAGACTAATGTTGTAATGAAAATGAAGCTCCTGAATACCATTGCAGGGAAGTGATGTGATCAGAGTGGTTCTTTACAAAGATTGATTTTGCATTTGCATGCCTCGTGCATTGATGTTTTTGTTAGACATCCAATAGAAAAGGAAGCCAAGAGCCACTAATGGCATCACAGGAAAAGTCAGATAGGGCCAGGGCTTGGGAGGTAACAGAGGAAATGGGAAGGAAGAAATAGATACAAGAATTATAATGCAGGAATTATTAAAATAGTGTTTTGACTGATTGTGATGTATAAGATAGATAGGAATCAAGGGTGAAGACAATTACAGATTACAGAAAAATCCAGAAAGTGAAGAGAAGAATTAGAGATGTTGATTCTAGGCACATCTGACACTATTCACTTAGATATGTTCTGTATCTTTGTATATAATTTTTCATTACTGAAATATTTAATTCATCAAGTATTTCCTGAGAACTTACTATATTCCAGTCACTTTGTTCTATGTTACATGTATCTATCTGTATGCATGTATAAATACATGTGTGCGAATGTGTGTTTGTAAAGTGTTTTATCTCTTTCCTCAAGAAACTTACAATTTAGTAGTCAGTTGACAGTTGGACTTATAAAACCAAAATGTAAAAAATATTTAGAAAGAGAATGAAAGTCATAAGCATGCTTTTGCTTTAAAAGAAGTAATAGAAATAAGAGGCCAGTGGAAAATAATATGAAAAAAAGGCTACAGTAAGTGTCAGCAGATCTGAAAACGGACTATATAACTAGAAGAGACTAGGCACTGGCCCATGTTTTGATGATGGTGGCTTTGTGCTGAAAGAAAAAACAAAGGCTCTTCTTTCTCTGCAGGTGCACCATGTCAGGGTGCACAGTTGGTGAATGGTGCAACCTCTGCAGTCAGAGTAAAAACAAACAATCATGTTTATACCATATATTCAAAGATGGAAGCCCAAGAGGATAGATAATATCTCCCTCTCATCCCCCAGAATATACTACCTTCACTTTTGACACATGTCCCCAAACTGGAGTGTAATGCCTATGACATCCAACTTAGACCTAATGTACATTAGGGAGTCAGCCACTCAGCACAGATTGAAGAATTGGCATTTTTTAAGGGGATCCGTGTGCATTTGTTTGCCTTTCTCCTATACTTTGGATCAAACTTATAAGTAAATTTTGGATCAAACCTACAGCTGAAAAGACATGCAGATTAACCTGGAGATTAAGGAAACATGAAAATTATTAGAATATTTGAAGGCCAAAACATTATTTAGATATCTTAAAATTTGTATTTCCAGATATGATTTTAATAGTTCTAAGACTTTTGGATGCATCAGAATTCTACACGTGTGTTTGAACCTTAGAGTTGTAACATCATGTACTTCATAGGCTCTCTAAATAATTCACAGTTTCTAATTAGAGTTGAAATATACACTGTGGCATTTCTTTACAGTATTCACATGTGAAAGGCCGTAAAGCTGTGCTCCTGGCTCTTGCTCAGTACTATTTATAAGGCATATTTTTATATGACCTACAGTGACCTTTTTTAACTCTAGCAAAAAGAGTACATTTGACTTTTGACTGCCATATGAGATTTTTTATTTGTATTTATTTATTTTTGAGATAGAGTCTCTCTCTGTTGCCCAGGCTGGATTTGCAGGGACATGATCTCAACTCACTGCAACTTCTACCTCCTGGGTTCAACCAATTCTCCTGCTTCAGCCTCCCAAGCAGCTGGAATCACAGGCACACTCCACTACACCCGGCTGTTTTTTTTATTTTTGTGGAAACAGGGTTTCACCATGTTGACCAGGCTGGTCTCAAACTCCTGACCTCAAGTAATCCGCCCACCTCAGCTTCCAAAGTGCAGTGATTACAGTTGTAAGCCATCATGCCCAGCCCCAATTTTATGTAAATGACTGATATAAGAATTGAAATTCACATGTACTGCATATTTATCAGTCAAGTTTATATATATTAGCCCATTCTCACACTGCTATGAAGAAATATCTGAGACTGGATAATTTATAAAGGACAGAAATTTAATTGACTCACAGTTCTGCATTCCTGGGGAGGCCTCAGGAAACTTACAATTATGCTGAAAGGCAAAGGAGAAGCAGGCACCTTCACAGGGCGGCAGAACAGAGTGAGTGCCAGCAGGGGAAATGCCAGACCTTTATAAAAACGGGAAGAGCCAGACCATTTATAAAACAATCTTATCTCATGAGACTTATTCATTATCATGAGAACAGCATGGAGAAACCGCCCCCATGATTCAGTTACCTCCACTTGGTTCCACCCTTGACACATGGGGATTATGGGAATTAAAAATCAAGGTGAGGCCAGGCACTGTGGCTCACTCCTGTAATCCCAGCACTTTGGGAGGCCAAGGTGGGCAGATCACGAGGTTAAAAGATTGAGACCATCCTGGCCAACATGGTGAAACCCTATCTCTACTAAAAATACAAAAATTAGCTGGGCGTGGTGGTGCGCACCTGTAGTCCCAGCTACTCTGGAGGCTGAAGCAGGAGAATGGCATGAACCCAGGGGAGGCTGAGGTTGCAGTGAGCTGAGATCACGCCACTGCACTCCAGCCTGGCCAGAAAACGAAACTCCGTCTCAAAAAAAAAAAAAAAAAAAAAAAAATTCAAGGTGAGATTTGTGTGGGGACACAGAGCCAAACCATATAATATATGTTTGTGTGTGTGTGTGTGTGTGTGTATACATATATATATATTCCCTCTCTGAAAAAAAATTATTTTTTTATCCAAAGTTTAAGATTATTTCAGATGTGATAGGAACAAAAGAGGAAGAGATTCATAGAGAAATTAATGTTAATGTGTCTCTAAATCTTGATGTTTCTGGAGTAGAGTTTTCAAAAATCCCTCACTGGGATTTTTTTTTTTTCTAGTTCTGCGTGCTCTGCCTTTGAGATAATTCTTCCGAAATAATTTTTTATATTAGACACTAAATTAAATGTCCACCTAAGATACCTTATTGAACTTGAAATAATTTAAGTAGTGGATGGATTAAAATAAAACACACAAGAAGAATTTTATAGCTATTTTGAAAATATGGGAATAGTATTTTAATATCTCAACTAAAGGTTTAATTTAATTGGATAATATATAAATGAAATTAGACCTAATAGTTTACAGTCTTATTTAGTTCATAATACTGACATTTTTCTCAAAACTTAGCACTTACCTACAATTTAGGAATATAATTGTGGTGAATGCAAAGAAAATACATTTTGTATTTTCACAAGGCACCATTATTTATGGTGATGGTTGAATAATTGATTTATGTATTCTAACGTTTTAACTACCCTCTTTATCTCTCTTTTATTTTTTTTTCTTAAACACACACGAGATTGTTTTCCTGGACCTCAATAAAATGTTTATATCGTATAGAAAATGCAGAAGTAACATATTCCCTCAATAATTAAAGTGTGATTTTAATTTTACTGTCTATTTTCTGAGGTAATAAAAGTTGACTCATGTATACTTTCTTGTAATTTCAAAAGAACATTCAGGTGTTTCAGGAAGTTCTGTAACTCGAACATATTAAGTGATACAGGTAGCAGTTTTCCTTCACTCCTAGTTCTCATAACACCATAAGCCTTAATAATGGCCATTCCCATTCCCTTGGTTATGTTTTCTTTATATTTCTTTGTCCATAGACGTGCCATCCAGTCCCTATGGAGTGAAGATCATAGAGCTGTCGCAGACCACGGCCAAGGTTTCCTTCAACAAACCGGACTCCCATGGAGGTGTACCTATTCATCACTATCAGGTGGATGTCAAAGAAGTAGCGTCAGAAATCTGGAAAATTGTACGCTCCCATGGAGTTCAAAGTGAGTCAACAATTTCAAAATGTGTTGGTTAATTCAAGCTGATCTTCAGTATACCTGTATGATTGGCTTTTTCGGTTTCCTCCAACATTTTCTTTTCTTTTAATAAAATGGTGTTGGGAAGATATTTTCTGTGCCCCATTCTTCTTGATAATAACTCGAATACAGAGTGAATAGTTTCCATCTTCAGTAAAAATGAAAGAGCTTAGTAGAATCAGCAGAGTTCAATTCTGGAGGAAGAAGTCACTTTAAAAAAATTCGTTGGTGGAAAGGCAATTGCTCACATACTAGATATGATGGCTGGATTTTATGAAATGTATGCTCATGTTTCATTTATTAATATTTCTCTCAAGAATAGGTGTGAAAATGATACTGCAAAATGTAGTTACCTTCTATACTTATGAAGCCATCTCTAAAAATCTGTAGAATTTTATATATTTGTTTACTTTTTGTATTTTTATATTTTTTTACTTTTATATTTCTATTAAAAATCAAAATAATTTACAGAGCTTCTTTTCACTTACGTAAAATTTCATCGTCTTATGAAAATGTAGTTTGTTTTCTCATTAGGAGGAGACAAAACTAAAGCAGGAAATAATAAGAATTACCAGCGTTGGCCTCTGTTGTTTAAGACACAGAACCATACTGAGTGTTCCAAAAGGGAAGCATAAAATAGTGAGGAAATTAATGTTCCATAGGTCTGTTCTATGAGGATCCTACCTTGACCCTAACACATATGGTGTAGGGGTTCAGTAAAAAGCAAGAGCCTTCCTGAGAAAGAAAGAGGGAACCAATTCTAGTGAACATAGAGAGAAAGCAAATGAAATCATCCTGGTCTCATCTGTGTTGACCCTACTTTATCAGTTTGCACTGAGCATAACTATGGGTTTTTGATAGAAGTATCAGAAACATTAATCAGTCATCTATCATGTACCATATACTTCAAATAATGTTCTCAAACTGATGAGCTCATATTATTTATTTTAATTATGAAATACTTGGATTATATTATCTGTGCACATTGTGTGGTTTAGGAGAGATTTATAAAGACAGTGCCCCCCAAAAACAATGAGTGAGACGAAGGACTATAGTTTTTTTTTAAAAAATTATTAACCTGGATGCAGGAATATTGTGCTACTTTAAATTTTGTTTTGTTTTATTTTATTAAAAGAGAGAAAGGGCCAGGAGCGGTGGCTCATGCTTGTAATCCCAGCACTTTTGGAGGCTGAGGCAGGTGGATCATGAGGTCAGGAGACCGAGACCATCCTGGCTAACATGGCGAAACCCTGTCTCTACTAAAAGTACAAAAAAAAAATTAGACGGATGTGGTGGCAGGCACCTGTAGACCCAGCTACTCGGGAGGCTGAGGCAGGAGAATGGCGTGAACCTGGGAGGTGGAGCTTGCAGTGAGCCGAGATCGCACCACTGCACTCCAGCCTGGGCGACAGAGCAAGACTCCATCTCAATAAAATAAAATAAAATAAAATAAAATAAAATAAAATAAAATAAAATAAAATAAAAATAAAAGAGAGAAAAAGGAGGGTGGTAGGTGAAAAACAGAAGGAAAAAAGGCATTATTTCCTAAACTGCATAAAACTCAGTGTTTGTGCTCAAGCACAAGCACACAGAAAATTAATATTAAGTCTGAATATTATAGAAATTGAACACGGCACAAAAGTGCTGCTGCACCCTAGCCCTGCCAAACCCAGGAAAAGGTTAATAGGCTCCCTCCAGACTTCTTGCAAAGGTGCAGCACGATGGAGAATTTATAGTGCCCTTGATCTGGCCAAGTTGATCAAGGTAAAAATCCTGACATTTTATCTTACCTGTCCATCTGTCAGAGGCAGATCACTATGTTTATAAAACTGAAATATAATAACAAAGCACATTCGTTACTTTGAAATGAGAAATAACTGTCACAGAAATTAGAACATTCAGAGTCTATATAAGTACATACTTTACCTGTTGGTATATTATGAAGATACAAAATGAGAGTCAGAAACTTGTTTGGTGAGTCTAGAATATGAACTAGGGAAGCTGCGTGCATAGAATGTTTAGTGGCCTCAGACTGGGACAGTTAAAAGCTTGCGAATGAGAATAAAATACTCAAAAGTCTTGTGGCTAGGGATTTCTCACTTTGATTTGAGGAAAATGACAGCATTAGTACTTTTTTCTGTTTCCATTGTTGATTCATCTTCCATAGGTATGTTAATGAGTACCTTAAAATCAAGTTACAGTTATGTAATCAAACCACTGTATGATCTCAACTCAGTGCAGTATAAACATGAATTTTAAATTTGACTACTACATTAAGCTCTTCTTTTTGATTCTCCCTTTCAGTTATTTAATAATATATTTGGCAGACACTGTAGATATATTATCATCTTCCAGTATTAGAAAAAAAAAGTTCAATATTGTTGGTATAGTGGTGAGCATCGCTGCCTTCCAGAATAAACAGTTCAGCCATGCACAGTTTAAAACTTATAATAATGTTTAATTTTGCATTCACATTGTCTCTGGCCTCCATGAAAGATAAACCTCAACCTGGGGAGCTTAATGGTGAAATGAACTGCATCTTGTCTTGGGAAGGTGAAAGAGATCAAATACCTCATGTTTCTGGTGCTGTTGACCTCATTGGGCTGTCGCTGTCACCTGCCCTCTGTGGGACAGGCATCTAAGTACCTGCCCCTTGGGGATGTGTGACTGGAGTGCAAGCACACCAGAAGGAGATAGAATATTTCATTTTTGGAGATAGAATATTCCTTTTTGGAGACAGAATATTCATCATGGGGTGCTGCTTAGCTTGAGCTCTTTATACCTTTCCTCACCCTTTACTTCAGCAGGATTTCTTTTAAGTGTGAATGTCACCCACTAACATTATGCAATTTCCACTTGACCAAGAGAAATGCTCCACATTCTCACTTAGCTAAGATGTAAGAAACTGCATTTCTTTGCAGCTGATCTCTTTCTCATTTTCTTTCTCCTCATTTTAAAGAGACATAGTAGATCAATCCTCTGTAAAAGCAGAAGTCCAAATTTCCAAATTGCGATGCAAATATCATATCTCTCCTCTCATCTCTTGTGCCAAACAATTCAGTGGGTTCTGTTCACCTCTTGGACTTACCTTCACTTACTGGGAGGGAAGCATCACTGCGCTTTCTTCTGGGTGGAAGACTTACTAGTTTCATCAGTGGATTTTTTCCTCCGCCTAGTTTTCTGCTTACATTGCGGGGAGTGGGAAGGACAGGGGGCATGGGAGTTAATTCTCAAGGCTTGGGTTGCAAACCCAGTTTAACATCTTCTTCTTTAACTCTGCAGGAGGTGCCTGACCTCTTCTCAAATCTTAGGTATTTAATGTTTTTTTCTTCTCTCTATGAATTGTCTCAGTTGAAAATTACAGCACTACAGAAACATGCCCGCTACATGTTTCCATACAGTTTCTTATGGCTGTGCTGGTACTATTCTTTCTACTTGAGATTAAGAGTACCTGTGTAATGGGATTTATTTATTGCTGCATTTACACTTTATATCTCAAATGGTGATGTGATCTCACTTTATATATAAAATCATGTTTTGGGGAAAACCAAGTTTTTAAGGATTTCTTAGTGTAGACTCCATATTTGTATAGCAGGCATGAATGTAAATATGTAACTGTAAGATCAATATAAATGCAATGAGTACCCAGGGAAAGAAGCTGAGTAATTCCATTGGGACCACCCCTAACGTTGTAAGATATGTGTGTCTGGCACTTATTCTTTCTTTAGCCAAGAGATGTATTATTTTGTAAAGACATAGTAAAGATATTCATCAGAATAACATGATTTTTGCTGACAGAAATATGAAATGTGATGTTAATAGTCATAATTATATTTACTGTAAATTGACAGGAATGATTTGATTATTGAAACATATGACATAGTTTTGACTGAAACGTTCTACTTTAACCAAACATACTTTCATTTTGTTTCTGTGATTTCAATGAGTCACTATGTCCTTTAAAGTAGCATTTCCACCTTACTCACATTTTCCCATCTGACTGACTTAGGTCCTTTTAATACTTCCCAGAATTATTGTTTTACCCTGAACCACTTACAACATACTTTCACAATCAGTCCTTGAAAGTGCTCTCACAGTAAAATTCCCTCTTCCTCCAGAATGAGTGACTGCCAAGTGGCACTGTATTTCAGATGTTATATTGTATTGTGCATATTTTAATATATAACATATTATATTTTATGGTACTTCTCTTACATTATAACTCTGAAGGATTTTTTCTCCTAGTTTATAAACTCCATGAGTGGACCTCGTATGCCTTGTTTATGTCATTGTTTCAAGTACCAAAAGCATATTAGGGTAGAGGGAATACTGAAATTTGGTGGAGGTAGGAGAATGGAAAGGATTATTTTATAGCACCTCTGACTGGGTCTTAAGTGAATCCATTATACATCCCCTTCCAATAAGTATGTGTCTACAGAAGCAACTTTTTTTTTCTTTTTTTTTTTTGAGACAGAATCTTGCTCTTGTCCAGGCTAGAGGACAGTGGCGTGATCTCAGCTCACTGCAACCTCCGCCTGCCGGGTTCAAGCGATTCTCGTGCCTCAGCCTCCCTAGTAGCTGAGATTACAGGTGTGCACCACCACACCTGGCTAATTTTTTTTTTTATTTTTGTATTTTTTAGTAAAAATGTGGTTTTGCCATGTTACCCAGGCTGGTTTCAAACTCCTGAGCTCAGGCAATCTACCTGCCTCATCCTCCCAAAGTGCTGGGATTACAGGCATAAACCACCACGCCTCGCCAGAAGCAACTTTTAAATGGAAACTAAGGTTCAAAGTGTTTATGAGAGATTAACACACTTTTGAAAAGAGTGAAGATGAAGCAGAATTCAGCCAATGGAGTGAGCTACAGTTCAGGCTCCAGTGGTATGCCGGGAGTTGTCGTTGTTGTTGTTATTGTTGTTTTTAAGGTACACAACTCTGCACTGCATATAACATTACCTTGATCAAGAAACCAGAAGACTTTACTGTAATTCTTCCACTGGGGCATGCCAGAAATTCCACACAACATTTCTTCCAACCTCTATTGTATTGACGAATATCAGCCTCACCAGATCGATCATGTGAGCAATTTATACTATGTGAGCAATTCAATGGTTATGAATTTTCAAAGAAGTATTTATCCAATCCCCCACCAAGATTCTGTGTGTGTGTGTGTGTGTGTGTGTGTTTCTAGCACACCCTTTTATTTCATTCTAAGGATATTAACGGTCCCGGTTTATGCAGGGATCCCCACTTCATCTCCCCATTTTGAATCTTTTTTTAACCCACTG
The DNA here is from genome assembly GCF_000001405.40 of Homo sapiens. Lineage (NCBI taxonomy): Eukaryota > Metazoa > Chordata > Mammalia > Primates > Hominidae > Homo > Homo sapiens. Next base: position 21,437,605 of record NC_000021.9, read on the forward strand.
AGGCCATTCAAAACCAATCTTGTACATCAGAGACCCATGCAAAAGCTCTGAGAATCTGAGTACCAGAAAACTGCCACAATTTATAGAAAAAACAATTATATGGCTGCTCCTCTAGCTCCTGGTCTTTCCACACACTTCATTTTTGATGTTTCAGAGTTTGCTTTCCTTTTCTGTGAGATAATCAGTGGATTTGAAAAGATTTTCGAAAATGATATGCATAATTTCTAGGTGTACTTAGAAGGCTTGTTTTTCTGGCTATCTAGGAGAAGATATTGTTGAAAATTAGAATACATATTTAAAGCACATATTATATATATATATATTTGAATACTAAGGAAAAGCTTGTTTGTGCCTTCGTTTTGTAAATCACAGGTTGTGTTAATCATATATCTTAAAGTTTAAGAATTCTATGTAAGCACAATTATACTCATTCTCTGAAGCATTTGTTAGAAGATAGATTTAGGTTTATCTCTGAAAATGCAGGTACATATGGTCTCAACATTTCAGCTATCTTTTCCCTCTGAGCAGCTTTATTTATTCTAATTTATGTGAGTTTAATGTTTAGTTACTTTTCCTTGGTAGTAAATATATATGATTTTGAATACACTTATTGATGTGTCCAATTCTAATTGCTGATGTCACCACCCAGAAGTAATTATCAGCTCTTGGTGGACTGCAATGCTATTTAAGATGAATATTGTAGCATAAATACTGTCCTGTTAGTAGATTCTAATCTTAAATAAATCATTAACAAATTCTTATTAATTTTACCTTCTCACTGTGCACCTGGTCCTAGGTTTAAGGTACAATGGAAGCCAGGCCTATTATTATATTCTTTTTGAAGGTTTAGCTGAAGCCGTACTAATTATCCCAACCAATGATGTGACATGAAACTAATTTTCAAACTGTAAGGAATTGTGAACCAGTCACATATCAACAACTCGAACTATAGAGATATAGAATGTGAGTCAGTGTGACTCTTCATTTTGAGTGAGAAACATGTATCACAGCTGTAGCAAGACTTTTTGGTTGGGGAAGCTACAGGATGTATTCATTGCCAAATCATATAATATTTTGTGGGTTTCATACACCTCACTGGCCACTTAATGAAGAGAAAATACTAATCTTACAAACAGCTACTCTTTTTTTTTCAGTTTTCTTAATACAAATGACAATATCAATATTTTAAAATGTTAGGCCAGGCATGGTGGCTCACGCTTGTGAAACCAACATTTTGGGAAGGTACGGAGGGAGAATTGTTCAAAGCCGGGAGTTCAGGGTCAGTCTGGGCAACAAAGCAAGACCCCGTCTCTCTAAAAAAATTGTTTTTTATTAGTTGGGTGTGAAGGAATGGGCCAGTAGTCTCAGCTACTCAGGAGGCTGAGGCAGAAGAATCACTTGAGCCCAAGAGTTTAAGGCTGCAGAGAACTATGACTGTGCCACTGAACTCCAACCTGGGCAACACAACAAGATACTGTCTCTAAAAAAATAAATAAATAAAAATAAGTAAGTACTTCCTTTTTTTTTTTTTGATACAGAGTCTTGCTCTGTCCCCCAAGGCTGCATTGCAGCGGCACAATCATAGCTCACTACAACCTCCGCCTCCCGGGTTCAAGCAATTCTCCTGCCTCAGCCTCCTGAGTAGCTGGGATTACAGGTGCGCGCCATCACATCTGGCTAATTTTTGTATTTTTAGTAGAGATGGGGTTTCACCATGTTGGCCAGGCTGGTCTGGAACTCCTGACCTCAGGTGATCCAATCGCCTTAGCCTCCCTCAGCCTCCCAAAGTGCTGGGATTACAGGCGTGAGCCACTGCGCCCGGCCTTCAGGTTTAATTTTAGCAAAAGTTTTTATTTTAATAGAAATCTGGAGGAAAAAATATTTGTGGTAGAGAAACTTATTTCAGTTTGGTAGAAAAGTAGTGCTTTCTTGTTTTTTATATACCTTTTTTTCCTGATAGGGTTTTGAAATATAGATTTTGATTTATAATCAATATGCCTGTTCTTGATAGGTCAGAAAACTAATTTTGAATAAAGGCCTGAATTAAAATATAGTAAAGTTTAGTAGATCAGATACTGAAATCTTAGGTGCAAATATGCAAAGTACCAGCAATAAATATAGCCAGCATTCAAAAAACAAATTATTCCTATTTCTTTAAATGATATGTGTTGAAATGTTTTTATACCTATGATACACATTGTCAAAGAAAACTACTCTTGCATCCTAATAAGCAGCTGGGGATGTACAAAATGTATTCATTTATTCAAGTATAGAACACGTGTATGTTCATTCATATACTGAGTCATTGGTTTCATTAGTGAAAAATAAGAGGAGGCTAATGAAACTTCCCAAATCTCTTAAAACAGAGGAACTGACTCATGGAATATGTGTAACTCCTACTAGCCTAGTTGTGCAGTCATAAAGTTCTGCGTTAGGGCTAAAGTTATGGTAGAATTTCTCTTAGTATATTTGGCTCAACAAACTTTAGTTCGCTGCTGATGTAGAGATTTCATGCTTACATATTTCTAACAGCTTGACATTTTAAAAAATGTGTCATTAAAATAACCTTTTACTTAAAAATAATTTGATTTTTATATATGAGTTCAAAGATGGTACCAAAAGTATTCAGACACCCTTCACCCAACCTCCCCTTATAATAACATACCACAGTACATGTATCAAAATTAATGAATTATCATGGGTATATTAGTAGTAAATAAACTACAGAGTTTATTATGAAATGTCATTTTTAACAGCCTTCCTCTATTGTAGTTATCTCATATTGAAAATAAATAGGCCTGGCACAGTGGCTCATGCCTGTAAACCCAGCTCTTAGGGAGGCCAAAGTGGGCAGACTGCTTGAGCTCAGGAGTTCAGGACCAACCTGGGCAACATGGCGAAACCTCATATTGACAAAAATACAAAAATTAGCTGGGTGTGGTGGCAGGCGCCTGTGGTCCCAGCTACTCTGGAGGCTGAGATGGGAGGATCACTTGAACCCAGGAGGCAGAGGTTGCAGTGAGCTGAGATTGCAGCACGGCACTCCAGCCTGGGAAACAGAAGGAAATCCTACAACAGCAACAACAAAAAAAAGAAAAGAAAAGAAAAGAAAAAACAGAGAAGGAGAGAAAAAGAAAAAAGAAAAGAAAAAAATGGATTAATAAGAATGCAAACATGGAAAAGTTCATATCATTTTTACCTGTTAAAGATTTCAGAAATTCTATTCAACAAGTAAAAGCTACATGTACTTACCAAGCTTAGTAAACATTTTAGATGAATTTTACTTTTCTGTTTGTTTAAGACAATTTTTAGGTAGAAATATAAGTCAAGTTAACAATCAAACTCATTTGATTGACTCATTTAAATGACTCGAATTAGCAGGGTTTCAAATAAAAATTAATGAAATTCTTCATAACCCTGTAGTCTTCCAAATCAAAATTTTCAAACATACTTTTCTCTCTTGCTCATCATACTTCACTCTCAATTTGTAGATTTTTAAATTCTGGAAGTGTTTCTGCTTCAGCAGTAGTTAATATTTACATCACCTTCAGGTAAACTTTAATGCAGTTTTCATGAGAAACCCATACATGTTTCATGTCTACAAAACTAAAAGACAGTTATTATTTTACGAAGCATGGAATACCAAAAACAAAAACAATACCTTTTAAGTGACATCCTAGTGAATCTCCATTTGTCACGAGACCTCAAGCTTTCCAGTTCTGGCACAAAGTGATTACTCATACCATCACTTCAAAATGATGATTATCTTCATTTATTTTAGTTATATTGAACAAAATATACATTTAAAAAATCTAATTACTAAATATTCTCCAACAAATATATACTTAGTATATACTATTAGTGATGCATGCTTTCAAATATTTGGACTATATCAATGAATGAAACAAAAAATTATTTGCCCTTAAGGAGCTTAGATTCTAACAGATGGATTCAGATGATTTTTATGCCTTATTTCGTAGGTTTAAAAGAGCAATGGGGAAAAGGGAAGAAGAGAGGGATTGAAAATATTGAGAAGGTTGGGAGACTTAGCAATTTTAAGTAAGGTAGTGAGGGTAGGTTTTATTGGCAAAGTGATTTTTCAGCAGAGACTGGGAAAGATGAACGTGGTATCCTGGAGGAAAGCCTCCCAGGCAGAGTTAAGCTGCTAACAAAAGTGCCCTTAGGCTGGAGTGGGCTTGTTTGATTAAGGAACAAAGAGGTCAGCATGGTTGCACTAGAGAGAAAAAATCAGATGGCGTAAGGAGATGAAATCAGAAAGATACGAGGCTAGGCAAAGGGGTACTCTATGTAATGAACATGACCTGGCAGTACTGACATCTCCTGAGGGACTGTTAGAAGTGCAGACTCTTGTATCTTTTCTCAAGTCTATGAAATCTAGACTTCATTTTAACAAGATGACCCGATATTTACATACACATTAAAGTTCCAGAAGCACTGATATAACACATTGTAAGATCGCACAGGACTTCAATTCTTTTTCTGGTTTTTAGAGGCAGTCCTTTGGGGTGTTTTGTGTAGAGTATAATGACCTGAAATATCTAGGATCACTCTAGCTACTATCTTGAGGAAAGAGTGCAATAAGGCGGAACAGTTCAGAGGCAATGGTGGTCTTCTAAATGAAAGACACACAGCACTCAAACCAGGCAGTTGAGGAGGGATGGGAAGAAGTTGTCAAATTCTAGACATATTTTAAAGGTAGTGTCCAGAGAATTTCCTTAGATGCGTAGGAACATGGAGGATAGGACATAGGGTGGAAATAAACGAAATAAAGAAACTGAAGCTGATTCTGACATTTTAGACCTAAAATCTCAACTAAAAGTTGCCAAGATGGGAAAAACTAGGTGCATCTTGTTTGGTGAGTGGAAATCAGCCTTGTGAATTAAGACTTAAACTGATGTCTTTAATCCCGTAGAAATACCATGAAGGCAGTAGAAGATGGCTAAAGAGAGGTCTAGACTGTAGGTACAAATTTAAAAGTCACTTGCATTTGGATGCTTAAAGTCAGGATATTGTGAAGTCAACAGAGGAATAAATAAATGCAGAGAGGGGAAAGAAAAGGCCCATAGACTGAGCCATTGTCTGGTTTATTTACATATTAGTATATATTTTCTTAAAGATGTTTGCTATATAATAATGAGTTACCTAAAGTGTGACTTTTCTAAATTTATGGGGAATTTTCTACATTGTGTTATGGCACTACTAAAAATAATAAAAGAAAATATTGATATGAGTCTATGTTACTTGAAATATTTTTTAAGGGGAGATGTACCTCAAAAGATATTCCACAAGAAATGATCTTTCTCTTTATCCCACCCTCGCCCCTCCTACAAACACTGGATTACTTTAACTATACAAAAATTTTCCTGCTTTCTCTTGTGGGCATTTAGTGCTATAAATTTTCCTCTACACGCAGCTTTAAATGTGTCCCAGAGATTTTGGTATGTTGTGTCTCTGTTCTCAATATGCAGCCATAAAAAAAGATGAGTTCATGTCCTTTGCAGGGACATGGATGAAGCTGGAAACCATCATTCTCAGTAAACTATCACAAGGACAGAAAACCAAACATTGCATGTTCTCACTCATAAGTGGGAGTTGAACAATGAGAACACATGGACAGAGGGAGGGGAACATCACACACCGGGGACTGCCGAGGGGTGGGAGCCTGGGGAGGGATAACATTAGGAGAAATACCTAATGTAAATGACGAGTTGATGGGTGCAGCAAACCAACATGGCACATGTATACCTATGTAACAAACCTGCACATTGTGCACATGAACCCCAGAACTTAAAAGTATAATTTTTTTTTTCTTTTTTCTTCTTCTCTTCCCTATTGTGCTTGCTTTCTGTGTTGTGGAAAAATATATTACTGTGTATTTTTATGTATATTAGCAGACATCTTTTATAAGCAATGAGTAAAGGATTCATTTGGTCCAATGACATGAATCAATGACAGGTATTGCATTTTTCAAATGCTGTAGCATACCAGATATGAAGCTTCTTTGGATAACAGTTCTGATGGGATGGGTCTAAATTTCTCTTTTTAAGTACTCAGTGAGAGATAGCCCTTTTCCATTATAGTAGAGGCAGTTGTTCTGTAGGAGGACCTATAGATTTCTCAGAGGTTCAAGGTCATTGTAAATTAATTTCCACTTATGCTTCAAGGTGTTTATCCTGCAGCATTTCTTTGAAACTAGTTATTTACAATTCCCTGGAAGTAACTGGATTTCCCTCTATCATACTACTCAACTTCACTGTTATAGAAAAACTTTAAGATAATCAGTATTTGTACTGGTTATCAAAGGGAATAATTCTAGTTTTTGCCCATTCAATGTGATATTGGCTGTGGGTTTGTCATAAATAGCTCTTCTTTTTTTGAGATGTGTTCCATCAATACCTAGCATTTTTAGAGTTTTTAACATGAAGGGATGTTGAATTTTTTCAAAGGCCTGCATCTATTGAGATTATCGTGGTTTTTGTCAATGGTTCTGCTTATGTGATGGATTACGTTTATTGATTTGTGTATGTTGAACCAGATTTGCGTCCCAGAGATGAAGCTGACTTGATCATGGTGGGTAAGTTTCTTGATGGGTTGCTGGATTCAGTTTGCCAGTATTTTATTGAGGATTTTCATACCGATGTTCATCAGGGATATTGGCGTGAAGCTTTCTTTTTCTGTTGTGTCTCTGCCAGGTTTTGGTATCAGGATGATGCTGGCTTAATAAAGTGAGTTAGGGGGAGTCCCTCCGTTTCAATTGTTTGGAATCGTTTCAGATAGAATGGTACCAGCTCCTCTTTGTAACTCTGGTAGAATTTGGCTGTGAATCTGTCTGGTCCTGGGCTTTTTTTTTGGTTGGTAGGCTATTAATTATTGCCTCAATTTCAGAACTTGTTATTGTTCTATTCAGAGATGTGACTTCTTCCTGGTTTGGTCATGGGAGGGTGTATGTGTCCAGGAATTTATCCATTTCTTCTAGATTTTCTAGTTTCTTTGCATAGAGGTGTTTATAGTATTCTCTGATGGTAGTTTGAATTTCTGTGGGATCAGTGGTGACATTCCCTTTATCTTTTTTATTGTGTCTACTTGATTCTTCTCTCTTTTCTTCTTTATTAGACTAGTTAGTGGTCTATCTATTTTGTTAATTTTTCAAAAAACCAGCTCCTGGATTCATTGATTTTTTGGAGTGTTTTTGGTGTCACTGTCCCCTTCAATTCTTCTCTGATCTTAGTTATTTCTTGTCTTCTGCTAGCTTTGTGGTTAGTTTGCTCTTGCTTCTCTAGCTCTTTTAAGTGTGATGTTAGGGTGTCGATTTGAGATCTTTCTAGCTTTCTGATGTAGACAATTAGTGTTGTAAATTTCCCTCTTAACATTGCTTTAGCTGTGTCCTAGAGATTCTGGTACTTCATCTCTTCATTCTCATTGGTTTCAAATAACTTTTTAATTTTTGCCTTAATTTCATTATTTACCCAGGAGTCATTCAGGAGCAGATTGTTGAATGTCCATTTAATTGTGTGGTTTTGAGTGAGTTTCTTAATCCTGAGTTCTAATTTGATTGCACTGTGGCCTGAGAGGCTGTTCGCTATGATTTCAGTTATTTTGCATTTGCTGAAGATTGTTTTACTTCCAATTACGTGGTCGATTTTAGAATAAATGCCATATGGAACTGAGAAGAATGAATATTATGATGATTTGGGGTGAAGAGTTCTGTAGATATCTATTAGTTTCACTTCATCCAGAGCTGAGTTAAAGTCCTGAATATCCTTGTTGATTTTCTGTCTTGTTGATTTGTCTAATATTGTCATTGGGGTGTTAAAGTCTCCCACTGTTATTGTGTGGGAGTCTAACTCTCTTTGTAGGTCTGTAAGAGCTTGTTTTATGAATGTGGGTGCTCCTGTATTGGATGCATATATATTTAGCATAGTTAGCTCTTCTCGTTGACTTGATCCCTTTAGCATTATGTAAGGCCCTTCTTTTGTATTTTTTGATCTTTGTTGGTTTAAAGTGTGTTTCATCAGAGACTAGGATTACAACTCCTGCTTTTTTTTTTCTTGGTAAATTTTCCTCCATCCCTTTATTTTGAGCCTATGTGTGCCTTTGCACGTGAGATGGGTCTCCAGAATACAACACACTGATGGGTCTTGACTCTTTATCCACTTTGCCAGTCTGTGTCTTTTAATTGGGGCATTTAGTCTGTTTACATTTAAGGTTAGTATTGTTATGTGTGAGTTTGATCCTGATCAAGAGTCATCATGATGCCATCTTGTTATTTTGCAAACTAGTTGATGCAGTTTCTTCACAGTGTCATTGGTCTTTATATTTTGGTGGTTTTTGCAGTGGCTGGTACCAGTTTTTCCTTTCCATATTTAGTGCTTCCTTCAGGAGCTTTTGCAGGGCAGGCCTGGTGGTGACAAAATCCCTCAACATTTGCTTATCTGAAAATGATTTTTTTTCTCCTTCAGTTATGATGCTTAGTTTGGCCGGGTATGAAATTCTGCATTGAAAATGCTTTTCTTTAAGAATGATGAATATTGGCCCCCAATCTCTTCTGGCTTGTAGCGTTTCTGCTGAGAGGTCTGCTGTTAGTCTGATGGGCTTCCCCATGTAGGTGACCTGACCTTTTCCTGGCCTTAACATTTTTTTTAATTTTATTTCAATCTTGGAGCATCTGATGATTATGTGTCTTGGGGTTGACCTTCTTGCGGAGTATCTTAGTAGTGTTCTCTGTATTTTCCTAAATTTGCATGTTGGCCTGTCTTGCTGGGTTAGAAAGTTCTCCTGGATAATATCCTGAAGTATGTTTTCCTGCTTGTTTCCATTCTCCCTATCTTCTTCAGGTACTCCAATCAATCATAAGCCCAGTCTTTTTACGTAGTCCCATATTCTGTCATCACTCCTATTCCACATAGTATTGGAAGTTCAGGCCTGTGCAATCAGGCAAGAGAAAGAAATAAAGAGTATTCAAATAGGAAGAGAGGAAGTCAAATTGTCTCTGTTTGCAGATGCTATGATTCTATATTTGGAAAACCCCATCATCTCAGCCCAAAATGCCCTTAATCTGATAAGAAACTTCAGCAGACTCTGAGGATAAAAAATTAATGTGGAAAAGTCACATATATTCCTTTACACCAACAGTAGACAAGCAGAGAGCCAAATCACAAATGAATTCCCATTCACAATTGTTACAAAGAGAATAAAATGCCTAGGAATATAGCTAACAAGGGAATGTGAAGTACCTCTTCAAGGAGAACTACAAACCACTCTCAAGGAAATAAGAGAGGACACAAAGAAATGGAAAAACATTCCATTCTCATGGATAGGAAGAATCAATATTATGAAAATGTCCATACTGCCCGAAGTAATTTCTACTTTCAATGCTATTCCCATCAAACTACCATAGACATTCTTCACAGATTAGAAAAAAACTACTTTAAATTTCATAGGGAATCAAAGAAGACCCTGTATAACCAAGACAATCCTAAGCAAAAAGAACAAAGCTAGAGGCATCAAGCTACCTGACTTCAAAATATACTACAAGGCCACAGTAGCAAAAACAGCATGTTACTGGTATCAATACAGACATATAGACCAATGAACAGAACAGAGACCTCAGAAATAACACCACACATCTACAACCATTTGATATTCTACAAACCTGACAAAACAAGCAATGGGGAAAGGATATCCTTTTCAATAAATGGTGCTGGGAAAACTGGCTAGCAATATGCAAAAAACTGAAACTGGACCCCTTCCTTACACCTTATACAAAAATTACCTCAAGATGGATTAAAGACTTAAATGTAAAACCCAAAACCATGAAAACCCTAGAAGAAAACCTAGGCAATGCAGTTCAAGACGTAGGCATGGGCAAAAACTTCATGACGAAAAGCCAAAAGCAATTGCAACAAAAGCCAAATTTGACAAATGGGATTTAACTAAAGAGTTTCTGCACAGCAAAATAAACTATCATCAGAGTGAACAGGCAACCTACAGAGTGGGAGAAAATGTTTGCAATTTACCCATCTGACAAAAGTCTGATATCCATAATTTACAAGGAACTTAAACAAATTTACAAGAAAAAAACAAACAACCCCATCAAAAAGTGGGCAAAGAATATGAACAGACACTTCCCAAAGAAGACATTTACGTGGACAACCAACTTACGAATAAAAGCTTAACATCACTGATCATTAGAGAAATGCAAATCAAAACCATAATGAGATACCATCTCACACTCGCCAGAATGTTGATTATTAAAAAGTCAAGAAACAATAGATGCCAGAGAGGTTGTGGAGTAATAGGAATGCTTTTACACTGTTGATGGGAATGTAAATTAGTTCAACCATCATGGAAGACAGTATGGAGATTCCTGAAAGATCTAGAACCAGAAATATAACTGGACCCAGCAATCCCATTACTGCATATATACCCAAAGGAATAAAAATTATTCTACCCTAAAGACACATGCACACGTATGTTTATTGCAGCACTATTTACAATAGCAAAGTCACGGAGCCAACCCAAATGCCCATCAATGATAGACTGGATAAAGAAATTGTGGTACATAAACACCATGGAATACTATGCAGCCATAGAAAGGAATGAGAACATGTCCTTTGCAGGGACATGAATGAAGTTGGAATCCATCATCCTCAGCAACTGACACAGGAACAGAAAACCAAACACCTCATTTCTTACTCATAAGTGGGAGATGAACAATGAGAATACATGGACACAGGGAGGGGAAAGATACACACCAGGGCCTGTTGAGTGTGTGGGGGCAAAAGGAGGGAACTTAGAGGATAGGTCTATAGGTGCAGCAAACCATCATGCCACATATATACCTATGTAATGAACCTGCACCTGTATCCTGGAAATTGAAGTAAAATAAATAAATAAATAAATAAATAAATAAGTAAAATAATCAGTATTTGGTCTTAGCTTTAAACTACTATACAGATTTTAAAATCTTAATGAGTTACAGTGCTTTTAAAATTTTTCTACTAGAGTATTTTCTATGATTACACTATTTCTAACATAAATGCCCAAAGAAAAAAGACTATCATTTCTAAATGACTATATTTCATATGATAAAGGAGAAATTGACTATAAAATTCATCTGACTATGTTAAATGAAACTGCAGTAAACTTATGAATTGCAAAAAAGAAGAAAAGTAATCCACACTAATTCCATATTTTCAGTGAAAGAAAATTTGTTCTGATTTGCATGTTGTGGAAAGGTTTCTGTATGTTAAAATTCAAATAAGAATATCTTGGACTGTGTTCATTGCACCCATAAAGAGAACCATAGCTAAATTAGGATGTTGTATGTAATTACATTCTTAATGATTTTAAACCATGTAGATCAAAGTATACAGGCACTAAGCTAAGAGAAAAATTAAGCAAAATAACAATTTTAGGTAAAATTACTTGTCTGCTAGAAACCTCCTCACTTATCTTAAGATGAAGACACAAATTCATACATAATTCTATACTCAGCCTGGTCTCTGCTATATGTTAAGGAGAACTTCTATGCAAATACTTTTTTTAATTTTTCAATAAAATTAATGAGCTTTTCTGTGCATGCATAATTTTATGAATCAAATAAATAGTACAAATAAATGATATTAATTTATGTAAGAAAAATGTTTGTGAGTAGTGAGAAAACAAATATGAATATTTCATGAGTGTTTTATAGGAGTTTAATCCACGGGAGGAGAATGAAAGTATTCATAGTGCCCAGAAACTTAAAAAAAAAAAAATTAGAGCTCATCTGACTGCTCAAACATACACTCTTAAGGCAAATTTAAAATTCAATGTACATATGATGTTTGCTAGAATGTAGCTTTTAAGTCCCTAATCCCAGTGAAGAATTCTTGTGGGCTCTCATGCACATTTTGAGAGTGAATTTTATTGATAGCGCATTTTAGATGACATTTAAATATAATAACTATAAAATTTTTGAAATTATGCCAACATATACTATTGTATTAAACATTATTTAACTTTTGGATTATTAAAACTACTTACTATAAACATTAAATATTTTATCTATTATAGTATATAAATGTCCTCAAAGGTTAAGGAGGGGTATAGAGCCATTCCATTATTCACTCAATGGCTTAAGATGCTTATATCAGCAAGATTCTAATCTTCTATTTCAATAGTACCATCCTATATGGAGTGATGAATGCCGCAGACTGACATGTACAGATATGATTTCAGAGGCTGGTACTATCTTGGTTCTCATTGCTTTTACTTTATGTATAGATTATGGAGATAATATTATTAATTTTTCTTATTTTTAGCATCTTGTATTCGTTCTTTTTCTGTGTATCAGTGTCTGTTCATCTTTCTTTTAATCTTTTAAACTAATGTACTGTTTTGATTTTTTAAACTAATGCACTGCCTGATTTGCCTTTTTACAAAATCTCCATTGCACATAACAGTGTTATTTAAAGATGCACCTATTCCAGGGTATTTGAAAGATCAATCATCAGGGTACACAAAGATAAATCAGAAAATATTTTCAATTCATCTAATCAAATAATATAAATTACAATTTAAATAATCACACTGAATAAATGATTGACAATACTGTGTATATATACACATTATATATGTATATGTATGTATGTGTGTATATATATACTATTTTAATATATGCGTGTGTGTGTGTTTGTGTGTGTGTGTGTGTGCCTCATGTGTCTTAATATCTTAGTCTCTTTTTATAAATTAGGAGACAGGGTTTCGCTCTATCACCCAGGCTGGGGTACAGTGGCACAATCATAGCTCACTGAAGCCTTCCAAAACCTGGGCTCAAGCGATCTTCCCACCTCAGCCTCCTGAGTAGCTGGGACTACACACGGCTAATTTAAAATTTTTTTCTTAGAGAAGAGGTCTTGCTGTGTTGCTCAGGATGGTCTCAAATTCCTGGCCTCAAGTGGTCCTCTTGCCTCAGCCTCCCAAATCACCGGGATTATAGGCATGAGCCACTGTGCCCTGCCTTAGCCTTTCTTTTCTGCCTTACCTCATATCTTTTCTCTACATAAATACTTGGCACTTTCATGTCTGTCCACTTATTATGTCCAATATGCATTTTACTTTCTTACAGTCATGCATGAATTTGTGTTATTCCTCCTCCCCATCATGTATGTATGTATGTATGTATACACACACACACACACACACACACACACACACACACACACATATCTCCTGTCACCAAAGGGGATTCCCTTTTGTCTTTAATGTTAGAATACACAGTAGAAGTAGCACATGTTACACACAGGTTAAATGCTGCTTTTAATTTAAAGGGTGGGAGAAAGAAGTAGGAATATATATATATATAGGTCCAATATATTCCAAGCGTTTATATGAGAATTCATGAGATTCATTTTTAGTGGAAATAGTTTTCTCTTCCTTTGGTACCCTATAGGAACTATTGCTCATACAGGTATTTTGCCAGCTGCTCACTTGTTAAGCAGTATGACATCAGTCACGCCTCTCTGTCTTGACTGCACATTGGAGGGCCTGTTTACCGTTCATTTGGCTCTTTGAGTCTTCCATATCATTTGAGGTGAATAAATGGATTATCTAATTACTGTTTGTTTACACTCAAATAAAACTAAATAGTTACTGTTTTCAAACATCTATAAATTATCAACATGTCCAGGTCAAATCAAATTAAACCATCTAAGCACATTGATCGTTTTATTCTTTCTTTGGAATTTGTAGAAAGAGAATCCACAAGCTTTTCTGGGAAGTAATGTTATGTAGTTAGCTGTTCTTCAATATTAATTCTTAATGAACATGAGTAAACCTTCATTCTACTTACCAAGATTTTTAAAAAATTCCATTGCAACAATTTATTTTATTCTAAGTGCAGACATAAGTAGACATTTTAGTAAAATTAAAATAGTAGTTTCTCTTCCTCTAAAGCACAGTCTTAATTGTTACTACTTCTTTCTCCCACCCTTTAAATTAAAAGCAGCATTTAACAACTGTGTAATATGTGCTACTTCTACTGGGTTATCTAACATTAAAGACAAAAGGGAATCCCCCTTGGTGACAGGACAAGCCTGTGCCGTTCTGGTAACGTGGGCTTGTCAATGAAAAATAAGATAAATTTCACATCACAGAGAAAATAATGGGCTTCATGACGCTGCTTCAACTTGGAAACCTCACCAGACATCTTCATCTCCACAGTTTATTGTGACACAGAAACACATAGCAAAAAATGTAGGTTTAAGTTTCAAGGCCCATGATTTTCTGTCCATGGTAGTGTTGTCTTTTTTCCCCATCTATTGGTTGGGCCACTCATACTACATTCTTTATCTTCAACTCTTTCTTGACAAATGATTCTCACTTAATTCTACAAATATTTGTCCTGCCTACTCTATTTCTTGATGCTCAGATTCTGAATAGCTTTAAAGAACACTTCCTTTCTTTCGTTTTAGGATATAGTTTATTAGTGACTTTATCTCTTATGTTATGTAATTTTCAGGAGGTTTTTTATCTCCTCTGATTTATAAATGTGAACTGACCACACACACACACACACACACACACACATAGATGTATGTACACACACATATATATTATATACACACATATACATATGTGTATATGTATATATACATACATATTCTAACACAAATGACTTCCTGCTTGGTCATCTTAATTGAAATGATATATGTCCATTCATTTAATTTAACAAAAACTGAAAAGCACCTACTATGTTTAGGGAGATTTTAGAATTTTGAATTGCTAGAGATTCCATAGTGAAGAAAGTAATACAATGTCTTCATGGAATTTACATTGTCGGGGGGGAAGATGTATTTATAGATGCATCAATAGATAAAATATCAATTTATATATAATATATAATATATAAAATATATTATATATTATAAATAAATATATAATATATACTATATATAGTATATATATTGTATATATATTGTATTGTGCATATAATTGTATATATAGTATAATATATACAATATATTATATATTATATATAAATATATATATTATATATATTTAATATGTATTATATATTTATATATCATTTTAAAAATATAATATATATTACTTTATATATTATATAATATATATAATATATAATATATTACTTTATGTATTAAAATATAGTATTACTTTATATATAAAATATAGTATTACTTTATATATTATATAATATATATAATATATAATGTATTGCATTATATATGAATAAACATTTCTATGAATTACATTATATATTATATAATATATAATATATATTACTTTATATATTATATAATATATATAATATAATTTATACTATATATTATATATTATATATTATTATATATTATATATTATATTATATAATATATAATATATAAAAATATATAATATATAAAAATAATATATACATATATAAAAATATAAATATATTTATAAATTATTATATATTTAATATATTATATTAAATATATATTATATATAATAACAAAATATATATAGTTTATATATAATGTTTAATATATCAAAATTTATAATTTTAAAACAGTTAATGATATAAAGTATGAAGAAAAATGAAGCAGAGCAAGATGCTGTGTAAGTGGGGGTGGGAATGGGGACTAATTTTATAAAGAGGAGTCAGCAGGGTCTGTGATGTTTAAGCAGAGTCCCATATGAAGTGAGGGCATGATCACATAAATACCTAGGGAAGCCTAGCCTTGGCAGAGGTCAGTATGAAGGGCGTCCTGCCTGGAATGGCATGATCAGAGAGAGGAATTAAATGAAGTAGGAGTAGACAGATAGCCAAGCCAATGTCCCATGGGGCCTTACAGGCTATGGAGAAGACTTTGCATTTTATTCTTAATGTCATGGAACCTTATTGAAAATCTCGTAAGTAATTCTAGAAAGGAGTATAGGAGAGGTCATTTTTAAGTACTGACATTATTAAAAGGGATCATTTTGAGTAGGGAACAACCTTTCTCAAAATCTCCTTTACCACATGAAGCAAAATTTTGGGGTTAGAAAAGTAAAAGTTACCTTCTGCCATATGTTTAGTAAAGATGAAGAATCCTTAGTGCATTGTATCACTTGATATACATTTTCCTTCTTTTTCTACATTAAACAAATGATTCTTTGCTATTTTTGAAATTCTCATCTTTACTAGTTCTCAAAATATTGAAATTTAGTTTCCCCCTGTATTATTCTTGAATTAGTCCTTAGAATATAAGGCGATGTTTATAGTTAAGGTTTGTTTTTGTTTGTTTCTTTCTTCGGTATGGTGTTTTTATTCTTGAAATACAGAGGTCTACAATGACAATAGTTCAGCGTCCTATGAATGTTCTTTTTGAATTTTTAAACAGTATGATGAAGGTAAGTTATGATTTACCATGCCTAGGATTTCTAGTTACATATTGTGGAAATTAATTGATCTAACTTTGTAGAAATTTGACCACCTACCCTTTTCTAAATATATATATAGACACACACAGAGAAATCATACTTTTCCTGTACTAATTACAAAACTCTAGAGTGATGTTAAATTTTTCATGCATTAAACAACTAAAGCCTACAGTGTGCCAAGGCACTGTTCAAGGAAGTGAGAATATAATCACAAAAATTCTTCCCTAATTCATATTAAATTGTATATATGGAGTGTGTATGTTTGTGTATACCCATTGGAAGTTTGTTTTATTCTGCCAACTGATCTAATTAGATAAACTTAGTCAATATATTTGAATCCCACATTCCAGCAGCTATTTTCTCCATTTGCTTTTATTGCTGTTTGTGGTGAGTTTGATATATAATTTTAAGGTGTTAACATCCCTAACTTATGTATGGGTACAGCTCATAAATACGAACCTGTGTCATGCAACTCATATATGACTGTGTTCAAAATAATGTGTATTAGACTGTAAAACGATTTTAATATTTTAAATAACTTTCCTGCATTTGTCGGTTTCAGCAGGAAAGTTATTTTTAATAACTTCCCTGTATTTGTTGGTTTCAGTATTAATTAATCTCATTAATGCTAAACTTTGTGATCCTAGGTTAAAAAACATATTCAAGATAGCTTCAGAATGTTTGGTATACAAATAGGTCTGGCTAAATATAAGTGTTAGCTTTCTCAAGCATCTAAATGCTGGCGGGCTTTTAAAAAACCAGGGCTTTAAGGAGAAAACACCTGCTCTGTGGTTTTGTAGCAGATATGAAGTATTCAAATTTCTTAATAAATAGAAAAAGAAATATATAACAGAAACAGGTTGCACTTGTCTTTCTCATTAAGCAGGTGGTTAGTACCATTATTTGCATTCTCATAGCCTTAATATACATTTTCCTTCTCTAGATACAAGGGGAAATTATCACAAATTTGCCTAAGGATAGCAATTAGGATTACTAATTTATTCTTCTTTGCATTTTATTAAGCTTTACCAAATACAAATGAATTTCATAAGGGAAGATTATATGTGTTTTTACGTCTACCATTATAAATTTGTATGCCAAATAAGATCACATGGTTTCTTTCCCAAATTCTAACATAATCTTCCACTCAGAGTCCTTTTAAAAGGAAACCTATTGGCAAAAAAAAAAAAAAAAAAAAAAGTTTAATTTGTCCTGTTTGATGACTCAATACAGCCAGGATATCCCAGATCAAAAGTTATTGGAATAATATGATTTCATCGTTTTTACATTTATACCTACAATTATTTGTATTCACTGCAACTTTAATTTAGAAATACTCATTTTTTTGAGCTCTAAAATGCAAGGTTCAAGTGATTTTTTTTCCTTTTAATTTAGGAGGAGATCCAATAGAATAATTCAAATAAGCATTTTCAGGTTCTATGACATGCTCATAAGAAAATAAATTATTCATAGAAATGTTTATTCATAGAATTACTGTCCTAATAATTTAACTTCTCCAGAAAACATGTTTTAAAATGCTATATATCAAAATAACGTGTAATCTTTCAAAATAGCATTAGAAAAATATAATGCAATATTTTCCTGAAATATTTGAATTATTATTTAGGAATACAATTCTTGTCACAAATATTTAGTGATGTGAAAATCTCGGCAAACCATTCATATTAATTCATTTAAAATATTTAAATAAATAACTTGAAAATGAAAAATTTGTGTTAAGCAACAACAAAGGACAGAAAGAAACATAAATGTTTCCAAATATCTAGAGAGATTAGAAGGTTTTTATGGCTTGAATTTCATTGAAAAATAACAAGCAATTTATTAGAATTAATGGAGATATCTGGGTTAACTATATAGAAGAATGGCTTAGCAAAGACAAATTTTAAATATTATTATGAATTTCTTCCCAATATAATATTAAAAATTCTTTCAAAATAAGAGAGAAAACTTTAAAAAAAGAAACAAAAACCTGCCTAGTGTTGCAATTGGTGCGTTGATCTCAAATCTTGTTCACATTCTAACAAGGCCTCTGGGCTTTCTGTGTGATTTGGTATGTTCCATAGTAGAGAATACAAATGATATAGCAAGAACAGTTCATTCATCATTATTAGCAAATTTGACTGGGAATCTTGAATGGGATATATGAAATAAATAGGTTGATTTCATAGTTTAAGAAATGACAGAATATGCTGGCCAGAGTGTATAATAGTAACAAAGTGGCTGGTACATGCATCTTTACTACAAAAGGCCTAAGAATAAAATCTCTAATTAACCAGAGAATCTGATTGACTTTATTCTGAATCTCTCTTCTCTGTATTTTTAGTGTGATTACAATTTGCTCCTGTGAACTATAAGGAAAATGCTGAATTGTATTCATTTTATAGTGCTAGCAATTCATGAGGATAATCAGCATGGATTTACATTTTTTTAGTCTAATGAGAACTCAGAAACACGTAATTAAGTAAAATATTCTGAGAAAGACACTGTGTCCTCTAATAGTTTAAATTAAATTTTAAAAAGATCTTACACCATATGCAAAAATCAACTCAAAATAGATTAAAGACTTAAAGGTAAAACCTGAGCCCATAAATCTACTAGAAGAAAATTTCTATAGAATGACTGTTTGGTACCCTCAAAATTTATATATTGAAACCTAGTCCTCAATGTGATGGTATTGGAGGTGGGGCTTTGAGAGGTATTAAATCCTAAGGGCAAAATGCTCATGAGTAGGATTGGTGCCCTTTTAAAAGATATTCCAGGGAGCGACCTAACTTCTACATCTATGTGAGGGTGGAATGAGAAGATGTCTATAAGCCAACAACCAGGCCCTCATCAGCTGTCGAATCTGCTTTCACCTAAACTTGGACTTCTCAGGCTCTGGAACTGTGAGAAATTTCTCTTGTTTATAAGCCACTTAGTCTAAGATATTCTCTTATAATTGTCTAAATGTAATAAGCCAGAAATGGGCACCAAAAAGTAGAGGTGCTGCTCTAACAAATACCTGAAAATGTAGAAGAGGGTTTAGAATTGGGTAATGGCTAGAAGCTGTAAGAGTTTTGCAGTACATGCTAGAAAGTGTTGGCATTGCCTCAAATAGACTATTAAGGGAAATTCTTGTGAGGGCCCACAAGGGAAAAAAGAGCTACATAGAAAGTCTCAGTATTCTTTGTGAATACTTCTTTGTGAAGAGAATTCTGTTGATACAAATATAAACAGTAAAGGACGTTCTGATGAGGTCTCAGACAAAAATTATGACATGTGTTGGACAATGGAGGAAAGGGCATCATTGTTAAAAAGTGGCAAAGAGGTCTGACGCGGTGGCACACGCTTGTCATCCCAGCACTTTGGAAGGCCGAGGCGGGCAGATCATGAGGTCCGGAGTTCGAGACCAGCCTGGCCAATATGGTGAAACCTTGTTTCTACCAAAAATATAAAAATTAGCTGGGCTTGGTGGCATGCGCCTGTAATCCCAGCTACTCAGGAGGCTGAGGCAAGATAATTGCTTGAACCCAGGAGGCAGAGGTTGCAGTGAACCAAGATCATGCCATTACACACCAGCCTGGGCAACAGAGCAAGACTCCTTCTCAAGAAAAAAAAAAAAAGTGGTGAAGAACTCAGGTACACTATGTTAGTATGCTAGTGTTTTTGGTAAGTTACAACTTGTGTGTGATGGAATCAGATATTCGCCTGGAAATTTCTCAACAAAGTGTTGAAGAAGCAGTCTGATTTTTCCTGACTGCTTATATTAAAGGGCTAGAGAAATACATGATTTAAAGATAGAATTATTAATCAAAAAGGATGCAGAACTTTTTACCGTATCCATTTTGTAACAAATGAGAAAAACTGGGAAAGAACATTAAGGGTTTGGCCAGGAGGACATTTGATATAGAGATTGATTAGCATGGATCAGCCATCTCAGTCGAAGCTAGGAGTTAATTTTTCCAGACAATGGAGGAATGTCCATGAAGCAGATACAAAGATAATTAGAGCTGCCACTCCCATCACAGGATCAGGGTTCAGGTGCCTAGGAGACAGGAAGTTTCAAAGGAAGGTTTGAAGGTGCCTACAGGATCTCCTAGTGCCATCTCACATCGTGGGCTCTGCTCCTGTTACGCCAGCACTACGCCTCTCATTGTCCCAGCTGTGGCCCCACTGGGGCCTGGTCTCGGGTAGGACATGGTGGGTGCCCCTTCAGAGAACATAGGCAGCAAACTTTGGTCATGTTCCTGTGGAACCATCTCCACCAGGGCACAATGTGCCCCCAGGCCCTGGGAGCGTGGCTGCCTCCACGTGGATTTCAGAGGAAGGGCCTCTTAGCAGAGCTGCAGGCTCAGGTCCCTAGCTCTGGAGAGCCGCTGGGCCCCAGCAGAGAACTGGTGTAGGAGTGGGGCTCAGGCACTGAGCACACTTAGGGGCAGTGTGGGAGTGGAGCAAATCAATGGGAGTGGAGCCTTCTTAGCCTTGGAAATGGTGCCTTTATTAGATAGACCTCAGAGAGCTGCTTTGCCCCTTCTGCAATGTGAGGAAAAAGTGACATATGTATAAACCAGGAAGCAGGCCGTCACCAGACACTGAACCTGCCAGCTCCTTGATCTTGGACTTCCCAGCCTCCAGAACTGCGACAAATAAAATTGTGTTGTTTATAAGCCTCCTAGTTTATGGTAATCTCTTTTAGCAGCCAGAATGTACTAAGACAGAAATATAGGGAAAAGGCTTCTTGGCGTTGGTCTGCACAATGATTATTTTGCATATGACACCCAAAGCCTAGGCAACAAAAGCAAAAATAAACAAGTGGGATTGCATCAAGATGAAAAACTTCCGCACATAAAAGGAAACAACCAACAGAGCGAAAGGGAATGTATAAAATAGGAGATCATATTTGTCAGCCATATACCTGATAAGGGGTGAGTCTCCACAAATATATGAAAAATTCATACAACTCAATAGCACAAAACCAAATAACCCAATTAAAACATAAGCAAAGGATCAGAATAGCTATTTCCCAAAAGGAGACATACACATGGCCAATAGGTATATGAAACGGTGCTCAGTATCACTAATCATCAGAGAAATGAAATCAAACCACATTGAGATATCAACTCACACCTGTTGGGATGGCTTTTTTTTCAAAGAGAGAAAAGTTAAGTGTTCGCAAGCATGTAGAGAAACGGTAACAGTGTACACTTGTACACTGTTAGGGAAAATAGTATGACATTTCTTAATTCAGCAGTCCCATATCTGGGTATATATTCTCAAGCGAAATGTGTACGTCTATGTTCTTTGTAGCATTATTCACAAGAGCCAAGATTTGGAAACAACCTTAATGTCTATCTGTGAATGAATGGTTAAAGAAAATATGTATATACACACACACACACACATATGCCATATTTATAATATATATAATATATATACACACATATAATATTCCTGTATGCATACATATGTGTATAGAATGTTTATATATATTATATATAATATTGTTTATATATTAGAATATAGGATATTGTTATATATTTATACATATGTATACATTTATATACATTATTTATATGTACACACATATGTATATAGACATAAAAAAGAATTGCTGCATGATCTCACTTATATGTGGAATTTAAAAGAATCATACTCATAGAAGCAGTGAGTAAAATGGTGGTTGCCAGGAGTGAGAGATAAGGGAAGTGAAGAAATGTTGGTCAAGGGATACAAAATTTCAGTTATGCAAGATGAATGCATTCTAGAGAGATAATGTACCGCATTGTGACTATAATTAATAATGCCATATTAATGATACATATGGATATGTGCTAAGTTAATAAGAAATGTAACTATAGTTAACAATGCATATTAAAATGTACTAAGAGGCTACATATTAAGTGTACAAATACAAACATATTAAAAAACTGGTAAATATGAGAATTGGTAGATATGTTTAATTAGCTTGAATTTATGGTGATTATTTCAGAGTGTATGCATATATCAAAACATCAAGTTAAACCCCTTAAATATATATAATTTTATTGGTAAATTATCTCTCAATAAAGCTGGGAGAAAAGCATATACAGTAATATCATTTTTCTTATTTATCATTTTTATTTTTGTTTGTATTGAATGTTTTATTGGGAGATAATACATTTTCCTTATAATTCGCGTTTATGAGGATTTTCATTTACTACAAAGTGCTCTCTGTACTCTAGTTTTATATTAATAGGTCAATATAAAGCTATGGGTCATACAAAGCTTTAACTTAAGCTAGAATCATGTTCAAATCCAAACTCTGATGCTTAGTGGCTAGTTCATCTTTCTGAGCCTCCCTTTACTGGTGTAGGAAATGGAGAATGTAACCAAACTCTGTTAGTTCTGGTATTAAATGAAATAGGATCAGATAGGACTTGAATAGTAGATTTTTCCCTAAAACAAACTTTAATTTGGAAAAGTAAAATTTGTTTTCAATGTTCAGCAACAAGAGCAGAGTGCATTTGTAATAAAGGATAACTACTATAGATTTAACAAGTGCTCTCATTGGGTCAGTTTTCTTTAAAAGTGGTGTTTCATTTGGTATAATTTTTAAAAACATAAATTCAAGCACTAACTGCTGAATTATTATTTTACATTTAAAATGTGTAGGCTAGATGAGGGCTGAGGACAGTATTTATGGTATGTGATATGTGTCCTCACAAGATCCTTATAATAAAAAGATTCTCACAGTATAGTAGCCAAATACAATAATGAGGGTGTGATCAATAACTGAGAAAAATTATATAGAGATGTTATTAGGAGGTTAAATAGGTAAAATGGAGGTTAGAGTTTCCGTCAGCACAGAAGAGAGAAGAGCATTTAATTACAAAACCTTAACTCATCCCAGTTCACCTGGCTAAAAAAAAAAAATTAAAAAGTTTGTGGCAGAAAAAGAATTTGGCAGTATGGACATTTAGGGAAGTTAGCAATTTTGTGAGTGAAAAAATTTAGCAATTTTCTGGTTATCTGACATCATGAAGATATTTTATGAATATTTTATAAAAATCTACGCATTTAGACTATAGAAGGAAATGTTTAGTAATTACACATTTGTGATATTTTACGTACTCAGTGGACCTTGAAAAAACGTCAGTTGAATTTTTCTTGCATAAATAATTTTACGTATACTAAGAAGTATTATATTTGAAATGAAAAATACTATAAATTGTTTATGAAACATATTTTGTTCAATGAAACTGTTATGTTTTTAAATTAATGTTTTTATATAAGGCAAAGTTTTTCTATTTAAATAGGAAGCCATCTGATTTTAAGGGTAATATGTACTTCCTGTATAAAATCTCGCAGCAATTAAACTCCAATTGTTAAATTGTTTATTTTGAGTATAACTTATACTCATGATGGAAAGTTACATAAGCAGTACAATAAATATGTTGTAAACATTTGGATGTGCTGAACTGTGATCTTAAAATAATGCCATCAACATATTGTTTTGATGAAAGTCCTAGACAAATGACACATCATTATTAGATTAATTTTTCTTTCCACTGTTCATCAAAATATATATCCATATAAATGTTTTATTAACCAATAATCTATCCATAAAAGTTATTTATACCAAAATATGTATGCATACAGGTAAAAGTATGATTCATAAAATATTTAAAGTACTGTTAAAAAAACTAAGATTATATTATTAATATTATGCAAGTAATGAGAACTTCAAACACAATATAATTTGTGCAAAAATGTAAATTTCAGAAGTAAGTGAAAATATAATTGAACTGAGATGATTACATACCTAAGCTTCTAAGGAAACTTAAAGGCAATTTCATTAATAATGGAATTCCCTCTGAAGTCATTCGTACGTGTGGAGCTGGCATCAAAGTATTAAAATGTTCTGCGTGTGTATAGAAACAGTAAAAAATTATTTTTATTTTGCCTGTTGCTAACTCCTGCAGAAGTCAGTCAGATAATTCTCTCAAAAATAGACCTGCTTTTGTTTCTTTTAATTGTTTACAGATCAAAAGCTTTTTTAAGTGAGAAACTTGAGGGACTTCACTGTGTTTTCAGATCTATCTGAGGGGATTAACACCAAGTGTTATTTTGGATGATCAGTTTTACCCTTGCTAAGCTTTGTAATTTCTCATAGCTCTCTGAGTTGTTGCACAGTACTTGACAATATGAACAGTTCCATTGGGGTTAAGTGATAAAGCAGTTCTACATCTGGGGAGACTGTAATTGCTTACGTTGAATAGGACAAAAACCCCATGAAGAGAGCCAGGGTTTGAGAAAGGAAAGAGAACATGAATAAAAATAATCTTACTTTAGAATTTTGCTGAGCTTAATTAGTTACCAAATATGTATTTAGTTGATGTCGTTGCTGCAATTGTTGTAAATATTCTATAGCCTCTACTTCTCTTGACAGCCAACAGGAAGTAATTTATAATGCATTATAGGAACAAAAAATTATTTTGTGTAGTTCCCTTTAATAAAGTCTGGTTCTCTAATAAAAAGAGAATAAACTTTCAAATTCAAATTTTTCTCTCTACTATGATCATTTCCAAACTTATAAAAAATGTAAAAAGATTTATATTTTTCTGTCATTTTTAAGTTAAAGTGTTTTTAATGTATCTTGACTTTTTTGTCTTTTTTGCCTTTATAGACAGGTGATAAAGCGTTATTTCTAAAATTCAGTTATATATAAATGATGTAGAAATATTAGTGCAGGAAACTAGATTCTATAGAGAATTCATTTCTGTTGCCGTGTTAAAGAAAAATTCATGATTGTTTATAATTTTTGGAAGAACCGTGTTAAGATTTGTAAATCGTGCTGACTAAATATAGCTCTAAAATACCTTAATTTATACTTTGTCCTTAAAAGCTTTTACTAGTTTGTAATCTAGATCTGCTTTCTCCTAATTCTGGAGTTTGAATTTCTAGTAAATTACAAGGCAAGAACCCATCCCACACTTCAGTTTAAGGTTCTGTTGTTCTGTTTGTATATGCAGATTTAGGGAAAGAAAGTCTCACATTAACTATCTTCATAATTTGAGGTACAACTCTATTATTGAGTACACAGCCTTTCATTTTCCAAGTGGTAGTTTTCTTTCAGTCCCTACCTTGGGTGTTCAGAAACTCTTGTTTGGTAAAATGCCAGTAAATTACAGATGATTTAATGTATATATCCTCTCATTTAAGAAAGGCAAGTCAAATTACAGATCCAGGCTTTGCCTCCTCCAAATCTTTTCCCTCTCTCACTTTAATGTAGTCTCAATGTGTGGAGTTCTATTTCACACAATAATCTTCATGTTCACGCAGTGTTAATAAGCCTCATAATAAGAGTTATTGTATCAAAACCTGCATTCACGAATCAAAAACAAACTGACTTCTTGTATATAAACTTTGCAAAACTTACATCAGTAGGTTTATTTTATACCTCTTCCCTATAATTTTAAAGGTTATCTATAAAACCTCTCTTTGGCCAGCTTTCAGTTTTCATGTTTTAGCCCAGGACTGTAATAACAGTTTAGCCATCGGTGTGCCCTCTTCGCTCCTTTCTTCTGCCAACTGATGTGAAACTCGGTCAGTACATGGGTAAGCCTTGAATCTGAGAACAGAAACATGTGAGGAAACAGGGAAATTCCATTCTGAGTTGATACAGTGTAACTAAGGAAATACTTAGCCTTGGCAGAGGTAGTGGGGCATGCAAAACTCCTCATAGCGCCTGTGAAATGTTGAAGGAAGGGGATTGCTGACAATACAAGCCAGAAAGAGCTTTTGCCTGAAATACTCAGATAATTCAAGTAAGATCTGCACTTGATTTTTTTTTGCTGGGGTATGTGGGGTGAGTATCATCTTTATTGTTTAACCTAATTAATAACCTCAACTTTTCTCACAGTAGGTTTGCCCTGGTACTTTGGTAGCTCTGCTGTTATCAATTTTTAACCTACAAAGATGAAGAAATCATATCTAGAATAATGATCTCTACACTTCTGATTTATGTAGGATTTTATTTGCAATTGAAAGTGCATGTTTAAATTCTTTTGCTTCTCTTTTTGCCTTGTATTAAGAAATACAATTGAATATAAGCATTGCCAGATGCCATCACCAACGCAGCCAAGTCACAGACTACTGAATGCTCTTAAAATGATGTTGCAGCTGCACCAGGATATCACAGAAATATGGAAAGGCATACCATATATCAAAGTTGGCTGTTTTATAAAAGGGCGTTTATTCTTCAAGTCTTATTCCAAAACATGTTAGGCCTTAGGACAGCCAATATGATGTTATAGCACAGTCTGTGTTCTATTGCACTCTTTACCCTAATGAAGCATGACTAGATATAGCATGGGGCGTATGAGCCTAGCTCACCTTTGCTTTTGCTTTTAAAAATATTCATTATCTGATTTAATTAATAAAATATTGTGATTTTTAAACTCTTGTTAAAGGAGTTCAAGACCAGCCTGAGCAACATAGTGAGACCACATCTCTATTAAAACCAAACAAAATGCTAAATAAATGCCTTGATTGTAAACATTGAGGAAAAGAATGGAACAAAAGGAAGCATCAAAACAAATTCATGTTATGCTGACTTTCAGCAGAGGCTTTACATCTTAAAGACAGTAAAATTCCAATTTACTAGCATTTTAGCAACCTTGGTTAAATTTCCTCTTCTCATTCCATAATCTATATAAACAACTCTTTATCTATGCACTCAGCTTCTCTTCAGTGTAACTATATACTTTTCTGGGGCTTAAATTATATACCATTAACTACCAGTTATCAAGTGGGTTTGGGTTTCCTGAAAAGTTTGCAGGTCATTACCCTGTCAGAAATCATTGAATTCAAGCCTTGGCTATGCCATTTATCCTTGCAGCTTCTAATCAGTAGGATTTCTGTGCCAATCAATCTATTCCCAATTGGCCTCCCTTAAATCTGAAATAATGTATTATAATCTGAGGCTTCAATAAGGCAGTACACTCTAAAAAGCAAGTTCAGTTTTCTTATAAGGTTGAGAAATTGAGAAATACGAAAGTAAATTTTGCCATTTGGAAATTTAATTTTTTTTGTTGATTTTAGAACATCTGTACAGGATTAAGTAATGTCTGGTTGATATGTGTGTTGTGGCTATTAATATTTATCTGGTATTAAGTAATTTTTATATATTTTTTCTTTTAATTTTGGACACAGTACATTCAACAATGTATTTTTTTCTTTTCTAGAATGTGATAATATAGATTAAATGATTACAATACAAAATGCTAAGCCAGACCTAGTGGCCCACTCCTGAAATCCAAGACTTTGGGAGGCTGAGGTGGGCAGTTTGCTTGAGCCCAAGAATTCAACACCAGCCTGAGCAACATAGTGAGACCCCATCTCTATAGAAAACAAACAAAATGCTAAATAAATACCATGATCATAAATATTGAGGAAAAGAATGGAACGCAAGGAAGTATCACAACAAATTCATTAAGTATCCTCATATAATACAGAGAATATGTTATCTAGTAAATTATAATATAATCATTAGAAATAATATTAATAAATTATATTACAATGTTATTGCATGTATATCATTTCTGGTCATGGTTTATGTAAAACTATAGTTCTGCAAAGATAATCTTAATTACCTATGATTTAATCTTTTATATCTCCTAATATTAATTGATTATGTGACTTGGAGTTACTGTGTAAACCAGACATAACTTCCTTTTGATTTTCATCAAGATATTGTTATATCCCCTAGCTGAGTTTCTGCTTTCTTTAGCAAAAGCATTTAAAGAAAGTGGCAACTATAAAATTCTGGTGGCTCCATCAGATGAATTTTTGAAGATGTAATATTTTGAAATCTATAATTGCATCCAAAATTAACAAGGGTCAAATAACAAGGGTTGACATGACCCAGATATTTCTAGTAACCTTTATTTCCTTGTGCCTTTTCATATTCTTCCTTAGTGTCTTATTGAATCCAGGTCTGGTAGAGTATGTAAATGAGAAGAAACTCAGAGTGAAAATACAAGTTATGAGTAGGCTTCAAACTAGAATTAAAACAACTTGATTTGATTTGAAATTGTAGAATAAACTATTTTTGCTGTATTTTCAACTTTGTCACACTTGTTTGACATGACTAAATCACCTGACATTGGAAGCCAATCTGCATATTAAATTCCATGATTCTATTAAATACTATAGAAATAATCTATGTAGAGTACTTCTACTTGAGACACATACAGAATATATGCATTTTAGCATCATTAACATCATTCTTGGTTTTTGGATATTAAAAAGATTTAACTTTCTACTTTGAGAATGTGTCACAAATGAAACGGGTAATTTTCTTTGAAAGTACGTGGCTTGGAAAGCTAAAATAGAGGTGAAGAAGAGAACTATTCACAAATCAGTTTCTTCTTATATGACTTATCTATTTTTTAGGTATTTCATGGAAAGATTTCAGTGAAATTATTCACTCAGAATTGTAATAGTTTGATTTGTTTTCCTTATTAAAATGTGTCCAATTAGATATATATGTATATATATGTTTTATTTTGTTTTGTTTTGTTTTTCTTCTAGCAATGGTTGTTTTGAACAACCTGGAACCAAATACAACTTATGAAATCAGGGTTGCAGCTGTAAATGGAAAGGGACAAGGAGACTACAGTAAAATAGAAATCTTCCAAACATTACCAGTTCGTAAGTAATCATCTCTATTTTTTATTCTCTTTTGTCATTTTCTTCACTTGCAAATTTAATAGATTTTAAAATGTAGGGAGATGTTTCAACACTTTTGAGACATGAATTATGTCTTTGGTGAAGTGGTTTCTGAAGACAGTGACATCTGAGATTTATTAACATAAAAATAACTTTGCTTTAGAGCAAGGCAGAAAAAAAAGAGTGCACTAGAATACACTCAGTAAAAATTGTTCCCGGGAAATTGTCCTTATTGCAAAAGTGTCCTTCTTACTTATGGTCTGATTAATTGGATTGTAGTCTTCAGACTATATTCTGGGAGAAGAAAAATGTCTATGTAACATGTTCAATATTTTGTTCTTTTTGGAGGCCTGACTATTGACCTTGTTCCACAAATTATATGGGCTCTAAGTGTCAGAAAAGGAATCATTATGTTAATTCATTAAAACAGTGACTGCAGGAGAAGCCTTGTTCTGATAACTATCATATTTTGGGGAATTGTAAGTTAATTGAGTTTACATAGAGTGAAGATTAAATTTTAAAAGACTTAACATTTCCTTTATGTTAAATAAATTACTTTAAATGTGAGAAAACATAATAAATACGACTGAACCACTGTTATAAAAATCTATGCGTAACACTGCCTGATATATATATCTTTATATATATATATATATCGTTGTATATGTGTATATATATATCTTTTTATATATATATATATGTTAGGACAGTCAAAATGGCTGCAATATATTATCTTACAGAGTATCTCTCTATTGGTAATCATAAAATCTGTCAGGTAAGTTTCTTTTCTCCATTCCCAATGCTGGTGGTTAAGATAACCAGCCAGATACGGTGGCTTACACCTGTAATCCCAGCATTTTGGAAGGCTGAGGCAGGCAGATCACTTGAACCAAGAAGCTCAAGACCAGCCTGGGTGATATAGTAAAACCCTATCTCTCCAAAAAACAATAAAAAAAGAATCAGCTGGGTGTGGTGGTATGCACTTGTACTCCCAGCTACTTGGGAGGCTGAGGTGAGAGGTGAGAAGATCACCTGAGTCTGGGGAAGTCAAGGCTGAAATGAGCCATGATCACACTATGGAACTCCATCCTGGGTGACAGAGTGAAACCCTGCCTCAAAAAAAGAATGAAGAAAAGAAAGAAAGAAAAAAGAAATGACAATAACCTGCTGAGAAGAAATAACAGGTCATGCCGGTTTAGAGATATGAAATCCTTTTCAGTGCATGGTCTGTTTTTCTTGGCCCTTCACATAGAAAATTCTTGCACTTTGGTAGATCCCTGTTCTATTCAAAACAATATAAGCATCATTGTTATATGGCTATCTCTATGTTGAAGTATAATATCAAAGGCAAGTATATGAATGAACCTAGAAGAAAATGAAATATTGAAACACAGGTCTATAAAATTGGATACTGCAAACTTTATTCAAATTTGCACCCAGGAAAGAAAATGCTTATTAAAGCACATTTACTAATTGCAAGTCATTATCTTTACTGGTAGGTATATATTCCATACAGACTGATGTGTTAATGTATTCATATTAATAAATGCTTACAAAACATTTACAAACTAAATTTACATTAAGAAAATAAAAATGATTTAATACTATTAATAATAAGAGAAATAAAGTTTTACATTTGTGCAATGCTATACTTTTCTCAGAGCATTTGCATATCAGTGAAAATAATATATTTGGTCCTCAGGCTACAGTTTTGGCATGACACTTCTAGATTTATAATGTTGCTGCTTCTTGGATGGGGAAAATGTTCAGAAATTATATCACAAAAGGGCAATGTCAAATGGTAAATCCAGGATAACACCATATATTTTGATTACATTACTGTTCTTTTTATTAAAATATAGTTTATCTAGGTATCTGAAATGTGTGCAAATGAAGAAATGTTGTATTGTATATCTAGGTGAACCAAGTCCTCCATCCATACATGGACAGCCAAGCAGTGGAAAGAGCTTTAAACTCAGCATCACCAAACAGGACGATGGAGGGGCCCCTATTTTGGAATACATTGTGAAATATAGAAGTGTAAGTACCTTGTTTATTGTCATATCATGCTAGGTTTTTTCAAATTAAATTGAGTTGCACTGAATTTATAAACATATCAGGAGAGAATGTGTATTTAGTAATTGTGGTAATAAATGCTAATCTTCCTTCCATTCCTGACAGTCATCATTGTGATTTTTTTTTATTTTTTTTGTAAAATCTAAGCATGGATCATCAAAGTATTCTCATGGTTTTCATCTTATGATTTTTAGGTGTGAAATGGGACTAGTAAACATTTCAGAAATGAGATATTATTTCCCCTGTTTTGCTGACAAGCTTCTCATTTTATTTGATATTAGTAACTTCAGGCTAAGTCCCTGGCAATCATATGTTAGGTAATATTATTAGAAAAATCACACCTCAAAACAAATTAATCAAATAATTTGACTTACTTATCCATAATGTTTAACAAAGAATGGCCACGGTGAACTTGATGAAGAGGGAATCCTTTTCTTCAACTTTAATTAGCACTATCCAGTAAGGATGTTTGGAGAGCTAAAAGCTGCACACAGATTTTTGATAGAGGTTAGAGGTAAACAATGTTCACTAGTTGCAGAGTCATAGAGTGACACTATGGACAACTGCGTTTTGCCTTCAGAAAAGATGATTTCAAAAGCCACTG
The DNA here is from genome assembly GCF_000001405.40 of Homo sapiens. Taxonomy (NCBI): domain Eukaryota; kingdom Metazoa; phylum Chordata; class Mammalia; order Primates; family Hominidae; genus Homo; species Homo sapiens. The sequence goes on from NC_000021.9 coordinate 21,469,424, forward strand.
AAAATAATTTCTTCAACATTTTTTTCCATAAGTACCTTGGAGTATTGGTGTCTACTGTAAAATAAGTTAAAAATGAAACACAATTTTAAGTTAAATTTTCTAAGATTCATACAACATGCGTTTTATGCTTATGTTGACTGAATCCATATTAGTGCTATCCAAATTAATTATATTTTAGCAGATCATGTTTAAAATAATTACTCCATAGTAGTGTGTGGGTTAATTTTCAGTATTTTCTCATCAATTTTCTAAATTATAATACTGCTGCTTCTAAATGGAAAGATCTACATTCTGAGGGGTAATAAAAAAGAAAAATTTGATTTTGAATGGCATATTTTAATAATTAATTTTAGATATCAAATCAATTTTTAAAATTTAAGATTAATACTCCTTTCAGAGGACAAGTTTTTGTCCCAGCTTTCATACTCAAGTGAGGTCTCCTGGCCATTCTCATTTGCACATTTGTAAACACGGTAGAAGAGAGATAATCTTTTCTAGGGAGGTAGGCTTGGCCAGAATTCATGAATTGGACTGTTAGAACAGGCTTTCCATGCAGATTGTTGCTCACAATTCTAGGATGAAAAAATTTATTGTACAAAATACTGGGGGATAGTAACAGTTTGTAAGGAATTCTAATACAATCCCACAGTGGACTCTAAAATGCAATGACTACTTGTGAGACAACGTGTTGTATATTTTTATTTGTACTGTATTGTCAGTAGTGGCCCCAGTCATTGATGTAATCAAAAATATTTCTTGAGTAGCACTGCATCTATTTAGAGCAAAGCAGAGTCACAAATGGAAATAATGACATTTTAGACAGCCATATATTTATGTATACATATACACAGTTTAAAACATAAATTACTATTTTAAAAATCTGACTTCAAATTCATATTGATTTCTTTAAATGTGGATTAGAATTAATCTTTTTTGAGAAGTTATGTGTGAAACACAGATGGATAGAAATAAGTAAGATTTTAAGCATAATGAGATTAGTAAGATTGAAGAGACTCAAGTTCATATAATGGTACTCAATAAATTTTACCTTTGCACATAGTTGCTAAGGTATAGTTGATACGGCTTACTGATAAAGTTTAAACAAGAACAAATTTTGTCTCCAGTAAAGTTACTCCTTCCGTTTTCTCGCCTTTCTCTTTCTCCTCCCAACCTAATGGTAAAAGTGCCTGGTTTCTTCCCAGTTACCCAGTGTCTGTGCTTACCACGCCAATAAAAGTATGTCCTTTTCCCTCCTCTTCTTTCTAATTTCCAACCCTTTCTAACTCCAGAAGTGCTAGAGGATCTGTTTTTCATAACACATTGGAAATGATTGATTGTATTAATTCATACATAACTATAATTGTCTGATAATCAATCAATTACTAAGTTATCCATCTTAGAGCTACTATCATTTTAACAGGGGACATTGTTTTAATAGTAGAAATTTAGGCACCTATGGCAAATTTTGCAAAGGGAATGATTCCATATCCTTTGTATTATGAGATAGGCATTGCTCACTCTTGGCTATTTTGTATTTTGTAATTAATCAAATATAAAGTGATACTTTTTCACATTTTTTTCAAGCGCCAATGGAAAGTTAGAGAATTTGAGTGACTTGGTGGGGAGAGGGAACAGACATCAGAATGTAATTCATAACAGTCTAAATATGGATGGCAGCAGTACTGGGCAAGAGGCAACCCCTCAATCACTATCTCATCTCAGCTCAACTGCCCAGCTCTTGTGCCTTCGGATACAGCCATCCTGGCACAGTTTCTCTTGACCATATCACTTGATAGTATGCCTTCTAGTTTCATCATTAAAATACTCTATATATCCCTATTTTGTTGTTGTCTCTTCTCTTCTCCACCTCCTCCATCCTGTCAACATCATGCTCTGAGGATCCAATTGGAGATACCATGATTGAATAAAAAATGAAATAACTACTTCAAAAAGTTCTTGATCATCTGTTCTCTTTATATGATTCCAAACTACTTCATCTATTAGTTTCTCAAACCACATGAACTCCACAGTGGAATAAAGTGCAACTGAATAACTTGAAAAAATGGTTTAGACATATTCAATATATTTTTAATAAAAAATGAAGAAAAAAGTACATAGAGGAATCTGGAAAATAAGAAACAGCTCTAAGATTTTCACTTCTTGATTTCTTCTTTGGCCACATCTTTCAACTCCAGTGTGCACAGGGCTATATTCTGAGAACAATGTAATTTAGACAATATATTCTTTATATGACTTGATTTCTAGCAGACACTGAATCTAAGCCTTTAATTTGGGTTTCACTGGGAAAGGACAAGAATAGCTATATCCTATTATAGAAAGTGTAAAACTCCCTATAGATTATGAACCAGGAAACACCATTATTCTGTCAGCCTGTAATACAGCACATGGCTTTGTTCACTCACCCATTACAAAGACAGAATTTATTGGAACAGAACTAGAGTAATAAAAGCAGAATGAGATATTTCTGTGGACTCTTCATGAAAATTAATGTCTCTAACAATAAATCAGTAAGTTTAAACCGTGTGTTTGGAAAATAAAGACAAACATATTAATCTCATGAAATGTTTGGAAAAAATCATGAAGTTATTTTTACATCTACTTTGTACTTATAGTGTCAATGTAACTTCATATAATTTAGTACATAGATTTTTACATGTTTCCATGAGTTTTTCACCATTTTATTTCTAATTTGATGATAGCTATGGGATCATAACTATCACTTAGTGTTGGCATATTAAATACATTTCCTTAACTAAAATAATTGGTAGCTTAAAATCAATTGTAAGGAAGTACTATAGGGACTAGCATTTGTAAGTCTTAATTGAACTTCTTAAGTAAGTTGGAGTCCACGAGGTTGTACACTATCTCAATGGCCATAGGATAAGAAAGGTAAGTTTGAAAAGGGCATTAAAATAATAAATAAGTAAAATCAAGCTTTGGTTCTTAAGAAAACATTTTCCAGTTAATAATGTTTATGTATGTACATGGAAATTTATTTAAAGCCATTATAGTTTAAGTTTTGAAGTATTTTTAAACAATGAATACTTATGGACATTAAAGAGTAGCAAGCATTTTAGTAATTTTTCTTTGCTGTAAGTTAAGAGGATGAGTTTTATTCTTCTTTGTATAGATAGACTATGTGTTGTCTGAATGAACAAATACAGCAAGAAATCAATAAAGAAATTAGCTCACTATACAATTATAAATAGTATTATAAATAGAATAATTAATATGAGAAATAAGAAACACAAGAAAAAATGCACTGCCAATGTTTATAGATATGAGAACACAGAAGGTAATGAATAGGAAAATTAGATTTATTTTGCCTTAAGTACTATGTGGGTGGTGGAGACTAGCAACAGATTATGTAGGGCCTAATTTTAAAAAAGTTTACCAAGCATCAGCACATGGAACAAAGGCAAGTAGAATCTGTTATGATCATGGAAAAAGAGATTTAAATTTAGAACTCGGCTAAAATCTTCAAACCTTTAAATCTTCCAAATGTATATATATACATATATGTACACACACACACACACACACACACACGCACACATACACACACACACACGTATATATAATTTTATATACAATTCGGTGTTTTAAATTTAAGATTAATATCTTTCTCAGAGGACAACTTTTTGTCCCAGGTTTCATGCTAACAATGATGAGTACCTGTTTGTTTCTTTTGGATATTCTGATATGGAGACTTTTGTGCCTCTACCCAGGACAGCTCTGAAGGACTCACTGGTCTCTCGATGAATCTGACAGTGCCATGGTATTCAAGCCAGGTCCCTTGATGCTTCTCGTTTGCCCATTTGTAAACTCTTCTTGAATTCTGTATATGGTCTATCTGTATATATATATAAAAATATATGCTTGTGTGTATATATATGCAATTATATATAATATACAAAATATATGTATAAATATATATATATATATATATTATATATAAAATCCAGACTGATCAATCACCTCTCTGACATTGAGAGTAGCAAATGGAGTTTTAAATAATTTCTGGGCCTTCTGTGAGGTCATGTAAATATGAATACCTGAACCATGCTACCAGGGAATCCAGGAACCGGGAACTGCTTTATATACATACAAAATCTTAAATCATAGGACATGAGAGTCAGAAGAATCAAAACTTCATCTTGCTTATATGAGCTCACCTTCTCTATTGTCCTCTCATTTTATAATTGTTCAGTTTATATTTAAAATGATGCTGATAATACATTTCATGAGACTTCAAAAGGAGTCAGTAAACTGTTTCTTGTTATGAATAAAAGTATCAAGCAGCCCCTGAAAATAAGAAAATAGTGACCCTTACACCTTGCCTCTAATCACTTCCCTGTAGAGATGATAGCCAATACTTTCCTGAATGCTGATAGTATGACTTCAGAATCACTATTAAGAAGTACCCTGAATTGCCATATGGCCCTGCTATTTTCTGACCAAAAAAAAAAAAAAGGAATTGCTTAAGAGAAGCGATACCAAAGGCAAATGACCATTTTTTTTCAGTAGCTGCCCTTCAACATTTAATTGGCTTATTAATAATAGCCATATTCAGCAAATCATCTCATTAAGTTACCTAGGGGAACGTTTTGCAACTAGATTATCTTAAATTGTTCCCTAGGCATTTCAACCTTTGTAAATTAGACACTCTACAGATATGCATACTTGAGATTTTGATGCCAGGGGAGTATTTGGTAACACCCACTTTAATTTTTTTCCTATTCCCTAGGAATAGCAATTAGGGGATTAAAATGCCTTCTTGCCTAATGTTGAAAGGAAAATGTAATTGATTTATGCTGGGAACATGTTAGAGCTCCCTTTGGTTTCTTATACTATCAGCCCAAATACTTAAAATGATGGAGGGCCCTTTAATTTATCATATTAAGGGCTTCAACAAATAAGAGCTAAATGATTGTTAATTTACAAGAGACTGCCTTGTGTTTGTACAGAAGTTTCACCTTAAATGTCTAATTTCCAAAAATGGTATTTTTGAAGGATTACCTGAAGGACATGACATCTATCTATCCCTCTAAAGAATACTTTTTTTTTTTCTGGGGTAATTAAGGTCTCATTTTTTGGCTTATTTTCTGGCTCTTTCACCCACATCTTCACTCAGATACATAACAAAACTGAATTCCAAGTATTTCCACAAAAATATTTACTCACATCAACCACTTCATCGTTACATAGAAAGTACTGAATAGCTGAGGTAATGCCAGGGCCACAGGGACATGCAGCTGTCTGCTGCCTCATGGATCCCTTGTCTTCATACCACCCTTCAGTGTCCTTGCCATACACCCCTTCCTTCCCATATATGTGTGTGTATACACAATTTATAACTTATAAAAATACATGCTACATGTATATATGTGCATATTCATACTGAATATGCTATACATAGCATTTACAATTATATGTTGTGTGTGTTTGTGTGTGTATATATATACATACATTTAACATATCATCTCAAATTACTTTTGGGTTGACTTTTTAAGCTTTTTTGTTCTATGTAGGTCTATATATATAACACATATATAATACATTATAATACATATATATAATACACATATATAATGCACATATATATATATATACACAATTTTTAAAAATTTATATGAAACAGCTACAGTGTTTGCTTATACATCTCCCAGTGATTATGCATCTAAGGCTTAAAATCACTGTGTTTCTTTTTGGATTTAAAGCTGTGTAAAAAACTGACACCTTCTTGTCATTAACTCAATTAGGACAAATGAAGAGAAAAATGGCGCTAGAGTGTATTATTTCCAGGAAGGGTGATATCACCTCCCCACTGGTGACCTGCCTAGCCCTTGACTTTATTAGGTATTATGTGCCTCCATTCCACCTTCTCATTTTTCAAAGGCCTCATGTCTTTCTTCTGGGCTGGTTTGCAAACTACAACATGAGGGTATTGCACATGTCTTGGTCACTATTGTGTTCATGCCTTCTAGAAAGTCCTCACTAATCAATTAACTGAATAAATAATTGATGAATGAGTGGGTGAAGACAGAGGGTGTTGTGATAGCTGTGGCTTTTTAGCATAGCTGCCCTAAGCATTTCAAAATTGCAACTAGGTTTCTTTCTTAACCTTACTGTCCATTGATTAACTTAGAAAAGTTACAACCTCTCTTCTCAGTTATTCCATCGTTCATACATCTCATAATACTTTAAGTAGTACTGGCTACAGGCCATTTTTATAAAAACAGATATTCCTGAGTTTCAAAAATCAAGGCAAGTGCCTCTTGTGTATATTGATAACTTGTAGTGCTTGTTCATTTAAAACCAGGGCTTCGTTAGGGGTTCTAATATCTTCATTTTTACACGAAATAGCAAAACAGGCCAAACTTTTCTGTTCCTTTGTAATGGAAGTTCTATGTCACCAAAAAGTTTATTTCCTTTGTAATAAAAGTTCTGTGTCACCAAAAAAAATATTAACTAGAAAAAGAGAATACTAGTATGTTATCAAAATTACAATGTCTTCTTGCCTCCTTCTGAAGGACACTCCATGTTTGAGTACTGTCAATTTAATGCAATCATGAATTTAACTTTCACAATTATATTTTAGAGAACAAATACTTAATTGTCACCAAAAATGGAGAATACATCGTTATTCTTTATACTCAAAGAAGCAGTGTTAAATTGTGGCTCAACATAGAGTAATACAGGGCTGAGCTATGAGGTTAAAAGACATGTCTGCATCTATTGTTATAGACAGGCTGTAATTTATTTATATTTATACCCTGGGAAAGTGAGATTTGCAGTTGCAATGATAGATTATTAGATACATGATTTCAGAGAAAATGTTTCATTTCCATACAGTTTTTATGGAAACAGTTATATCCTAAAATCGCTGTTATTTTTTTAAGTGGTTATGATCTCTAAGGCCCTGAAATACACAACTTACTCAATTTTCCTCATTGCTTTTCCAAAAACCTGACAGAAGCAGCTGCTACCATCACTTTTGTTATAAAGAGAAGGAAGACAAGCCAGAAAGGTTAAGGAAGCTTTCTGTGTTTAAATTTTTAATACATGGCACAACCCAATAATCACACTGTTTTAGATAATTTAATTTATAATTGTATCAATTTATATTTCATTAGTAATTGTAGTTCTAATGGTAATTTTTTCAAATAAAGGGAAATTCAAATGTCATATGGTCAAATTTATATTTTAGAAAAAGAATGAGATAGTATTTAAGTGTAGAATGTTTGAGAATAGGATGGCGTTGTTTTATATTCTTATGCTAATGATATATTTAAAACTTAGTAATTTTGTTTGTATATTATTTTATGTCATAAAACATCATAGTAGTAAAAAATACCAGTGATAATATAAATCTATCATTCATATCCAGACTTTATTTCAAGATACTTTATCTTTCTTCCCCCCAAAAAACTTTAACAATAGTCCCTGGCAATTCTTTTAATGGACATACTAAGTTTTTTCTGTGTATCATGTTTCATTTTCCCATTCACATAATGATGAATAATCAACAAAATGGCCAAAAAACTAACTGATATATGTGAAATAAAAAAAAAAATCCTAATGGAGGTAAATTGTCAACCACTGAATAAAGGATTAATGACAAAACCACTTTTTGGCTAATATAAACAACATTATATTTTATATAGAAAAATGTTGGAAATAATACTGGCTTCATTGACACAGCAACTTCATGTATCCCTGTGCCTATGAAAATTGTTCCAATATCCAATATAAGTATATTGTTCCAATTCCAATATAATTTTTTTAAAAAGGTGTCACTTTAGTGTATGGATATTTACAAACTGCATTTTTATTGCTTTCACAGAAAGATAAGGAAGACCAATGGCTAGAGAAAAAAGTGCAAGGAAATAAAGACCACATCATTTTGGAGCATCTCCAGTGGACCATGGGGTATGAAGTTCAGATTACAGCTGCCAATAGATTGGGATATTCTGAACCGACAGTTTATGAATTCAGCATGCCACCAAAGCCCAACATTATTAAAGGTAAGCAAAACTATATTCTTTTTTAGACTGAACAATAAATATGATACCACCTTTTTATAACCCTTACTGACTTTTCTTATTAATAATTAAAACAAACTGAAATGTAAATTCCAGGTTCTAATTATTATTGTGACATATCATACACAAAGTTTCTCATCGCTCTTGCCATAGGGTATTGCTTAATTTGTAAATATATTTTGACCCCATTAATAGTTGGAGTGGTGGAGAAAGAATGACTAGGAGAACATAGAGAGTAAGAGTGACTGATGATAATCAACGTGAAAAGTGTCTATTGAGGCCATACGAAAGCTTTGCTAAGAAGACAATTTCTCTGCCAATCATGTGGAGACTGATGATCCAATTCTTGTTAGATTTGACCGAAGGTAATGATGAGCCAACCTATGCCTGACCAAGCAAGTTGATTTTGGAAACATAAAATTAGTCACAAAGAAAGGCAGGAACAGCCACAAATATAATTCCATAAAGACCTATACCTAGAGTTTTAAGAAGGCTCATAAAATGGGAGAACACTGTAAATCAGCCTTTGCAACACACTGGTTAGATTCTACCATTGATAGGTAACAGTGCTTACATTGTTACATCTTAGTATGTTAGTAATATTATGAAAGTTCACAACAGGGATGTTAAAACTTTTATTCAGATAAATGCTCTTGAAGTAAAGATGCAAAAATTTATTCTGACTCAAAATAACATTTAACTCTGTTCATGAGTTGCTAAATTGGTCATATTTCTACATTTATTTTCCCTCAGTTATTACTTTTAATATTTTAATTTTATGCAGACATGTACAGATATTTATGTATATATGGTATATTCTTTATAGGTACATATATACAGAAAAGAACAGCATATTAATCCATGAAACCAAGATTTATTTGTCTTATTATATTAGAGTATAAGTATAGATATATAATATTTTTGAAACTGGAAAAGAAAACTAGCTAGTTCAGTCATGTCATTAAACCCTCTTGTAATTTCAAATTGATGTTAATTTCACATATTATGATTTTGTTATATCATACATCAGTTGTTTAGTAATTGAAAGCAGTTTTATATGATTAATCTTTCAATTAAAAAGTAATTAGTATTGGTTATAAGGTTTAAAAAGTAATTGATATTAGAGCTTTATATTGCTAATGTTAATAAATTCTACCAAATTATAATTTAAAATTAGGAAGTAAAAAGTCCCTGGAAATAACACTGGTATGTTACATTTTAAGGACTTTTTTTACTATTTTCAAAGCCCTTCTGCATTGATTATGTCATTTTATTCTTAAATCTGAGCTGGATAAGGAAGCATTATTCTCATTTTACAAATATGATTTTAAGAGGTTTAATGACATGTTGGAGGTCAGAAATATTTCTAGTTATATGACAAATCTGATGCCCTTACAAGATAACACATCTAAATAAGAATGACTGAATGTACTATCGAATTCATTACCTCTCTATGTTTGAAACATCAGAAACCACTTCTACAATTGTAATGAATACGTATGTGGTAATTATATTTCATGCAAATATCAGGAACATGCTATACGTATTCCCATACTGAGCCAGAGCCTCCTCCAAAGGAAAATTGCAACAGTATATACTATAATCTCCCAAATTTTTAATTTAGTGTATATATTTTGAAACATAATGAATTAACTTAATCCGTTTAATTTAATAATGTATTAAATTTAATATATGAAGTAGAAGGCAAAATTTTAATAACATAGATAAAACATAAAATCAAAAAAATAGATTTTACACAGATTACTAAATGTTATACCCCCAATGACTCTGCTATCTTTGTAAGAAATTGTTGGCCGGGCGCGGTGGCTCACACCTGTAATCCCAGCACTTTGAGAGGCCCAGGTGGGCGGATCACGAGGTCAGGAGATGGAGACCATCCTGGCTAACACGGTGAAACCCCGTCTCTACTAAAAACAGAAAAAAATTAGCCGGGCGTGGTGGTGGACGCCTGTAGTCCCAGCTACTCTAGAGGTTGAGACAGGAGAATGGAGTGGACCCGGGAGGCGGAGCTTGCAGTGAGCCGAGACCGCGCCACTGCACTCCAGCCTGGGAGACAGAGCGAGACTGCGTCTCAAAAAAAAAAAAAAAAAAAAAAAAATTGTTGATGATAAAAACCAACAATACGTGTAGACAAAAGGTTGAAAAAATTAAAAGGTAATAAAAGCAGATATGAAGGCACCAAAGTAACCAAGACATGCTGTAATTCATTTCCTCTCTCTCTATATATATATATTTTTCAATTTGAGAAACTCGTGTCCTGAGAGCTTTGTAGGCAAGACCTGGAAAGAAAATGGATAGAATTCTGGTTTATATTCCCAGATTTGTTCCTGTCACATAACTTGTCAAAATAACTGTTTCCTCATCTCTAAAGTGAGTTCCTTCTGGTTCTGCAATGTTAAGATCTATCATTTATTAATTTAAGAATTATTTATTGGAGTACTTCTTTGTGACAAACCCTTGAATGAGTACAAAGGATTTATCTGTGAAAAATACAGCACTGACCCATGTCCCCCAAAATCTCCACAGTCTGGTAGAGAAGACAGATATTCAACATGAGTTAGAATAACTGCAACTGGCCGGGCGCGGTGGCTCACGCCAGCAATCCCAGCACTTTGGGAGGCCGAGGCGGGCGGATCACGAGGTCAGGAGATCGAGACCATCCTGACTAACACAGTGAAACCCCATCTCTACTAAAAATACAAAAAAATTAGCTGGGCGTACTGGCGGGCGCCTGTTGTCCCAGCTACTCGGGAGGCTGAGGCAGGAGAATGGCGTGAACCTGGAAGGCGGAGCTTGCAGTGAGCCGAGATGGCGCCACTGCACTCCAGCCTGGGCGACAGAGCGAGACTCCATCTCAAAAAAAAAAAAAAAAAAAAAGAATAACTGCAACTAAGAGAGATTTTTCTTAGAAGGTGAGTTTCCAAAGGAAACATGCAGGAATGAACTTTCCAGGGAAAATGTGTGACGTGGAAGGTATCTCTGGGACAAGAAAGAGCATGATCTGTTCTAGGAGGTGGAAAAGGCATGTGTGGAAGAGAACCTGGAAGTGTGTGACTATAGATAAGGTCAGAGAGGGAATGCAAACCAGATAATTCAAGGGCTTTTAAAAACGTAATTGTAAAACATCTTCCAAAAGAAATAAATAATTGTAAGCAGAAAAGTTGTATGAAGAGATAGGTATTATAAACAGATTATTCTTTCTCTTATGGGTAAGAGCAACTGATGGATGAACAGCGGTAGAAAAAATAAAAGAACGAAAAATTTCCTGACACATTATAAGTGTAGACTAACGCTGCCTTTGCAATAGATTGGATTCAGTCAGTAATGACTTCTAGGTTTCTTGCTTGGGCAACTAGAACATTGCTGATGTCATTTCTCAAGGTGAAGAATTTTGTAGGAGAAGCAAGACTTGGAGAATGAGGATCAAACATCAGATCCATTTAGTATTTGTTAAATTTGAAATATCAAATCGTTGGTTAGATATGTGGGCGTATGGAAATGAGAAGATAACCATGGCTTGGAAACATACACCATGATGCTGTCAGTGTTAACAGGTGAATGGTATGTGAGTGAGGGTAAACCCGTCTAAGCAATGCCTAAAATATCTGAAGAGGGGTTGATGTCTGTAGTACTCATTTGTGTTTGCCAGTAACTAGAAGGGCGACTGGCACAGCAGTGATTTCCAGAGAATATTTCTTGAATTACTGAAGAGTAGAAAGAAGTTAAGAACTGAGTTCCAAGGAACTATCATATTATACTAGAAGAAGAAACCAGATCACTCCACCCCTCATCATGAGACTAACACTTTACAAACTTACTGGAAAAACAGGAGCGTAGTATCTTGGAAGTTAACAAAGGGTCATATTTCAAGAAGAATAGATGTAAAGTGTCAAATGCTGCTGAAAGGTCAATGGAACTGAACCAGAACAGATGTGAAGTATCCCTATCACGTGCAGCTTTGCTGACGTCATTGAGAGATAAATTAGGTACAAGTGGGCAGAGAATTGTATGTGAGGTTAGGGAGTTTAGACTCCATATTTATTTAATGCTTTCAGGAAGTTTTTCTATGAAGGTGAGCAGAGGAGGGAAAAAGCCAGTGTTAGAAGGTCTTTTATGATGAAAAATGCTAGATGAAACAAATCAAGGAGTCGTGGAGCAATCACACATACAGGCACACAGACAAAGCCATCTGAGAAGGTAGGAGATGGTATTCACCCCTCTAAACCATGTAGCTGATACAAAGCCATCACAACTTATCAAAAAAAGGGGAAAATGAAATATTTATTTTATTTGTAAAAATGTCACAAATTCAGCCAGGCGCAGTGGCTCACGCCTATAATCCCAGCACTTTGGGAAGCCCAGGCCGGTGACAAGGTCGGGAGTTTGAGACCAGCCTGGACAACATAGTGAAACCCTGTCTCTTCTAAAAATACGAAAATGAACCGGGCATGGTGACACCCGCCTGTAATCCCAGCTACTCAGGAGGCTGAGACAGGAGAATTGCTTGAACCCGGGAGTTGGAGGTTGCAATGAGCCAAGATCGCGCCATTGCACTCCAGCCTGGGTGACAGAGCAAGACTCCATCTCGAAAAAAAAAAAGTTATAAAATCGTGTCTAATTTACTGTTACTGAATCCGGATTGCTAAGGCCTCATAGAAAGTCATATCAGAAACAAACCATAAATTAAGAATTGTTTGATTTAGATCTAGGTTTTGTGAGGCAATTTTAAAGGCTGTGATGATGGGGAATTTGAGAACCTTTCAGATCTTATAGAGTTAACATTATATATTTGCAAAATATGAAAAAAGATCATATAATTTTATAACATTTTATTTTTCATTTTAAAATGAAATATAAATTCAAACATATTAGAAATAAGTTATCTGTAATAAACTAGCACATCTTAAGTCTTTTCATTTAAGTTAGAGAAGATATAGAGTTTAAAGGTTAAAGTGGTTTTAATTTATTTTTATATTTCATGCATTGTAGACTGTCAAAATAAGTTTTCTGGAATTTTGAATTTAAAAACCCATTACTTATGTATATTAGATATATTTAACTTTTTGTAAACAATAGGGTAAGTCTAGAGAACATTTATTTGTTGGACTAAAGCACTATTTTTTCGTTTTTTATCAACCTACTCCCTTTACATTCATATAAAATATTACATTGATAACAATAATTTTTCTTGTAAGTATGCTAGTGGATACTACATTTCTTCTTAGTTTATAATTATTAAAAAATAATTTTGTAATTAATATTTTTCATTTTTTCTTATTAAAGATGTACTTATTTTGAAAGATATGTATTTTGATTTATTTAAAATGGAGTTTCCATAATCAATCGTGTTCCTTTTCAGAATATTCATGCAGCATAACTCCATCTTATTTTATTTTATAAGAAACAAGAATATTGGGAAACTATAGCAGATTAATTGTTATAAAATGACTACCAAACTATGGATTTCAAGGCTGATAGCATGGCATTTATTGATTTGTTCTGTAATCTTAATGACTAAAAATACTACTAAACTTCTGGACTGGATATAATCTAATGTTTAAAAAAATCCTTGGAAATAAATAAACTTACTTTGAAAAACATTTTCACCATTTCTTTTGGCCTGCCACATGTTTGATAACATTTATATTTAACCAAAAAAGACGTTAGTATCTTTCAGTAACTGCTTCCTTCTTTTCCTGAAGACATGTCTAATTTTAATATTGACTATCAATATAATTTGATGACAATAATTCTGTTCAACATTTTTTATATTCAATGATAAAATAATTCTGCCCTCTGGGAACATGTAATGCATACATAATACATACAAAATAGTTGTTTAGATTTAACAAGCTAAAAAAAATAATATAAATCACCACAAAAAATATTGCTAAAATATTTCAGTTACTTTGTATTTTCATGGGCTTTTAATTTGTACTTCCAATGAACTATACAGTAAAATTATTTTGATCACCTCAACTCTAGTTTCAAGCAACACTAATAAATCCTTCATCACTAGATAATTCAACATGAACAGAAAACAACTTTCAAACACATGGCAAATATGAAAATATTATTTTAGGATTACATTTATGGTTGTTTTAGAACATAAGTTTAAAAATTCTAAAACAATGGTGAAATAGAAGTCCAATTACCTGGGGAAACTTCATCTTAACCCTCTGGAATTTTCAGTCTAACCTAAATATTGATACTACACCTGCAGCAGCATTTAGTTTAGCATGTAGTGAAAAAGTAAGTCTAAAAAATATTTTCATAATCTTTGGTTCCTAAAATTGTTTTAAAAGAGATGCAGTGACATATGTCTGGAGTTTGCTTATGGCCAATAGGTTAATGCTTCTAGCTTCTATGCTTATTGCAAATTTTAATTATGTGAATATGCAATTTTCACTTATATTTGTTGGTAGCTTGTTTATTATTAAAATAGAATGGCTTTTATTAAATATATCCTAAGAAATTACGGTAGAAAAAATTACCATCAAACATTGTGGGATATATTGAGATCATATTAAAAGTAGCACTGTGAATTCACCAATAGCACAGTGAAATGACTGGTGACTTTTCCCTTGTAATTTACATTTTCAACTTATAAATGAAAGATATTCACATATAAGGGATCAGTGACAGAATTAATTTCTGAGTAATGCAGAATAAACATCAATATTGACCTTTGTATGTTTTTAATATGTGACAATACATAGAAATGTTTTATACAAGATTTTAGCCATTCTTGTTTTGTATGAAAGTATTTTTTGTAGGTTTGCATTAATTGTTAATGACTTTGTGTAAATCTTGCATTAATTATTCTTTTTTCTTTCCTACTGTCACGTTTTTTCTCTTTTGATTTCCTCGTTTGTAACTCTACCCTTTATTTTCTTAATTATTTCATTCTTATTCTATTTTCAAAAACAATTTTCATCATGCAGATAAATGCTGTGAAGCGAATAAAGGCGAAAATGGAAGCCAGTCGTGGCAGCTGAATGCTGCTGGGTTTTCTTTCATTATAGCCATAAGTTTGTCTTGCGTGTTTTAATGTCATTGTTATATCATATGGTATATCCTCTTATGCCCTGAAAATTAAAAAAAAATAGTAATAGCAAGGCTTATCTAAAATTATAATAAAATATTTCCTAAGGTCCAATTAATTATGCATGTATCTTCACCCATGAATGATTAAGCTTTTTCTCCTTCCCCCAATTATCAACCTTTTAAGTGGATAATTTGTCAGAAAATCAAATGAAGGAAATTCAATCGGGATTGCTACTTTCAGCTACCAGTTCACTGCATAACATACTTTATTCTAAATTTTCCATTAATTCCTAAAGTTGACCTTGTTAAATAGCATGTCACTTGTACTTGAAACTTAAGCCTTTGCTACATCTAATCTTTCATTATTATTTTGCAAATAATTAAATATCCATGGCCATACTTTTTAAAAATCATAATTTTATTATGTAGAATTGTGGATCACTACTATTGTTTTTTTTACTGTTACTTTTAAGTATAAGTTTCCAACTTTATGAACATTTCTAATATTTCAATGTGTTTACCATTTATATAAAACATAAGCATTATATTTTATTAGATGTGTATCCCAATTGTGCTGCTTATTTTCCCTTTGTTGAACCAAAATGTCTTAAGGAATAAATGTGAAACAGTTTCCTATTTTAAATTTGAACACCGATTAATTTTTTTCATTAAGTGAAAATATCTCTGCAATTTTCCCAGAATGAATGTTAAATTAAATTTGTATATGTCTAAAAAGTTACACCCAATTCACTGGATTTAGATTACATTTTGAGCTGACCTCAAGTCCTATTGTTCTAACATAAGTAGTTATTTATTACATTTTTCTGGACATCTGGTAGTCAGAATTCTTGCAAGCATTAGAGAGAGAGAAGAAAATATTATAGACACTCCTTTAAAGAAGTTGAAATCAAGATGGGAAGAAATTGAGATTGGAACTAGATTCCAAATTTCAAAGGAATTTCGATTTGAGGGAGTAGCATGAAGAATGATTTTTGGTCTTTGCAAATTTTCATTATGTGAATATGCAATTTTCACTTAAGTAATCTTTACCTAAGTAATTTCAAAACAAGTAAAGAGTGTTTGTGTTTTTCACTTGCAACCACATCTTAACAAGTGACTTTTACTACTTATTTATTTAGGACAATAGGAAACAACCAGATGTACATATATGCATAAAAGTGACCATAACATACTTGGTAAATCAAATGATTGGGTTCTGGACTCTGTGATTCATTCATCAAAAGCTATCATTTTGTTGAACAGAAATATTTTTCGTGTCTCTTTTTAAAGAGATAGCTACAGAATCTTTTCATATGAGGGCTAGGCCTCTCTTTCATAGTAGATTTTCTTTTAACTTATCTTTTCCAAACTCCTAGCTGTCAACTGCTATCCTTTCTTGTAATCTAGTAATAGACCTGTAGACTGCAGAAGCAACCCATCAACCGATAAAACACACTTCTGGCCGGCTGGGCGCGGTGGCTCACGCCTGTAATCCTAGCACTTTGGGAGGCCGAGGCAGGTGGATCACGAGGTCAGGAGATTGAGACCATCCCGGCTAACACGGTAAAACCCCGTCTCTACTAAAAAATGCAAAAAATTAGCCGGGCGTGGTGGCGGGCGCCTGTAGTCCCAGCTACTCGGGAGGCTGAGGCAGGAGCATGGCGTGAACCCGGGAGGCGGAGCTTGCAGTGAGCCGAGATCGCGCCACTGCACTCCAGCCTGGGCAACAGAGCGAGACTCCGTCTCAAAAAAAAAAAAAAAAAAAAAAAAACTTCTGCTTCCCTCCTTTCTCCCCTGCTGAGATAAAACGATATCTCAACTCACACATTATGGAAATATAATCCATTTATAGGGCAAGTTTTGTTTTTAAATCACCATAACCAATATTCCGTTTATTAAATAACTATCATTGCATATTAAATTTCTCGATATTTGAGACTGAAGAGTTTATATTGGTTACTAATTTGTAGAAGGCGTTGATAAAAAGATTTCTAGTAACACCTCCAGAAACTGTTTTTTACATTCATTGTAACCTTACTTGATCTTTCCAATAAATTAGAGACATTTCTGTGAGAATTTCATGTAGAAATGATCTTGACTTAGGAATGACAAAATATTTTTTTGGAGATCACGGAATACTTATTTAGTAAGTTAGTGCAAAGTTTATTTATCTTGAAGTTTTACATATCATAACTCAAGGTCACTAAGTGATATAAAGAACATTCAAAGTGAGGTATACACAGAAATAAGATACATCAATTTGGCATTTTGAAAAGAACCTAATATTAAAATTATGTTAGCAGAGTTATATACATTTAAAGAGTTGTTTGTTAGATTTTAAGCATCTAAGTGTGGATCTAGTTTTAGTCCTAAACTTTATAAGCAGTCTGTCATTTGGCCAAATGTTTATTCTTACATGAACACCTATTTCACAACTCTGAGATACACATAAATTCTTTTAAAAATATTCTCAGAGATGGTAAAATAATAGGCTTTGTGATCTGCCTTATTTCTCTAAGAAATTAAAAAGTACAAAACTAAACAATAAAGCTATTGCATTCCAATAAATAAAACCTTAGACATTTTACATCCTAGGATTTTTTAAAAGTTTTAATGTGTTGCTGAGTTATCTTTTATATTATCTGAACAATACTGTTGTTATATGCAGCCATAAAAATCAGACAGTTTACTTGTTTATTTTAAAAATGAGTTTGTTACTTTTTTGGCTTTACTATTATTTCATCTGTCTACCCATCTAAGTAAATGTGATTACTGGTAAGCAAGACATAAAAATTTAAACTTATTTTAAGTATCTTCCTAGTACCATCCAATGATTTTTTTTTCATACAATGGAGTTTTACATAAAATTCTGTCTCTGAAGATGTATAAATTTGAGCTTGTGTGTTGAGTGTAAGATTAGTCATTATATATAATCAGAAATATATGTCTATGTCCAATGGTGTGTGTATTGTATCGTTCACTGTTAAAATATTTCAAAAGATTGTTTTGACCGTATTACCAGTTATGAAGCTAGATTGATTTACTTATGCATGATTGCCATTATCTGCATGTGGAATATCAGGATTTTTAAAATATAGATCTGGATATCTCCTTCTTTCTCCTCCCAATCTCTTCTAGTCTGTCTTCTTTCCTCCATTTTACAGTCAACGTTACTGGCCTCTCTACCCCAATCAAAACTATAATTACTCATCAGTTCACAGTAAGACCCACAAGTACCATGTTTCAGATATGCTAACAGAGTAGGCCTAGGAGGTAGCAGTAAATTCTTTCCTATAAAATGTATTCTTACGTGGAAAAACCTTAGGTGAGTTGCTATTTTTGTTCATTTCTTTCCTAATACTATAGGTCATTAGGACGGACTAAGTTTAATTTTATAAACTCTATATTCATATTATTTCCAGAAGCATTTTGCAAATGCACATATATGCCTTCATTCCTGGTATACATGAACAAGATTGAAATTAAAATATGTAAACATTTTAAATATGCCTATCTATAGAAGGGGTTAGATTGATGTTTAATATATATGCAATTTTCACTTACATATAGCAAATACATATAAAGACAAATAATTTTATTGCAAATAAATTTGACTTTTTAAATATTCAAGTTCTTTTTAAATTAACAAAGTTACAAGTATGCATCCTAGTGCACATGTTACACACAATAATATGCAATTTGTGTCAATTGGGAAACCATTATAATTAATTATAATATTTTCTGTGTAAGAATACTCATTCATTATGTTTGAGTTAAATTAAAGCTAAAACAAGAAAAATTCCAAAGTAGTTTCAACCACGTACAATTAAATTTATGATTAGTCATTTATGTTAAATGAAATATATTGTACAAGAAAGAATTAAACCATGAACTTTTGGATCTGGAGGTATTCTTAGATACATAAAAATAATTTTAAATATTAATATGGTATATTTACCCTGATAATGGAGAAATAAAACCTTAAAATTACAAATTATTTTAATAATTCAAGATGGATACTGATATCAATACAATAATACAATATATTTGGGTCTAGCTTTCAAGACTAATAGCCAGTATTATGCATGATAACATTTGAGTTTGTAGTAATTAAGAAATATCCCTAGTCATGTAAAGTTTTCTTTAAAGGTTTAAATTTGATATTAATATGATATAAGCAACATTAAGAGCTTGAAATGATCAATTCTGGTATTAAACTAAATATTATCACATATATTTTTGTCTGGCCTTGTAGTATTATGATTTCACTCACTGAATAAAGATAAACTATAATATTGATCATACCTAAATATGTAACTTTATGTGTTTTATTATGATTAATCTGTGTAAGAGATAATGTAACATCCTTTAAATGATCTTTTAATAAGTCCAATTTAATTATGTTTTCTTTTTCTATTTTAATTTTTATTTATTTATTTTTTTATTTTCTTGAGACAGACTCTTGCTCTGTCGCCCAAGCTGGAGTGCAGTGGCCTGATCTCAGCTCACTGGCACCTCCGCCTCCTGTGTACAAGCAACACTCATGCCTCGGCCTGCCTAGTAGCTGGGTGTGCTACTAGGCGTGCAGCCACCACACCTGGCTAATTTTGTATTTTTAGTAGAGGCAGGGTTTCACCATGTTGGCCAGGCTGGTCTCGAACTCCTGAACCCAATTGATCCTCCTGCTTCAGCCTCCCAACATCCTGGAATTACAGGCGTGAGCCATGGTGCCCAGCCTCATGTTTTCACTTTTTTAAAATTTATTTTCTTTTATCCTTTCTTACTTTCTTCTAATGCTTTATTTTTAATTTTCTCCCTTTTTCTCTATTTCTGTCTCTTCCTCCTTTCTCTTTCTCTCCATTTCTCTCTTTTGTTCTGTCTCTCTCCCTCTTTCTCTCTCTGTCTCTCTTATGCTTCCTTTCTAAATTTTTGGCCATGAATGAATGGAATATATTTCCTCTATTATGTTTCTGTTCATTGTTTGTAAATTTTAAAATACTAACCTTTGTGGTATAGAAATATGTCATAAAAGCTTCAGCAAATCTAATATATTGGATAGATAGCTGAAATCTGCATATTTCAAATAACTGAATATACAGATATTCTACAAATTGTCTTTAAAATGATTACAACTTATGTTGAAATTGGTGACGAGGCATTTCCAAATTAATCTCATAAATAGTATTGTTTAATCATTAATATTTGATAGTTAAACATAATATTCAGAATATATTTCCACAGTAAATTTTGGGACTTAACTAAAGAAAAAAATTAACACTTATTAACTCGTTCTCTTACCAATTACCATATAAATTGGAGTATTATTCTAAAGTTAATATGGTTTGTCTTTTAAATACAAAGTTGTATTATTCCTTCTATATACTTACATAATCCCAATTTTTATCTAAGGAAAACATTCCCTCAGTTTAAATCTAATTTTATTTTTTTCAAAATTAGACAAAGATGAGAGTTTAATATCCATGCTTTGTTTTCCAAAAACCTTTAGTTTTGTTGTCTAAAATTAAGAACTCAACAAAGATCTCTTGTAATAATTCAACATATTCCCTGGCTATTAACTAATTTCCAAGCCTGAACTGTCAGTAAATGTTGCACATAGCCTGGAATAGTCCATAACATCTGTATTAGCTAATATTCTGTAAAACTAAAAAAAAACAATATCCAAGAAATGTAAAAAATAATTATGTTTAAGAATTCTATTAGTGTTTCTGAGATGGTCTTAACTGCATTTCATCTCCTTTGTTGGTAGACTATTATTTCATCTACTTTTTAAGGATACTTTCATCCAAGTAGAATTAAACTTAATTTTAATTGTGAACTAATCTAATATTGGTTGTATTAAATTTAGATATATTGAAAGTTCTAAAACTATGTATGCTTAAGTTAAATTCAATTAGTCTTTATCATTTCATTTTAGTTAGTAAAAATATGTTACACACTGTAAAGAATGCATAATAATGAGACACAACTTCAGTTTAGAAAATATATTTTTATTTTTATTCTATGTATGTACTGAATAGGGGCTACGACATAAATCTAGCTAGTCTTATTTTTTTTCCTAAAAAGCAAGCAATTACAACTACTGTTTTAAATAGTGTACACAATTCATGTACCCCTTTCAAGAATATTTTTCTCTTACATTTTCATTGATGTCATGTATAACGCTTCTGTTTTAAAGTACTTCTGATCATTTAATTGCATTCGTTTTCATCATAGCTTGTTTTCTTGAAAAAAAAGTATGCTATAAGTGTATTGTCCTCAGTATCATCTTATTTAAAACCCTCAACATAATATCCAGCACTGTGTGTAATCCTATGCGTGTGTTTCATAGTATATTAAATGTCATTTTATTTTCTGTACCTCTGTGTCTCCATTGTTGTAATAAAGAAAACTGAGGAAAAGCTTTGTTATACGTGTTTTCTTTATTACTGGTACAGCCTTTTTTGTCCTTGTCGAGTGTTGTCATATCTAACTTGATCAAATTTAATACAAACATTTATTTACTTAGGAGCAGGTAATAAACTTATACTCATTAAGTTACTCAATTTTTGGATAACCCATACATCATCAGCAGATTCATAACAATTGTATATTGTAAAAATAATTTCGTGACAATATCAAATATTGTTACTTCCATTGTAAACTTGTTCTAGTGTCTTCATAAAAACATCGATCTCTAGTGGGAGGCCAAAATAATCATATATTTCAATAAAACACATGAACATAGTTAACAATTTCAGTAATATAAAGATTGTTAACTAGTCTCCATTGCTAGCAAAAGTCCATAAAGGAAATATAAACACGTAAAGTGATTTTTCTCCAGTTCCTTTGGTCATTTCTTTTGTTTTGGGCACCAAATGAATAAAGTTGCAGAAATTGATTAACATTCTGTGCTTATCCACTGCAAAGGTATGAAACACAAATAGTAAGTTGAAATTTTGGAATAATACTATAAGTAATATAAAAATTATTTAATTAGCTTTTATAGTGTAAAAATAATTTTTGACATAGATATAAACAGAAAAGTCATATTTTTCTTTTAGAGCAAAATGTTACATTGCCTGATAAATATGAAATGATGCCAAAATTCAAAAGAGAAAATGTTCATTTTCAGGATTTTGGATTGTTTTGGAGCATATTTAATTTCTCTTATTCCATGACAGTCCAGTCCAAAATGTATATTTTAATATATACATTATTATACACCTTTTGAAACATGCTTGTGTATATTTCAAAATGAAAATTTTAATGCATTTATAAGTCTTATATATTGTAATACTTATACTTCTTTTAAATGATACAATAGTTATAGTAGTTTGAAACATACACCAGAACAGTTATTTCTTTTTATTATTTTTGTTTTTATTTTTCCTGAATCCCCTTGATAATAGGATGATATCAAATGGAGGGTATCTTGGAATTCTTAGGAATTTGTATGATTACTGTTGTAGTAAATATATATTACTTTATTAATTTTTTATTGTTCTACTATTCTGGGCCATTGTGAAGAAACTAAAGAGATTTGAGAAAATCTGAAGCTATTATAACCAAACTCTATTATTTTATTATATCAACAAACTGAGGATCAGAAAAACCAAATAGTCATTGATATAGTCAAGCAACTTTGATTCTCAGTTTTCCTCCTATCTTTGTTGTATTACACTAAATCAAAGTTGGTACAAGTAAATTTCTGACCTATAAGTTATATGGTCATATGTCTTAGGTCTAGTTCCTTTGCTATTTTCTTGATTGGCCTGTGGAGAACAACAACAAAAAATCCCTATGTGTCAGAGGAAAGGCTATGTGTACAACAACCACGGTTTCATCCATTAATCACAGTATTTCTATTAGTCAGCTTTTATCTTTCTCACTCAAACTTTTACATATAGCTGCTTCCCTATGACCAAGGTAAGTAAGCACACATTAAGTTTATGGTTTTAAATGAATATCAAATTAAATTTTCATCACTTTCTTGTTTTTTACACATATTTTGATAACACCTTACTAAATTACTTATTTGCATTGTTGGTAGAGATAGGTAATTTTTAATTAATATATTTTTATTTACTGTCCACTAAAAGTAAGATATTTTCATCTCAATATGCATCCTTTTTATTTTAAGAATTCAAAGTAAATAGTTTCAACACTTACAATTTGCATAGCAGCTATGTGTTTGCTTCTCTACTGATTTCTTATTTAATATTACAAAGAGAAACAAAATGTTAAAAACAAGTATTCAAGATAGAGGACTTTATTTTTTCTGTTTAAATGTGGTTAAATAAAAAATAAATTATCTTCAAATTGGCATTTCTGTTTTAAAGAATCCATGAATAACACACCTAAATTTTACTATTGTTTCTAGAATATAATTTCACAATAGCTGAATGGGATATACTTGTATGTAATGTGAAGTGCAAACTACCCTTGGCTCTTGAAAAACATCCTATTTCTTAGTGCATGTTGGCAGAAAACATTAAAATTTGTATGGAATTTTTATATAATAGCCTGTGACTCACGGTCCTGTCAAATGGCTCAGTCGTGAAAGAAAGTTTAAGTGAACAGGGAAAAATATTTATCTAAAATAGGATGTGGTATGGTTCACTGCTGAATTCTATTACATAAAAACAGGAAGCTAAAACCTTTTAAAGCATCTATATGTGTTACTCCTCACTTAATATGTGGAGTTTTTTTATTTGTTAAAGGACAGAAAAGTAAAAGTTGTTTTTATAGGAGATAATCAATCTAGGCATAGTAGCCCTTTCCATGCAGGTAATAGAGATATCACCATTGCATGTTTTCCCTTTTAAATAGACTTTAGTTTTTCAAATACTTTTAGATTTACACCAAGATTGAATGGAAACTAAAGAGGGCTCCCATATACCATCTACCCCAGTCAGGCACAACCTTCCTGATAATGAATATCTAACACCCAAGTGGTACCTTTGTTACACTTGATGAACCCACAGTGGCACATTGTAATCACCCAAAGTTTACAGTTTACATTACGGTGCATACTTGGTGTTGTACATTTTATGGATTTGGATAAATTAATAATGACCTGTATCCACCATTTTGGTACCATACATAATAAATTCACTGTCCTAAAAATCCTCTGTGTCCTAAAAATCCTCTCTTCCTCCCTCCTTTCTCCACTAGTTCCTGGCAATCACTGACCTTTTTACTATTTCCTAGGTTTGCCGTTTCCAGAATGTCACTTGGTCGCAATTTTACATTATGTAGCCTTTGCAAATTGATTTCTTTCAATTAGCAACATGCATTCAAGGTTTCTACGTGTCTTTTTATAATTTGATAGCTGGTAGCATAAAATGTCTTCAGTCAGATGCATTATATAATAATAGACGTTTATAAACCCTACATGCTTAAAATATGTAGTTTTAATAATGTAGAATTGATGTTTTTGTATAACTCTAAGCAGAAATTGAAATATCTAAGATAGAATGCAGTGAGTATCTAAAACTGAAAACTTTAAACATCTTAATAAATTACCATAGATTCCAAGAAAAATAATAATACGTATCTTCTGTGTATTTGCTCACATTTTTCATTTATTCTGTTACATGTTTAGAAAACGCAGAAGTTTTATAAATAGTTAGGAATTTTATATTGGAGAAAATTAAACAGTTTGGACTTTCGAAAACAAATTATAAAATATGAACTGAAGTATAATCATATAGAGATATGTTTCAATTTTGTAATATAGTCTAGGAAAATAATTTTGTTTGTACAATGAAAATATATTTTTCATTTTCTATATATGGAGCAGCCTTTCAATGTTGACAGAAAAATAAAATTGGTCAGGTGGGGGCTTAAACAAAGAACTAAAAATAAAATTATTCAGTTCTTTTACACTGGCTAATACATATTTGGGTCATATTCATGCAAATCTTTGAAGCTGCCTTTTCTACTAATCAATACAAACACTAGTTGTTTTATAGCAAACAAACTGCATCCATCAAAGTCAACCAGAAATATAACCAAATTTAAACAGTATTTGGAAAAGTTTAGAGTTAGTAAGATAATAGCAAACATCAAAAGAAGAGGTTCAACTGGATAGTTAAAGAACACAAAAGATATTTTATATGTGCCAAAATGATCTCAGTTCCAACATACATAATAATGTGAAATGTCAGTATAGATAAGATAATAGATATTTTGTTGTGCAAAGACTTCAGATATTTTATGATTTTTCATGGTTTACAGTTGTACCACATTTATTAAAAGGATATTTTAAAATATTTATTTTTAAAATTTTTAGTACTTTGTGATATTTATCACAAAAGAGCTGTTATGTATGAATTTGTTTTTAGCCAATTTTTTTCAAAATAAGCACAGCTCAGTTTCTTTCTTTTTCTTATGTTAAAATCAGTTACTTTAAAGGATAACAAGAATTTGACAAGTTCTCATCAACATTTCTATACAAGCATAATAAACTTCTATTTTAGTGGTTCACTTTTTACACAAGATTGTTCTAAAAGGATAGCTAAAACTATAAGAGGGATTGTGTAGATATTTTAAAAAGCAGGGCGGCCATGGGGGGCTACTTAAAATTCCATTCCAAATAAATATATAGAGAATAGTTATACATAAATATAAACGTATATATTATACAATTTCATAGTATTTTATCTTATTTAGTTTCTATTTTTAAAATATACCAATAGACTTTAATTATGTAATTTTAATTCAACAACTAATCATATATAAGGGGCTGAGTCTATTTAATTCTTCACCTTTTCAATCCAAACATTATCCAAGGAGTTCTCATTCTTATATGGTGTGTGGAAATGGGCATGGAATAGGAGAGAAGGAGAGAGGGAAGACTGGACAGACATTTAATAGCCATTACCATAGCCCAGGCCGCCTCTAGCTCTTTCCAAACCATTGTGACGATTCTGCTTCCCTCCAATGACTCCCTACCATCTTTTGGAAAATGATCACAATTTCTAGTTTGTTTTTGGTGCTGTTTGTCAATTTTGATTTGGTTGATCTATTTATTTGTTACTGAATTCACTTGCAAGCTCCATCCTCTTTAACAGCATCCTTCACCACTAAAATTCCAATGCCCACCAATCACCTCTAATATCCATGTATGTTTTCTAATGTCAGAATCACACACAGTTTCATACATCTTTTTTTATTCAAGCCATGTTCAGATTAAAATGGACTCCTTACGTCAAATGGGAACCTGATTCTTATTTTCGAAAACCATCTCAAACATTATTTTCTTTATTATGTTTCCTTGACCATTGGTCACTAATTTATATGCTTCTCCCTCCTATTTGCTAACCTCACATTATTTTTTTTGCCAAGAGGTAAACAATAAATTACACTGCATATTAATTTCTAAATGATGTATCTTACTCTTCCCAATACATTACCCAGTGTATGTGTGTGTGTATATATATATGAAATATATATATAATATATAAAATATATATATGAAAACATGCCCTTTAACAAAGTACAGCACAATGATGAACATATGAGTGCACGTGTCTTTTGGGTGGAATGATTTATATCTTTCAGGTAGATACCTGGTAATTGGATTACTGGGTCAAATGGTAGTTCTGTTTTAAGTTATTTGGGAAATCTCCAGACTGCTTTCCTCAGTGGCTGGACTAAGTTGCATTCCCATCAACAATGTATAAGCATTTTCTTTTCTCTACGGCCTCACCGGCATCTGTTGTTTTTTGACTTTTTAAAATGATTATTCTCATTGGTGCGAGATACTATCTCATTGTGGTTTTGATTTACATTTTTGATGATTAATGATGCTAAGCATTTTTTCATATGTTTAATAGCCACTTGTATATCTTCTTTTTGAGAAGCGTCTGTCCATGTCCTTTGCGTATTCTTTAATGAGATTATTCATTTATTGCTGGTTGATTTAAGTTCCCCATAGATTCTGGATAATAGACCTTTGTAGGATGCGTTGTTCGTGAATATTTTCCCCCGTTCTGTAGATTTTCTCTTTGCCCTGTTGATCATTTATTTTGCTATACAGAAGCTCTTTAGTTGAATTAGGTCCCACTTGTCTATTTTTTGTTTTGTTGCTATTTCATTTGGAGATTTAGCCAAAAATCCCTTGCCAAGGCCAATGTCAAGAAGAATATTTCTTAGGTTGTCGTCCAGGATTTTTATAGTCTGAGGCCTTATATTTAAGTTTTTAATCCATCCCGAGTTAAGTTTTGTATATGGTGAAAGGTAGGGATCCAGATAAAATCTTCTGCATTGGGCTAGCCAGTTATCCCAGCATCATATACTGAATAGAGAGTTATTTCCCCCTTACCTTGTTGTAGGTGAGGTGGTTGTAGGTGTGTGGCATTACTTTGGGTTTTCTGTTCTGTCTAAGAGCATTCAAGCCAGGTGCCTATCAGTGGTAGATTGTATAAAGAAAATGTGGCACATCTGCACCATCCAATTCTACACAGCCATAAAAAAAATGACATCATGTCCTTTGCAGCAACATAGATAGAGCGGGAGGCCATAGTCCTAAGCAAATTAACTCAGCAACAGAAAACAAAATATCACATGTTCTCACTTATAACTGGGAGCTAAGTATTGAGCACACATGGACATAAATATGGGGACAACAGACACTGTGGACTACTAGAGGATGGGGTGTGGGTTAAAAAACTACCAATCAATCAAGCTGTGTGCTCGCTATCAGGGTGATATGACTTCCAAACCTCAGCATCATGCATTTCCGCATGTAAGAAATCTGCACATATACCCCCTACATCAAAAATAAAAGTTGAAATTCTAAAAGGTATACAGTTTTACAATTATAAATGCCATTCCTATAATCTACTTGTTTATAGTTCCCCCATTTTTAACCAAATATTCTCAATTAGCTACTTTTTCTTGCCCTGAATCAGATATTAAGAAAAAGCAAATAAAAGGATATGGTTATCGGTGCTACCTTTTTACTGTTCCGAATCCCTGATAAGCTTCCTAGGATTTTGAAGTGATTTGAAGGAAAATTTTGGATTGCCACTGAGTTTATTTACAAAACAATTATTTATACGTGTAACAACATTTTGACAAAACATTTAAAATCATTAGAGAATGGAGACTCAGTACTGAAGAATAAGTGTTGGGAAATACATACATCTACCCCCTAAAGAATAAGCATTCTGGGAAAAGAAATTCGGTAGTAAGTAATAAAATGTCTACATCAAGACTGTTCAGCAAAGTACACATAAAATGGTACATTAAAACGACCTTATTGAAAGTTACCAAAAATAGCCTGAGGATGTAAAACATATATAAATAAGCATTAGCCTTTTTTTATTTATTTAAGTAATGTTGAAAATTGTTGATGAATTTTACTCAGAATTTTTAAAACCTAAAGTTTTCAAATTCCCCAAATAATATGTGGATGCTGTAAATAGTATTGTAAGGGACTAAAAGAGCTGGAAATTATGTAAAATGATTTTACACAATCTACATCAGTGTATTAATGTCCAGTATAAACTTTTATAATTTATTTATAGATCTAAAAAGAGTTCCAATGAACTCATTATATACGTATGTGAAAATAGAGCAAATAACTTGTGTGTGATTCTAAAAATTAAAAATCCCTCCAACTGGCCACACACAATCCATAAGCTGGTGTAATTTCATCAAATTAAGTGCTGTATTCCTGATTATAATTTAATTTTGATTTTTAATGTTTTTAAGCATTATTATTTTTAATATTCCAAAACTCATTTCATAGAATTTATCTCTTAAAAAGACACTCTTTGCAGTTTTCTCTTCATAGATAACAATGCTTTTTTCACAGCCATCACAGACATTACTAGCATTACATACTTTTTCTTTTCAAATTATTCATTGAAAATTACAGGAGATTACATGTTGTACCCATACAGCTCTCATTCAATTATTTCTGTAACACATGTTGTACCCATACAGCTCTCATTCAATTATTTCTGTAAGCAGTTTTATATATGATGACTGCGAACTTGAGTGAACTTAAAAAAGTTGCCAATAAGTGCATTTTGTCAGGGAGCTGAAAGATGTAATGCCTTTTTATAATCTCATAAATACTCTGAGCTGTCCAGAGGGAGCCGAGACATACCAGAGTAAAAGATTAGAACACAAAAGAAGTACAGTATTTATTTTGGGGAGGTGATTTTGATTCACTTTGTAACAATCTTTTAAAAGTTATAATTTTATGTTTTATTACAATGAAGATGAATTGATCTAAAATATTGGACAAAATAATAATACAATAAATATGTTAATGATCACAAAAACGTAATAATGTACTAGGGGGCAAAATGAATTATAGAAGAAGAGAATGCCTCCCAAAATCCAGTATCTCCTTATCTCAAAACTGAGCAAAAGCCAAAGTCATATATGAGTGACAGTAAGAGCATTAGTAAATTATATGGACTTCCTCCATCTTCACATGAGTTTTAAAAAGATGAAGAAAAATTTTATAGTGTCAATTAGGAATATAGCAATGACCAAAACCAAAATTTACTAGCTAAGAAGTGAAGAAATAAAAAAGGAATAATATTAAAATTTTTAAAAACTTGTTGATTCTGGCCACAGTAAAATGCGTAGCTAAAAGTAGAAGAATGGAAATGATCTGAAGCCTTAAGCCTTAATGAAGATAACATATTAAACAAATAACATAATGTTTTGTTTATTTGTTTGTTTGAGACAGAGTCTCGCTCCAGGCTGGAGTGCAGTGGCGTGATCTCGGCTCACTGCAACCTCCAGCTCCCAGGTTCAAGCGATTCTCCTGCCTCAGCCTCCCAAGTAGCTGGGACTACAGGCGCGTGCCACCACGCCCAGTTAATTTTTTGTACTTATAGTAGAGACAGGGTTTCACTGTGTTAGCCAGGATGGTCTCGACCTCCTGACCTCATGATCTGCCCTCCTCAGCCTCCCAAAGTGCTGGGATTACAGGTGTGAGCTACTGTGCCTGGCCAATAACAATAAATTTTAAAACAAAATGTTTGTACTTGCTAAAATCTAGGAAGGTTTTGTATAAAAGTGGAGAAGTTCTAGTTTAAAAAAAAATACTGCTATAAGCAACAAGTAACAAGAAGCTACTCTAAACTGAATGTTTTTAAAATAATAGATTTAACAAATGAAATAATAACATATGTATATAATGACTTGGAATTCCCAAAGTACTTTCTTGCTTGAGCCTAAAAGAGCATTTTCATTAAGATAACTAGATATGTATATCACCATTTTACCAACAATGAAACTGGGAATGAAACAACAATATTATTTAGATATTTCCAATTGTATTATATGGACCACAAAATGGGTGAAAAATATAATTCACTCTGAAGATATAAAATGTTAGAATTTCCAAGTGCATTTATATCAACTCATCTTTTTATTTTTCTGTTTTATAATGTGCATTACATATTTCAATATATATTATAAAATACTACCTGTTTATAATTTAAAATAAAAACACCCATCTTGGAAGTGGATACTCAGCTCTTCTCTAGATATATACAGGAAACAATTTTAAAAGTTTTCTAGAAGGAAGGAAGAATATAAAATTCAATCATGGTTGCTGTTGAGTGTGCTGTTTATTTTTTTAAATTTTGAATGAATGTCAAATGATATTTTTAATCATCCTTGCTAATGAAATTTGCCATGATTTTTCTCTTTTTTCTCTAATTGATACAATTAAAGGAGTATTGACTAAACATTGGAAACCTCAAAAGTACAAACACTTCTTTCAAATAAGGAGTTTTAATGTGAATTAAAATTGAATAAATCTATCCATTTAGGGATGCACTACAGGTAGCAAAAATGCAAGAGGCCCCACCTGGTGTGATGCAGAAGAAAAACCTGTTCAGAGAAATGGAAATAGTGTTACATTGTGCTCGGATTGCTAGTATCAGTGGTTCCATATAAAATTCAGTGAATTTTATAACTTGCGTAAATCAAAATTTTCATTTTCCTTTTTTTCTACCTGTAATTACAACACATGCAAATGCGATCTGAAAGTCATGTTCTTTCAAATATATAAAGATAAATATTTTGGAATAATTTTTTTCTTACCACCCACAAATATATAAAGAAAACATTTATACATATATTTCTAATTATCTATGTAGTTTAACTGAGAGAAGTCTATCAAAGTCCAAACATGAATCTTAACTCATTTAAACTATTTGGTAAGTAAGTTTGTGATTAACATGTAAGGTCTTCCCTGTAGAAGATAGGAAGTTTTGTTAATATAAGACATCTCTCTTCACAACTCCATAATGTTGAAGAGTACTATTTTATTTCGTGACAAGTGGCTTCTGTTAAGAAATGTAAAGGATGCTGTTTGGTTTTATACTGGAAGAACATTATGAATACAGTTTATTCTCAATATCCCCACCATTTTTAAAGCCGTGAGCATTTAATTTTAAAAAAATTATTTTTGAACACTATTTTGCTCACCTAGTCTAGTATCTGCTTTGATTGATTCTTTCTACATTCTGCTACACATTGACTCTTTGAACTACATTTTACTCTTTGTATATTCAAGGGAATTCTATGGAAAATGCCACAAAACAAACATTTAATTCATCAATTTAATATAATATCCAGGTTTATAAGGAATAGGTAATCTTGGTAGACTGCTTGCCTAACATAACACAACAAGAAGCGTTGTATAAATCTCAGAAATGTTAATTGGTTTTTAAATTAGTGCAATGCATTTTTCTTTAAAACTATGTATTATCTCAGAATGTGTCTTCCATAACGCAAAATTTTGCCATAATGTTAACTATTACCAGTATGCCCTTGTTAATGTAAATATCATATCCATTAGCTCCTTTGTCGTGTCTTTTGTAATTCAATGGATGAAATTATATAAGGGAATTTATAATGCTCCCTAAGTAAATATGGACTTGAAGTATAATATTTCTAAAGAGTTATGTTAATTTTATTAATTCTATTTTAGTACATTTTAGGCAACCCTTCTGGTTCTGCACTATTTTATTAGACAGTCAATCAATGTTTATGAAGCATACATGGATTAATGTTCCTTTTTTTTTTTTTGCTATGTAGCTGCAGAAGTCTTTAGACTATCCAGATGTTTGACTTCTTAAGTAGCTGTCAATTCTGACCTAGATGGAGCCCTGCTGCAGAAAGATGCCTACTCCACCTTTCTCCACACCAGAAATGCAATCAAAACAAGACTAATTGACTGTGTTCTTGTAATTTTTGAGAAATTGCCCTTTAAGTTTCAGTATACCAAATTCAAATATTAAAAATTACAATCATAGTTTTACTTCAGTAATTTACAAAGCCATTCAAATCCAAATCAGCAATATTTTAAGAAGTATCCCTGTGAAGTCCAACACTGATAATACATTTCCCAGAAATTGGTAAATAAGAGTAATTAGATACCTTCCAAATTTTTAAAAAGTCTCTATCCCCTGGAGGAAACATTTCTACTGACTAAAGTATTTTGCGAGAAAAATTTTGCCTAGTTGTTTTGCTTGACTATATTAAGTAAATTTAATGTTTTCAACATTTTGACACTTTATATTAAGTATTTCTCAAACCATTTTGAATAGAAGTTAGTGAAACTTTAGACTATACTCATGCCTCTCAAAGAAGATACTTTTGGGGTATGTTTTACAATGGATAATTTCTAAAAATATTTTTTGAAACTCTAAAGAACAGTTATTAATTCTCTCAATTTTCTATCCATGTATCAAATTTATTTAATTGTAGGATTAACTCTGCACTATTTAAATGATTCAAATTTGAGGTAATTTTGAAGAGTATGTTTTAAAATATTCTTAACTTAATTTCACTTCATAAGATTCCACAAAAGTATTGTTGAATTCATGTCTATTGACCTTAATCTACAAAGCAAACTAAAACATC
This sequence comes from Homo sapiens, assembly GCF_000001405.40. Taxonomy (NCBI): domain Eukaryota; kingdom Metazoa; phylum Chordata; class Mammalia; order Primates; family Hominidae; genus Homo; species Homo sapiens. The sequence goes on from NC_000021.9 coordinate 21,502,468, forward strand.
CCCCATGATTAGATATCACCAGGTAGAATTTCAAGTTGCAGGGGATTTTTTAATCTTCTTTAGTTTTTCCTCATATACATGTATGTATTTGCTATAGACTTAGGCCAAAATTTTCCAAATATCATTTGATGTTAGGGAGTATATTGTACTACGAAGGACGAAGTAAGAACATATAATTAAGAGTCATGTAGACTTATCACCAATGTGGAAAGATACCGTACGTAGTAATATCATCAACACCAATCAGAGTTATTTAATGTCTTCTCTTTTCATATGCTTAACCTACTTGCCTGCTGCATCCAACAATATCTCTTATGAAAATAGCTACCAGTATTCTGGAAACAGCAACCAATCACCATCTTAGGACTCTGACTTTTTTCTCCATGTCTTTATTGCAGCTTTCCACGTCCTGAAATTAATTTTCAGTCTACCTGGAGAAGATGATACATGCACATAGAAAAAAGTTAAATAAAACATTGAACTATATAAGGAGTCAAAAAGCATGGCTAGTTTTATGAATCTAATAGTGCAGTGGTTTTTGAAAAGCTAGTATTATCAAATATAATACATTTCATGGACAAATATTTTAATATTGCAGTTGGGATTTAATTTATACAACAGAAACATGAAAAGACGCATACAATAGTCCCTGCTTTAGCCAGAGATACATTCCAAAACTCTCAGTGGATGCCTGAAACCTTTGATCGTACTTAACCCTACATATACAGATTTTCCTCTACGTACATACCTATGATAAACTTTAATTTACAAGTTAGGCACAGTAAGTTAACAATAATATCTGTTATTAAAATAGAACAATTACAACAATTTTCCAGCATCGCTAATCTTGTGTATAAGGGCCATTATTAAGTAAAATAAGGGTTATTGAACATGAACGCTTTGAGACTGACAATAGAGGGCTGAAACAGCTCCTAAGTAACTAAGAGGTGGGTAGTGTAGATAACATAGACATGCTGGATAAAGGGATGATTTGTGTCCCTGTCACAACAGAGAGGAATAGCAAGATATTTCATCGCACTACTCAGAATGGCCTCAAATTCAAAATTTATGAATTGTATACTTAAATTTTCCATTTGATATTTTTGGACCACAGTTGACTATAGATAACCGAAACTGCAGAATGCAAAACTGGATGAGGAGGGACTACTGTATATAAGACATTTGAATGAAGCTTGGATTCTCATACTTTAATACTTTGATTTTATGTTTGGCTGAAAATTTGAATGCAATTACAAGAAGATATGGGGAAACAGATTTAGAAAGTCAATTTCCAAATTTCATGGGGTTAGAGAAAATGCAGCTCAGAGGGAAACTGATTCTCACAGTTGCTTTTAATAGTAAAATATAAACCAAATATATTTTTAACTTTTTATATTCTAAATTATTTATTCTTATTCAATTATGAAGCCCATTTTTCATAACAGCAATACAAAATGATCATTAAAGAGGAAGCTTAAAGCAGAAATATAAGTTAGATAAATAATTTACATTGATGTTTTTCATTTAAATAGTTGTTAAATAGTTGTACCTCCAAATAATATTAAAGGTATATGGATATTGACATTTTTCTATAAGAATAATACATATTTTAATGTATTTGCTGTATTGCTGTACTGTATTTTATCCATATCTTTTCATTACTCGTTGGTGAATATCCAAGATAAAATGTTGACTCTAACACAAGTATAAAAAGTATACAACCTGGAGTTAATTAGTGATTCACGTGTACAGTTCTCATTTTAGGGGTTAGTATGTGACTTAGGCCAATGACCTCTCTGGATCTCAGTTTTCTTTTATGTAAATTAGAACTGATAATATTGTTTTCCTACCTTATAAAGTTACCATAAAATTTACACCATAAGTCGTAAGTGTAAGTATTCTGATGATCTTAAAAAATAAAAAATGGATTTACAATTATTTAAATTATTACTTATGCTCAGGTTTGATTTCCTAAGTAATAAACCATGATTAACTAATAAAAATGAATGTTCTGGATGTTATTGTGAAAATACATCATTAGTAGTGCCCGAATCTTAATGATGTCATTTCATATGTGCTTATGGTTTTATTTGTGAAACGTCCAGAGTACAAATAGTGGACTTTTTATGCCAGAGTAAATTGGTGAGAGAAAATAATTAAAATACTTAACTTTTATAGTTGTAACAGCCTAACCTCATGAGATATGAGAAAGTATAAGCATTTAAATACATCCTCAAGGTGACATTTAATATATATATAATATGTATATACATACATAGAACATAACTTTCAAAAGACAAAACTTATAAACTTATTATTTTTCAATTTTAATTTTTTTTCAGAGAATAGTACATTTGTATATTTGTGGGGTACATGACAACTTTTGATACAGGCATACAATGTGTAATAATCAAATTAGGGAAAATGGTGTATCCATCACCTCAAGCATTTATCTTTCGTGTTACAAATAATCCAATTATACTTTTAGTTATTTTTAAATGTATAATTATTATTGACTATAGTCATCCTGTTGTGCTATTAAATACCTGATCTTATTCTATTTTTAACACAAACCTATTTGAAGTTCACTTCTATCCTCTGCAATGACAAAAAGATACTTATTTTTTCATAAAAATAACTTCAAGCAACCTACGATTGTAATAAGTTTATAAAGTTAATTTTCTATATATAGAAAAAAGTACTAGCTATTAGTATTTTAGCAATTCTTCACCATAATAAAATAGGGCTCCTATATGGTTAAAAAAGAGTAGGATCTTAATCTGATGGGATCAATGGCCTTAAAAGAAAAGGAAAAGAGAGTTCTCTCTGAGTCTCTATCCCACAAGTGATCACACAGTGAGAAGGAAGCTGTCTGCAAAGCCAGGAAAAGAGCCCTCACCAGAATCCAATCATGCTGGTACCTTGACCTCAAACTCTAAACCACCATAACTGTTAAGAAATAAATTTCTTTTGTTTAAGCCAAAAAATGAAGATGTTTTACATATATAATTTTTCTGAAAGCTTTTCTAAAGATAAAAATGAAGCATATAATTATACTAGTTTAATGCTAAAAAGGTCACAGGATGAAATACTTGTCATTTAAAAGCTAACTAGCCAAACCTGAATTATTAAAAAAAAACTTACTTTAGCCTCAAGAGAATAATCATTACTTAATAAGAGATAGTCTTCCACTTTAGATTACTGCTGAAAAGATGTGCTTACAGAATAGTTTAATGTTTAACATTAGATAATTTTTAGTTGAAATATCATTTTTATAATACTAAATATCAATTTTATAATATTAAAATAATTATAAGCAGTACTTGCTAGATTTTTACTTTGTACTGGGCAATAAGTGCTGGAGGTTAAGTACATTACCACATTCACACAATCTTCTCAACAAACTTGTGACCTATTTTTGGTTGTTATTTTTATTATTACTGTCTCCATTTTAATAAAGAGGCACTTCAGTCTGAGAGATACTAGATGGCTTACCCCAAAAGCTAATGATGGTAAGTGATGAAACCAGGCGTTTCTTACTCCTGATGCAGTGTTTTTAAGAACAAAGCAAGAATCTTCATACTTAGGAAAGGTAAATGGGAATGTGTATAATAAATCAGATATATTGTCATTGATCTATAGGATTTATTGCCTAGAACTATCTGCATGTGAGAAGACCCTAAACGAAGTAGCAGAAGAGTGATCCATTCAAACCAATAGGATCATCATGTGAATGTATACACCAGGGCTAAACCACAATTGTATATTTTTTTCCAATTTTTTTTCCTGAGCTTTAGTTGTTGAGTAATGTGCAACATATCTAAAATGAATACATTTGAAATTGAAGAAAATATTGTATTTTCATATAATCAAACATGTTTCATAGGTAAGTTGATTTCACTGTATTGTAATGATAGATTCAGAAGTGAGTCATTTATATTTGGAAATGGATAATGGAAGAAAATATATACCATGATTTTTTTTAACTGCAAACAGAAATCCTAGCTTGCTTGATATATTATTTTTGTAGCATGAGGCAATAGTTCTTTTTTAATTCATGCATAGAGATATACCTTTGAAAAACTGATAACTAATCTTTGGAATCTCATTCTACACTTGTTTATTGAGATTTTGCAAACTAAAAAAAAATATTAAATCCCCATGGCTGAGAAAATACTATTCTTTCTCTAGTTATTCCTCAAGTGGTTTCATGTGCAAAGATAATAGTTCTGTCGAAACCAGAAAATTCCCGGATACTAGCTAAGCAATTTTACTAAACTATCACCATCTAAGTAGCATGTTAAAATTTGGTATAGGAAGGTATTGAAATTGACATTAATACATTATTTTTTTTCACTACCTTGTGTTTATCACTAGTTTTTCTTCATGAAAAACAAAATAATTTCAATAAAAATTATACTTGCTTGGACATGAGCATTCTAAATTTGTTAATTCAGTGACTAAGTAATTCTCATTTGCCGTATCATGATGACATTGTAGAAGTATATTTGCAAGTGTGAACCACAAAGTTGCTGGGATGAAGTGCCAGGCAAAATCACAAATTGAATGATTTTTTTTTTCAAAACTGAGCTGTTTGCTTTTAGAATTATAAGAAATAAAAATAACTTAAACCTATTTTTTGAAAAAAAAAATAAAATAATGTAGACATGACACTCAGTCATCCTACAGAACTAGTATTCAGACAAGTCTGACATACTCAAAGTCGACCTGCTAGTGCTTGCTTTTGTATGTTAGCAGTTGTTCTGATTCCTTTGGATCACTATTTCCTTTGGATCACTATTTCTTCAAGTCATTATTAAAATATTAAACCTAAGTTTAAAAATATCACATAGGAAAACTTTTTATACATATATAAAACAAATACAGGTTTTATATACATATTTTTTCAGGAGTGGTTTTCTCACAGTTCAAATTTACATCTATACCCGTATCTGTCACTTGTGTTTCACATCAGTTACATATTTGAACATGCAGTTATTATGCTGAGTAATAAATGCATTTTGTCATTAAAAAGACTAAACTGGGCTAGGCACGGTGGCTCATGCCTGTAATCCCAGCACTTTGGGAGGCCAAGGCGGGCGGATCACGAGGTCAGGAGATCGAGACCATCCTGGCTAACACGGTGAAACCCCGTTTCTACTAAAAACACAAAAAAATTACCCAGGTGCAGTGGCGCCTGTAGTCTCAGCTACTCGGGAGGCTGAGGCATGAGAATTGCTTGAACCCGGGAGGTGGAGGTTACAGTGAGCCGAGATCGCCCCACTGCACTCCAGCCTGGTGACAGAGCAAGACTCCATCTCAAAAAAAAAAAAAAAAAAAGACTAAACTGTTATGCAAGCTAATTCTTAACATGTGTTAAGAATCATTTTGAATGCCTATCAAATTATATTTCTTCCTTATTCTTCTAGATAATACATTATCACCAGTTTATTTCTTTTCATTGTTATTATTTTCTGATCCATATTGTTATAGCTGCGGAGTCTACCCTCAGATTCTACTACAAACACGTAACACGTGATTCATCTTCATTACTACTTGCTCCACTTGCCATTTCAATTTTATCAATCAGAATACTTCATCTTCTTCCTATTCACCTCTTTCATGGTTACTTTCTTTATGTCTTTTGGGATTTCCTGCAACCATATGCCAAAGAAAAGTGGCTTCCACCTTCTCCTACCTTCTCATGGTAGAAACTAACAAAAGGTCATAAATACCATAGCTATAAAATGTTGCCTTTAATCTAATATATTTGTTAAAATATTAACTGGAGAAATACAGGTGATCCATTTCTTGCCAAATGATGATTCCTAAAATATTCATAAAAAGGTATATTTAAATACATTCTCTGTTAAAATAACGCGCTCAGAACCATCCATTTTCAAGTTTAAGTTTTAAAACTAACATAATCTCATATAGAAGATTTATTTAACACTTTTCACAGAAGTTTTGATTATAATTTTCTTTTAACATTATGATCTATTAATGGGTGTCATTTTCTGATAAAGTACATTTAGGGATATGATAATATTCATTATCTTCCCCACAGGGATTCAAGAGGTATATTTAAAAGAAGAGGTACTTAGACACTTTTTCTTTGTTAATAAAAAAAAAAGAAGTTTGAAAAAGATAGTCACATAATTAACAAATCAATTGCTTAAAATATTGTTTGAAACCAGGGAATAGGCGTCAACAATCATGAAATTGAATTCTGCCGGTTACTATGACTTTATTCTGTCTCTTAAATTGAATTATTGGAAAAGATTTATTTTTAAAATAATCATCTAATATTTTCTAATTTAGAGGTTTAATACTTTTTTTCCTTTTTTTTTTTTTTTTTTTTTTTTTTTTTTTTACTTTTTAAGACACGCTGTTTAATGGTCTTGGGCTTGGAGCAGTAATTGGCCTGGGAGTTGCTGCACTGCTGCTAATTCTTGTGGTAACAGACGTCAGCTGCTTCTTTATTCGGCAATGTGGGTTGCTGATGTGCATCACTAGGAGAATGTGTGGAAAGAAAAGTGGCTCCAGTGGCAAAAGTAAAGAACTCGAAGAAGGAAAAGCTGCATACCTGTGAGTATCAGGCATCTACATCATGTCATATTAAACAAGCGCCACAGTCAAGCTCGAGTGCTTTACCTGAGGGCGTTGTAGGGTAAAGGAGTAGGGTAAAGAGTTTGATTATGCAACATTGGACACTGCACTGCCTGCTCTCTGACCTTGAAACTATGTATCCTTATATATAACCTAGAACAAAGTGACTTTGACAACAGTTTATTCAAAATTAAACCTCACAATGGGATCTTCACTGAAAAGAATCACTACCATGATTTATAGATGATAAACATATAGATGGATGGATAGTTGTGCAAATGTATTCCATTTTGATTTATTCCACCGGTTTTGTTTATATTAAATAAAAGAAAGGCTTCAACAATAATCTGAGCTAAAAACTCAGTTGAACTGAGTTAAAAACAACAAAATTGTGGCAACTTCTACAAACGTAAGGCATGATTACAACAGGCTTCATGATTTTTTGTATAGAAAATATGATATGTGCTATAAAATACAATATTACAGATTCTGAATATACTATTCTAAAATTTGATCAAAAGTTGATTACTTGTTAGAATTTGGAGCTCTCTGTGTAGTTCTATTTAGTTAAGCAGATATAATTTTCAAGAAAGTATGTAGATCGATTTTTTAGAAAATTATTTTGTCCTGTAAAAGGGAAATTACAATGTTTTAATATTTCCATTTTGTTTTATTGTGTTTGTCTTTACATAGATATAGATCTAATTTCAAAAGTAGAATATGATCAATGCAAAAAATTCAGCAAGCACAGGAAATCATACACAAACATATGCACACACGTTTGTGTGTTATGTGTGGGTTTGTATACATATACATGTGTGCATTAAACACAGCAATCAAAAAATAAACAGTCTTAAGAGTTCAGGACATTCCCTTTATTATTTTTAACCTTAAGTCCTTTCTACTGCATACTTTTTCTGACACATACAAAAGTGTTGAAAGACTTTAAAGCAAACAACTAGTTGGGTTCCACAATTAACATTTTGTGCTATTTTGTCATATGTTTATTCATACGTTAATCCCTTATATTTTCTTGAATTTCAAAAAATCATCACACAACCCCTACATAATTCAACTTGCATATCATTACATACAGTCTAAAAGGTGTTTACATTTATGTAAGTAAAGCCACAGAATAAAATGCACCAAATGTTTCAGTTGAAGAGTTTTGACAAATGTTTTTATATGTGTAACACAAAGCCATATCACAATTCAGAACCTTACCACCACATTCTGGAAGTTCTCTCATTTCCTTATCCAGTCCACCCACATTAACCTCCCTCACCCAGGCCATTGCTATTCCTGATTTTTCACCACAGATAGTTTTTGCTTATTTTGGAACTTCACATAAATGGATTCCTGCAGTGTCTACCCTTCTGTATCTGACATCTTCAAAAATGTTGTATTAGGACCATTCATGTTTTGTATTTCAAGGACTGATGCTTTTTTATTGTTGAATCATTTATATTCTTTTTCTATGCATCTGTTGAAGCGTGGAAGGTCTCATACTGTTTTATAGACACATTTTGTCTTGGCTTTATCATATAATTTTGTTCCATTGTATCATTTACACCTTAAATTTTAAGGATAATTCTTTTATTTGAAAAGTTTTTACTTTAAAGTTTTGGCTTTTAAAATATATGCCAAAATATATATCATTTTTTACATATTTCTGCATTTTTTGCTAATTGTTTTAACATTTTTACTCTCATGGAAGTATAATATTCTAAAAGGCTTAGCTATTATCAGTGTACAGTTTAATAAATATTCACAAGCTGAGCATGCCCATTTTTAACGCTCAAATCAAGAAAAAGAACTTTATTATCTACGTCTCCTTTCCTGTCCCTATTCAATCTCGTGCTAAGCAATATCCTGACTTCATAGCACCATAGATTACTTTTTCCTGTTTTGTACTTTACATAAATGAGTTTATACTTGTTGCATATGGGGTATTTTGATACAGGCATACAATATGTAATAATCAAATCAGAATAATTGTGGTATCTGTCACTTCAAACCTTTATCAATTCTTTGTGCTAGGAACACATTCCAATTCTCCTCCTTTAGTTATTTGTAAATATCTGATACATTATTTTTGGCTGTTGTCAATCTATTGTGACACCAAATACTGAATCCTATTCATTCTGTCTAACTGTATTTTCATACCCATTAACTGTTCCTACTTAATCCCCCATTCCCCCTTCCTTGTTACCTTTGCTAGCCTCTGCTAACAATTATTCTTTTCTCTTTCTCCATGAGTTTAAGTTGTTGTTGTTGCAGCTCCCACATATGAATGAAAACACACAATATTTTTCTTTCTGCACTGACTTATTTCACTTAACATAATTTTCTCCAGTTCCACCAATATTTCCACAAATGATTTTCCATTGTGTATTTAGCAAATTTTCATCCATTCATCCATGGATGGACACTTAGGTCAATTCCAGATCTTAGCTATTCTGAATATTGCTGCAATAAACATGGGAGTACAAATATCTCTTGATTTTTTTAAAAATTTTTGATATATACCAAGCAGAGGAATCACTGGATCACATGGTAGTTTCTATTTTTAGTTTTTTGAGGAAGCTTCATGCTGTCTTCCATAGTGACAGTATTAAGTTACATTCCCACTAATCCACAAGTGTATAATGGTTTTCATTTCTTCACATCATCATCTGGATTCATCTTTGCCTGTCTTTTGGATACAAGCCATTTTAACTGGGATGAGATGATATCTTATTATGGTTTTGATTTGCATTTCTCTGATGATGATGCTGAGCATTTTTTGTATACTTGCTGTCTACTTGTATGTTGTCTTTTGAGAGAAATGTCTATCCAGATCACTTGCTCATTTTTAATTGGATTATTTGTTTTGTTTTTTTCCTGTTTTGTTTGAGATGCTCGTATATACTGGTTATTAACTCCTTGTCAGATGGGTACTTTATAAACATGTCCTCCTATTCTGTGGGTTGTCACTTCACTTTGTTAATTGTTTCCTTTAGTGTTCAGAAGTTTTTCAGCTTGGTGTGATCCCATTTGTCCATGTTTGCTTTGTTTATGCTTGAGAGGTATTACTCAAAGAAATTTATGCCCAGATCAATGATCTGAGGTGTTTCCCCCATGTTTACTCTAGTACTTTCATAGATTTGGTCTTCGATTTAAGTCATTATTCTGTTTTGATTTGTTCTTTGTATATGGCAAGAGATAGGGGTCTACATTCATCATCTATATATGGATGTCCAGATTTCCCAGTACCATTTATTGATGAGACTTCCCTATCTCCAATGTCTTGGCAGCTATGTTAAAAATAACTCTACTGTAAATGCATGGGTTTATGTCTGGGTTCTCTACGCCATTTCACTTGGTCTGTGTGTCTGTTTTTATGCCAGTAGCATGCTTTTTTGTTTATTATACCTTTGTAGTATAATTTGAAGTTAGGTAATGTCATTCCTTCACTTTTGTTCTTTTGAGTCAGGATGGTTTTGGCTCTTGTGGGTCTTTTGTGTTTCCATATACATTTTACGATCTTTTTTTCTATTTCTGTGAAGAATGTCATTGGCATTTTGATAAGAATTGCATTGAATCTGTAGATTTCTTTGAGTAGTATGGACATTTTGACAACATTTATTGTTTTAATCCACCAACATAAAATGCCTTTTAATTTTTGTGTCATCTTGAAGTTTTCATCAATGTTTTATCGTTTTCATTGTAGAGATGTTTTACTTATTCACTTAAGTTAATTCCTAGGTATTTCAATTTATTTGAGCTTTTATAAATGGGATTACTTTATTGGTTTCTTTTTCAAATTGTTTCCTGTTGACATGTGGAAATGTTACTGATTATTGTACGTTGATTTTTTATCCTGAAACATTACTGAATATATTTGTTAGTTCTAATAGTTTTTTTGGTGGAGTTTTTAGCATTTTCTAAATATAAGATCTGTCATCATAAGAAGGATTATTTGACTCCTTCCTTTCCACTTTGGATACATTTTATTTCTTTATCTTTCTTAATTGCCCTGGCTAGGACATCCAGTACTACGTTAATACCAGTGGTGAAAGTAGACATCCTTGTCTTGTTCCAGATCTTAGAGGAAAGGCTGTCCATTTTTCCTGGTTCAGTATGATACTAGCTTTATTATTTATTTTCTTCTACTAATTTTGGGTTGGGTTAGCTTTGGCTCTTCCAGTTCTTTAAGATGCATTGTAAGGTTATTTAGTTAAAGTTTTTCTGCTATTTTGGTGTAGGTGTTTATTGCTGTAATATGCCACTCAGTACTACTTTTGCAGTATCCAATAGGTTTTGGTATGTTGTGTTTCCATTATCATTTGTTTCAATAAATTTTTAATTTTCCTTTTTAATTTCATTGACTTAATGGTCATTCAGGAGCATATTTTTTTTAATTTCCATGTGTTTCTATTGTTTCCAAAGTTCCTCTTTTTATTGACTTTTAGTTTATTGTTTTCCGTTGTCAGAAAATATGCTTGATATGATTTCAATTTTTTGGAATTTTTCAAGAATTGTTTTGTGGCCTAACATACGATCTATTCTTCAGAATGTTTCATGTGCTGAGGAGAAGAAAGTGTATTCTTAAAAACGTGGATGAAATGTTCTTTAAATGTTTATTAGGTCCATTTGGTCTATAGCATATTTTAGGACTTATGTTTCTCTGTTGATTTTCTGCCTGGATGTCTTGTCCAATGCTGAAAGATGGGTTTTGAGGTTCACAGCTACGATTTTATTAGGATCTTTCTCTCTAGGTCAAATACTATTTGCATTATATATCAAGGTTTTCCAATGTTGGGTGCATACATATTTATAATTGTTATATTCCCTTGATTAACCAACCCCTTTATCATTTTATAATGACCTTATTCATCTATTTTTACAGTCCTTATTCAAGCATTTTAGTCATTTTCTATTAGGTTGCCTTTCTTTTCCTTACTGTTATGCAGGTGTGTTCTTTTATACAACATGCTCTACATATATAACCTGGGCTATACATATAAATTATGTATATACAATTTATTATAAGTATACATAAACCTATATATGGTATAATTAAATTTATATTTATAATAAAATATTTACATATGAAATATAATTTTACATATAACCTCTTTTCTTATTTTTTTAACTGGCAAAATGTTGTCTCTGGGGAGGCTGAGGCGGGTGGATCACCTGAGGTCAGGAGTTCGAAACCAGCCTGGACAACATGGCGAAACCCCATCTTTACTAAAAATACAAACATTAGCTAGGCATGGTGGTGGGTGCCTGTAATCCCAGCTACTCGGGAGGCTGAGGCAGGAGAATCACTTGAACCTCGGAAGTGGAAGTTGCAGTGAGCCATTGTACTCCTGGCTGGGCAACAAGAGCAAAACTTTGTCTCAAAAAACAAAAAAAAAAAAAAAAAAAAAAAAATGTTTTCTCTGGTGAACAGAAGTGCCTGATCTTCATGTAGTTTAATATTTTAATTTGTCTCTTGTCTTATTTTTTAAATATTTGCCTATCCTGAGGTCAGTAAGGCCCTCTATATTTTCCACTAAATCTTTATCATTTCGCATTTTACCTTTAGACATACAATATACCTGAGTTAGGACTCCACACACTTTTCAGTTAGTATTTTTTAAATTATGTTTAGAAAATAGCACTAGTAATTTTAGTAATTGAAAATGTCATTCTTTTCTCATGAATAGCAGTGCCATGGTTGTGACATCTCAGATGACAGAATTCAAATAGGCCTGTTTCTGTTCTTCTTATTCTATTCCACTTTTCACTTTCTCTATCCTTTCACCAATGCCAGACTTTATTAACCACTAAATCTTTGCCATGGTTGTTTTCTAACTGATAGAATAAGTTCTCCAAGTTTGTTGTTCTTCAAGATCGTTTTGCTAGTCTTGACTCACATATCCATTTAAAAAATTTAAATTATTTATCCATAAAAAAATTTGCAATTACAAATTTTAAAAATGTTACAATTTGTATTGGGAGTGCATTAATTTTGCAGATTCATTGAAAGACAATCAATATCTTTGCAAGATAAACTATTTTAAGCAACAAGCCAATAATAACTTGTGTGAGCTTTGTAAATAATCTAGATTTACTTATGAAGTGAAATTTTTAAAGTACCTTATTCTTTCACATGCAGTCCTTTTGGGTTGCTGAATATGTTTAAGCAGATGGTGTTCTGCACGAGTCCAAAGAGGGCTATTCATGAGGGTCATGACACCACTTGACTTGTGAGAAAATGAGTGCAGTAACCTTAGGACCAATTCCCTTACTTCAGTAAAGAGTTATTCATTAGAATGCATTATAACTAAACAATAAATTTTTTAAAAAATGTTTCTACCTATAACCACTTGTCTTAAAATACATGTACTCATGAAACATAGTGAAATCATCAAGATAGTCTCTAAATTTTAAACATAATTATTTTTATTTTTTGTTAGAACCAAAGCAAATTGCTTTCCTAACAAGATATTATCTCTAATGTACTTTTTAAGTTTGAAAAAATGCTGACTTTTCCCAATTCTCATTTCATTGAATAAAGTAATTTCGATAGAATTAATTCAGTGGAAAATTTAATTTACTACCTGTAATACCATAATTAAAATCCAATATATTATGGACATTCACCCTGGGTATGACCATGAACTAATACTGATAAGACACTATAAACAATGACAGCTTAAACCCGTGTAAAGTACTGTATAATGACCACACTTAGCTAGAATTAACTGTTGGGTTTAGGTGTTTGAAATCTTCTTATTAAATTTTATCATTTATAACTGAAGAAGACGGCAATTTTAGAGTTTTTGTATTCCTTGCCTATAAAAATAGACCATGGGCCATGTAATTTTAAACTTTCTTTACAAATCTAAAATTATGTCACTCCAATTATGAATTGTTCAGTAAATAACTCTACAGTTGTTAAGATCTCAGGATTTTGAGGGAGCCACACAGAAGCATACCGTATGTCCATGTATCGAATGGAAGTAGAAATGACAAAAACACAAGTTTTAGAAAACAAAAGGAACAAAAGGCATCCTACCCTTGCAATTACTCCCCAAAGAACCACATCTACAGTTTGTACTCTTTCGTGTCTGGCTTCTTACAGAAAAGCTTGTATTACTCACAAAAGGAGAGTAAGGTCTACAGTCTCTGAGAAATAAGAATAAAAATCCTTGCACAGGCATTTCATAACATCAGTGCTAACAAATGGAGAGACCATTGAGATAAAAATTAGTTTGGCAAATAATTATTAGTTTGGGAAGTAATATATTTTAATAATCTAATTATAAAAGTTTTTTTTTCAATTCTAAGGCAGAAGTAATCATTACTTTTCTTAAAATGAAACGCCATATGCCAACTGAGATTTATTTTTCAAAATTGAAAAACAAAGGCTTTTAATCCACTTTTTAAATATTGAAATTCTTCTGAATTTCTATGTGCCTAAAATTCAAGAAACTTAACTGTTAAATGTTCCTGTAATATCACATTTTATTTTGTATACCAGTGTTTTTTTCTCTTCTCTTTTTTCGAATCTGGCTCTTTCTATTGAGAAAATCTAGAAGTCAACCATCTGTATTTTTTTTCCACTTTCAACTTCCTCCCTCACTGCTTAATCTCTTCTATTTTTGGCTTATGCTTCACTAAAGCTGCTCTTTTCAGTCGAGAGATTTTATGTTGATCAAATCTCATGTCTTACTTTGGTTTTCAAATTCTCAAACCATCTTGGAGAATGTGATATTGTTTACATGTTCCCTCACCGACATTCTACCATCCCCTTCCAAGACTCTGTATCATCTTTTTTCTCTGTGTTTCCTCCTCAGTTCTCTTTCTTTATGTATAATTTATCCCATAACTCCAAATATCACCTCTACATGTGTGAATACCAAATAAATGTCTGCGTCTGGTCCTTATCATTCTCTTGGGCATCAGGATGCCTGTGTGTGTCTATTTCTAAACAAAATGGCAGTAATTGAGAATGTCTGAAATCTAACTTAGAGTGATTACTCCCAAATTATTTTCTGTTTCTGTGGTCCTCATCTCTGTCAATGGAATAAGTATATTTCCAGTTCCACTTCAATTCCACTTCAAATGCTTCTAGCTCAATAAAGATTTTCTATTTCATCAACTTGGCTAAAATCCTGTTTTATCTGTGTACTCCTGTTTCATTCCATTTGTCATATTCTTATATCCTTTATTACATATTTTTATATTCATTTCTTAGCATTGTTTTAAATAAGCCATTCTGAATAAATTACAAGCTCATTGATTATTGGCATTGGCTCATATTAACATTAACATTCTACCAAATGGTCTTTTTCTGTCACATATAAGAAGACACTAGTTTCTTCCTTCTATTCTGTAGATAGTATGCAAGGAACTAGAGGGATAGAAAGCTATGTGTTCTTCTTGTGATATATTGTTTTCAAAACCTAACTCAAAAGTCTCATCAGTTTTCCCTCAGTAAGTACTGACTTAAAACTTTAACACAGCCAGGGGCGGTGGCTCACCCCCGTAATCCCAGCACTTTGGGAGGCCGAGGTGAGTGGATCACCTGAGGTCAAGAGTTCAAGACCAGCCTGGCCAACATAGCTAAACCCTGTCTTTACTAAAAATACAAAAATTAGCTTGGCGTGGTGGTGCATGCCTGTAATCCCAGCTACTCGGGAGGCTGAGACAGGAGAATCGCTTGAACCTGGGGAACGAAGATGGCACCAATAGACTCCAGCCTGGGCTACAGAGCAAGGCTCCATCTCAAGAAAAATAAAAATAAAGTAAAATAAAACTTTATCACCTTGTAAGAGAGTACCATTTTCAGCCTATTTTTAAGTAGCTGTGAAAAGATTCCAAGAACCAGTGGAAAAATAAATGAGCTTGAATCCCAGTACACTTGGAGAAGTCATTCTGACTTCTGTGAACATTTGTTTCTTTCTTCATAAAATGAGAATTTACAGTTCTGCTCCACATGTTGTGTGACATAAGTAAAGAAATGCATGCAATATATGTAAAATTACCCTTATAATGCCTGGCATTTAATAATAATTTATGCATCAGGGTTAGAAATACAGGAGAATCGATTCTTCCTAGCTACATTTTTTTTACATCACCAAGCCTTTTTCAACTTTACTAGATTGTTTGTCTATGACCATTTGTTATGTATGTTCTGTAAGGGATATTTTTACTTCATGAGATGATAATTAGATAACATATTTCAGTTCAAAAATTAGATTCAACTGTTCTCAAACAAAATGCAAACTGCATATTTATTGGACATGGAATAAACTAAAGAACAAACATAAATTAGCCTCTACTGCACACTAAATGAGATACAAATAAGAGACATGGTAAATACAGTGGAATCAATTCATTTCCAATATTTTTTGCTTTCTTCGTCATTGCCTTTTATGCCTCCTAATAATTTTCTGTACTTTTACATTGTCTTCCTAACTAAACAAACAGATCACAAAGCTTAGTTTTAGTTGTTTTATTTAAATAGAGGCACAAGATAAAAACACATAGAATAAATATTATATATAATAACATCATTACATATACTATATATTATGCTATTATATATAAAGGTATAGATAGAGATATATATTAAATTTTATAAGTCTTCTCTTTTGCCCATCCACTGAGCAAATATTTATGGAATAAATGCCAGGTTATAAGCACTTTTATAGAACTTAGGAACAAATTAGTAAGCAAAGCAAACAATAATTTTGTTCACATGGAGTTCAAGTTATTGTGGAAGATGGCAGTTAATAAACGTTAACTAAAAATGAAATGTCCAGTAGTGATAAGCACTAAATGAATGAAAGGCAGGATGTTAAGTTGTTATTTGATACTGTGTCATAAATACCTCTCAGGGAGGTGACATTAAGCTTAAGGGTGGGTAATAAGGAGCTGGTAATACAACAATCAAGGGACAGAACATTCTAGGCAGGTGTAAATTAATGTAAAGATTCTAACATGGGGATGAGCTTGCTATGTTCAAAGGCAAATGACGCTTATTGGTGAGAGTCAGAGAAAGAGAAACTGGTATAAATATCAGATTGGGAAATTATCTAGGGGCCAAAGTATTATTCCATCTTCTTGGGTCAATGAAAAGGGTCTGAATTTTGTTTGAAATAGAAGACTACTAGAAGAGTTTTAAGAAGATGACTTTTGCTATTGTGTGAAGAATGGGTTATTGGACATAATAGGTTTAGGGGAATGATTTAAAATCAGGGAGCCCAGTTAAGAGGAGCTTGAAGTAATCCAGATGAAAAAAGTTGGGGTTTTTTGGCCCAAGGCAGTGGTATTACACTTATATAAGAGTGAGTATATTTCAGATATAGTTGGGGTAGTGTCAATCACCTGATTGATTTTATATTTGGATTAGGGAAAGAGAGAAATCAAAATGTACCTTCATGATGTTGTTTGGTTGTGCAGACAACCAGGTGTATGCAGTTGTGCTGTTTATTTTTATATAACCCTGTTATTTGTTAATTTGTCCACCACACCTCTGTTTTTAAAACCTGCTGAGTTTAATTAACCTTAAGGAATTGGGAAAATGAAAATATGTGGTTAATTCCATGCTTATTATTGATCACACAATTTTTATATAAATTTCTTCTGCTTTGGAAAAACAGATTTCAGCTCTTTTCAAAAATGTAGTGTTCAAGTTTGAAAAAGATATAAAATCTTAATGAGGAATAGGGTTAACTGATTTGACTGTTCGGATTTATACTATCTTTTACACATGATCCCAAGCATTCTGAGACTAGCTCTTTCATGTTTTCAAAACTTATGACTATGATGATTTATTAAAACTGCATTAATTACACCTAAAGCATTTTTGTTTTAAGAGCATCTCAAGGCAGAGAAAAAAAAATTAAGATCAGTGTCATAGAGGATAGTATTAGTGTAAAGTTCTATTTTAATTTGGTTCTTATCAATTTAAATTACTATATATCTTACATTCTCAAGGGTTTTTCTTATCAAAATGACTAATAATACTTTTTAATCAAATTATCTTTTTACTGTTATTTACTCAAGCATAATTTACTAAGCATTAATATTAAAAATATTTATTAAACATCTATACAACAAGAGACAACTCTAACTTCTGTGAATACAACTTGTGAAAAAGCAGACTCATTCCTTTCTATCAGGAAACTTTTATTCTGGCAGGAACCACATTTTAATTTAAAAAAATCAAATGATAAATAATTTTTATAAATGTTATGTAAAATAAATAATTTACCTACTCATATTTATGTAAGCAAGTTGTGAAGAACTAAAGCATAAGGAAGAGTAGGAATTAACTAGCTCGTGTGTGTCTGGTGGGGTGTGTGGAAGATGGTTCTTCAGGCAGAGGGAATGGACTGTGTAAAAGGCTTTGTTATAAGAGAAAGTAAGATTTGATACAAAAACTGAAGAAATATGTATGAAATATCAATTGTATTTTCTGAATAACAGTGACAAAACAAACCAAAACAATACTCCCGGTTTTCAGCCCAGCATGCAAAGAGATTAAAAGTTGCCACTCTCTCCTAACAAACCAAAAGCTAAACAAACTGAAATCAACAATTCTTAGATTCATAAGAAAAATGTGGTGTTAGTGCAAACTACCGTCCTGAAAATTGAAGAGGCAGAGAGGCAGATGCAGAAAATCACAACTTATCAGAGCAGAAACCTGTAAGCAGAAACGTCTGTGAGAACCAGTTCAGGAATAGGAAAAAAATGTAAAATGTTATTGATGAATTGGTAGAGGCTCGATGTGGACAAATCTGTGAGTTGAAAACTCCAGGATGACTTAGTCATAGGAGGTCCTATACTTCTGAGAATTTTACCTTCAGGAGCTTAACCTAGTTGTTACAATGATTATTGGAGAAGTATCTCCTTATGTTTCTGGAAATAGAAGGGGGAAGTAACTACATTAAAATATATCAGACCATTCTGTTCTTAACAAAGTCTACTCTCAGAAGAAACTGTTTAACCAGAGCCTAACATGGGGTTTTTAACAGAGCCTAACTGACCCGGAGAATGGAAATAGCCAACACCACCCGGCTCTATGTTTCCCCCTGGAAATCCCCAACTCCAGTCCACTCTATTCATTCTGTCCCACCAAGGCTGTGGGAGGATCTGAGAAATGCTTGTGAAGTTTACAGCCAGAATCACGG
Source organism: Homo sapiens (assembly GCF_000001405.40). Classification (NCBI taxonomy): domain Eukaryota; kingdom Metazoa; phylum Chordata; class Mammalia; order Primates; family Hominidae; genus Homo; species Homo sapiens. The sequence goes on from NC_000021.9 coordinate 21,521,253, forward strand.
ACTCACTAAAGGACTGAGACCTAATCATGGGATGATAGTCTCTTCTTCTGCCCCACACATTACCTCCAAATTACTAAAGGCCTATTGATTATATTTACCCCTACTCAGTATGTTATGTCCAGCTGTCAGGAAAAAAATTACAAGGAGTACTGAACAGCAAAAAACACAGTTTGAAGAGAGAGGCAGCATTAGAACCAGATTTAGATATGATGGCGATGTTGGAATTATCAGACTAGGAATTTAAAATATCGATGAGTAACATGCTAAGAACTCTAACAGGTAAGGTAGACAATAAGCAATAACAGATGTGCAATGTATGCAAGCACAGAGATGAAGATTCTAGAAAAGAGGAATGTCTTTGATAGGCTTATTAGAATAGAAACAGCTGAAGAAAGAATCTCTGAGCTTGAAGGTATCTCAGCAGAAACTGCCAAAATGGAAAGGCAAAGAGGAAATAAGAAAAAAAAAGACTCAAACAAACAAATAAACTAACAAAAGAAACAGAACATAATATCCAAGAACCATGGAGTAAATACAGTTATAATATGTGCATATTGGTCATATTAAAAAACAAAGACAGGGAGAAATAAACAGAAGAAATATTTGAAGCAATAATGACAGAATTTCACCAAATTAATGTCAGGCACCATACCATAGATCCAGAAAATTCAAATGTGTAAATTCAAACATGTAAAAAGAAAATGCCCACATATATACATCATATTCAAACTGCAGAAAATTAATGTGTATATATCAATATATAAATATAGATATAAATATATTATTCATATTCATATATATGAATGAATAGTATATATATTTTATATATGAATCCATATACATGAATAAGAATATATATGAATACTATATTTATATATAAATATGAATATATATGAATGAATACTATATATATGAATATGAATATATATGAATGAATGCTATATATATGAATATGATTATATATGAATGACTATTATATTTATGAAGATGAATATATATGAATACTATATTTATATATAAATATGATTATATATGAATGAATGATATATTTATACATATATATTCCTTATCTATATAGAATACTGAAAGGAGCAAGAGAGCCAGAGGTAAAAACGCCCTTACTGATGGAGGAAAAATAAGTTTTACATCTGATTTTTCTGCAGAAGCCATAAAACAAGAAGAGAGTGAAGTATTTTTAGTGTTGAGAGAGAAAACCCCGCTAGTATAGAATTCTGTCTCTGTGAAATGTGAAATTATCCTTCACATGTGCAGCAGAAAGAATATCCTTTCTCAGACAAACAAAAATAGAGGGTATTTTTTGCCAATAGATCTGACTTGCAAGAAATGCTTGAACAAGTTCTTTTTTTCTTTTTCTTTTTCTTTTTTTTTTTTTTTTGAGACAGAGTTTTACTCTGTTGCCCGGTCTGGAGTGCAGTGGTGTGATCTCGGCCCACTTTGACCTTTCCCTTCTGAGATTCAAGCAATTCTCCTGCCTCAGACTCCTGAGTAACTGGGATTACAGGCGTGTGCCACCACGCCTGGCTAATTTTTGTATTTTTAGTAGAGGCGGGGTTTCGCCATGCTGGCCAGGCGTGTCTGAAACTCCTGACCTCCAACCACCTCGGCCTCCCAAAGTGCTGGGATTTCAGGCGTGAGCCACTGTGCCTGGCCCTGAACAAGTTCTTCAGAGCAGAAAAATGCTTTAAACTAGAAACTCAGGTCTCCAAATCATTTGATCATTTTTAAATTGGACTTGTTTATGTTTTGTTGTTGTTATTTGTTGTTGTTTGTTGTTTTGCTATTGAATTGAGTTCCTTAATATATCCTGGTTATTAATTCCTTGTTAATTGAATAGTTTGCAAATATTTTTTCCTATTCTGCAAGTTGTCTCTTCACTTTACTGATGGTTTCCCTTGCTGTTCAGATCCTTTTAAGCTTGATGCGATCCCATCTGTCCATTTTTTGTTTTGGTTGCCTGTGCTCTTGAGGTCTTACTCAAGAAATCTTTGCCCAGACCAATGTCCTGAAGAATTTCCCCAACTTTTTCTTCTAGTAGTTTCACGGGTTCAGATCTTAGACTTAAGTCTCTAATCAATTTTGATTTGATTTTTGTGTATGGTGAGAGATAGGGGTCTGGTTTTATGCTTCTGCATATGGATATCTATCTAGTTTGCCCAGCATGGTTTATTGAAGAGGCTGTCCTTTCCCTAATATATGTTTAAAGAAAGGAAATGCATCAGAGAAAGACTAAGTGAAGGTAAATTAAAAACTTTTACTTTTCTTATTCTTATTCATAAGATTATTGAAAATAATGGAAACAATGTATTGTATTATATTATGTGTATATACTACGTATAAGATAAATGAATGGTAACAATGATATAAGGGATGAAAGACTTAGAAATAACTTATCATAAAGAACTCTTGCTACCCATTAAGAAGTACAGTGTTATTTGAAAATTGACTTCATTCAGTTCATTGTAAATGTATATTGAAAATTCTTGAACAACAAATAAACAAGTTAAAGAAAGATAACTGATATACTAAGGAAAGAAAATTAAATCATATAAAATGCTCAATTGAAATCGCCAAAGACAGAAAAATAGTGAAAGACAAAAACTGAAATAAAGAATAAGGGCAACAAATAAAATAGTTACAAATATAGTATATATATTAATCCATTGTATCAGTAATTACCTGAAAATTATAATTATCTAAATAGCTCAATTGAAAGGTAGAGACTGTCAGAGTAAATAAAAAAAAACGAGACCCAACCAGATATTGTCCACACACACACACACACACACAATAAGAATAATGACACGTGAATTAAAGATAAATAGATAGAAAAAGACATACTATGCTAACATGAATCAAATGAAAGCAGGAATGGAAATATTGATGCCAGATGCAGTCAACTTCAGAGCAAGGAAAGTTATCAGGTTTCTAAACGGGTATTACCTATTATCAGGTTTCTAAACGGGTATTACCTAATCATAATGGGGTCATTTCTCAAGGAAAATATAGTGATCTTTAACATGTATATGTTTAACAACAAAGCATAAAAATATGTGAGGCAAAAATTAATACAACTTAATGAGAAATACAGGTGTCCACCTTTATAGCTGGAGACTTTAACGCTGCCCTATAAGGAACTCATTCAGCAAGCAGAAAAAAAAAAAAAAATGGAATACATGAACCCAGGAGGCAGAGGTTGCTGTGAGCTGAGATCGGGCAATTGCACTCCAGCCTATACAACAAGAGCGAAACTCTGTAACAAAAAAAAAGGGGGTGTGGGGGGAGAATACAAAGATAAAAAGAAAAAAAGTAAGAAAAAATGGGAAAATTTGGGAAAAAAGAGAAAAAAATAAAATCAGTAAGGACGTTGCTTAACCAATCAAGTTCAATCAACTATATATGTCATCTGTAGACGAATTAATCCAATAACAGCAGAATGCATACACTTCTCAAGCTTGCCTAGAATAGGCACCAAGATAGATCACACCCTAGGTCATATGACACACTTTAAAACATTTTATAAATAGGAATCATACTATGTCTGCTCTCATACCACAATGGAATTATACTACAAATAAATAAAAGAAAGCTAGAAAATACTCCAAATGCTTGAAGATTAAACAATGTACATTTAAGTAACACATAGGTCCAAGAAAAAATCTCAAAAGAAATTTTTAAATATTTTAAACTAAATGAAAATGAAAACACAACAAATCAAAATTTGGGGGATGAAGTGAAACCAATGTTTAGAGGGAAATTTCCTTGAATACATATATTAGAATATAAGAAAGATTTAAAGTGAATTATCTAGACCTCTACCTCAGGAAACTGAGAAAAGAAGAGCAGATTAAGTTCAAAGTAAGCAGAAGAAAACAAATAATAAACATTGTAGAAGAAGTAAATGCATTTCAAAACAAAATCAATAGAGAAAATTAAAACTGAAAGCTGGTTCTTTTAAAAGATTAACGAAATTGCTAAGTCTATACCTAAGCTAACTCAGAAAAATAAAAGAAGACAGAGATAGAGAAAGAAAATACACAAGAATATCAGAAATAAAGAAGGAATAACTACTATAGACAGCATTGTCATTCAAAGGATAATAAAGTAATACCATGAGCACCTTTATGCCAATAATTTGATAACCAAAGTGAAATAGAGAAATTCCTCAAAAGGCGCAATCAGCTAAATGTCACAAAGGAAGAAGCAATCTGAACAGACCTTTATATCCATCAAACAAATTGAATTAATAATTTATAGTCTCCCCAGACAGAAAGCACCAAGCCCAGACAAGTTCACTGGTGAATTCTACCAAACATTTAAACATTAAATTATATCAATTATCTACATGTTATTTCAAAAGATAGAAATAGAGAGAATACTTTCTCATTCTATGAAGCCAGCATTACTGAAATGCCAAAACCAGACAAAGATATGACAAGAAAACCACAGGCCAATATCTTTCTAAACATAGATGCAAACACCATTTACAAAATATTAGCAAGTCAAATCCAACAATTTATAAATAAACTATATATCACACCCAAGTGGGATTTATCCCAGGTATGCAAGTCTGGTTCAACGTTAAAAAATCAATGTAAATCCAACACTTCAAGATAATAAAGAAAAATAATCATAAAATCATATTAATATATACATAAATTATTTCACAAAATTTGATACCCATTCATAATAAAAGCTTTCAATAACAATGAGGGGTGGACCTTCCTTAACTTAATAAAGGATATCTAAAAAACTACAACTTACATCATTTTTTACATCTTAGTGAGTAACTAGAAGCTGTCCCCACTATATCCTCTCTCACTAATTCTTTTCAACAGTGTACTGGAAGAACTAGCGAAAGCCATTAAGACAAAGAAAGGAAATAAAAGGCATATTGATTGGGAAGGAAGAAATAAAACTCTCTTTGTTTGCAGATGACATGATAGTCTATGAAAAAAGTCTGAAAAAACACCTGGGTATAGTCAATGATTATAGCAAGGTTGCAGGATAAAAGATTAATATGCAAAAATCAATTAATATGCAAAAATCAAAAGTATACCAGCAATAAACAAGTGAAATTTGAAGTTGAAACAAAATTATTATTTTAATTAGCACCCCGCAAAATTAAATACTCAGCCGTATAGCTAATAAAATATGTACAAGATCTATATGAAGAAAACTATGTAACTTATGATAGAAAATAAAAGAAGAATGAAATAAATGGAGAGTTATTTCATGTTCATGGATAGAAAGACTCAATATGGACAAGACATCAGCTCTTCCCAACTTGATCTGTAGAGTCAGTGTAATCCCAACAAAATCACAAGTCATTATATGAATATTGACAAATTGATTCTAAAGTTTATTACATAGAGAGGCAAAAAGACCCACAATAACCAAAGTAATATTGAAAGTGTAAATGTGTAGGATTGACACTATCCAACTTCAATACTTACTATAAGCTACGATAAACAAGACTTTGTGATATTGGCCAAAGAGTAAACAAATAAATTAATGGAACCCAATAAAAACCTCAGAAATAGACCTACATAAATATACTCAAGTAAACTGACATGTCACACATAGTTAAGGCAGTACTATGGTAAAAAGATGTTATTTTCAACAAATGGTACTGGAACAACTGTAATCCATAAGAAAAAATATATCTAGCCACAGACATTATGCACTTCATAAAAATTAACTCAAAATGTAATATTGACCTAAATATAAATCAAAAAATTATAAAACTACTAGAATAAAACATGGCAGATAATCTAGATGACCTTGGTTTTGGTAGTGAATTTTTGGATTCAACACCAAAAGCACAATCCATGAAAGAAAGATTTTTTTTTTTTTTTTGAGATGGAGTCTCGCTCTGTTGCCCAGGCTAGAGTGCAGTGGCCTGATCTCAGCTCACTGCAACCTCCACCTCCCAGGTTCAAGTGATTCTCCTGCCTCAACTTCCTGAGTAGCTGGGATTACAGGCGCGTGCCATCACGCCTGGCTAATTTTTTGTATTTTTAGTAGAGATGAGGTTTCACCATGTTAGCCAGGATGGTCTCGAACTCCTGACCTCATGATAAGCTGGACTAGTATAAAATTAAAAATTTATGCTCTGCAAAAGACATTGTTAAGTGAATGAAAAGACGAATCACGGAATGGGAGGAAATATTTGCAAAACACATAACTGACAAAGGACTATTATATGATGTATACAAATAATTCTTAAACTCTATATAATAAAAAGAAGAGCCCAATTAGAAAGTGGGCCAAAATACTTAATACATACCTAATTAAAGAACATATACAAATAGTAAATAAGCTTATGAAAAGACATTTCAAATCCTATGAATCAGGGAAATGAAAATTAAAATGAGCTACTGTACCACTGCAAGCCTATCGAAATGGTCAACATCTAGAACATTGACAACACCAAATGGTAGATGTGAAGCAACAGGACATCTCATTCATTGCTGATGGAAATGCAGTGATACAATCACTGTGGAAGACAATTTAGCAGCTTCTCAAGAAAATAAATATACTCTTACCTTAAAATTTATTATTTGAGCTCCTTAGTATTTACCCAAAGAAGTTGAAAGTGTATGTCTACACCAAAACCGCACACTGATGTTTTCAGAAGCTTGTTTCATAACTGCCAAAACTTGGAAGCAATTAAAACATCCTTCAGTAGGTAAATGAATAAACTGTGGTAGATCCCAGCAATGGGCTGTTATTCAGCACTAAAAAGGAAAGAGATAGCAAGCCACGAAGAGACATGGAGGAAACTTAGATGATTATTACTAAGTGAAATAAGCCAATTTTAAAAGACTACCTACTTTATAATTCCAACTATATGACAAATATAGTTTTGCTTTGAGAAAAGCAAAAGACACTAAAAAGATCAGTGGTTGCACATGTTGGAAAGAAGGGAGGAATAAGTAAAGGGAGCCCAGAAGATTTGTGAGGCAGTAAAACTATTCTGTATGATAAAATAATTGTGAGAAAATGTCATGATAAACATTTTCAAACACATAGAATGTACAACCCCAAGAGTGAACCTTAATGTAAAGTATAAATTTGGGGTAATGATGTGTCAAGGTAGGTTCATTGATTGTAACAAATGCACCCCTCTGGTGGGAGATGTTGCTAATGGGGGAGGCTATGCGTGTGTGGGAGCAGGGGATACGTGGGAAATCTCTGTATCTCCCTCTCAATTTTGCTATGAAATTAAAACTGGTCTAAATTAAGTCTATACAAATGGAATTTTAAAATTATTCTTTGTAGTTTATAATTGCTGGGCATCATAGCAGAATGTTTTCCTGATGTTAAAAAATTACAATGTATATGGTTAATAGTTTGTAACAGTGAATACCTGTACGTGGGAAAGTCAAAAGACTAAAAGAAAAAGAAAAACATTAATAAACAAGGTTTACCTTCTAGTAGACATATTCACATGTGTGTCTGGAAATATTTATCATTACTCCATGACAACCACACATTTATCACCTGAAAGACTGGCTATTATACTGAATTACACTAATCTAAATAATAAGGAAGAAACAAGAAGAATCATAGATGTTGGGGAAAAGTGAATATACAGAATAAAATCTAAAAGAAATATAATTATATAACTTCAAATATTCCAGAAAAGAAGTTATATACTTCAGCACTTTATTTCTAAACCCTGGGAAACAAATGGCACACAGATTACAAAAAACGAGTGAAATTTTGCTGTTGTCTATTTGGCATATTTGAATCATTTTCATCCTTTCTATAATATGTAAAATGAAAATATCATGGTTGATTCATAAAAACACAGATGAATGAGGTCTTATTGGATGTTCAGTCCTAATCTCCTTTTCATTCATCCCCCCTTATGAAAGTATCATGACAGTAGGATCCAATGGTTATTGTGAGTGAAATATTACATGAATACCCGCTCCTCAATTTTAGCTATATACATGGGCCCAAACTTGAATCACAAGCAATTAATCAGAAAATCTGAGAAAGTAAAGAGAATATGAAGTCACATGATGATACCTCCTATCCAACGCAGGTATAAGGAACATGAAATTTTCAATATTAAATTTGTTTTGGGATGTGTTTTATTTGGATTATTTTTGCATATCCTTCCATTGCATTTAAGTTAAAATTATTTGCAAGTAAGTTATTCTACATAGTAGAGTTAAACTTTCTATTAATTATGCATTCTGAAATAAAACATAGAATACATCAATATTTTAAAAACCTTACAGCCATATTTGTATTTTAAGGTAACCACAGTATACCCTTTTACTCTTCCCTTTTCTAAACTAATCATTCTCGAAGCTGTTTTCATGATTTATTAATTGCATGAAATCCTTACATTCTGGCAGGGTGTGCTTATTAATTAATCAATAATATCACCTCTCATGATATACCAGATGACATCTGACAGGGGCAGAGTGCATGGACATTTACTGTCTTTAATGTGGAAACTCTCTCTCTCTCTGTGTTAATATTAATAAAACATAACATAGTATTAGTGTTTCTTTAAGTAACTAAATATTTTAGTTACAAAAGCAGTACCAACATATATAATTTATATTTAATAATATCACCTTTTATGATAGACTGGATGACATTTGACAGGGGCAGAATGCATTTAGACATTCACAGTTTTAATGCAAAATCTCTCCCTCTCTGTTGATAAAACATAACATATATTAGCGTTTCCATAAGTAACCAAATATTTTAGTTTCAAAAGCAGTATCTATATGTAATTTTATATTTAATTAAATAAAAATATATATACTTTAAATAAAATTATATAATTTAATTTAATTTAATTATATATAATTTAATTTAATTTAATTATATATGATTTAATTTAATTTAATTATATATGATTTAATTTAATTTAATTATATATGATTTAATTTAATTTAATTATATATAATTTAATTTAATTTAATTATATATATTTAATTTAAATTAATTATATATAATTTAATTTAATTATATATAATTTAATTTAATTATATATAATTAAATTAAATTATATATAATTAAATTAAATTAAATTATACATAATTAAATTAAAATATAATTTGATTACATTAAATTATATATAATTTTATTTAAACACTCAAAAATCAAAGAAATGTAAAAAGTAGAAATCAAAGACCTTAATCAATACTGATCCTATTTGCTGCCTCATACATAAGCATTAATATTTTTTTCCTTCCTTCCCAATAATTTTCCATGTGGTCTATAGTTTGTAAAAAATAATATCCTAGGATACACACACACTCACACACACAGATATTTCTATGTACTACATATATACATATATAAATTTTAGCAAATTTATGTCACATAGAAATGCAGCTGCAATAATGTTCCATTTCAGCACATAAATCTCTTCCTCATTCTTTTCATAAATGAGTAGTATTCCATAGTGTTAGATATAATAAAGTATTTCTCTGCTTCTTTATTGTTACACTTTAGAAGAAACTTTCAATATTTTTATAATGGACTGTTCTGTTTTGAATATCCATATATATAAATTTTGTAAATATACAGTAAGATACTAGATGTAGAATGGAAGGCCAAAACTGAAAAATTCTGGCAAATTGCCCACAGAAGTCTATTCCAATTCATGGCTGCAATAAAAGCAAAGAATGCATATTTCTCTACAACTTCTGACATATTAAATATCACCAATTTATTTTTTGACAATCTGGTAAGTAAAAGTTTTTATTTTGATGTTATTTAAGATTTGCATTTGTCTATTTAGGTTGAGTCTGAGCTTGTTTCTTTTTTTGGTTACTTTGTTTTAATTGTCTTTTAATATCTTTACACACTTTCATAGAGTTATTTAACCTTTTCTCTTACTTGTTGCTTATATCATGTGCCCTATAATCATTTGATTTTGTATTACTTGCAAATATTTATTTATATGATGCTATTTATTACATGAAAGTTTATATTTTTATCTGCAAGTTTATGAATTTCATAAATTTTTTTCAGTGTTGACATTTTCATTTTTAAAAAATTTCTTAAAATTGAAAGTTTCAGTAATATATTTCCAAATGTAAATTCTCCATGCATGCCACGACAGTGATGCAGGTAACACTGATTGAGTGTGGCACATGCATCAGCTATTACAAGTAACCTACAGGAATTAGTTTGGCACTATTACCATCTTTGTTTTATTAACTAAGCAATTCCGAAGGATGGGGAGTTTTATGCAATGAGTTAGTGGGAGAGCCAGCTAATTTAGGTCTGAACACCTCCCTTAAACATTATGCTATGCTTGTTATTATTTCCTATTTAATAGTAAGTTCTAAAATATGGCAGGAATTTATATAATGTTAACCAGTCTATACATTGTGAAACTTATCCACATTACATTTTGTGACTATTTTGACAAACAATTGCCTCATTTACTCTTTTTAATTCTACAGACAATATCAATAATGATTCTGGTATTACTTAATATAACTTACACGAGGTCAGGAGATGGAGACCATCATGGCTAACGCGGTGAAACCCCGTCTCTACTAAAAAATACCAAAAAAAAAAAAAAAAATTAGCCGGGCGTGGTGGTGGGCGCCTGTAGTCCCAGCTACTTGAGAGGCTGAGGCAGGAGAATGGCGTGAACCCAGGAGCGGAGCTTGGCAGTGAGCCGAGATCACGCCACTGCACACCAGCCTGGACGACAGAGCAAGACTCCGTCTCAAAAAAAAAGAAAAATATTATATATATATCTTACAATGGATAGGAGATTCGACATGTAAATTATGTGTGTTTCAAATATAGCCAACCAAGGTTAAGTAAAATATTCACTTGATAATACTTATGGTATTTATTATAATAAAAAAGTTAAAAATAACCTAAATGTTTGTCAGTTGGTAACTGGTTAAATATATGGTGGTACATACATACAACAGCATAGTATGCAGCATGAAAAAATAAAAGACAACTCTAAATATTCTTTTATAGATTATAGCTAAAACTCAGTGTTAGTTCAAAAGGCTCAATTATATACAGTTAGTATATTATTTGTGTAAAAATAACTGTATGCATTTGATTCATATGTGCTGATATCTGTGTAGAATGTCTCTGGAAAAAAATTAATGTAATAAAAATTAAAATTAAAAAGGTCACCAAAAACAAAAATAAGAATTGTAAAGGCTACTAACTAACCATTTTCTCTTGTTAATCTTGAATGTCCTTTCAGTAATATTTAATTATTTTTAATTTAAAGATATTTGTTTGCATATTAATTCTTAGTAAGAAAAAGAATTAAAATCAGAATTCACTAGTTCTGTCTTCTCTCTGCATTGTGCTTTAGTTCATCGTATATTTGTACCAATTGTTAATATAAGAAAATGTTTGAATCATTTTCTTGCTAAGAATCATCAATAGCCACATTTCCACAAATAGTATACTCCTGTATGTCATCACAAACACTGGCATAATGCAGAATTTTTTAAAAGAATCAATTGAAGAATAATGAAAACTAACACACAAACAGACCAAACAACATTAAGATCCAGTGGTGGTGGGCTCTTCATCCATCTTTACTTACTCTGTAGATCTTACTTACTTGGGGCCCTTGATCAGATAATGTTGCTAAATCTGTGTGAATCACTGTCTCTTACAGACATCTGATTTTCAGAGCTAAAAAAGTTTATTCACTTCTAGATTTCTTCTATTCTTATAAACACCCATTCTTCAAATTATGATGCATGTGTATGTGAGGTACCTACATACTCAGATAAGAGGAATGATATGGAACTGTGATCTGATCAAAAGTGTTTTATATCCTTAGTGTTTTTTTCTATATAAGTCTCAGCATTTGTAGAGTCTGTTCAATCTTTGGACCATTGTAGATTTGTTGTTTGCTTGCTTTTTTTTTTTTTGGTAATCCTAGTGTATATGCTTCCTAAGAGCAAATTTTAATATCCTATATCCACCATTATGATAAGAAACATAACAGTTTCCCTGCTCTGAATGTTCTAAATGTCCCACCCTTCCTCTAGTCCCTGGCAACTACAGACTTTATTATTGTCATTATGCATTTGTCATTTCCGGAATGTCATATAGTTGGAATTAGAAAGTATTTAGTCGTTTCAAACTGCCTCAGTTGCCTTAGTAAATATATTTAAAGTTCTATATATTTTCATGGTAGTTAGCTCATTTATTTTTTATTAGTAGTAATTTTCAGTTTTACCGATGGACCACAGCTTACTTACCCATTACCTACTATCCATTCACTTATTGAAAGACAAGTTGGTTACAATTTTTGGCAATTTATAAATAGTGTTACTGTAAACATTCATATGAAGACTGTTGAATGAATACAAATTGAAGTCCCCAACCCTTCTTTAGTTTTTTTTTTTTTTTTCTGTACCTATTTGAAATCTTTATTAGGAGTACCTCATGCCCAATTCTTCTGTCTCACTTTACTCCTTGTCATCACCAAATAACTTCCTTGTTACTCTTTTTTTGGTTGTTGTTCAGTTGTGAGGCATGAAACATTATAATAAGTTTTCTAGTTTTCATCAATTGTGAAAAATTACATTCACTGTTATATATTCAAAATTTGATAAAGACGACATTGGAGGATGAAGTTATAAATGAAAAGATATGCATATATGTTACAAAGATTATTTTATTTAAACTATTTTCTTGAAAAACGTGAATAAGTTAGAAGTCCATAATCATTTTATAGTTAAGATCTTTCATACAAATGGATAGACATATTTAAAAGAAGACAACACATACAAATTTTGTCTTCTAAATTTTGAAATAAAAGCAACCCTTCTGAAGTATTTCAAATATTTTAAAATTTTAAAATGTTTTCTTTTTTATTATTTTAAAAATGTTTTGAAATATTTTGATAGTTTCAAATGTGGCTAGTTAGAGGAAAGAAACCTACTTGATGCTGTACATTTTATTAACAAAATATTTTCATTTTTTTCAAAATAGAATATATACAGTAGGATTTTAAAATGTGTACCAATTTTGCAAAATAATTGATACAGTTTTGATGAGAAAATCTATCTAGAAAAAATGGAATTTCTTCCTTTTTTTCTGAGTGATAATATATGGTGAAACAAATTTAAATGGTAAAGCATTTCTCAGTGGTTTTCTTAAATTAACCAAGTTGGATTTATTTGGAGGAAGGTAGAATTGGGTGATTTTAAACTCTGTTTTTTTCCATAATGCATCCATTTTTAAATTACACAGGTGAGATGTTTCTCTTTATGTTTCTAGGAAAGATGGATCAAAAGAACCAATAGTGGAGATGAGAACAGAGGATGAAAGAGTTACTAATCACGAAGATGGGAGCCCAGTAAATGAGCCAAATGAAACCACACCACTGACAGAACCTGAGTATGTGGCTTGGAGTGCTCACTTATGTTCAAATGGGTATTGGCAAAATGATAACACATTATTATTGTTGTATTACATATTTAAATATTAATTATTTGTAAAAGAATTGTGCTTTTACTTTTTTGATGAAAGTACATGTGAATATCTAAAATCCATTTTCTAAGGAGACATTTTTCATGAAAACTTTGTATGAATGTCAGAGAAAGTCTGTTAAACCATATATCTGTAATTTAATGCAAAAGTATAAAAAGGTAAGTATCTTACAGAGTTTGAGGTTTTCAACAATAGTCTGTCTTTTTAAGATAGTGTTGTTTTCTCTTTCAAGATAAAATAATTATATTTACTGAAATAAGGACATGTTAGGAAATTTGTCATCGCTTTGAATATAAATGTCATTGAAATATACGCACGGCTATTTTAAAAAGAAATATTTGTGCAGAGGAGAAAATAATATTAAAGTGTTTATCATTGCAATATCTATGTAGTAAATGATGCTTGGTTTCCATTCTTGATGTTATTTATTTTGCATCTCTAATAGCTCTGTTAAAACTATAGTAGATATCAAAAGCTGAAAAGATGAATATACGCCTAGATTCATGCACAGAATAATTAGAATAATTCAAAGCAAAGGCATTATTACAAAGTAGTAATAGTAGTATTCTTCTATTGGATGTATGTGGTACTAACAAAACCATGGTGGTCACACACTTCTTTACTGTGCACCAAAAAAACTTTTTAATTTTATTATTTTTCAAAACAAATATTTATTTTTGTAACACCTAATATTTTCTTGCAGAGTAAACTGATTTAGGTTTCTCATCCTAAATCAAAGAAAAAATGTTGTCACAGATGAAGAAAATGATTTTATTTTCATAAATTCCCTCTGTCTACCCACAAGGGGCTGAAATAATTAATATTTACACAAATGCAAAGTACTACTCTATAGAAAAAAATTTAATATAAATCCTCGGGCCAATTTTAGTGATTGCATTTAGAGATTATTACAATGTAAATTCAAATTAACTGTATTAGATGTGGGTTCTACATTCTTCACTTTAGAAATAAGAGGTGTACATGAAAACTAGTTAAGAATATGCTCTTGGACCAGGCTATATTTTGGGAAAAAAGGGTAATTTAATAACTATTTCACAATTATAGAAAATTAATCACCAATATAAAATAATATGATTAACAGTGATCTTAAACATATTTTACCTATACGTAAGTGGTGAGAAATTCTATACCCAGAAACAAACTATCAATTTGGTGAAAGCACTGGGTCATTAAAAACTTAATATATATTTCATGAGTAAGAGATATATTATTATGCTAACTTACTATCAGAACTCTAATCAGAACTCTTTCTCTACAGTTTGATGCTTGAGGTGACACATTGCTTTTATGACCTTGTATTGTCAATATTTTCAGTACTTGTGAATGCTAAAAAGGAATAACTGAGACTGCACTATTTATAACATATATAAAATAGCCTGCTCTCGTTGGTACAATGTTTTTTAATGTTTTTTTCATTCCCAGCAATGGATATTACTAGTTTTTGCCTATTACTTCTTTTGATTAGTTCTGATTGCTTTGATCTGCAGAATGTTTTACCCTTCTCATTCAAAAATATAAAATAAATTACAAATAAATCCCAGATGAACTAGCATTGTAACTTTCACTCCATTATAACATGGTAAGGTTAAAGTCACAGAGATGGATTGGAATACTATTTCTTTCTTTTTTTTTTTTTTCCGAGACTAGTTTCGCTCTTGTTGCCCAGGCTGGAGTGCAATGGCGCAATCTCAGCTCACCTCAACCTCCGCCTCCCAGGTTCAAGCAATTCTCCTGTCTCAGCCTCCCGAATAGCTGGGATTACAGGCGCACGCTGCCACACCAGGTTAATTTGGTATTTTAGTAAAGACAGGCTTTCTCCATGTTGGTCAGGCCGGTCTCCAACTCCTGACCTCATGTGATCCGCCCGCCTTGGCCTCCCAAAGTGCTAGGATTAGAGGCGTGAGCCACTGCGCCTGGCCTGGAATACTATTTCTAACTTAATTTTCTTGGTGTGGAAAAAGTATGTTGTTAAGGGAGAAAAACCCATCTCCAAATGTCATGTACACAATAGTAAACAATTGAATTTGCAAGTTTTAGGAAAATCTTGAAAGCACAATTCATTGGCATCGAAGTAGGGTTTATGACGCTGTCTTGATATTAAGAAATAAAGTTGGTATTGCTTCATAAGTTACAATTGCAAACAACTCAAAATCCGTGTTGCAAAGTGACATAAAAGTGACAAGAAAAACAATGTGAAAAGAGACAAAAGAAAACATATACAATAAATATTAAAAAGTGAGCAAGTCCTAAAATATGTTCATTTGCATTAAGTTCTAAGGAATATTGTTAATTCACTTAGTTTCTGAATTTTATTTTATTTTATTTTAATAATAATTATTATTATTTGAGATGGAGTCTTGCTCTGTTGCCCAGGCTGAAGTGCAGTGGCATGATCTCAGCTCACTGCAATCTCCACCTCCCGGTTCAAGTGATTTCCGTCTAATTTTTGTAATTTTAGTAGATACCTGGTTTCACCGTTTTGGCCAGGCTGGTCTTGAACTCCTGACCTCAAGTGATCCACCCGCCTCAGCATCCCAAAGTGCTAGGATTACAAGCATGAGCCACCACGCCCAGCCTGGTTTCTGAATTTTATGTAACAGAATATGGCAACAATTATTAATTGTTTTCACTGGAGAAAACGTAGTGCTAATAAATCATATCATTGACATTTAAAAATATTTTGGCATTTTACCTTCCATAACATGTAATTATATTTTGGAGATCAACAACTAGTTACCAAATCTAAGCCACCCTATAGTGAGCAATTTGGTGCATCTATATCTACAAATATATTGTTTCATTCATCATTCTGCATTACATTTTTAAAAGGCCAAGTAATTGTTTTTACTCTCTTTTAGATCTTTTTAAATCTATTTTATATTATGTTAATAAATTTAATTTTTCCTTTCTAATTATTGTAGCACGTTTTCTCTATAAAATAGTAACTTATTTAGCATATATAAAATGTTAGCATATTATTGGAGCATATTTTCCTTACAAAACAGTAACTTAAAGGTTAAGGTACGTCTCCTTAAATACCTCAGAAAATGAAGCTTATTATTTTTTATCTTCCAGAAAATTGCCTTTAAAGGAAGAAGATGGGAAAGAAGCTCTAAATCCAGAAACTATAGAAATTAAAGTTTCTAACGACATCATTCAATCAAAAGAAGACGACAGCAAAGCATAACAACAATATTACAGGGGCTTGAACAACACTACGAAGAGTATTTGGATTGCGTGACCCTATGACCAAAACTATTCCATTGACCTTAATTTCTTGGGAAACTTCTAGCTTGGAATAGCTTGTACACATATACATATGATCAAATACTCCTGCCCATGATCCATTCCCTTTTGTTATTGTTGTTGTTGTTGCTGTTGTTGTTAATTTTGTTAAGAATTTCAATATCAAGACTGACTGGCACCAACACTTTGGTATTCAATTTGATTCTATGACTGAAGTACTGGAATTTATTATGTGGCTAAAGTGCTCTATTTATTAAGAACTATATTTAATACCACCAACAAATATAGGGGTTAAGGAAAAAAAACGTGAGCTACATGTGTAAGAAGGCCCTGCATGTGTATGAGTCCTATTCTGGGCAAATAGATTCTTAAAGTGGCTTTCAACTTCAAGATGAAGGAGCTTAATAATGGTTACTCATTTTATCAGGGGAATTTCAGGGAACGTAGGCGTCAAAGAGCCAGTTATCTTTAGCAGATATTAAAAATTGAAAACTTTGGAGAACTCATTTCAAGTTATGATTCAGTGCATTTTCAACATTGATTTTTGATAGACTGAAGTGCCAGATCAAAATTGTTACCCATTTGAAAGAATATTAGTTGTATATAAAATTAGATTAGAAAGACTTTCTAAATCTCTATCTCTTTATATATGTCCTATTCATTCACAATGGATTATACAAAAAAAAGTGTATTGCAAGTGAAATAATATTGATTTCTGCCCTCAGCTTCAAATAAAGTAAATTGAAATGGGAACAATATCAATATGGTGTCTTGATATATTTATAAATATGTGATTATCATTTATTTTTAAAATAATTTATCAAAAAACAAGTCTTTAGTGTTCAAATACTTCAAATCATATCCTCAGATATATTTTTAGCCCATGGTTTTATATAATCTTTAAGAACTAATTTTACCACTGTTATAGGTTCACCATTAAATATAATTGGCTAATAAAAATTTTAAGGTTGACTAAATTAAGAAGAAATTATTTAACATTTTAATGTGCCATAAAAGAGTAAATGATAAATAATTAAATGCCACTATGTGTTCTATTCCGGATGTTCTAGCTAGAAGTCATTTTAAGATTTTGATAAACAACTTTGGTTGAAGAAATTCCTTAAGTATTCAACACAAACTTTCTAATATCTTTTGTTAGGGTTATACCAGAATAAAATGCTTCTTTACTTCCAAGCTATGCAAGCTCCCAGAGGTAATAGAGTGACACATGATTTAACTTATATGTAAGGTTTAAAAAAGTATTTATCATTATAAACATACATACCATTTGGGAGCAGGTTTATTAACCTTGAGAGCCAAAGGTTTCCTTAGGCCCTGTAACATTCAGAACCTTTGGTGTTTCAGGTGGTATTATAGCTCAAATAGTGACAGGACAGGGAATGCGTTCCAAAGGAATATTGGAGCAATTTTAACATTGCAGAAACCTGCTCTGGGTGTGTCTCTCTGTAGAGATAACCTGATGATTATTAAATGTAAAATTAAGGCAACTCATGAATATTTTTATTTACAAAGTGCTTGAAACTCAGCCAAGGAGAGAAAACTAAGTACTTTTATATAATTCATCACTTTTCTGGCTACAGCAGGACAGAATATGACCATCTTCGTTTGAAGGCACCAAATCGTCGCAGTGTCTTTGCCATAAGTTGCAGGGTTAAATGCGGGAATCTCTCCTTGCGTTCCTGTCTGGCGTATTCTGAAGAAAAGAACAGAATTCTTGTGCCTACCTAAGAATTTGAGTAGTGTCTAAACAAACAAAGCAGTTAGGTCATTTTAACTGACTTGATTATCCAACTGGTCTTTGACAGATTTGACTGTTCATATTTAGTTTATGTTTGTCTGATCATCCAGTTTGCTTTATTTTGCTGTGTTTTATTTTGTTGTTTGTTTTGTTTTGTACCAGTGTACTAAAACTAGTCAAAATACTTGAATTAGTTTGTTTGTGCAAAGTGTACAAGCTTAGTAAAGTGTCCATGAAGCAATAGCCATGAATGCTAATTATTTCTAAATAGGGCCACATGGTTTTAAACTAATGATGGTGAAAGAAATACGATGACTGAGAAAGTCATTTCGCATGTTTACTATTGTTATATTCGTGCTTTACTTCAAGAGTGCAGAAATCATAATAAATAACAAACTATTTTTGTGTTTTCTCAATGTGACATTTCTGTTTCTCTCATTTATTCGGATTTTCCTTGTAAAGAAATTGACATATATTTCATATATATATACACATATATATATATACACATATATATACATATATATATATGATGTTAAATTTCCTGCCACTCATGTGGAGTAATGATCTGAAATTAACAGATAATCTGAAGCTAATTATATTCAGACTATTTCAAGTGCACTGTTTCAGTTGCCCGGGTGGTCCTTACCTCTTGTCCTTGAAATCCATGCCATGCTGAAGCAAGGCAATACTGTGATAAAGTATTTTTTTTAATATTTCAATGGAATGCTCCAAATGATTTATAAAAATTTCAAAATAAAAGATGGCTTGTAGTAAATTGTAAAATATGAGTAGAACTGAAATAACCTGTTTCATTCTTATTCTAGATTAAACAAACATATACATATAACCATATAAATGTTATTTTTATTGTCTGAGAGTACTCTTAAATATTAGTATAAAGTGTCAAAAGAATTGACTGAATATAAGTACTGTTAAAATAATTTGAACCCTATGATATTTTAAACCAAGAGGCAAAGATATCACCTAAAACTTGGTATTTCTTGATAGGTTAGGTGCAATTAGGCAGTGACAATCTGTATTCAACAACATATAAGAGGAAAGAGTAATATCAGAATTTTGACACAAATTAATGTGTCAACATATTTTACAATGATTGTCAAAGGAATTTAAGAATTGTATTTTTAAAGATTTATTTATTATTTTTGTGGGCTAAGACATTGCCATTCTATTGATACTAATGTCTAACATTAATGTTTCTTGTTTTCTTTTATTTTTAATATTAATAACTATAAAAGCATTTTTCAAAGGCTATTTGATCCAGCACACTTCATATGGATCTTAGTCTTTGAATTAAATATTTATATAAATAGATTTTATTAATCAAATTATTTATTTGTGTGCCAACAATTAATTGTAACTTTATGATCATATCTTTGTTTATGCTTCTTATTTTAAATAATTAAGATGTATCTGTGCCTTTTAATTAGCATGACAGTCTGCTTTATTAAAAGAAAAAAACTACAATTAACATCATTACTAGTATATTTTGCTTAGATTTGAGATACTCAAATGATGCTGTCTTATTTACAGTCAGTAATTAAGTTCAATTCAAACTATTTTACCTTGAATATAAAATCTAAATATAATAAACTATACTGTATAATTTACTTTAATTCATGTCAAAACAATTCTTTTTATACACACACATGAAATATTCTTAATCTGTTCTGTATTGTTTTTCTAAACAATAAATACATTCTAGATATTGTTGAAATTAAATTTTGCCAGTTGTAAGACAAAGACAACAGATAACTTTTGAAAATCAAGCAAATTACTATGGTGTTTCTTGGGTCTTCATTATTCCATTTATATATATTTTTTATTTCGAATAATAAATCAACCTTTATTTTTGGCAATAAGATTATCACTGACGAAAATATGTACAGTTCAAGAAGTAGAAATAATATTTTCCATTAGTTAATTTAGGAAATATTGGAATAGCATATTATAATTATTTATGAGGTTCCCAATGTTGTTTTTCACAGAAAATAAGGTAAACATTCAACTTAAATCCCCCATGAAGTTTTTTCATGCTCATACTCATAATCATTATCACATAATGTGCTTATTCAACAAACTTTGTATCTGGATATATTTTTAACAATAAGTTTGTTAGCATTATTTATTTATCTTTAGAGAGAAAATATTTGCATCTGTTTATTTACCCTTTGAAGCATTAATACTTAGTCACTCACATTGAAATTGCATATGGATGTATCAACATAGGCTAAAATTAAATTATGGATGTCGCAGAAATGAAATACTTCATCTTAGAAGGTAAAATTTTCAAGAAAGTATTTTATTCATGGACTTAATAATGTCTTAAGATGAAACAATTTTATGTCCAAATGAGAAATTTATAAAAAGACCCACATATAGTAGTTGCTGAACAAACATAATTTTCTTCCAGCTCCCATCCTTCCTTTTTGAAAAATTGAATTTACCCATGTAGATGCAGCTATTTACAATTATACAAGAATGCGAATAGATTAATTATATCTTCTCATATAAAGGCAAAGAATTTTATATTATATATAATGCTAAATATTTATTTGATAACACAATATTCTTAGAAAAATAGTTTATTACTTTAGGATTTTATCTATAACATAAATATATTATTTGTTATTACCTCTTTAAATTTTCATTTTATACAATTTTTGAGATTCTGGCCACACAACATTCAGAATTATTGCTCATGTAAATTTAAATATTGCTACTTATTTTTTTTCTTTTCTGAAATGAAAACATGAATCTTTTGGCATCTGTTTTTAGCCTCCCATGGAAGACAGTAAGCAAAACCATCACTGTTGGAGAATTTCAAATCACAACCCGACATAGGAGAGTAGAGAAACAAAGAAATGAGTGGATCTAGAAAGGCAAACTGAATTGCTATATTTGGAATAGCTAAGAAGGACCTGACTTTGAGAAGTGCTAGACCAGGGACTAGGAACGTTGCTTAGATAAAAATTATGGCCGATTACACTGATGCGAAGGAGAAAACAGTGTAACACAGAGGAGAAAGTTAACAGAGATAGAATCTATGATTTAATTTTGCAAATAGTTTTTTTAGAGAACAACATGCATACTATAAAAGAAATGATACTATTAAGAACAAACCTACTTGTTCCAACTCTTAAAGAAATATTCATGGTTTAGCATTTGCCTCTAAACCCTGTTAGAAATATGTGAAGTTAGAAATAAAGGTTTTTTTAAAAAAAAAGCTTTTTTGGTATGTGAACTGTATGCTGTGCTCAGTATGTACTGAAACATACTATCTTTTATTTTCTTTAATTTATATATTCCATTCAAATTCTATATTCTTAAGTTAGCTACCACAACGTTTTCTTATTGTTTCAATATGGTATGTCCCAATGAAATGCTGTATATATATGTCTAAACTGTAAAAATTATACTGCAAATGTTGAAGTTTTGTATTTATGAGAGACATTGAAAGTATGGCTTACAGTATATCAAACTTGTCACACTTCACCATTTGTATATTAATAGTAAAGATACTTTTACTTTAATAAAGTGTTGCATTTTATGTTTATTTTGAATAACATTTCTGCAGTGAGCAAGCTTATGGCTTTTCAAATACTTCTGTGTTAAGAAATTTCCAAACATATGTCTAGATATTCTAAAGAAGAGAATGCTTTCTGCCATCTTATCTCTCAATGAGTTACAATCTTTTGGCTTCTACACTGAGCAGAGCTCAGAGAATTAATGAATAAACAGTTGGTTTAGAGCAGTGGTTCTCAAAATGTGACCCCCTAGAGCAGCATTACCTGGGAACTTGTTCGAATTGTAAATTTCTAGACCTCACCAGAGATTCGATCAATCAGAAGGTTGTAGGAGAGGGCCATGGTAATTTGTGTTTCAATAAGAATTTCTGATGATTCTGATGCACGCTAAAATTTGAGGTCCAATGGATTAGAGACACTTTATTTTTTCATTTACCAAATTGTGTTGATCAATTTATAAATGCTAGGCAACCAACTAAATATAGCAGTTATGCTTTAACGCAATGTATGCATTCCCCAACAGCATCATATTCTGCAAAATAATGCACTTAATAATAAAAAGACTTGAAGGAAAAATAAGTTTGGAACAAACCAGTCAAAATGTAAACAACTGTGGAACCAGAGCATTGTCACAAGTTAACAGCAAACAACCATTCTTTAAAAGAGAGTATAAACATTGGAACATATTGAATGATAGTCTATTATTAACTTCTGTTTCAAAGCTAATCATTTCACACATGATTTCACAAGTACTTTTCATTTTTTAAAACTAGTATAAATGTGACTTACTCTTAAAAACTAAAAATCTGAGTGCCAACTTTTCACAACGGGGCAATTTTCAATGTAAGCTTTACAAATACCTCAAAATACATACACATATAGAATAAAAATAACATCAAACACTTTGAAAAGTGAAGAAAAAGATATATATTGTGCTTGGTATTTCAGTATTCTATGTTTATTATAAAGACAATTAAAATAAAATACAAACTATGCCTCATGAAAGAAGCCAAAATTAAGTCTCTGATGTGTTTTGGAAATTGTGCAGGTAACCCTGATAATATTTTAGAGAATTTCTTCCACATTTTTTCTAACCCAAGGCATTGCCTAAATACAAATTCTCTTTATTATACATTAAATAATGAACATATTTCTCCTAAGTTTCATGCCATATATGGCCTCAGCATTTTAAATTTCTTTTTTAACATGAGTTTTTAATACACAAATTAAAATGTTCTCAAAATATAAATATTATTTTATATTTTATATGAGGTGTCATATATGTACTCGTCTTTGGCATAAACTTGTTCTTTAATAGAACGCATACGTTTGTGTATTTTAACTTTTCTGGATAACTTTAACATCTTCCATAGATAGCCTTTTGCATTTTATTTTTTGGTAGAGTGGCCACTATAATAATATAAAATTTATTACACTTTAATTTAGTCTTTAATTTAGATTTTTATTAATATATGGGCTGTAAAGTCAGATATTTCTAGTATTTAAATGTCTTCATATTTGGAAAACAAGATTAACTTGATTATTTTAGTTTACATCAACCTTTCCAATTCCACCTCCAATTTCCACACTTCCTACTTCTCTCATCTTTCTTTCATCTATCTCAATCATGACCAATGTCAGAAACTGGCCTGAGAAGTTTGAGATATATAAAGAAAAGGATATTTACCAAAATCAGTCCAAAACATTTGTATACCATCACATCTGGAGATGAAGCAAATACCAATTATCTTGGAAGAGTCGTTTTTGAAAATAGAGTTTTTGAAGGAAGTTGCAATTTTCTTTGTGTTGGGAAGCATTGGCTGAAGAGAAGGAAATAGGCATCTAGTTTGTAAGCAAGGACACAGACTGAACCCACAGAGGGGATGCAACACACATCCAGGGCTTATTCAATGCTGTTTGAGGAAGCTTTAGCACTAGGTTTGACTATGTGAAGGTCCCCTACTAATTATAAGGGAAGTACTCTCTGAAAAGCATAAAAAAAATTTTCACCAATTCAGAAACCAAGAGATCCAAGAGATCCACACATTTACTCAGCAGAAGAGAAAAGAATTTCCTACGTCTTTGCAACCAGGATGCAAAACTGGGATCCTTGGAGTAATATTGAAAAACAGATGAGAACCGAGATATTAGA
The DNA here is from genome assembly GCF_000001405.40 of Homo sapiens. Taxonomy (NCBI): domain Eukaryota; kingdom Metazoa; phylum Chordata; class Mammalia; order Primates; family Hominidae; genus Homo; species Homo sapiens. The sequence continues at coordinate 21,545,476 of NC_000021.9, forward strand.
ATTAGAATAAACCTAGGTTCACACCCCAATTCCGTTACCTATTACTAGCTCTGAATGTGATAAATTTAGATAAAAATTTGCAGCTTTATTTCCTCATGTATAAAATTGTTATCCTAAAGTAAATAATATTCATCTTCAAGAGATTATTTAAAGATTTATTGAGATCATATTTATGCAGTTCTTCATGCAATGTCTACCACACAGAAAATACCAATAAATAGTAGCCATGAGTATCTTTATATCCGCCATATTTCAACATCGATTCTCAGAGTAAGTTACGTTAGACAGTAACCTATTATTGAATAACAAATTGAAATGTAGTAGTGACTTAAAACATTAACAATGTATTATTTTTTATGATTTCACATATTGATTTGAATAAATTCGGTAATTATTTTGCAACATATGATGTAGCTGAGCTCCCTTAAGTGGCTACCAGCTTCTAAAAGGCAACCTTCCAAATGGAAGTCCCAATATGCAAATGCTCCCCAAGCCTCTATTTGCATCATGCTTGTGATGTTCAGTCAGTCACATTAAATCATATGGATAAGCACATAGTCAATGTGTTTGCATAGAGGGTGTAAACAAGGGCATAATGCACTGAGCACAATTAATGTCACAATGTAGCTCAATATTCCTTATGTCTCCTAATGTTTCACATCTTTTCCACATGCTAAACTCACTCAAACCCTTCCTGAAACTTTCAATGTATATTATTGTGTTACCATGATAAGATTTGAATTTTAGAATTTATTCAACTAAGTTAATCCCAGGTGATCATAGCATCTCAGGGATTACACCTGGGTTCAATTCTTCAGTGCAGAGTTCTGTCCACTAAAAAGATAATGTAACTCCTTCTGGAAAACTCTACAGATAATTATAAGGCAGGAGCAGGATATAACAATAGACACGGCAATTCAAATAATAGGGAAGGAATTGGAGACTTTTGACAGTTATGTGTCTGTAGAAATTTTGAGATCCAGTCAGAAAAAAATGACCAATTCCATCACCCACTGCCCCCCACCAACAGCACAGGGAATTTTCCTTAATTAGGGTTTGATTCCATTCCAAGGGTAAGATAACTATCTATATTGTTCTTCGTATTGTTAGGGTCACTCTTTGAGATATTCCTACTTTTCTATAGGAAAGAGTACGTGATTATAGCTGGGTAAATTTCTTGGCTTGTTTCTTGGCCAGATGTATTTACTGCCTAGAAAACTATTTTCATTTAAACTTCTTAAGTCCCACTAAATTCAAGCTGATACAACTTTTTTAAAACAGTGGGAGTTCTAGATAGATAGATAGACACACACATATAAACATGTATGTATATATATGTATATAAAAACATGTATGTATATATATGTATATACATACATGTTTATATATATACATATATATACGTATGTGTAAATGTATCAAATTATAGTCTACTACATTAGACAAGAACCACACTTAGGAATGTTTTCAAGATAGTTACTTCTCTGTGGGGCTGCAAAGGGGGATCTTATTATATGATTCCCTTAACAATTTTAAAAGCCCATTTATCCAGTTATAAAAGCCTATAAGGCACGGCCTTACATTCCCATGTGATCTAACAAAGGACACCCTTGATTTTTTTTTTATCCCCAAACTATGTTTTACTGACAATACCCAGACTTTGATCTTTGACTCTATGACATTTATTACTTTTGAGAAACTTTTGACAGCTAGAAAGTGTGGGAAAGAGAGAACAAGTCTTTTGTAAGAAATAATCTTCTGAATGCTGCTTGAAAATTGAGCATATATCTCTCTAGCACGTATGTCTCCTGCAACACCCTATCATACTTGAGAAGAAAAAAAAAGACAATTAGCACTTTCAATATGCTGCCTTGAAATCTCCTTAGTCACATTCACAAACACATTAGGTACATTTTCTGTTTTCCAATTTATCATAGGCAACAATTTTCCTAAATATCTGCAAACACGGTTTTCTTTGTCTCCAGTCCCTAACAGCAATTTTCTCACTGCTCTAAGAGACTTCACTAACAGTCTTCTTTCCTCCATTTAGGCCTTTATCTCCCATATAATCACAAAGCTGATGACAGAAGGGATATCGTTTTGTTATAATAAGAGCCCACTTGCAGTTTCCAGTTTCGGTTCCACTTATCTATGCCTGTGTGTTAGTTTCCTCTTGCTACTGTAAGAAATTACAATGAAGTTAGTGGCTTTAAAAAGACCACAAATGTATTATTTTACAGTTCTAGAGGTCAAACTCTGTTATGGACTTCACTGGGCTAAAATCATAATGTCAGCAGTATTACATTACTTTAAAGGCTGCTAGAGTCTGCCTGCATTCTTTGACTTATGATCCTCTTCCATCTTCCAGGCCAGCAATTGCCTTACTCTGAGCCTTGCTTTCATCGACACACCTCCTTCTCTGACTCAGACTCCCTGATTCCTTATTTTCTTTTCAGGAGCTTTGCGATCACATTGGGTCTACCTTGATAGTCCAGCATAATCTCATAATCTTCCCCTCTCTTGTCCTTAGTTACATCTACAAAGTGGTTTTTTTTTTGGTGGTGGTGGTGGTGGTGGTTTTTTTGTTTGTTTGTTTGTTAACATGGAGTCTTGTTCCATAGCCCAGACTGGATTGCAGTGACGCAATCTCGGCCCACTGCAGCCTCTGCCTCCCAGGCTCAAATGATTCTCCTGCCTCAGCCTCCCAAGTAGCTGGTACTATGGGTGTGCACCATCATGCCCAGCTAATTTTTGTATCTCTACTAGAGATAGGGTTTCAGCATGTTGGCCAGGCTGGTCTCAAACTCCTGACCTCAGATAACCCACCCGCCTCAGCCTCCCAAAGTGCTGGGACCACAGGCATGAGCCACCTCCCCTGGCCTAAAAAGTCATTTCATTCCATGTAAGATGATATATTTGCAGCTTTCAGTAAATAAGACATCCTTTGGGGTACCATTATCTTGCCCTCCACTGTCTACATAACAAACCACTGCAAAATATAATGACTAAGAGAATCCCACTTTATTTTATCTGGTAATTCTTTGAATTGAGTTGGGTTGATTTTATATATTTTTTTCCCTACCTTCCTGGTGTGTTGAAGTCAGTCACTGTATTAGTTGGGGTTCTCTAGAGGAAACCCCTACTGATACTCACCCATTGTTTGCCCGTGGGTGAGTATTAAGCCTCTACTAAGACCCAGTTTTGGGCCAAAAGCTGTTTCTCGATAGAAGAATAGCTATCTTCAGATAATGCCAGGGTCGTGCTCTAAAATCCTAAAAGCTCATGCTGTGACTCTCTTATAGAGTCCTGCCAAAGTCTCCAAAAAATATCCCTATCTGCCACTGACATTTCAAGTACCGTTGAATCTGCTGGATCATATGGCCCATGTGGCCGAACAGCTTGCCCAGAGCCTGGACCTGTCTTTCTTTTGTTCTAAGCCCTACAAAAAACTAGCAGCTTTTTGGGGTCCTATTTAAATGGGCTGAAGTAGCATACTAAACTGTGGATTGTGTTGCATTCACAATCTAAGGAAGCCCACTAGGCATTGTGCCTCTTTATTTATTGTGGGAGACACCAGGTGCAACAACTCATTCATCACTTTAAGATATACCTTTAACATTATTCCTCCCAGTGGACGTCCACAAATTTGTTAGATACAGAATTCTGGATTTTAGTAACATTTATTTCTCATCTTTTAACATGTAAAATTCTTATCAATGAGTCTGAATAGCGGCTACTTCTTTCTCACTAGATCCAATTAGTAAAATGTCATCAATGTAATGGGTCTGTGTGATATCTTGCAGAAGGAAAAGAGGATGAAGATCCCTGCAAGCCAAATTATGATATAAGGCTGGAGAGTTTATATACCCTGAGGCAAGACAGTGAAGGTAAAGTTCTGGTTTTGCTAGCTGAAAACGAATCACGTCTGGTGGATAGACAGTGTTGGAGAAAAGGGCATTTGCTGTATCAGTAACTGCATATCACATATCAAGGGATGTGTTAATTTGCCCAAGCAATGAAATAAAAACTACAATGGCATCTGCAATTTGAGTTACCACCTGATTAAGCTTATGATAATCTGCTGTCATTCTTCAAGATTCACAGGTCTTCTGCAAAAGTCAAATAGGTGAGTTGAAAAATAATGTTGGAATTACCGCCCCTGCAAACTTTAAAACCTTGATGGTGGCACAAAACTCCGCAGTTCTTCCAGGAATATGATATTGCTTGTTACTTACTATTTTCCCAGGTAAAGGTAGTGATAATGGCTTTCACTTGGTCTTTCCCACCATAATAGTCCTAACTTTAAGAAGAGGCAAAATGCAAGACTGGGCCTTTGATTTGCATTGTACTTCAGCCAGTCACAGGATGAGGTTTTGAGTTTGATATTCAGCAATTTCAGCCCTGTGACTACAGGAAATAAGATTCTCCTTCTGGGTATACATTGAATGTCTTAAGTTGTTTACTTGATGCTTGAGCTGAGAACTCAAATGTCTGAGCTCATCTTTTATTCCCCTACTTTGTCCAGTGACATTAGAAAGAACTAACCCATGTTATTATATTTGTTAGTTTTCCAAAAATGTTTGAAGGTGTCATATACAGTCATCCATCTCCTTACTTTTTGTATTTGGTTGATTAGTAGTATATATTACAGACAGTTTTCATACCTCTATAAAGAGTTCACGACGTGGACTATCAGTGCTCTTTACATTACTGGAAATAAAGACATTTGTATCTTTAAATCTAATTGGATTAGAAAGCCTATTCTGGAAACCCCAGTATAAATTTTAAAACTCATTCTCAAAATTATTTTCCTCTAGAACCTTTCTTGGTACTGAAATTTATGTTAGTCTGGGTTCCCAGATAAACTAAACCTTGAGTTACACGTTTCAGACTTTGCAATGAAGAAACATTACAACAATCAGCTATACCATTGTAAACGGATGCCTAATTACTGTATATTTAAGTATAAAAAATAAAATACGTACAGTCTAAAAATATAAGAAAAAATTTTATAGAATATAATTTTGGGCATTGTGATTTAGAGAGAATTCCTTAACCTCAAATAAAATTGACTTAGATAATCACCTACCTTGTTTTCACACCAAAATGATCAGAAACTTTCAAAACTTAATTCTTCAGCCAAAAAGGTAGAAAATAAATTAATTTTAAATAAAAGACAATCGTGCTTAAGAGAAATGGCTACCTTGTTTACAGTTTCTGTTATGTCTCCTACAATTAACAAAAAGCTATTTTTTGTTAAGTGAAATATATATAAGCATATATATAATTTCTGATTGAAACACACATATTTCAATGTGTATTTTAAATACGTGTATTTATAATTTGTGTGTTGGAATACACATATTATTGAATGTGTGTTTGAAACATGCATACTGATTGAAATATATGCATTTATGTGTTTGAAATATACATGTTTCACTGATTGAAACATACACGTTTATAATAATCCATGTTTCTTGAGGATTTCAAATTATTTAACAATATTCAGATCCTAAAATATTCTATCTCTTATAAATTGAGAAACATTTATTATTTTCAATTGCACATTAATAGGTGAGTGAATAAACAAATTATGTTCAAAGAGCATACATTGTAGGACTTGAATACATTTCAATAGTCAGAATACAATCTATCTTGGCAAATGTTCCATAGAAACTAGCAAAGAATGTGTTTTTTGGTGCCGTTAGATTGAGTGTTCTATGAATGTTAATTATGTCACTGTGGTTAATAATGCTATTTATGTGTTCAATATCCTTACTAATTTCCTGTCTCATGGTTCTATCTACTATTCAGAGTGGTGTCAATATCTGCAACTATAATAAAGAACTTTTCTAGTTCTCCTTGCAATTCTATTGCTTTTTCCTTATTTTACTTGAAGTTCATTATCAGATATAGAAATGTTTCAGATTGTTATGGCCTCTTGATGAATCAGCTCCTTTATTACTATAAAAAGATCCTATTATTTTAGGTAAAATGCTCTTCGCTAAAATTTACTTTTTGTGTGATATTACAATAGCCACTATAACAGCTACCAACAAAAGAAATGAACTATTGCTATGAACAATATAAATGATTCTCAGAATTATTTGTCCATAAGAAAAAAGCCAGAAACAAAAGACCATGTGTTTTATGATCCCATTTGTTAAACATACACACCCACACCACACACACACACACACACACACACACACACAATCTAGAAAAGTCAAACTAACAGAAAATAAAATAAAGATGATCAGTATTTTTCTGGCCATGGGGAAAATGGGATGTGGTAGGAGAGAGAGATTTGAAAGTGCTACAAAACAACTTGGGGATAATAGATATGCTCATTATCTTGATTGTTTTGTTACTTTCACAGGTGTGTACATCTGGTAAAACTGATCATATTGTGTACATAAACTTGTGCAGTTTATTGTTTATCAAATGTGCCTCAGTAAACCAGTGTAAATGCAACTCACAGTCTTATTGCATTAGTAAAGTATAACAACATTTGTTCTGTGAACAATTGATAAGGTCAAATAGTAATTTCTCTGAAAAAAAATATGCATTTTACTCTGAAGACATAAAATTATTCATGTAGTGCATTTCAATTTTTATATATAAAAATCCAAACAATTAAGAGTAACTGATGAAATATACTTCAAAATATTTACATAATCTGTTGTTTAAGTTATCCCACTTTGATATCTTTATTTTCCCAAAGGCACACTAAAATGAATATATATTTGTATTTTTCCATGGGGAAATGTAGATGCCTGTATGTAGATGCTGTTTTATTACACAGAGTAGTGAAAGGTTAGAGCTCAAAAGGGCTTTGGTTTTACATATGAAGAAGATAAGGTTTATTGAGTCTTGTTAATAATTCTGTACTAATTGATACTGAGCCTAGACCTTGTGTGCACTATGTATATATTTTTAAAGGGCATTCTGTAAAAGGCCTACTTTGAAAGATTACTAGCATTGCTTTTTCAGGTTTTCTCACTGATATGGTTTGGGTTTGTGTCCCCATCCAAATCTCATGTGGAATTTTCATCCCCAGTATTGGAGGAAGGGCTGGGTAGGAGGTGATTGGATCATGGTGGCGGATTTCCCCTTTGCTGTTATTGTGATAGTGAGGTCTCTCTATATCTAACTGTTACAAAGTATGTAGCATCTCCCCCTCCACTCTCTTCCTCCTTCTCCAGCCAAGTAAGACATGCCTGCTTCCCCTTCACCTTCTGCCATGGTTATAAGTCTCCCGAGGTCTCCCGAGTCGTGCTTCCTGTATAGCCTGCAGAACTGCCAGTCAATTAAACCTCTTTTCTTTATAAATTACCCACTCTTGGGTAATTTTTTATAGCAATGTGAAAACGAACTAATACACTCACCTAGTGAATGACCCAGGACCAGAACTCAGTTTTGCTGAATCTGCATCCGCCTTATTCATTCATATTGTCTTCATTATGAATGAAGTATGGAGGATAAGGTCTGCATCCACCTCATTCATTCGTGTTGTCTTCATTAGGAATGAAGTATGGGGGATAAGGTATCATTTCGTTTCTTTTGTATTTCTTTTTCTACTTTTATTTTAGATTTGGGGGTACATGTGCAGGCTTGTTACATGGGTAAAGTGCATGTTGCTGGGGTTTGGTGTATAAGTGATTTCATCACCGAGTTAGTAACACAGTACCGGATAGATAGTTTTTACACTCTCCTCGGTGTCTACTATTCCTCTTTTGGTGTCTATGAGTACTCCACCTTTACCTCCCACATATAAGTGAAAAAATACAGTACTTGGTATTCTGTTCCTGCTTTAATTTAATTTAGCATAAAGCCTCCAGCTACATCCATGTTTCTGCAAAGGGCATGATTTCATTCTTATTACGGCTCTGTAGTATTTTATGATGTGTATGTACCACATTTTATTTACACAGTCCGCTGTCAATGAGCATCTAGGTCGAATTCATGTCTTTAGTATTGTGAATAGAACTGCAATGAGACTGAGTTCATTGCAGTATACCCCAGTTCACTGCAATATGAGTGCATGTGTCTTTTTGGTGGAACAACTGATATGGTTTGTATCTTTATCCCCACCAAATACCATGTTAAAATGTAATATCCAGTGTTAGAGGTAGGGTGTAGTGGAAGGTGTTGGGATCATTGATGAGGTAGATCCCGCAAGAATGTCTTAATGGAATCTCCTTAGTGATGAGTGCGTTCACACAAGATCAGGTTGTTTAACAGTGTTAGGTGCCTCCCATTCTCTCTCTTTTGTTCCTACTTTTGCCATGTTATGAGTCTGTTCTCACTTTGCCTTCTGCCATGAGTAAAATCTCACTGAGGTCTCCCTAGAAGCCAAGAAGATGCTGGTACCATGCTTGTACAGCCTGCAAAAGCATGAACCAATACGCCTATTTTCTTTATAAATTACCTAGAATTTCTTTCTAAATTCTTTATAAAATAAAACCTATTTTCTATATAAATTACCCAGTCTCAGGTATTTATACCATCACAAGAATGCCCTAAAACAACAATTTATATTTGTCTGGGTGTGTACTTGATAATAGGATTACTGGATTGAATTGTAGTTCTGTTCTAATTGATTTGAGAAATCTCCAAACTGCTTTCCACAGTGACTGAACTAATTTACATTACCACTGTCAGTGTATAAGCATTGCTTTTCTCCACAACAACATCAACATTTGTAATTTTCTGACATTTTAATAATAGGCATTCTGACTGGTGTTAGATGATATTTAATGGTGGTTTTGATTTGCATGTGTCTAATGATTAGTGATGTTGAGGATCTTTTCACACGCTTGTTGGACGCATGAATGTCTTCTTTTAAGAAGTGTCTGCTCAAGTCCTTTGCCCATTCATACATGGGGTTGTTTGTTTTTTGCTTATTGATTTGCTTCTGTTCCTAACTGAGTCTCAGTATTAGACCTTTGTCAAATGCATACTTTGCAAATATTTTCTCCTGTCCTGTAGGTTGTCGATTAACTCTGCTGATAGTTTCTTTTGCTATGCAGAAACTCTTTACTTTAATTAAGCCCCACTTTTCTATTTTTGCTTTTGTTGCAATTGCTTTTGGGGACTTCATCATTAATCTTTTCCAAGGCCAATATCCAGAATTATATTTCTTAGGTTTTCTTTTAGGGTTTTTGTAGCTTTGAGTCTCACATATAAGTTTTATTCCATCTCAAACTGATTTTTTTTCTTTCCCTATGTTTTTAGGACACCTCAAGCCAGTGAGTAGAGTTGATTTTGTGTATGGTTTATGTTCTGTGTATGGTACATATTTTGTGTATGGCTCAATTTCAATCTTCTGCATATGGCTAGCCAGTCATCCTAGTACCATTTATTAAGAAGTCCTTTTCTCAATACTTGTTTATTTTGTCAAAAGTCAGATGGTTGTAGACGTGGGGCTTTATTTCTGGGTCCCCTGACTTGTCCATTGGTCTATGTCTCTGTTTTTGTACTAGTACCATGCTGTTTTGGTTTCTGTAGCCTTGTGATATAGTTTGAGGTAAGGTAGTGTCATGTCTTTGGCTTTGTTCTTTTTGCTTAGGATTCCTTTAGCTATTTGGGCTCCTTTTTGGTTTTATATGAATTTGAAAATAGTTTTTTTTCCAGTACTGTAAATAATGTAATTGGGAGTTTGATAGGAATAACTTTGAATGTGTAAATTGCTTTGGACTCAATGGTCATATTAACAATATTATTTCTTCCTATTCATGAGCATAAAATGTTTTTCCTTTTTTGTGTGTCATATCTGATTTCTTGCAGCAGTGCACCATAATTTTCATTGTAGAGATCTTTCACCTACTTGCTTAGATGTATTCCTCAGTATTTTATTATTTCTGTTACTATAGTGAATGGGTTTGCATTCTTGATTTGACTTTCAGCTTGGATATTACTGGTGTATAGAAATGGTAATAATTTTTGCATATTGATTTTATATCCTGGAAATTTACTGAAGTTGTTTATTAGTTCTAGGATTCTTTGGGCAGACTATGGGGTTTTCCAGGTATAAAATTATCATTAGTAAGCAGGAAGTTCAACTTTCTCTTTTCCTATTTGGATGCCTTTTATTTATTTACCTTGACTAATTACTCTGGCTAGGAATTTAATACTTATTGATTAGAAGTGTTGACAGTGAGCATTTGTCTTTTTTTCCAATTTTTAAGGAGAATTCTTTTGGTTTTTGCTCATTCAGTAAGATGTTGGCTGTGGGTTTGTCATAGATATCTGTTATTATTTTGATGTATGTTCTTTCAGAGACTAATTTATTGTAGATTTTCAACATAAAGTGATGTTGAATTTTATTGAAAGGCTTTTCTGCATCTATTGAGATGATTATGTAGTTTTTGCTTTTAGTTCTGTTTATGTGATGAATCACATTTATTGATTTGCATATATTCAACCAACCTTGCATTCCAGGAATAAAGCCTACTTGATAGTGGTGGACTAGCATTTTGATGTGCTGCTGGATTCGATTTCCTGGTATTTTCTTCAGAATTATTGTGTCTTTGTTCATCATGAATACTGATCTGCAGTTTTCTTTTTTTGTTAGGTCTCTGCCAGATGTTGGTGTCAGAATAATGCTGGTCACATAGAATAAGTTAGGGAGGAGTCTCTCCTCCCTGATTTCTTGGAATAATTTCAGTAGGATTGGAACCAGGTTTTCTGAATACATGTGGTAGAATTTGGCTGTGAATCTGTCTAGTCCGTGGCTTATTCTAGTTGGTAGGGTTTTTTTTAACTGATTCAATTTTGGAATTCATTATTGGTGTGTTCAGGATTTTAACTTCTTACTGGTTCAGTCATGGGAGGTTGTATGTTTCCAGGAATTTATCTATTTTCTTGTGTCTGTTTATAATAGTCTCTGAGGTTTTTTTTTTTTCTTTTTTTTTTTGGATTTCTGTGTGGTCAGTAGGAATGCCCCCTTTGTCACTGCTGATTGTGTTTGTTTGGATCTTCCCCCTTTTTGGTTTTATTTATCTAGCTGGTGGTTTGTCAATCTTGTTCATTCTTGCAAAAAACCAAACTTTTGGTTTCATTAATCTTTTGAATGGATTTTTGCTTTTCAGTTTTAATTTAGCTCAAATTTTTGTTATCTTCTCCTTCTAGCTTTGGGATTTGTTTGGTCTTGTTTTTCTAGCACCTCTAAGTATGATGTTAGGTTGTTAATTTGCAGTCTTTCTAATTTCTTGATGTAGGCATTTAGTATATAAACTTTCCTTTTAACAGTACTTGAGCTGTGTCCCAGAGATGTACTTACATTGTGTATTTTTATTAGTTACAATCTTTTTTTGCCTTAATGTCATTTTTTATCCAAAAATCATTCAGGATACAGTTATTAAATGTCCATGTCATTGTATGATTTTGAGAGATCTTGGTATTGGTTTCTTTCTTTTTTTTTCTTGAGACAGAATCTCTCTCTGTTGCTGAGGTTGGAGTGCAGTGGCACAATCTCAGCTCACTGCAACCTCCGCCTCCCAGGTTTAAGCAAGTCTCTGCTTCAGCCTCCCAAGTAGCTGGGATTACAGGCACCTGCTACCACACCCAGCTAATTTTTTTGTATCTTAATAGAGATGGGGTTTCACCATCTTGGCTAGGCTGGTCTTGAACTCCTGACCTCATGATCTATCTGCCTCAGCCTCCCAAAGTGCTGTGATTACAGGCTTGAGCCATTGCACCCAGCCTTGGTGTCTATTTTTATTGCTGTGGTCTGAGAGTGTGGTTGATATGATTTCAGTTTTTTTTGGATTTGTTGAGAATTGTTTTATCACCAGTGTATGGTAGATCTTAGAGTGTTTGCTGTGTGCAGATAGGAAGAAAGTATGTTTTGTTGAGGGTGCATGGAGTATTTTGTCAAAGCCTATCAGGTCAGTTTGGTCAAGTGTTAATTTTAGATCCCAAGTATCTTTGTTAGTTTTCTGCCTTGATGATCTGTCTAACACTATTAATGGTGTGTTGAAGTCTCCCACTATTATTGTGTGGTTATCTAAGTCTCTTCATAGGTCTCGAAGAACTTGCGTTATGAATCTGGGTGCCACAGTGGTGGGTGTATATATATGTAGGATAGTTGGGTCTTCTTATGTTGAATCTTTTATCATTATGTAATGCCCTTCTTTGTCCTATTTGATAATTGTTGGTTTAAAGTCTATCTTGTCTTAAATAGAATAGCAATGCTTGCTCTTTTTGGTGTTCCATTTGCTTGTTAGATCTTTCTTTGTCCCTTTACTTTGATCCTATGCATGTCATTTCATGGGAGGTGGATCTCTTGAAGACAGCAGAAAGTTGGGTCTTGCTTCTTTATTCAACTTGGCACTGTGTGCCTTTTAGGTGGGACATTTTTCCTATTCACATTCAAGGTTAACACTGATATGTGAGGATTTGACTCTGCCATTGTGTTCTTAGCTTGTTATTATGTACACTAGGTTGTATAGTAGCTTTATAGTGTCAGTGGGCTATGTACTTAAGTATGTTTTTGAGGTGTCAATTAATGGTCTTTTGTTTACATGTTTATGGCTACCTGAAGGACCTCTTGTAAGGCAGTTCTGGTGGTAATGGATTTCCTTAGTATTTCCTTTTCTGAAAATGATTTCATTTCTCCTTACCTTATGAAGCTTCATTCGTCTGGATATGAAATTCTAGGCAGGAATTTATTTTCTTTTAGGATGCTGGAAACAAGCCCATAATCTCTTCTGGCTTGTAAGGCTTCTTCCAAAAGATGTGCTGTTAGCCTGATGGGATTCCCTTTATACATGACTTGCCTTTCTCTTTAGCTGCCTTTTCTTTTATGTTGACTTTGGAGAATTTAATAATTATGTATCTTGTGGATTGTTGTCTTGTATAGTATCTTGCAGTGTTTCTCTGAATTTCCTGAATTTGCATGTCAACTTCTATAGCAGTATTTTGGAAATTTTCATAGACAATATCGTCACATACTTTTTTTAAGTTGTTTCACCTCTCTCTTTCTCTTTCAGGAATGCTAATGAGTCATAGGTTTGGCCTCTTTATACAGTCTCATATTTCTTAGAAGTTTGTTCAATTTTCAAAATCTTTCTTTTTTATTTTTTCTGCTTTCTTTGAACTGGAGGAGCAGTCTTTGTGCTCTGAGATTCTTTCTTAAGCTTGGTCTGTTCTGTTATTAATGCTTCCAGTAGCATTCTGAAATTTCTGTAGTGAGTTTTTCATTTGCAGAAGTTCAATTTGGTTTCTATCTTAAAATGGTCATGTTGCCTTTCAATTATTGAATCCTTTTGCAGCGTTACTCAGATTGGATTTGAAGCTTCTCCCATATCGCCATGTGCTTCCTTGCTATCCACATTCTGAATTCTATGTCTGCCATTTCAGCCATATCAGACTGGCTGAGAATCATTCCTGGAGAACTATTACAGCCATTTGGAGGCAAAAAGACATTGATATTTGTAGTTGCCAGAGTTCTTGTGCTGATTCTTTCTTGACTATGTCTCTGGATGTTCCTTTGATCTTTGAAATTGCTGTCATTTGGGTGGGGCTTTTGCTTTTATATTGTTTGGTGCCCTTGAAGGTTTGACTGTAGTATAAGTTAGGTTTAATTGATTGGCTTCTGATGTAGTTTGGCTGGGTCCCCACCCAAATCTCATCTTGATTTGTAGTACTTATAATTCCCACATGTTGTGGGAGGGACTGGGTGGGAAGTAATTGAATCATGGAGTGGTTACTGCCATGATGCTGTTCTCATCATAGTGAGTGAGTCTCACGAGATCTGGTGGTTATATGAAGGGTGGTTTCCCTGCACACACTCTCTCGTCTGCCACCATGTAAGACATGACTTTCTTCTTCCCTTATGTTCCTCCATGATTGTGAGGCCTCCCCAGCCATGTGGAACTGTGAGTCCATTAAACCTCCTTTCCTTTACAAATTACCCAATCTTGGTAATAATTAATAATTATTAATAATTAATTTTAATTAAAATTAATAATTAATAATTATTAATAATTAATTTTAATTAAAATTAATGATTAAAATATTAACAATTATTAATAATCAATAAAAACATTAATAATGTCTTTATTAGCAGCATAAGATGGACTAATACAGCTACATTTCTGGAGGCTCAGCACTCCTGGGCTGCATGCTCTAAACTTCAGGGCTTGGACCATGCCCACAGCTTTGTTGTTTGGCCCCTCGACGTTAAACACCTACTCCACTGAAAGGGCAGAGGTTTTTTCATTCTACTGGCATCAAAACTCCAATGGGGGCTGCTGACTAAAGCACTTCAGTGGGTCAGTGGTGGGTTCACATGCATGTGTACACCAGCAAGGCAGCTGGGGGAGGTCAATGGTGAGTGCTCACAGGCTCCAGAAGGCTGCAGCTGGTGCATGCCTGTGGGATTCCATCTGGAAAAGCACTTTGATGAGTAGGAGTATGCCAGTGAAAAAGCTATGGCAGTGGCCACTGGCAGACTATGGCTGTGTTGCAAGCATATGCAGCCAGGCAGGAGCCCTTAGAGAGGTCAGCAGGGAGGGGGGACACTAAGATTAGACTACCCCATCCTACCAGCACAACACCCCTGCTTTGTCCAGGTCTAGCATCTAACAAAGGCTAAAGGCACCTAAAGCAACATAGCAAGCATTCAGAGATGTATACTCATGGATATTCTCCACTATAGCTGTTCCCATGCCAAACCTGGGCTCCACATAGGCTGAAATTCAGTCTCTTCCAACTCTCTGGGAACTTCTTTCTATAAGCTAGTGGGGGTTGTGGGGTCTCCCACATCTAGGATCTAAAAAGTTCATTTTTTGGCCTCTCCATGCCTATGTTACTCACCTAATACCTATGAGCTGCTTAGGGTCAGGAACGGGTCATAGTGCTCAGCAATCCCATGCAGGGTCCCCAGATTCCACACCAGCTGGGGGTCTTCATTCTTCCTGTCTCCACTTTCAATACCTTCTTTCCAAAGAACAGATTAGAGTGTGTTGCTCTGCATGATGGTATCCTCTATCTCAGTGGGAGAAGCTCTCTCTGGCTAAATCTATTAGTTTTTGTTGTTGTTCTTTTGTTTTGTTTTTTTGAATGGAGTCTCACTCTGTCACCCAATCTGGAGTTCAGTGGCACGATCTTGGTTCACTGCAACCTCTGTCTCCTGAGTTCAAGTGATTCTCCTGACTCAGCCTCCTGAGTAGTGATTATAGGTGCATGCCACAACACCAGCTAATTTTTTAATTTTTAGTAGAGATGGAGTTTCCTCATGTTGGACAAGCTGATCTCAAACTCCTGACCTCAAGTGATCCACCTGTTTCGGCTTCCAAAAGTGCTGGGATTACAATCATGAGCCACCACACCCAGCCAGGCCATTCACTGTTATTCCACTTTGACATCTTATCTACTAAAGACAATTTTAATGAAAATACTCTTCCAGATGAACAGTTAAATTATTTCATTTATATTATTTAGGTAAATTTTGTGACCTACAAGCAGTGAAAATACAAATTTTGAAACTAGTTATAGAAATAAAAGTGACTCCAACTTGGATGCTAATCTGCCATGTTGACTTCTGATTAGCCCTACTCCTGTGAATACTTCCTGATTTCTATTTTATTTTTTCACTGTCCTTAGTGTAAGAATAAGGCAAACTTGATGTTATCACATAAATGTAGGGTAGAGGCATGTAGCATTGTTACCTAGTCTGGAGGGTTGTCTTTAATTGTGTTGCTCAGACCACTTATATCTTTCCTCTATGGTATATAGCCCTTGGTACTGGCGAGTATCAGTGTGGAGTTATACCTGTCTTGCTACCACCCAAGACCATGTTTCGCTGTCTGTAAGTTCCCAGATGAACTATCCTTTAGAGACAAACTAAATATGTCTGTCTTGTTCTTTTGTTTCTAGACTCCTTTGGCCTTTCATGGAACACTATTCAAAATTGATTGTACAAACCTGACTTTTCAAAAGTATTAATAAAATACAGTGAAAATGACAAGTAGAAATTCAGATGACACAAAAATTATTAGGACATCCAAGCAAAACTGGGTTAATTTTTTAAAATATAAAATAAATCATGAATTTCTACACAGCCAAAGGAATTTATCTTAACATAGGCCAGAAAACAGTTACAGAGAAATCAAACCATCATTATTACAACTACCTTGCCATAAACTGAGATAATTAAAGTGGAAAAACTTGAAGTTTTTCAAAATGAAGTGGAATATTTATTTTGCATTTTGGATAAATCTTAATGTAGCTTTGCTAGAAAAATAAATTTTAATTAAAATAAGTGAGCTGGGCACAGTGGCTCATGTCTGAAATCTCAGCACTTCAGGAGGCCAAGGAGGGCAGATCACCTGAGGTCAGGAGTTTGAGACCAGCCTGGCCAACATGGTGAAAACCCATCTCTACTAAATATACAAATATTAGCCAAGGGTGGTGACACATGCCTGTAATACCAGCTACTCGGGAGGCTGAGGCAGGAGAATTACTTGAATACAGAGGCAGAGGTTGCAGTGAGCTGAGATCACACCACTGCACTAGAGCCTGCGTGACAGAGTGAGACTCCATCTCAAAAATAAATAAATAAATAAATAAATAAATAAATAAATAAAAAGAAATAGACAAGTGGTACCTTAAAATTATATGTAAAAGTAATGGTTGTGAGAAGTTTGAAACACAATATGGATAAAAATGAAATAAATAATGTTTGTCACTTTATTAAGAATAAATGAAGAAAAGAAAGATGAAAGAAGAAAAATAAACCAATAAATTTATTTTTTTGCTGCTATTGTAAAAGGGGTTAACCTATTGATTTGATTCTCAGCTTGGTCACTATTGATTCTATTTGCTATCATATCCATTGTACTGCTGGTTCCATCTGGTATATTTTTATTCTATTTTACGTTTTAATTTTAAAACTTTCATTTGTATACTTTTATAACGTTTATTTTTGTTGGAATTTCCCATTTTAAAATTTCTTTCAAGATAATCTGTAATTGATAATTGAAATGATTTTTAGATAGCTACATTAACATCATTTAAGATAATTCTGATATCTGATTCATTTCAGTGATAGGCTTAGTTGATCATATTTTTTCAATAAACTTATGAATTCTTAAATGTTAGTATGATGGGTTATTTTCAAATGAATCCTAGTCAGTTTGTATTATTTTGTTAGCACTGGGTCTTTAATATCTATCCTTATAATTTTGTCTTGAATACATACATGTGGTGTTGTATTAGCCCATTTTCATGCTGCTGATAAAGACATACCCAAGACTGGGCAATTTACAAAAGAAAGAGGTTTAATGGACTTATAGTTCCACATGGCTATGGAGGCCTTACAATCATGGAGGAAGGCAAGAAGCAGCAAGTCAGGTCTTACATGGATGGCAGCATGCCAAAAGAGAGCTTGTTCAGGGGAACTCCTCTTTATAAAACCTTCAGATCTCATGAGACTTATTCACTATCACCAAAACAGCACAAGAAAGACCTGCCCCCACGATTAAATTACCTCCCACCTGATCCCTCCCACAACACCTGGGAATTCAAGATGAGATTTGGATGGGGACACAGCCAAACCATATTATTCCACCCCTGGCCCCTCCCAAATCTCATGTCCTCACATTTTAAAAGCAATCATGCCTTTGCAACAGTCCCCCAAAGTCTTAATTCATTTCAGCATTAACTCAAAAGACAACAGTCCAATCCCTCATCTGAGACAAGGCAAGTCCCTTCCACCTATGAGCCTGTAAGATTAAAAGCAAGTTAATTACTTCCTAGATACAATAGGGGCACAGGCTGTGGGTAAATACAGCTATTCCAAATGGGAAAAATTGGCCAAATCAAAGGGGCTACAATCCCCATGCAAGTCCAAAATCTAGCAGGGCAGTCAAATCTTAAAGCTCCAAAATGATCTCCTTTGACTCTATGTCTCACATCCAGATCACACTGATGCAAGACATGGGTTTCTACAGTCTTGGGCAGCTCTACCCCTGTGGCTTTGCAGGGTACAGCCTCCCTCCTGGCTGCTTTCAGTGGTTGGCATTGAGTGTCTGCGGCTTTTTCAGGAGCACAGTGCAAGCTGTCAGTGGATCTGCCATTTTGAAGTCTGGAGGATGGTGGACCTCTACTCACAGCTCCACTAGGCAGTGCCCCAGTGTGGACTCTGTGTGGGGGCTCTGACTGCATATTTTTCTTCTGCACTGCCCTAGAAGAGGTTCTCCATGAGGGCTCCACCTCTGCAGCAAACTGCTGCCTGGACATGCAGGTGTTTCCTTACATCCTCTGAAATCTAAGCAGACGTTCCCCAACCTCAATTCTCAACTTCTATGTACCCACATGCCCAACACCATGTGTAAGCCACCAAGGCTTGGGGCTTGCACCCGCTGAAGCAATGGCCCAAACTATACGTAGACCCCTTTTGGCCATGGCTGGAGTTAAGTAGCTGGGAAACAGGACACCATGCCCTGAGGTTCCATTTACCGTTGGGGCCTAGGAACAAAAAATGGGTTTGTGGGCCAGGCTCAGGGGCCCCCTGCTGTGTGCACACTAGGGACTTGGTGCCTTGGGTCCAGGCCCATAAAACCATTTTTGGCTACTAGACCCCTGGGCAGGTGATGGGAGGGACTCCTGTGAAGGTCTCTGACATGCCCTGGAGAAATTTTCTCCATTGTTTTGGTGATTAACATTCAGCAGTACCTTACTTATGCAAATTTATACAGCTGGCTTGAATTTCTCTTCAGAAAATGGGTTTTTCTTTCTATCTTACCATCAGGTTGCAAATGTTCTGAACTTTTATGCTCTGCTTCCTCTTGAATGCTTTGCCACTTAGAGATTTCTTCCGCCAGATACACTAAATCATCTATCTCAAGTTCAAAGTTCCACAGATCTCTAGGGCAGGGACAAAATGCCACTAGTCTGTTTGCTAAAGCATAAGAAGAATGACCTTCACTCATCTCCATCTGTGACCACCTCAGCCTGGACTTCATTGTCCATATCACTATCAGCATCTTGGTCAAAGTCATTCGACAAATTTCTAGGAAGTTCCAAACTTTCCTATATCTTCCTGTCTTCTGAGCCCTCCAAGTCTCCAGGAAGTTCCAAACTTTCCCACATTTTCCTGTCTTCTTCTGAGCCCTCTAACCTGTTCCTATCTCTGCCTGTTACCCAGGTCCAAAGTCGCTTTCACATTTTCAGCTATCTTTACAGCAGCACCCCACTCTATGTGATACTAATTTACTGTATTATTCTGTTCTCATGCTTCTATAAAGGCATACCTGAGAGTGGGTAATTTATAAAGCAAAGAGATTTAATTGACTCACCGTTCCGTATGGCTGAGAAGACCTCAGAAATCTTACAATCATGGCAGAAGGCAAAGGAGAAGCACGCACCTTCTTCATAGCATGGCAGGACAGAATGAGTGCCAGCAGGGGAAATGTCAGATGCTTATAAAACCATCAGATCTTGTGACACTCCCTCATTATCAGGAGAATAGCATGTAGGAAACCACCCCCAGGAATCAATTACCTCCACCTGGTCCCACCCTTGACACGTGGGGATTACGGGGATTACAATTCAAAATGAGATTTGGGTGGGGACACAGAGCCAAACCTTATAATGTAGTAACCTTGAAAAGAACCAAGGTCAACATATTCTGCATCAACTAGGTGTAATCTTCATAAACGAACATGGCCATGTTATTTTGTATTTACTTGATATTGTATGTTCGAGCCTTTCTGTAGAAAAGCAAAGTAAAATCATATTCTAGTTAAAAGTGTAAGTAGGCTGGGCACTGTGGCTCACACGTGAATCCTACAACTTTGGGAGGCAGAGGTGGGTGGATTGTTTGAGCACAGGAGTTTGAAGCCAACTTTGGCAATATGGAGGAGCCTTGTATCTACAAAAAGTACAAAAAATAACTAGATATGGTGGTGTATGCCTGTAGTCCCAGCTACTTGGATAGCTGAGGTGGAAGGATTGCTTGAGGACAAGAGGTCAAGTCTGCAGTGAGCCATGATAGCATTACTGCACTACAGCCTGGGTGACAGATCAAGACTGTGTCTCAAGTATTAAAATAAAATAAAAGTATAAATAAAAGTTTCACTGTGATTTAAATATAGGTAACAGTGGAAAACATAGAAGAATTTATCCTAAAATGTAGTGTAGAAATACAGGACAACACAAAATAAAAACAAACTCAGCAAAGCATTAACATTTCAAGTAGAATATCACCTACCTGTGGTCCTTTGCCTCACTAATGTGTAGATCTTTTTTAGGAGCAGTAAATACTATATAATTATTATATTTGATGGGTACATTATTAAATTGATTAGCTCCTTAAAAATAATGGAAACGGATAAAAATTGTTTTATAGGATATATAATTATGTCAATAATGAAGACATCTCAAAGGAGGTTATATTATTTTCTGAATAGACAGGACCAAGAAAAAAGTGAAATGCAAAACCTGCACTTTACTTTCAAACCCAACACATTGAACATAACAGTTTCAATAAAACAACAATATTCCTTGAATGAATTCTGCTAGTTCAAGTTTTTTGGCATGGTGATTTTGTTTGTAGTTAATTAGTCTTTTTGATTGTTTTACATGTGGAAAGGAACCATAAGCAGAAAAGTTATTTTTGTGACTGCTATGGTGTGAATGTGTCCCCCAAAATTCATAATGTTGGAACCATGATCCCCAATGTTGGTGTTGGGAGATGAGATATAATGGGAGTTGCTTGAGTGGTGGGAGAACTGCCCAATGGATAGATTAATGCCATCATCCAGGAAGTGTCTTTGTTATTGTGGGGGTGCATTCCTTATTAAAGGACAAGTTCCTGCCCCCCTTACTCTGCCTTTGCCCTTCTCTCTTCTGCCATGAAACGATGCTGCCAGAAGGTGCTTGCCAGGTGCCAGCTCCGAGATCTAGGACCTCCCAGTGCCAGAAATGTGAGAAAATACATTTCTGTCCTTTATAAATTGCCTAGTTTCAGGTATTCTGTTATACCAGCACAAAATGGATTAAGACAGTGACTGAAAATAACATTGTATAAAAATATTACCTTGATCATATTCAATATTGTGATATACAGAAAATTCACTTTCATGCAATCAGTAGTTAAACCAACTACCCATCATCATAATTGATTTTTCACCATTGAAAAACTATACAAAGGATCTGACCCCTAGAATAATCTTGAAACCATTTTAAATTAATTTAAACATTGAAGAGTTCTAGTAAAACACAAAACTAAATAAAAACTATGCTATGCAAAATGAACAATGTCTCTTCTTGCCCAGCTCAGTGTTTTGGGGAACCAGAAACAAACCAATAAAATAAAGGCGTGGAAAGGCTACTGTGAGAACAGAAAGGAGCAACTGGGGCACTGAAACAAAAACAACCTGCACAGAAATTAAATTGAGCCAGAACGTAAAGAACTGAAGGAAGTGTCTGATACAGAGAAGAGAGAAAGTACATTTAGGCCAAAAGAATCATCACAGGTAAGGGCCGGAGAGGGTTTGAGGTATTGAAAACAAGAATAGGAATTCCCTCATGAACTGAACATATAGAGACTGGGACAGTGGGTAGAGAAGAGGCTAGGACAGTTTTAACAGCTTTATATGTATCAGGATGTGGTGTGTGCAACCAGTCATGTAGACCTCTTTGAAAGAGAACTGAAATGGACAGGCTGAACAAAGAAGGTTGTCCTTGGCATGGAGCTGAAACATTTCCAGATGAGCTCTCTGCTGGCAACAGAGATAATATACTTGGTTTGCCATTGAGCAACCCTGCAGAATAATTATTATGGAAACTATTAGTATGGTCATTTAGTTCCTCAATGGAATAAAAGCCTGTCACTGGGTTTGATACCACTATGGCTGTGTGACAGCAAGGTGACACATAAGGCATGAGGAGAGATCAGGTATTTGATTTTATTGGTGAACTGTCTAATAATCTACAAGCAATATCCATTTGAATATAAGTAACTGAAGCCAGAATATAGCTAAAGAATAAAACGTCATTTAGATGTTTTAGAATTGCAAATCTGGAAAGGCTAAGCAGCATAATTATCTTTTAAATGTTTCAATTTTAATATAATTTATGTCATTGAGGCAAAACTTTTTATGGTTTATAATACAAGTATATTCTCCCTTAACCCCATTCCCATCTTAGGATGTCCTTTATTTAGTGTAAAATTTTAAATAGGGAAAACTTAATGACTCATTCATTTCCATAATCATTTATGGCCATTATAATATAGGTCACTCACAGCTTCTGCTATTATCAGAACATTAAAGACCCTGCTGGGGCCTCTCATTGTTATTTGCTTGACATCCACTTAATATTTACCATTGGGAACATCACAGATGGCCCACTTTTCTTCTGATCCTAGTAATGAAGAATAATCATTATTTTCATGGGTCCTTCTGGGGTACTCTATCTGTAAGTAAATACCTTTTTGGAAAGAGAGAAATTGTATTTGAAGAGGCATTACCAATTGACCACCTCCACAAAAAAAAGCCTGCAGTTAAATTGGATCCAGATTCTTCAAACTTTAATCCATGAGGGAAGATGTGAATAAAGATAATGAGATAAATAAATATGAAATCACTTTGTAATAGTTGCATCACTTAGGTATATTTGTATCCTAAATATTCCTAAGTAATGCGACTAATAACAAAAAAAAAACCTCACTCAAACTGGTTTAAGATAGGGAATTTACTATCCTCTATCACTGAAGATTCCTTATCTTCAAAGGAAGGGATTGCTAGGGATTTCTTCAGGTACAACTTGTTTTAAGTGTTCAGGCTGGGTGGGTTGACTTACGCCTGTAATCCCAGAACTTTGGGGGGCTGAGGCAGGAGGATTGCTTGAGGAAAGGAGTTTGATAACAGCGTGAGGAAAGCAGCAAGGACCTGTCTAAAAAAAAAAAAAAAAAGACTTCAATAATGTCATTAAATTTGGTTTCTCTGTTACTTGGCTCTGTCTTTCAAAATTATTTCATTTTTACACATGAAACTCCATGTGGTTGCAATATACCCAATTTCTGAGATTACATCTACATTTAGTAGGAAAGTGGTTTTACCCTGACAATTTCTGTTGAAATGCCAGTTGATTTCTTTGAGTCAGATTGTATATTATGCCCATCCTTGAACATAGAGCAGTGCTCTAGATGTTGTGAAAACTGATCACTTCATCACTGGCTAACACAGTGCATATATGCTGAAACAGGAGAAAATGGAGAAGAGACCCATACTTATGCTAGGTAGCTAAAGTAACAAATCACCACAATAATAAATACAGTGAAAAAAATACCTGATGTGGTTGTGATCATTAGTGATAGTTTGGTCATCAGTCAGTTAAAGCTAATGTCTTTGAAAATCATAAAACCATATATATTTAAATTTAAATCTTATAAAGGTATGTACTTTAAACAAATCTTTTGATATAAAACTATTATGGAATGGCATGCAAAGCGAATCTTAGAGAATGGTGTATAAGATTGTCTTTCTTTCCTGAAAGACGCTAACAGTATATATTCTGTAATTTCCATTTCTATTCTTTAAGGTAAATATGCAAAGATACTTGCAAAATAATCTGATTCCACAACTGTTTTTGACAATTTTCCTTCTAATGTTGTAGTTGTGTCTTCCACAGTGTTAACACTGATTTTTTAGATATTCATAGAGAATGATGTCACAGTTGTCCTCTTATCCAAAAACATACATGAAGTATATATTCTTGGATTTCTTGTTTTAATTTTTATTTTTAAATTTTGTGGGGGCACAGTAGGTACATATATTTATGGGTACATGAGATATTTTGACACAGGCATGCAATGCATGATAATCACATTATGGAGAAGGGGGTCTCCATGCCTTTAAGCATTTAACCTTTGTGTATACTCTTTTAGTTATTTTAAACTGTACAATTAGGTTATTATTCATTATAGTCACTAAATAAGCCAGGAACAGAAAGACAAACATCATATGTTTTCACTTACTTGTGGAACATAAAAATCAAAACTCTTGAACTCATGGGTTTCTATTTTTGTTGCCTTTGAAGTACAGTGAGAAACTCCCAGTCCAGAGAAAATGATCTAGATCTATTCCTCTCTGTTCTTCCCTCCTCTTCCCCACTAAGCACTATACTATGAACCCTGGAAATAGCCCAGCAGACAACCCAAAATGTACACTGAAATGTGATAAAAAGTTGACCGGGTTACAGAAACAAGATTGGAGAAACAACACAGTGACATGTGTATGCATACGCATGTGCATAAGCACACACACACACAAGGAACACACACATACACGCACACACACAAGGCCACACAGACACATCGTTTACCGACCTAAGCCTAGCAAGAGAGGGCAGCCCACATAAGTTCATTTCTCCCCTGAATAAATCAAAAGGTCCCTCAGACAACATCAGAAATAAGGAATCAATTAGGAGCCCCCCACTTTCCCAAAATAAAGAAGAGGCTGTACGGCAAGCATTGTCCTTTCCCATCAAATGCAAGACTACTTTCCAGTAAACCTCTTCGTCTATATAGGACTAAAACTACCCTTCACTTCCCAGAGAAAGCTTGCCCGATTAGTGTAGGAAGGAAGGGGAGTTACCACTTTCCCCCTACCTACCAAATCTGGGGAAGCCCCCTCTACCTCCTCAAGCAACACCAGCAGGACAAAGTAGAATGCCAGCTGCAACCAATAAGCCAGGTAGACTGCTATGATATGAATGCTGTATCTCCACATAGCTTATATGTTGAAACCTAATCCCCAATGTGATGGTGTTAGGAGGTAGGGTCTAAATATCTATTACCTCCCATTAGACATTAGTGCCCTTTTGAAATAGGTACCAGAGAGCTCCCGTGCCCCTTTCACCATGTCAGGACACAGAAACCATGACTTTCTATGAACCAGAAAAAGGACCCTCACCAGACAAGGAACTTGTCATCTCCTTGATCTTGGACTTTGGGGCCTTCAGAATTGTGAGAGATATATTTTTTTTAATGAGCCATTCAGTCTATGGTATTTTTTCTTAGGGCAGCCCTAACAGACTAACACACAGACGGAAACAAAACTGCAAAAGTTCTGAAAACTCCACTGACAGCCTGTAAAAGTAGGCCAAGCTGTGGGCTAAACCTAAATAAGGTGACTGCCTGCTGAAATAGTAAATAAAAATAAAAGTAGTTAAACAGACCTAGAGTTTCCTAACTGTGAAGAAATAACACTGCCCTGGATTTCTCAGAATTTCAGTAAGTCATAGTTTCCTGAGACTCTTTACACACCATGAAAATTAGATCTGCAGCCATTTGTCTAATTAATTGTTTTGATTCAAAAGGATAGTGCAATTTCTTCTATCTGCCTGAAGGGTTCAAATGATTCTAGCACCAATACATTCCTAGATTAAATCACTGAGGAGCTAGGAAGATTGGGGTTATCTTCTTCAATACTTACATTCCAAGGAATAATGAGGCCGTTGGACCTTGGAGAGAGCTTTAGGTTATAATATCTGTGACATGAAAGCTATGTGGTGCTCATCAAAATTTTTATATATCAAAATTTTGTATATGTCAAATTTCTGAAATAAGGAGATGCTTTCAGTGGAGTAGGGACATCAATTTTTCCCCTTTATAAGCAGATACATTTTTTTCTTCTCTTTAATCTATGACAGGTGTGCCCTCTCATGTAGGAAAAACCCCATTAGCTTTCACCTTGTCTCCCTAGGGGTAAGAAAAGTCCCTTAGAAGAGCCTACTGCTTATTATTTACTGTTCTAATTGGAAATTTAACACCTGATATGGTTTGGCTCTGTCCCCACCCAAATCTCATCTTGAATTCTCACATGTTGTGGGAGAAGCCTGGTGGGAAGCAACTGAATCATGAGGGCAGGTCTTTCCCCTGCTGTTCTCGTGATAGTGAATAAGTCTCTTGAGATCTGATGGTTTTGTAAAGAGGAGATCCTCTGCACAAGCTCTCTCTTTGCCTGCTGCCATCCGTGTAAGACATGACTTGCTCCTTGTTGCCTTTTGCCATTATTGTGAGGCCTCACCAGCCATGTGGAAGTGTAAGACCATTAAACCTCTTTCTTTTGTAAAGTGCCCAGTCTTGTGTATGTCTTTATCATCAGAATCAATAAATTGATACCAGTAGAGTGGGGTGCAGCTGAAAAGATACCCCAAACGTGGAAGTGACTTTGGAACTGGGTAATAGGAAGAGGTTGAAACAATTTGGAGGGCTCAGAAGAAGACAGAAAAATATTGGAAAAGTTGGAACTTCCTAGAGACTTGTTGAAAGGCTTTGACCAAAATGCTGATAATAATATCGACAATGAAATCCAGGCTGAGGTGGTCTCAGATGGAGATGAGGAACTTGTTGGGAACTGGAGAAAACGTGACTCTTATTATTTTGTAGCAAAGAGACTAGTGGCATTTTGCTCCTGCCCTAGAGATTTGTGGAACTTTGAACTTGAGAGAGATGATTTAGGGTATCTGGCAAAATAAATTTCTAAGCAGCAAAGCATTCAAGAGGTGACTTGGGTACTGGTAAAGGCATTCAGTTTTAAAAGGGAAACAGCGCATAAAAGTTCAGAAAATTTGCAGCAGGACAATGCAATAGAAAAGAAAATCCCATTTTCTGCGGAGAAATTCAAACTGGCTGCAGAAATTTGCATAAGTAACCAGGAGCCAGATGTTAATCCCCAAGACAATGAGGAAAATGTCTCCAGTGCATATGATTGCATATTACGAACTATTTTTTTAAGCTAATTTTTTTTTCTTTTGAGACACGGTCTCACTCTGCCACCCAGGCTGGATTGCAGTGGTGCGTGATCTCGGCTCACTGCAACTTCCGCCTTCTGGGTTCAAGCAATTCTCTGGCCTCAGCCTCCCGAGTAGCTGGGACGACAGGTGCCTGCCACCATGCTCAGCTAATTTTTGTAATTTTACTTTCACCATGTTGGCCAGGCGGGTCTCAAACTCCTGACCTCAGGTGATCCACCCACCTCATCCTCCCAAAGTCCTGGGATTACAGGCATGAGACATCGCACCCAGCTGCATATTACAAAGTTTTGATTAATCACCTTACCATGTTGATTTTCCTGTAGCTACTCATTGCACCTGTCTTCCATTTTCAGAGAATGCAACATGAGGTTCTTTGAGTTATTCCCTTTTATTCAGCAAGTGTATCAATCAGTCAGTACATACTTCCACCTGTTTCCATATTTTGACTACTTTTCTCTGTGTTTAGCTCCCTCAGATTGGGAACCACTATTGTGAATCTGAAAAGGTGTGAGTGTAATGGGAAGACCATAGTAAAAGCAGAAGAACATTATAAGACATTACTTACCCTCAATGACAAGTCATTAGATATCTGGTATTTTAATGGCAAATAATTGAACATTCTTACGTCTAACTTTTTCACTTAAAGTGAATTACTGTTATATATTTCCATCATTTAGTTTTTCCTCTAATCTATTTTTTCCTAACAGAGGAAAAATTGACTTCAATAAAATCCCATCCTTTTTGAATTCCAACATTTATTCTATTAGAATGTGGATTTTATTAACTATTTTTTCCCTAAGCCCATGTAACATAGTGTTTTTAAATAGCCTCAGGGTAAATGTTATGATTTCAAAGGCTTCAGTTTTGTTAAGTTTTTATGTCACCCTCAGACTGCTGTAAGCCATTTTTCTCAGAGTTAAAAAGTCCATTCCTTTAAAGTTAATTGGCACTGACTCATAATATAATTTACAGTTATTTTGCTGTTATGATTTATACCAACTATGCCCTAAAGAATATTAGGATAATTCAAAGCTACAAAACAAACATCTGAGAAAGTATTGAATAGACAGAATAAATGAAAATATTTTATAGGGTATTTGAGACTAAATGAAGAGTCAGTTAAAAAATGAAAAGAGGCTATTCCAAAATGTGTAAATTAATTGAGATAAGAAGAGTCCATTTATACTAGAAGAAAGCTGCTGAATTTTTATAGAATTATAGATTTGCTAGAGAAAAAGTAACTATTTGACCTCTTCTTTCTTTTTTTTTTTTTTTGAGACGGAGTCTCACTCTGTCACCCAGGCTGCAGTGTGCAATGGTGTAATCTCGGTTTACTGCAACCTCTGCCTCCAGGGTTCAAGCAATTCTCCTGCCTCAGCCTTCCAAGCAACTGGGATTACAGGCGCAAACCACCACACTGAGCTAATTTATTATTTTTTTTGTATTTTAGTAGAGATGTAGTTTCACCGTGTTGCCCAGGCTGGTCTCGAACTCCTGAGCTCGGGCAATCTGTCCACCTTGGCCTCTCAAAGTGCTAGGGTTATAGGCGTGAGCCACCGCGCCTGGCCCTATTTGACCTCTTCTACACTGTAGACCAGACATGGTCCCAGGATACATGTCACTACAGGTTTATGTGACCAGTAATAGAGGTGACCAAGATGGGGGTGGGTCAGCGAAATTGATCTGCCTGTGGGGCTGGAAATTAGGGGATATGTTTTCTGTAGAGAATTTTAAAACTACATTTAAAAAGCCAACTCAAATTTGTTTTGCATTTTTATTGTCATTCTATTAGTGTCAATGATAAAATGTTCCTTTAGGACAAGGCAGACTGCCCCCATGTTCTCTCTCCCTTGGCTTGCCATTAATCAAGTGTCAAGAACGAAGCCTGTCTTGGGCGATACCAGTGGTGCATTTGACCATAGGATAAAGTGGAATCCAGTGGCCACTGTGATTCTCCTTTCCACTCTCACGGTTACGAGTTGAGGCAGAAGGAGCTGCTGCTGTTTCCCTGGACAGTACTACAATGAATTTCATAATAGCATAGTATTTCTTGATGAGAATGGGTAAGCATAGAGCCTGAAGCAAAACTGGAACACTGAAAAATTTGTTTCAGAGCATTTAAGATTTTAATTTCTTAGAGTGTTTAATTTGTTACTAAGAGACATGGAGAGTTGGGTTAAAGAGAAAAAAAAAAACTTGAATCTTTGCTGAGGTAGCTTCTCAAGGTGTTGCAAAGTAACAACTGTATTTATGCCTTAGTTGGCTTTGATTTTGGCTCAGAAAGTTTCATATTATCAATTTACGTTAACCTCTTCCAGGTATTAGTTTATTTTCCCCTTTTCTTTTACACACAGACACAAAGTCGCAAACATTAATTTAGGAGCAAGAATAGAAAATATTTTTTGAGATGTTACTTTACAGAGAGCTATTTTTGCTTGACACCTTTCCTTTCTACATGCAGTGAAATACATCGTGATTGCAAAGGGTGAAGAAGTGGGGTTTGTGCACTTTTGAGTGTGTATTGAAAAATATTATTATTCATTTAGTAGCTTTGTATTACTTGACAGGCTGTATAAATTCTGACATTTCCCAGTACAATTACATATAATACAGGGATAGTCAAATTTACACATATATACAAACATCTATAAATGATCATCATCAAAAAGGCAAATACATTTTTAAGAGATAACCCATGACTTTTCTTTCTTATTATTTCCATAAGCAATTGTAGTCTTTTCTTTAAAAATGCCATGACTCAAAAGAATTTCAGAAGTACCTGCTTCAAAATCCACTTAATACTGGAGTCACTGTCAATACCAAGAATACACAGAGTAAAGATGGAATCAGTTGCTCATAATATTCTCTACCATCGCTGTTCAATAGAAACCTGTGATGTTAATAATGTGCCATGTGCTGTCTAATACAGTAGCTACTAGCCACAGGTGACTATGAAGCACTTACAATGTGGCTATGTAACTAGCAACTCTACTTATAACATTTTAATTTTAATTACCTTAAATTTAAATTGTCACTGGAAACTAGTTGTTACCATATTAGCCAATGCAGTATGTGATGTTCCATTTAAATGGACTCTGTATGATGTTTATTCTCCTTGCTTTTAATAACACCAGGAAAAGGTATTGTTTTCCTTTCTATATTTTAGCTAAGATAGGCTGTTCAATGACACAGTATATCTTGAAATTACAGTGGCTTAACAAAGCAAAGTTTGATTTCTCTCCAAGTCCAGTGACATTTGGTGGATATGCTCAATAGGCATTTATGATTCAAAGTGTTTTACTCCATTTGGGCTACTATAAAAATAACATAAACTTGGTAGAATATAAACAATAGAGATTTATTTCTCACAGCTCTGGAGGCTAAGGCCAAGATTAGGTGCCAGCACATTCAGTGTCTGGCATGGATCCGTTTTTTGGTTCAGATATGGATGGCACCTTCTCACTGTGTCCTCATAGTGGAAGGGGTGAGGAATCTCTCTGGGGCCTCTTTTATAAGGGCACTAATCTCATTCATGAGGACTCCACTCTCATGAACTAATCACTTCCAAAATTTCCACCACCTAATACTCTTACCTTGGGGGTTAGGATTTCAACATGCAGCACAAACATTCACCTGGTAGCACAAGGTAGAGGCCACTTCTATCTTGCAGCTCTGCTAAGTCATCTCATGGCCACAGTAGCTGCAGCATCAGTGAAAGAGAAGTTGTGGAGAACGATCATGGCTCCTAAGACTCTCATCAGAAGTGACACACGTGACTTCCCTTCACTGTTCACCAGTCAGGACAGTCACAAGGCTTCCAGAAACCTCCAAGAAGTCTGGACAGTCTTCTTAGAGCCTAAGAAGCATAGAGACAGCTTTGCAGTGAGCGCAAGTAATCATTATTCCTCCATATGTTAGCTTTGAGATCAGGGACACATCAGTGAGACTCTCCAAGTTTCAGTTGCTTTATCTCCTTGAAACAGGGATATTACAACTGATTACAGAAAATACTCAAGGATTACATAGGATAATCTCACAGAAGTTTCATAGCACAGGATCTTCCTCATAGTAAATGTTCAATAAATGTTACTTCTATTGTTTTTAGATCATCATTTATTTCCAATGCCATTTTTTCCTTTGGCTTAAGTTTAAACGCATACACCCTGATATTATTCACTTTTAATTTCATTTAGTGCTATGTTTGCATTGCATTTTTTTCTTAAAGATTATTTAGGGGAAAAATTAAAGAAAATATGAAATATGATAAAACTCTTAGAATACCTGTAGATACAAAGCATTTATTATCTAGTCATGGTATGCATATTTGGTAACTGAATTAAGGCAGAAATGCATATTAAACTTTAACAATGTATTGGTGGAGGCCGGGCACGGTGACTCATGCCTGTAATCCCAGCACTTTGGGAGGCCGAGGCAGGTGGACCAGGAGGTCAGGAGATCGAGACCATCCTGGTTAACACAGTGAAACCCTGTTTCTACTAAAAATACCAAAAAAAAAAAAAAAAAGCCAGGTGTGGTGGTGCGTGCCTGTAGTCCCAGCTACTCGAGAGGCTGAGGTAGAAAAATCTCTTGAACCTGGAAGGTGGAGGTTGAGTTGAGCCAAGATTACGATTGTACTAGCCTGGGCAACAAGAGTGAATCTCTCTCTGTCTCTCTCTCTCTTTCTCACTCTCTCTGTCTCTCTCTCCTCTCTCTCTCTTTCCTCTCTCTCTCTCTCTCTCATTCCTAGAATGTGTGAACATTAGGGTAATATTTTCCTGTCCAATTTTAGCACAATTTACAGGATGTAATGGCTCCCACCTGTAATCCCAGCACTTTGGGAGGCTGAGGTGAGAGGATTACTTGAGCTCAGGAGTTCAAGATCAGCCTAGGCAACATAGTGAGACCTTGTCTCTACTAAAAACAAAAATTAAAAAAAAAAAAAAAGCCAGGTGTGGTGGTGCACACCCACAGTCCCAGCTATTTGGGAGGGTGAGGTGGGAAGATTCCTGAGCCCAGAAGATTGAAGTGGCAGTGAGCCATAATCCCACCCCTGCACTCCAGCATGGGCCACAGAGCAAGACTCTGTGACAAAAAAAGCCAAAATAAAATAAAAAAGTTCAATCTAGGAGTAAAATAATTTTTTCTCCTTACTTTATTTCAGTAATAAAAATTCTGTAAATCTAAAATCCCAAAAAAACAAAACCATAGAATGTTTTCAGGCATGGTATGGGCAATTTTGCATGTGTGGGGTGGCACTAAATGAGAATTCACCATGTAAAATGAATACTTGAGAAAATATTAGAATCAAAAGATGTTTCTGTAACTAGAGGGCAAGTTCCAGCTGCTCCCAGGCGTATCTAAATCATGCATTCTTGCTTTAGGGGATATGTGACCTTCATATTTGCAATTTTTAAGAAATGTCTTTTCATGCTTTTCATAGTAAAATACCCTGTGTTTTTAAAATTTAATTGTGTGTAATCAGTTTCAAACTAGTATTCGTATCCTGCTTGATTAGTGTCTTTCATTTTAATCAGAGTTCAACACAAACTGGTTACATTTTTTATGTGAATATGCTAGAAAGACAAAAGCAGAGACAGTCATCTAAGGTTGTGACTAAGACCGATTGACCAATGTTATGTCTCATTAAGGTACAGTGCAAGCTGAGAAGAGTTTTAATCCAATATTTGAGAGCAGAAGCAGATTGTGGGGTTCCCCTGACATTCTTTCTTTTTCTTCCTGCACAATTATTCTCATGCCCACCGTCCTGTTTTACACACACACACACACACACACACACACACCCTAGTACATACTCCTCTCTGTATTTTTTTTTCTTTTTACATTTCTCTGATGTGGTTATTAGTATGGAGCCAGTTTCAATCCTGACTTGGGCATGGATATGTTCCAAAAGTGCCTGTTATTTTTATATGATTTTGGCCGCCATTCTTTCATTCATAAATAGTTTGAGACTGAGAAAGTATAAAGAATAAGCAAAGTCTAATCCAGAAATATCACCTATCAATTGGTGTATTCCATCTTTAGCAATCTCCTTTCCAATAAGCTGCTATTTATCTGTAACTGTCCTACCTTAGATGTAATAGTTTTTACCGTGTCCAAATATAAGGAAGAAATTAACTTGAGTAATTTTACATATGGCTCTAGTTATCTAGTGTGGGTTTCACAATGTCTTCATCTATTAACTTTTATATCATTTTGAATGTAAGTATTCTTTTATGAAGCAATATTTTTTCAACATATAATTGGAAATTAGAATTCCATGCAACTTCATAAATGCTGATTTAATATCAAGAACTTAATTTAGGTTAGTTAGAAAATTGAGCCTCCCGGTTGCCACACAATGCATATGGGTGTGTGTACATGGGTTTCATTTACTTTTCAGCCCTATATAATCACCTTGTTACTCTAAACTTTACACCTGAAGCACTGAGCATAAGAGACAGTCATTAACCAGAATGAGCTTGTTTCCCAAGTTCTTATAAAATTAATTATCCCCATAATTTTCTTGTTACTACTTCTAAAACTTATTAAGATATGTCTGTGTGTTTACCTCAAAATTACAATTAAATGTGAAGTTACATGCAACCCAAGGAGTCTCTAATTTGTTTCTTTTCTAGGTGGGAGGATTTTCAAATTAAATTATGTTCTCCGTACCTTAATTTCATGTTGACAAAATCAGAAAAAAATAAGCAAATATACAACAGATGGGCAATGCTTTTGTAAGCAT
Source organism: Homo sapiens (assembly GCF_000001405.40). Classification (NCBI taxonomy): domain Eukaryota; kingdom Metazoa; phylum Chordata; class Mammalia; order Primates; family Hominidae; genus Homo; species Homo sapiens. The sequence goes on from NC_000021.9 coordinate 21,578,996, forward strand.
GGTGTTAATATTATCCAAGGAGACACTCCAGCAAACCATGTTTTTCAAATCAGTCTGTTCTGGCATAAGTTTTTAGGCAAAATTACTCATTAGCATTTAATCCAGATGGTTTTGGGCAGTGCATTTTCCTTCAGCAACTGTCAAGGTGCTGTACTTCGAGTAAGTGACAATGGATACCCGGATTCTTCAAAGTCAAAAGAGTCAATTTTAGAATGGAGTGTAAACCGTTATTCCTAGAGTGTGTGAACATTAGGGTAATATTTTCATGTCCAATTTTAGCACAATTTTAACACCATCTCATAGTGATAAATATATGAAACATAAATTGAAATATGAAATATTTAAATCCATGTAATACAAAGGATGCATCTAAGCATAATTTTCATAACAATATGTATATTTGAGCTCTACATGTTTTATAATTTTTTATAAAACATGAAGATATATATATATACATATAATTTTTTTTTTTTGAGACAGAGTCTTGCTCCTGTCTCCCAGGCTGGAGTGTAATGGCACGATCTCGGCTCACTTCAAACTCTGCCTCCCAGGTTCAAGCGATTCTCCTCCCTCACCCTCCCAAATAACTGGGATTACAGGCACTCGCCACCATGCTCAGCTAATTTTTGTATTTTTGGTAGAGACGGGGTTTCACCATGTTGGCCAGGCTGGTCTCGAACTCCTGAACTCAGGTGATCCACCCGCCTCGGCCTCCCAAACTGCTGGGATTACAGGTGTGAGCCACCATGCCAGGCCAAGATTTATATATTATATATCAGTCTGAGTACAGCTATCCACTTACCCTCCTTTTCAAGGTCTCATTAAATGTGAGGATTTCTGAAGTTCAATAAAGGCCACAAAAAAGTATACTAACAATGACAGTATAAAAAAATAAGGCCAGGTTTGGTGGTTCATGCCTGTAATCCCAGCACTTTGGGAGGCCCAAGCAGGAGGATCACTTGAGCCCAGGCGTTCAAGACCATACTGGAGAACATAGGGAGACATCATCTCTATGAAGAATAAAGAAAAATAGCAGGGAGAGGTGGTGCACACCTGGGGTTCCAGTTACTTGGGAAGCTGACGTGGGAGGATCACTTGAGCCAGGCAGGTGGTGGCTGTAATAAACTATGATCACACCACTCTACTCCAACCTGGGCAAAAGAAGGAGACCTTGTCTCAAAATAAAACAGATATGTATCAGGCAAAGGTTGTTTGCAAGTAAAAAAAATCATATCTACATACCAATTTAAGCAAAAATAATTTACTACAGAGAATTTGGTAAACACAAAGATTGTTAGAAAGTCTAAAATAGCAGGCTTTATGTTCGCGTCAAGTAATGAGTCCCCAGACTATAATTGAATCCAGCATAATAACTGTTGCCTGTTGACCCCAGGAACACAATTCCTACAATCTAAGGATTAGAAGATCATCATCAGAACTGGGGTCTTTAGAGCAAGATCATCTATGCTACAATTCTCACCAGCAAAATGAATTTCATGATTACCCAGCCTGTCTTTCCGCATTCAACTCACTTTTGAATATAATTTGTGGAACCCAATTTGCAAGGGAATTTAGGAAATTTAGGTTTTAATTTGTTTTGCTTTTAACTTTCCAGCCTCTTCAGTGGAGGGAGGCATAGTAAAAGAGTATTGGGTTACATGACCACTGAGTTAATTTTCCATTGCTCTCACAGGCTGCTGAAAGTGGTATTTAGAATATTTCAGAAAAATGGAAATTAACAAGGATCAGATCAACTGATGAGCTACAGCAGAGCCCAGCACAACACACCAAAGACAGAGTAATTCTTTGCTAGGTAGAAACAGAAAACATTAACTGAAGAGTGCTCATATAAAATGGGAAACTTAATTGTAAATGGGTATGCTTTCGACCTCTCCACTGACCAGTTATCCCCCTTATCTATTCCGTCTCCTCAAGTATTTATATTCTCTATTCCCTGAGACACAATATTTAAATTAGGCCAATTAATAACTCCACAATAGCCTCTAAATGTTCAAGTGAAGGGAGGAATCACATGTCTCCCACTTTAAATCAAAAGCTGGAAATGACTAAGCCAAGTGAGGTGGGCATGTTGAAAGCTGAGATAAGGTGAAAGTTAGGCTTTTTTTTTTTTTTTTTTTTGCCAATAGCCAAGTTGTGAATGCAAATAAAAAGGTCCTGAAGTAAATTGAGTGTGCTGCTCCAATGAACACACAAGTAATAAGAAAGTGAAACTGCCTTATTGCTGGTAGAGGGAAAGTTTGGTGGTCTGGAGAAAAGATTAAACTAGGCTCAACATTCCCTTAACCAAAAAGGTGATGAAGCTGTAGAAGAAAAGTCTGAAGCTTGTTAAGATTAGTTCAGGAGATTTCATCAAGGAAGCTATCTCTATAACCTAAAAGTGCAAGGTGAGACAGCAATGCTAAAGTAGAAGTTGCAGCAAAGTCATCCAGAATATCTAGCTAAGATAATTGATAGAGGTAGATATCCTAATCAACAGATTTTCAAAGTAGATAAAACAGCTTTCTGTTGGAAGAAGATGCCATCTAGGACTTCCATAGCTAGAAGAGAGAATTCAGTGCCTGGCTTTAAAGCTTCAAAGGACTGGATGACTCTCTTGTTAGAGGCTACTGCACCTGCTGACTTTAAATGGAATCCAATGCTCATTTACCATTCTGGATATCTTAGTACCCTTAAGAATTACACCAATTGCCTCTGCCTGTGCTCTAGAAATGGAATACAAAAAAGCCTGGATGGCAGCATGTCTGTTTACAGCATGTTTTACTAAGTTTTTTAAGCCTACAATTGAGAACTCTTACTCATTCAAAAAGATTTCTTTCGAAATATTACTGCTCATTGACAATGCACTTTGTCACCTATGAGATCTGATCAAGAAATACACGAAGATTAATGCTTTCATACCTGCAAATACAACATCTGTTTTGCAGCCCATGGATCAAGGAGTAATTTCAACTTTCAAGTCTCAGTTTTATGAAATACATTTCATAAGGCTATAGCTGCATTCAATAGTGAGTTCTTTAGGAGATCTAGGCAGAGCAAACTGAAAACCTTCTGAAAAAGAATTGCCATTTTGGATGCCATTCAGAATATTCCTGATTCATGAAAGGAAGTGAAGATATAAACATTAACACTGTTTTGGAGGAAGTTGATTCCAAACCTCCTGGATGACTTTGAGGAATTCAAGACTTAAGTGAAGAAAGTAACTGCAGATATTGTGGAAATAACAAAACACTCAAATTAAAAGAGAAGCCTTAAGATGTGACTGAGTTGCTATAACTTTATGATCAAATGTAAATGCATGAGTTTTTTTTTTTCTTATGAATGAGCAAACAAAGTGGTTTCTTCAGATGGAATCTACTCCTGGCAAAGATGTTGTGAACTTTCTCAAAATGACAATAAATAATTTAGAGTATTACATAAGCTTACTTGATAAAACAATAGCAGGGTTTCAAATTGACTCCAATTTTGACAAAAGTTCTCCTGTGAGTAAAATGTTATCACACATTATTGCCCACTACAGATAAATCGTTTGTGAAAAAAAAAAAAAGTAAACCCATGAGGCTGATTTAATTGTCTTATTTAAGAAACTGCCACAGTCACTCCAATCTTCAGCAACGATACTCTGATCAGTAAGAATCCATCACCATAGAGGCACAATCCTCCAACAGACAAAAGAATATGACTTGCTGAAGGCTCAGATGATGGCTAGCATTTTCATCAATAATGTACCTTTTTATTAAGACCTTTATATTGTTTTTAGATATAATGCTATTGCACACTTAGTAGACTATAGAATAGTGTAAACATAACTTTTATATGCACTCAGAAAACAAAATATTTATGTGATTCATTTTATTATGATAATTACTCTATTGCAGTGATCTGGAACCAAACCCACAATATCTTCAAGGTATGTGATATAGTTTGGCTGTGTCCCCAACAAAATTTCATCTTGAGTCGTAGTTCCCATAATCCCCATGTGTCAAAGGCAGGACCAGGTGGAGGTAATTGAATCATGGGGTGGTTTACCCCATGCTGTTCTCATAATAGTGAGTTCTCATGAGATCTTATGGTTTTATAAACATCTAGCATTTCCCCTGCTGGCACTCATTATCTCTCCTCTGCCCTGTGAAGAGGTGCCTTCTTCAGATTGCAAGTTTCCTGAGGCCTCCCCAGCAATTCAGAACTGCAAGTAAATTAAACCTCTTTCCTTTGCAAATTACCCTACATAGCAGTATGAGAATGAATTAATACACTAAATTGGTACAGGAAACAGTGGGTTGTTGCTATAAGGCTACCCAAAAATGTGGAAACAACTTTGGAACTGGGTAATAAGCAGATGTTGGAACAGTTTGTAGAGCTCAGAAGAAGACAGGAAAATGTGGAAAAGTTTGGAACTTCCTAGAGACTTTTTAAATGGCTTTGAACGAAATGCTGATAGTGATAGGGACAATGAAGTCCAGGCTGAGGTTGTCTCAGATAAAAATGAGAAACTTGCTGGGAACTGTAAAGGTCACTCTTGTAATGCTTTAGCAAAGAGACTGGAAGATTTCTGCTCCTGCCCTAGAGATCTGTGGAACTTTGAACTTGAGAGAGATAGTTCAGGGAATCTGGCAGAAGAAACTTCTAAGCAGCAAAGCATTCAAGACGTGACAGAGTATAAAAGTTTAGAAAATTTGCAGCCAGTCTATGCAGTGGGAAAGAAAGCTCATTTTCTCTGGAGAAACTAAAATCTGCTGCAGAAATTCACATAATTAATTAGGACCCAAATGCTAATCACCAAGACAATAGGGAAAATATCTCTAGGGCATGTCAGAAACCTTGCAGGCAGCTCCTTCCATCACAGGCCCGGAGGTCTAAGAGGTAAAAATAGTTTCCTTCCTGGACCATGCCAAGGGCTCCCAGCTCTGTGCAGTCTCAAGACTTGGTTCCCTGTGTCCCAGCTACTTCAGCTCCAGCCATGGCTAAAAGAGGCAAAAGTACAGCTCAGGGCATTACTTTAGAGGATGCAAGCCCCAAAACATGGCAGCTTCCATGTGATGTTGAGCCTGTGGGTGCATTGAAGTCAAGAATTGAGGTTTGAAAACACCACCTACATTTCAGAGGATGTATGGAAATGCCTGGATGTCCAGGCAGAAGGTTGCTGCAGGGGTGGAGCCCTCATGGAGACTCTCTGCTAGGGCAGTGCAGAAGGGAAATGTGGGGTTGGAACCCCCACATAGTGTCCCCACTGGGGCACTGCCTACAGGAGCTGTGAGAAGAGGGCCATTGTCTTCCAGACCCTAAAATGGTAGATCCACTGACGGCTTAACACCATGCAACTGGAAAAGCCACAGGAACTCAATGCCAGCCTGGAAAAGCAGCCAGGAGGGGAGCTGTAACCTGCAAAGCCACAGGGGCAGAGCTGTCCAAGGCCATGGGAGCCCACCTCTTGCATCAGCGTTACCTGGATATGTAATGCTGGAATCATGGAGTCAAAGGAGATTATTTTGGAACTTTAATGTTTAATGACTGCCCTACTGGATTTTGGACTTGCATGGGACTTGTAGCCTCTGTGTTTTGGCCAATTTCTCCCATTTGGAATGGGTGTATTTACTCCATGCCTGACCTCCATTGTATCTAAGAAATAACTAAGTTTGCTATTGATTTTACAGGCTCGTAGGTGGAAGGGCCTTGCCTTATTTCAGATGAGACTTTGGACTTGGAAATTTGGGTTAATGCTGGAATGAGCTAAGAGTTTGGGAGAATGTTGGGAAGGCATGATTGTATTTGAAATGTGAAATGGAGGTGAAATTTGGGAGGGGCTAGGGGAAGAATGATATGGTTTGGCTGTGTCCCCACCCAAATCTCATCTTGAATTACTGGGATTAGTTCCCATAATCCCCACAAGCCAAGAGCAGGTTTAAGTAAAGGTAATTGAATCATGGGGCTGCTTTCCCTCATGCTGTTCTCCTGATAGTGAGTGAGTTCTCATGAGATCTGATTTTTTTAAGTGTCTGGCATTTCCCCTGCTGGCATTTATTCTCTCTCCTGCTGCCCTGTGAATAGGTCCCTTCTGTCATGATTGGAAGTTTCCTGAGGCTTTCCCAATAATGCAGAACTGTGAGTCAATTAAACCTTTTTCCTTTTCAAATTACCTATTCTCAAGTATTTCTTCATAGCAGCATGAAAACGGACTAATACAGTATGTCTGTATAAAAAAAATTAATAAAAGATTCAAAAGCAAGACCCAGATGCTAACTTAATCATCCTTTATGAGACGGGGTTTAGTACTTACTGACAAAACTTTATATGTTAAGAAATAGAAGAATAGTTGTTAAAGAAGCAATAAAAACTAATACCATTAACATAGGTCACTTCTGTGAATTGAGATTAAAGGTATAGTGAAGAAAGGAAATGATTTAGTTTTCATGTGTATGTTGTGTATTATTTATAAATTAGAATAATCTGAAACTGTTTCCACTGACCTCCCAGTTATTCACTTTTTTTTTTTGCCAAACATATGAGAAGTGGATTTTTTCATTCAACTGACTCTATCCATAGGGAGGAGAAGCACAAATATTTCAGCAATTACTTGATCCTATACTTAGATCCTATACTTAGTTTTGGTCTACTCGTTTACACGAAGTGAGTATATCCATTACTTGAATTTGGTAACTACTTCTCTGTGGATGAGTCCCCTAGTCTCTAGTGTAGTTCAGTGTCTTCTCCTAAACTTCAGACTCAGTACAGAGCTCATCTCATCTTTACTTGAGGAACTCACAGTCATCTTAAACTCATATCCAATACTGACTATCTAAGTTGTTGGAATCATCGGTGAACTAAAAGAATAATTAGTCTTAGTTGGTAGTTCTCCCATACAAATAAACCTTTAAGTTCTTTTTATTTAATTTTTCCATGCAAATATTTAACATTGTCTTCTATATATTTTAATTCATTGTTTTATTTTAGCCTTTCATCTTTTCTGATCTAGACTCCTACTTATCATCTCCTCCCATATCCTCTGCTCTCAGACATATTTACAACATGGCCACCAGAGATCTACCTAAAAATAAAATCCAAGTATGCTTATTCTTTGCTGGAAAGCATTCAATGGCTCCCCTTAACCTAGAATTTATAGGTGAAAGCCATACTGCAATGATTATGTGACCCTCCATGTTATCTGTGTCTTCAAACCTTTTTAAACTTCCTCCGTTGTATTTTCTGTTTGGACAATTTTGAATAACTTACCCTATCCTACTATCCTACATATATGCAAATACCACATTGTTTCTTTTTTCCACACCTATGTTATCTTCTCACTGTCCTGTTCCTTAGGCTCTTAACCTGCTCTCAAGTGGTCTGTATGACTTGTTGTCCATGGCTGGTGATGTACACTTTCTAAATACTCACATCCACATATGACCATGTGTACTTAGTACACATTTTACTTTCCAGTTTGTCTTAGAATAATCTTTTCTGTGGATCTATTTTTCAACCAGATTGCTGACTTCTTGGTGTCTGCATATATGTCTTGATTACTCTCATCTTGTTAACAACATCAAATCAATATCAATAATTAAATAATTATTTAATGAACAAATGGCCCATTGGTGGTTCTGTTATTAATGGCACAAAATAACTCTTACATGTCAGAAGGGATGTTCTTAAACTGTCAGTACTTCTAAGCACTTAAATGAACACCTTTAAAAATAATCATAGCTAAGTGTATTGCATGGAAATTATTTTTAAGAGATTGAAAATGATAACTGGAATATTTAATGCAGAGGAGGGTAAATAAGAAACTTTTTTTCTCATTTTGTGGGTTGCTCCAGTCGTAAGAAAACTGTTTTTTTGAGCAGGTGCCTCCAGTTGTTAGTCTGCAGGAGGTTATTCAAAACTGGGGCACACTGGGTTAGTTTCCATGGAAGCAGAAATTAACCCCCAGGAACCTCATACGTTTTTAGCACCATCCGGAGGACATCTGGTATAGCACCCATCAGAAACAACAACTGAGGCAAATTCCCACTATAAAATACAAGTAGAAGGAAGAGCAGTCACCTTCATAATCATTTCTTACACTACTATAAATCTTCCTTTGAAATGATGTATGTTTTATCAGAATATTCAGAGTAAATTGCTATAATTTAATTTTTTGAAGTATTCTTTTCCCAAATCATAAATTATCTTAATGTAAATTATTATAGACTAGTCATAAATATTTAAGATTGATAAACTTTTTGGCAAATACTTTATCCGTGCTTTTACTCTTCACATGGATAAATTTAAAATTTTTCTTTTTTAAACATTTATATATGCCTTAGCCATATTTTTCAAGAAATGTTTCAAGAACTCAGAAAAAGATTGGACAAGGATTATACACTTGTTAGGAAAAAATTCTTTTAAGGATTATATTGAATTTATTTAACAATCTCTGCCAGGCATTGTTGAAGTGTTTTGTAATACTGTCTCATTTAATACTACATATTTGTAAACATTAACTTATTTAATTCTTATAACAACCATATAAACGGAAATATTATCATCTACTCCCTTTCACAAATAAGGAAGCTCAGGCTGAGACTGATTATGACATTTTGCTATGTCAAACAGTTAAATGGTGGCAAAGTCAGAATTTTACTGGTCAGTCTGGAACCAGAGTTCAAGCCACCTACAACTATATCATGTTACTTCCCTCTTGTTTTTGTCAAAGACAGGAAATGAATGTTCCAAGAAGCAAAGGACTAAGGAGGGCTGTGTGGATCTCATCTCATACAGAGATTTGAGATTTTGAAAGAATGAAAAGGACATGAATGGAATTCTTATCACAGATTCTTCCTCTTGTATTTTTTATTGTTCTCATCTGGAATCTGGAACTTCTTAAGCTTCTCTTTCAGCCCTTTATTTCTGTGACCTTCACTGCAGTAAGATTGCCTGGTGAACCTCTACATCATAAAGAAATAATTTCATTTAATAACCAGATCTGTAGCAAAACTGCCTCTTGCTTTCTCACATCTATTTTAACATTGACTTTGAGAAGTACAATGAAAGAATTAAGAATTTAAGCAGAACAGTATCCTGTTGCAGACATTGTAAATGTCAATATATTGCAAAATTAAACTAAATTCAAAATAGTATTTTTCCAGCTATATCAATTGAAATGTCCTGGGATCAATTTTATTCCATGATTCATACAAGCATCTGAATTCTTGTTTCTAATACTGTTTCCCACTAAACAGAATCACGACTCCTTAGAGAAATGGCTGATTTGATATTTGATATTTGAAAGGTAAAAGGTTAGCCTCAAACACATTGCTATGTCAGAAACCAAGACGTCTTTTAAGTATAAAAGGTTCATGTTGAAGGGCCAAGCTAAACTTACAGAAACATTGGCCAAGTAGAGACAATTTTAGATTAAAAGAATATTAAGTTTGTCTAATTTACAGTGAATATGAAAAATTATAAATAATGAAACAAAAAATACTATGTTAACCAAGTGTATTAATGAAGATGAAGAAAACAATGCATTTCCATTGAGTCTTGTTCATTAATCATTTTGTTATCACTGACTAATTTATTTTACCAAGAAAAATGTAAAAATTAGTAAATATAAATAAAATAGTTAGAAAGCATGGTCTAACTTGACTGACTTGGAATGACCTTCTGTTTTCATGGCTGGTCATGCAAGTATCCTAAATTCAACTGGATACAGTTTTAAGTACCTTTAAGAGTTTTATTGCCCTAAGATAATAGAATGGTGAACATTTATGAGGTTCAAATGAATTTATAATTACATATTTTAAAGCTAGGACATTCAGAACGGCAGAGTGATGATGTGGGGAGGTGGAAGACACCCTCCCTACTAAATAGCCATTAAGGATGTGGAAATCATAAGCAACCATTTGAAGTCTCTGTAAATGGTGCTAAGGGCATACATCAAATGGAGAAACATTTATTTAGGAAAATCTGCTCTGTCTCAGTAGAAACAATGCCGGTGGTGTTTGGCCACAACTTGTTCCCTTCAACTGCAGAGCGGTATGATGGAAGCTCTACTTCAGCTTGGTGTAATTAAGAAGATGATCTCCTTCTCCCTATAGGTTTCATCACAGTTTGGGACTACAGTTTTATCTAGGGAGGGACAGAGAGCAGAAACTCTTATACCACCTAACCCTGTATTGCAGAAGCTGTATTTCAGCAAATCCATCGAAGAGCAGAGCACTGGTGTTCATCTCCCCTACAAAGCCCTCAAGAGTAACATAATACAAAAATACTGGACTCCAGTCACTGTGACATAGTTCACACTTTTGATGAAATTTCCAAGACTGACTAATGTTCCCTTAAAATAAGGAATAAGGCAAGGATGTCATCACTCACCACTTACGTTCAACATTTTATTAGAAGTCCTAAACATGGAAATTAGGCAAAACCATGAAATAAAAAGCCATTTAAATTGGAAAAGAAGCATTAAAATTATTTTTATTTGTATATGGAATTATAATATATATTAAAAATTACTATAGACTAACCATAAAAGTCCAAAAATGAAATTAAGACAATAATGCCACTTGTAATAGTATGAAGAATAAAATACTTAGAAATAAATTTAACAAAACAAGCTTGATACTTTTACACTGAAAAGTAAAATTAAATATTGAAAGAAATTAAAGAAGATCTAAATAAATGGAAACACAATCCAAGTTTTGAATCAGAAAACAGTATTTTTAAGGTGGCAATATTACCAAAATCAAAAAATCCATGTGAAAACCCTGGATTTGTTATATGACAAATTGATCCTAAAAGTCATGTGGATATGCAAGTGTTATGGAATAAATTTTGTTCCTCAAAATTTATATTAATAAAGTCCAAACCACTAGTATCTCAGAATTTGACAGTGTTTAGTATTAGGGTCTTTAAAGAGGTAATGAAATTAAAATGAGGTCACCAGAGTGGGTCATAATCTAATATAAATTATGTCCTTGTAAGAAGAGAAAAATTGAACACAGGTAGACACAGAGGGAAGACCATGTGAAGACATGGGAGAAGATGGACATCTATAAGTCAAGGAAAGAGGCTTCAGGAGAAATTAACTCTACCAAAACCTTGATCTCAGATTTAAGTCTTCAGAATAGTGAGGAAATGTTTTTAAGCCACCTAGTTCATAGTACTTTGCTTTAGTAACCCTAGCAAATTAACACAAAAAGAACATAGAATACCCAAAACAATCTTGAAAAAGGAAAAAAGTTGGAAGTCTCATACTTCCAGATTTCATAACTGACTGTGAAGCTACAGTAATCAAAACAGTGTGATACTGCAATAGAATAGACATGTAAATCCATGAAATAGAACTGAAAGTACAGAAATAAGTTCTCATATTTACAGTAAATCAATTTTTACAAAGGTGCCAAACCAGTTCTATATATAAAATATCCCTTTCAAAAAATGATGCTATGATGACTGGATTTACACATTGAAAAGAATATGTAAGAGTCCTTCTTCACACCATACACTGAAATTTCCCAATCATATATTGGAGAAATTAAATGTAAGAGATTAAATTAAAAATTTTTTATTATACTTTAAGTTTTAGAGTACATGTGCACAATGTGCAGGTTTGTTACATATGTATACATGTGCCATGTTGGTGTGCTGCACCCATTAACTCGTCATTTAACATTGGGTATATCTCCTAATGCTATCCCTGCCCCCTCCCCCCACCCCACAACCAACCCAAATGTCCAACAATGATAGACTGGATTAAGAAAATGTGGCACATATACACCATGAAATACTATGCAGCCATAAAAAATGATGAGTTCATGTCCTTTGTAGGGACATGGATGAAGCTGGAAACCATTATTCTCAGCAAACTATTGCAAGAACAAAAAGCCAAACACCGCATGTTCTCACTCATAGGTAGGAATTGAACAATAAAAAACTTTTAGAAAAACAGGAGTAAATCTTAGAAGAAAACTTAGGAATATATGATTTTAAGTTAAGCAATGATTTCTTAGATCTGACACCAATAGCACAAATGACAAAAGAAGAAAACCATAAATTATACATACTCATAATTTTAAATTTTTGTGCTGTAAATGATAGTATCCAGGAATTGAAAACAAAGAGAATGGGAATCAATATTTTAAAATTATGTATCTGATAAGCCATATGCTTCCAGAATACATAAAGGGCACTTACAGCTCATTAGTAAAAATATAAATAATCTAATTAAAAATGGACAAAAGATCAGAATAGAAATTTCTTCAAAAAAATGTTAAATAGCCAATAATCACATTAAAAATTGCTCAACATAATTAGTCAAATGGGAAAATGCAACACGAAACTGCAGTGAGATGATGCTTCATGCCTCCTAAGATGGCTATGATGAAAGACATCTAACAAACATTGTCAAGGATGTGAAAAAATGTTATCCTCATAAATTCCTGGTGGTAAAGAAGTGCAGCTGTTTTAGAAAACATTCTGGCAGTTCCTCAAAGGGTTAAACATAAACTTACCATATGACCTAGTAATTCCACTTCTAGGTAAATCTAAGAGATATAAAAACATTTGTCCATTCAAAAACTTCTACATTAATCTTCATAGTAACACTATTCTTAATAGCCAAAAGGTTGAGACAACCTCAGTTTTCATTAACAATGGATAAATAAAATGTAGTATATTCATACAATAGGATAACATTAATATAAGAAATAAAGTATTGAAGTATGCTCCAACATGGATTAATCTTGAAAACATTATGCTAAGTGAAAAAAGTCAGCCACAAAGGACTACATATTGTATGATTCCATTTATCTGAAACGTCCATTAAAGGCAAATACATACAGGCAGAAGTTGGACTGGTGGTTGCCCAGGGCTGGGGATTTCAGGTGCAAGAGGAAACAACTGCTAATGAATATGGAGTTTCTTGTTGGGGTGTCAAGTACGTTGTGAAATTTTTTTTGCCACGATGGTTGTACAACTCAGTGAATATATATTTTAAAAAACACTAAGTAGTACCCTGTAAGGGAATAAATTGTATGTTAAGTAAAATATCTCATTAAAATTGTGTCAAAATTATAGTTCTAGGATCCCTTTAAGTTAAAATTTTTAGGGCTAACAGGAAAAAACTTTATTAATATGGTTAGAAGCTACAGTCTTCTATTAAAGGAACTAAATAACCTGAACAACTAGAGGTGGCATAATAATCATTCCCCTTTTGGAGTTATGGAATAATTCATAGAATGACTATAAACAGAGCTTAGCACATTCCATAAGGGTCTCAAACAAGGATTTGGGAAACCTCAGATTTAAGTCTTGGTAGTTGGTAAAAAACAAATAGAAAAAAAAAACAAAAAATGTGGTAAGTAGTCTCTAAAGATAATGATAATTATGTGAGCTCAATTTAATTGACAGTGGGGCTTACACCATATTCTTCCAATGCTTACAGTCATTGCTCAAAACTACCTTCTCTTTTGACGTCCTTTTCTACAGAACTGAGGGCTTCTAGACAAAGGCTCGACTTCACACCATCATAGCCATATCAGCTGAATCTTCTGTCAATTAGTAATACCACAAAAATATGGAAAGCCCAGAAGGACAGTGTTATGTTTCTAGTACACAAATAGAAGCTTTAGGATTGCAGTTGAAAGGGAGAATAGCTGTGGTATCCACAGTTAACTGAGTGAAGACCACAATAAAGACTCAAAAATGGTGTAGTGAAAAAATTACTGGACAATAAATTCAATATGGCATTTACAATCTTGTTTTCAGTTGAGTGATTCTAACAAAGAGATCTTCTTTTGACAATATTTATTTTCTTCAAATAATTATACTGAAGAATTACTGTTCTCATGTAATATGCAACAGTGCCATTGCCTTTGTGGAATTCCCTCTCCTACAATGTGAATTGGATTTAGAGACTCCCCATGTAACAAATACAAAAAACGAGAAGTTAGTGGATGTCAATCCACTATTAGGACATTGTATTAGTCCATTTTCATGCTGCTGAGAAAGACATGCCTGAGACTGGGCAATTTACTAAAGGAAGAGGTGTAATGGACTTAGAGTTCCACATGACTTGGAAAGCCTCACAATCATGGCTGAAGGCAAAGAGGAGCAAGTCATATCTTACACGGATGGCAGCAGGCACAGAAAGAGTTTCTGCAGGGCGACTACCATTTTTAAAATGATCAGATCTTGTGAGACTCATTCATTACCACAAGAACTGTGCAGGAAGCCCCGCCCCCCATAATTCAATCACTTCCCACCAGGTTCCTTCCACGATATATGGGAATTATGGGAGTTATAATTCAATATGAGATTTGGGTGGGGACACAGTCAAACCATATCATTCTGCCCCTGGCCCCTTCCAGATCTCATGTCCTCACATTTCAAAACCAGTCATTCCTTCCTAGCAGTCCCCCAAAGTCTTAACTCATTTCAGCATTAACTCAAAAGTCCAGAGTCCAGTGTCTCATCTGAAACAAGGCAAGTCCTTCTGCCTATGAGCCTGTAAAATCAAAAGCAAATTAGTTACTTTCTAGATGCAATGGGGATACAGGCATTTGGTAAATACACCCATTCCAAATGGGAGAAATTTGTCAAAACAAAGGGGCTACAGGTTCCATGAAAGTCTGACATCCAGCAGGGCAGTCAAATCTCAAATCTCCAAAATGATCTTCTTTGATTCTATGTCTAACATCCAGGTCACAATCATGCAAGAGGTAGGTTGCCATGCTATTGGGGCAGCTCTGTCCCTGTGGCTTTGCAGGGCACAGCCTCCTTCTGGGCTGCTTTCACGGGCTGGCTTTGAGTGTCTTTGGCTTTTCCAGGCACAAGGTACAAGGTGTGCATGGATCTACCATTCTGGGGTCTGGAGGATGGTGGCCCTCTTCTTACATCTCCACTAGGCAGTGCCTCAGTAGGGACTCCAAGTGTGAGCTCCAACCCATTTCCCTTCTGCTCTACTTTAGCAGAGGTTCTCCATGAGAGCCCCACCACTGCAGCAAACTTCTGTCTGGACATCCAGGCATTTTCATACATCCTCTGAAATCTAGGTGAAGGTTCCCAAATCCCAATTTATGACCTCTGTGCACTCACAGGCTCAATACCACATGGAAGCTGTCAAGGCTTGGGGCTTGCACCCTCTGGAGCCATGGCTTGAGCTGTACCTTGGCTCATTTTAGTCATGGCTGGAATGGCTGGGACACTGAGCACCAAGTCCCTAGACTGGACACAGCATGGGGACCCTGGGCCTGGCCCACAAAACCATTTTTTCCTCCTTGGCCTTTGGGACTGAGATGGGAGGGGGTGCCGTGAAGACCTCTGACATGCCCTGGAGGCATTTTCCCCATAGTCTTGGGGACTAACTTGTTATTTATGCAAATTTCTGCAGCCAGCTTGAATTTCTCCTCAGAAAATAGGATTTTCTTTTCATCACATTGTCAGGCTGCAAATTTTCTGAACTTTTATGCTATGTTTCTCTTATAAAACTGAATGCCTTTACCAGTACCCAAGTCACCTCTTGAATGCTTTGCTGCTTAGAAACTTCTTCTGCTAATTACCCTAAATCATCTCCCTCAAGTTCAAAGTTCTGCATATCTCTAGGGCAGGGGCAAAATGCCACCAGTCTGTTTGCTAAAACATAACAAGAGTCACCTTACATCCAGCTTGCAACAAGTTCCTCATCTCCATCTGAGACCACCTCAGCCTGGATTTTGTTGTCAATATTATTATCAGCATCTTGGTCAAAGCCACTCAACAAGTCTCTAGGAAGTTCCAAACTTTCCACATTTTGCTGTCTTCTCCTGAGCCCTCCAAACTGTTCCAGCCACTCCCTGTTACCCAGTTCAAAAGTCTCTTCCACATTTCCTAGTATCTTTTCAACAACGACCCACTCTATTGGTATGAATTTACTGTATTAGGCCATTTTCATACGCTGATAAATACATACCTGAGACTGGACAATTTCCAAAAAAAGAGGTTTACTGTTCCACCTGGCTAGGGAGGCCTCACAATCATTGTGGAAGGCAAGCAGACACAATTCATATCTTACATGGATGACACCGGGAAAAGAGAGAGCTTGTTCAGAGAAACTCCCATTTTTAAAACCATCAGATATCGTGAGACTCATTTACTATAATAAGAACAATGCAGGAAAGACCTGCTCCCATAATTCAATTCCATTCCACTGGGTTCGTCCTTGAATTGTGGAAGTTACAATTCAAGATGAGATTTGGATGGTGACATAGCCAAACCATATCAGCCATGAAAGACCATGAGAGACTCTCTCTCTTTTTGTTCCCTCTCTCTCTATCTTCCCTTAATTTATGCTTTCTGTCTCTCAGATTTCTTATTCTGGGGAAAGCAATATCTCACACAATGAGAAGTTCTATGGAGAGGCCCACAAGGCAAGGAACTGATAATTTCAGGCAACGGCTTTGTGAATGAATTTAGAAGAGGATTCTTGCCCAGTCAACCCCAGAGATAAATGCAGTCTTGGTTGATACCTTCTTTACAGCCTTAGAAAGACCTTGAACAGGAAACACCCAGCTAAGCCCCTTTCAGATTCCTGATAATCAGGAGCTGTGTGAGTATAAGTATTTTTTTACTTTAAATCACTAAATTTTGTGGTAATTTCTTATGTGGCAGTAGATAATTAATTCCCCTAATAAAGAAATTATAATAGACTAAGGAGAATGAGCTATAAATGTGTACATTTATATATCCACAGAGGGAAGAATGATCAGTTATTTTTTACTCCCCCAAATCAATAGGAGATTATGTCACAGATTCTGACATTTCAAATCTTTTCAATCTTTACTTACAAATACTCTGATGATTTTCTCCCTCGCTGTAAAACTCTTTTGTTTATTCTTCTGAACAAATATTGTGAGTCTCCTTATTTTCACACATATTTGAATCTTTTTTTAACAAATATAAGTTTTACAATATTTAATTTATCAGACTTGTTTTTGAAATACATATTAAATCTTGTTTACTCTGTCTCCTTTCTTCAAATATACATTTAAAATATCTTTAAAAATTCATATGTACTTGACTTTGTATCTTTACATTCCTCACATTTTCAAACTGTATACTTCAATCACTTTAAATATGTATATACATAGATATAGATATTAGCCAATTCTTTTATGTTTGTGTATTTGTGAGTAAAAGAGCCTTCTTATTCTATGGATACCAGAATAAAAAGGCAGGAGGTGATTGCTAGTATCTTGGATTTTATTTATGTATCAAATAAAGACAGCTACGTGTTAAGACATGGTGTGTTCAGTATTTCAGTTTCTTCCTTTTTCAATCTTGGGAGATTGTGTGTTTCCAGGAATTTATTAATTACTTGTAGGTTTTCTAGTTTGTGTGCAAAGAGTTGTTCACAATAGTCTCTGATGGTGTTTTTGTATTTCTGTGAGGCCAGTTGTAGTGATACTTTATCATTTCTGATTGTGCTTACATTAATCTTCTGTCTTTTGTTTTCTTAATCTAGATAATGGTGTATCAATTTTGTTTATTCTTTCAAAAAAATTTTTGTTTTCACTGAAAGTTTGTGTGGATTTTCACACCTTAATTTTGTTCAGGTCAGCTCTGATTTTGGTTTTTTCTTTTCTTCTGCTAGCTTTGGGGTTGGTTTGCTCTTGTATTTTTTGTTCCCTTTAGTATGATGTTAGGTTGTTAATTTGAGACCTGTAACTGTATGGTTTTGGGAGATCTTCTTGATATCAACTGCTATTTTTATTTTAATGTGGTCAAAGAATATGGTTGGTATAATTTTGATTTTTTGGAATTTTTGAGACGTGCCTTGATAATCTGTCTAACACTGTCTGCGAGGTGTTGAAATCTCCCACTTTTATCATGTTGGTTGTCTAAATCTATTTGTAGGTCTCTAAGAACTGTTTTTAAATGTGAGTGCTCCAATACTGGGTGTGTATATATTTAGGATAGTTAGGACTTCTTGTTGAGTTGAAACCTTTATTGTTATGTAATACTTTTCTTTTTCATTTTTGATTGTTGTTGGTTTAAAGTCTGTTTATCTGATCCTAGGTATCAAGCCTTGCTCTTTTTAGTTTTCCATTTGCTTCTTATTTCTTTTCATCCCTTTACTTTGAGCCTATGAGTGTCACTGCATGTGAGATAGATCTCTTGAAGACAGCATACAATTGAGTATTGATTTTTTATTCAACTTGCCACTCTGTCTTTTAGGTGGAGGGCTTAACCCATTCACATTCAAGGTTAATATTGAAATGTGAGAATTTGGTCATATCATGTTGTTATCTGGTTGTTATGTATGTTTGATTTTTTAGTTTGTTTATAGTGTCAGTGGGCTATGTCCTTAACTATGTTTATGTTGTGTCAGGTAATAACCTTTTATTTCCATGTTTACCATTCCCTCAAGGACCTCTCATAAGGCAGGTCTAGTGGTAGTGCATTCTCTTAACATTTGCTTGTCTGAAAAAGATTTTAGTTCTCCTAATCTTTGAAGCTTCATTTTGCTAAATATGAAATTCTTGGTTGGCATTTATTTTCTTTTTTGTTAATTTTGAGACAGAATTTCACTCTGTCACTCAGGCTGGAGTGTAGCAGCGTAATCTTGGCTCATTGCAACCTTCACCTCCTGGGTTTAAGTGATTCTTATGACTCACCCTTCCGAGTAACTGGGATTACAGGTATGTGCCACCATGCCTGGATAATTTTTGTATTTTTATTAGAGATGGAATTTCACTATGTTGGCCAAGCTGGTCTCCAACTCCTGGCCTCAAGTGACCTGGCCACCTTGGCTTCCCAAATAACTGGGATTATAGGTGTAAGCTACTGCTCCCGGTCAGAATTTCTTTTCTTTAAAGATGCTGAATATATGTCCCCAAACTTTCCTGTCCTGTAGGGTTTCTTCTAAAATGTCTACTGTTAACCTGATAAATTTCCCTTAGTAGGTTACCTGCCCCCTCTCTTTAAATGCCTTTAACATTTTTTTTCAGGTTGGCCTTGAAAAATCTGATGACTAAGTATCTTGGGGATGGTAATCTTGCATAACATCATGCGAGGGTGCTCCGAATTTCTTGAATTTGCATTTTGACCATTCTAGAGACATTGGGAACATTTTCATGGACAAAATCCTCAAATATGTTTTCCAAGTTGCTTACTCCCTCTGCTTCTCTTCCAGGAATGTCAATGAATCTTAGGTTGAGTCAGTTTGAATAATTCCATACTTTTCAGAGGTTATGTTAATCTTTTTAAATTCTTTTTTGTTCTTTATTTTTGTTTGCCTATATTTATTCAAAGGTTTGACCTTCAAGCTCTGAGATTCTTTTGTCAGGTTAGTCTATTCTATTATTAATACTTCTAATTGTATATTAAAATTCTTTTGGTAAGTTTTTTGATTCCAGAAGATCATTTGTTTCTTTCTTGAAAGGACTATGTCCTATTTCAGAGTTTGAATTATTTTATCTCACGAGCCTCCTCGCCATCCAAATTTTGATTCTATGTCTGTAATGTTAGCCAGTAACTAGTTCAAAAATTGAAACAGTAATAAAAAACCTTCCAAACCAAAAAAGCATGAATCAGATGGATTCACTGCTGAATTCTACCAGATGTACAAAGAAGGGTTAGTACCCATCCTACTGAAATTATTCCAAAAAAATCAAGGAGAAGGGACTCCTCCCAGATTCAGTCTACAAAGGGTGCATCAATCTGATACCAAAACATGCCAGAAACATAATAAAAAATAAAACTTTAGGTAGGTCAATATCCCTGATTTACATAGATACAAAAATACTCAACAAAATACTGGCAAACCAATCCAGCAGCACATCAAAAAATTAATTAACTACAATCAAATAGGCTTGATTCCTGGAATGGAAGGCAGGTTCAACACACATAAATGTGATTCACCACATAAACCAAATTAAAAACAAAAACCACATGGTCATCTTAATAGATGCAGAAAAGAGTTTTGATAAAATTTAACATATATTTATGTTAAAAACCTTCAACAAATTAGGCATTGGAAGGACATACTTCAAAATAATAAGAATCATCTATGACAAACACACACTAATATCATACTGAATGAACAAAAGCTGGAAACATTCCCTTTAAAAACTGGAACAAGACAAAGATGCCCACTCTTACCACTACTATTCAATATAGTGCTGGCAGTTCTAGCAAGAGCAATCAGGTGAAAGAAAAACACAAATGGCATCCAAATAAACAAAAGGAAGTTTGCTGATGATATGATTCTATACCTAGAAATCTCACTCTGCCAAAAGCCTCCTAGAAGTGATAAACAACTTCGTTAAAGGCTTGGGATACAAGATCAATGCACACAAATTAGTTCCATTTCCGTAACTAATAATGTCTTGGCATTTTGTAATTTAGGAATTTGAAATTTGAGCTTGATGAATGAGTAAAACTGATTCTCACACTGATCTACAGCAGTCAATGTTCTTGTATACAAAACATCAGAGATTGTATTGTATAATTTGTAAACCAGGAAAGTAACTTTTAACTAAAGCAAATATGCATAAAATTTATTTTAGTATCAAAAAAAGTAAAGTCATACTTGTAGGATTATTTATTCTAAATTATTCTAGTAATAATTTATATTCATCAACTAGATAAGATATTGTTAGAATTAAAATGGAAAATATGATGATTATGGATTTAAAATTTTATAGTTAAAATGTCCTAGAGATGTATGAACATTTTAGTATAACATTACACCAATGTATTACAACAAACTCGGTTTTAAAAATAAATAGGCTAATTTTAAAACAAAACAAAAAAAAACTAGAACAATAGAATTCAGGAATCAAGGATTCCAGTGAATAATTCATTTTTTGGTGGATCCAAATGTCAACGTATTTATAAATTTGTTTTGACAAAAACTTATCTGGAATTCTCTACTTTAATTAAACTTGTGTAAAGTGATAGAACATATTTCAGTCTAATACATCATTTTCACAAGTAAAACTTTTATTTTGGGGCTAAGAAAGTAATTAAATGCTGAAGAATTGATCACAAATAAAGTGGAGTATATTTCAGTGAAAAGAAAAAGCTTAAACAAGAAGCATGATTAGCACAAATCACTTGAATGTATGAATATCTGGAAAAAGTTTAGTTAGGGTCAGAAAATAGAAAATAGAATGTGACGTGTGAAATCATTAAAACGATATTTAAATGTTAAAATGTAAATTGAGGCTAAGACAACTGAAACAATTGAAAACAATAAAATAGCTTAATTTTTTCAAAAGAAATAATAGAATCAACTTACTAATTAAGAAAGCTAAAAATGATCCTCCATGCTCAATTAATAAATAAACCAAGAACCTGGTTTTGTATATAAATTAAACATAAACTTTGTACATATTTTTATCTGATAAAAATATGGCATTTATATATGGGCAAAGCCAAATTTTGGATTATATTGAAAAGCAAATTTTCATAGCTTGGTTAGATCCTGTTTAATGCTAAACCATTTACTTGTTAGAAACGGCTTTATTCTCAATCCTCATTGATGCTTAGCAAAAACAAGCTTAAATGTTGCCCTGTCCATCTCCTGTACTGGGCATTCACTTCGAAAAGATGACTCCTTGGCTTTAAGTTGACAGAGTGTTTATTATCCACTAAAAGCAATAACTAACTAGTCCACAAGTACTAAATCCTAAGGCAGATTTAATCGACCCTGCTCTGCTAACAGCACGTTGCAGTCCTTCATTTGCCGTTTTCCACATTATTTTGACTTGACATTGTCTTTCTTTCTCAGTGTATCATACATCCAACAAGGATAGAGGCCCTTTTTTGCTCTTCTTTATAACCTTACAACTAGGTTAAATGCCCGAGACACAACAGATACGTAGTAAATGCTATTCACTGGTGAGTTCAGTCAAAGTTCTCAGGCTATTTGTAACAGGTTGGCACAATTTAAGGACCCTTTTGTTTCCTTAGCTCATCTAGATAATGCAGTGATGACTTGCTTTATGTTTTCTCATTGCTGCAGAGGCTTGAAACATCCTGAGAGATTCAATGACATTTGCTATTCAAACATTTTTGTTCCAATTAATAGCGGTGCTTCTCAAGGGGAAATGCAGCACAAATGACTGGTCTCAGAAACATTCCCTTTTTGGGATAACTGAAGAAGAAAATCAAAATATGCCATGGTTTTAATGAAAACAGTCTGCATAACTCTCAGTAGAAGTGGGAAACTGGGAATTATATTGTGATATAGAGCGTGTCAGACGGAAAGTGACCATTGCTCTCAGCTACTATCATTGGAATAAATCAACAGCACAATTAATGAATTGACCTAGTTATCTTTTTAACTAACCTGTAAGGATTCCATTAGTTTACAGTGTTATTCTTTTAAAAATCAAAAAATGTATGCATGCGTCCTTTAAATTTCCTACCTGTTAGCAATAAAGCGAAAATAATTTAAGTAGGTTGATGCAAAAGTAATTGTGGTTTTGTCACTACTTTTAATGGCAAAAACTGCAATTACTTTTGCACCAACACAACACATTAAACTCACTACCATCTTATAGAAATTTAGCTCATTCACACAGACATATTATCAGAACATATTTGTGAGGCACTTTAAATGTATAAAATGCCACTTTTGTTTTAATGATGTCAACCACCTAAGAAGGCAGTTTGAAGAAGTATTGCTAATTGTATTTAATATTAGAGTCAGCAGAATCACAAATAATGTTTTGAATTTTAAAAAGTAGTAAAGAATCAAAATTGGAAAAAACTTTTACTTCAAAATTGTCCTTTTGTGAGCAAAATAGATTTAATTTTAATTAATTAAAGAAATCTTTATGTTACCTCCTCCTTTCTTTTTTCTTCTATCATTGAGCATCTGGTTACTTATTTAACTCAGAGTTTTAGTTCAGGGTATCAAGGAGTGTCATGGAAACTTCTAACCCTAATTTCTAATGATAACCATGTGTGAAGAAAGGAAGACATTACCCATGACTAAAATAAAAAGCTTTAAGGTGAGAATCATAAAGAGTATACATCTCATGGTTTCTCAAGTGAGTAAAGTCTAAAGGGGTTTGCAGCCTGAGATGAACCTGGAGTTCATTGTTAGATATATGTTTTAGAGAAAAATCATCCTTCAACTTCATAGCACAACATCACTCATTCATCAATTAAATTAATCAATTTATTCACCCATCAATATTTTCATGGAAGTGTCTGCTATCTTCCAGGTGTCATGCTAAGTTCTGGCTATATGACGGTAAACAAAACCATCGTGCCTGGCTCACTTTTGTGGGAGATACAGATTTTTAGCAAATATACACACAATTATAAATTTTGAAATTGTAATAAATGTTACTGAGAAGAGGGGGAACAACCCTTAGATTCCCTGTAAGGAAACAAACAGAAAAAGCAGGGAAGGGAAAGATATTTAAACAGAATTGAATGGCAAGCACACTAAGACAATTAAAGAAAAAGTCTAAGAAGGGTGAAGGTGTGGAGCACTGAGGAGCTGCTGGATGGTAGGTAGTGTATCCAAGACTGCCAAGAGGTAAATTTGGGAGTGGTGGGAGAAGCCAGGTCACATAGAACCCTGAAGACCAAGTCAGAGGATCAATTTTATTCTAAGAGCATTGAAAATCATGTAGACAGATTGTAAGCTGAGGAATGACATGTTGTAAGAACATTATCATGGATGCTATGCGGAGACATTGGAAGAATGGAAATGAGGAAACAAGGATGCAAAGCTATTGTAATACTATAGGCAAAAGATTTTTTTTTGACTCAAGTTATTCTGGAACCATGAAGGTGAGATGAACTATACACAGTTTTAAATTACTTTGGGGTAGAATGACACAAGGTGAGAGGTTGCATATGGTACTTGAGAAAATATATTTATATCAAGCACGACTTACAACTTTCTACATTGTATATAAAGGATATCTTGGCGGGGCACGGTGGGTCACGCCTGTAATCCTAGCATTTTGGGAATCCGAGGAGGGTGGATCATCTGAGGTCAGCGGTTAGAGACCAGCCTGGCCAACATAGTGAAACCCTGTTTCTACTAAAAATACAAAAAAAAAAAAAAAATTAGCTGGGCATGGTGGTGCATTCCTGTAATCCCAGCTACTACTCGGGAGGTTGAGGCAGGAGAATCACTTGAACCCAGGAGATAGAAGTTGCAGTGAGCCGAGACTCCAGCCTGGGCGACAGGGTGAGACTCCTCAAAAAAAAAGGCGGGCGGATATCATTTACTTTGAATACTTTCTGAATTCCTAGGAAAATTGTTATGGATGGTAGTAGCAATAATTCAAGTGAAGACACATGCTACAACATGGATGATACAACAAGGATAAGCATTAAAGACAGCATGCTAAGTGAAATAAGTCAGTCACAAAAGAACAGTTGGATGATTCTTCTTACATAAGGTGTCTAGAGTCAGAAAGTAGTTTGGTGGCAGTCAGGGGCTGTGGCAGCAGGGAATTAGTAGTTAGTGTTCAACGGATACAGTGTTTCAGTTGGGGAACATGAAAAAAGCTCTGGAGATGGATAGTTGTAATAATTGAACAAAAATGTGAATTACCTATACCACTGAATTTTACATTTAAAAATCATTTCAATGGTAAATTTTGTGTTATAGACATTTTACCACAATAAAAAAAAAATAGAAAAAAAATGTTGAACTCAGCAAGACTGAAATTTATCTGGATGAATTCATAAAAACTACCATGCATATTTAAGAATATATTCCACATCAATTTAATGTATAAATTTAATGTGTGTGAACTAAAACACAATGTAAGAAATTTTGCCCTCTTCCTGTGGCTGCATTTTGAATTTTATCTGGAAATTTTTTGAGAATGTTTTGCATGCTCTGTGTGTCAGGTTTTAGGTAGTCTTTTGTCCTTGTTAAGATCTGGTACTCCACTTTCCCTCATTTTAAATAACTTTCACTTGACTTTCATTTCCATGCCAATAAGTTCATTCTAGTAATAAAATTTTATTGTCACTCTTTCCAAGTTTTTATTTTCACCGTTTTATGAATACTATCAGGAGACAAGAAAGAGCTTTACCCTTATATACCAATGTGCCACTCAAATTTATTTTCTGAAGTTAATCAAAAAGTTTTGGAGAATTTATTTTCCCCTATGATTATCTAAATGTGTCAATTCACATAACATATAGATATTCCAAAAATTCAGCACCACAGAAGACCACATTAACACCATTGTAATATTTTAATTATTGGACTGAGTGGATCTTAGTCTTTTTAAATGAAAAGAGGATTCCACCCTCTCTACCCCTTACCCTGGCTCAATATCTCTCACATAATAGATGCAGGAAAATAATTTACTGATATGGTAGATATGTGCCATCTGCCCATCGGGGATAGTAGAGGTGTCTGGTGTTACAAACAGCAGTAAAGTTCAAGTTTCCAACTCAGAAGTAGCATCTCTGTGGGGTAGTGGTGATTGCAGAACAGTCAAGGTCTTTGTATTTTGTGCTAGGAGGTAGCAATGACAACTTCAATAGTGTTTTTATTAGAACACTTTTTTCTTTTTTGCATTCTTTCACATTTTTTTTCCTAGAAGCAGAGCCTCAATTCTGTGTTTCCAGGTTTCATAATGATTCTGTGCACTATTTAATACACTTTTAATTAAGTATGTCTCGGTTTCAACCAGTAAAAATCGATTCTGTTCTTTAGAATAACCTGACTGATAAAATTGATAGAAACCTTCATTCATTCATTCATTCATTCATCCAGTTGTTTATCAATTGTAAATGGCATTTATCACTCTATCATTTATCCAGTCACTTAGACAAACGTTTATTTAGCATCTACTTTTTCCCAAGGTCTGACTTGGGTAAAGAGTAATAAAAGAGCTAAAATATATATGTCTCCTTCAAAAATATTTACACCTACTCAAGGGGCCTGCTATGTAAGTGGACAATCACAGTAATAGTGTGGTGAGAATTACAAATAAATACTCAGAGAGCAATATATGAAATAAAGAGGGACAACCTTGCCAAGCTTGAGTGATCAAGGAAGACTTCTCAGAAACAACAGTGTTTCTCAAAGTGTGATTTATAGATCATTTGCATTAGAGTCACCTGCTGGGGTTTAAACATCCCAAGTTGATTGCCTTTATCTATATCCACTGAATCAAAATATTTGACTTTTTACCCAGGAATCCATATGTGGAACAAAGATTCTAGAAATATAAGTAAGTTGGGAAAGAATCTGGAAGATGCTTTTTCAAAGTCCTGGAAGTAAGAGAGAACAGTCGAATGTTTAATATCCCAAGAACAAAGGAGCCAGAGGGACAGATACAGTAACTTCAAGTATGTCTGGCTTAGCATATTTTGACGTTTATGTGAACTATCAAAGTTTGGGGTCAAAGAGATGTGGATTTGTATCTTCCACTAAGTACACTGGCCGTGGTGCTTCAGTTTTGCTTGCTATAGTTTTTCCATCTTGACAGGAAGAAGAGTGACAGCAACTCATAGGGAGATAGTGAGAATTAAATTCACTTAATTGTATAAAGACACTCACTCTCAACAAAGGTTAGTTTCATCATATTCATATGTATTTTTGCCAAAAAGAGTTGTTTGTTAGCTTGGTTAAATATCATGCCAAAGAAGTGTTTATGGTCATTCACTTTATGCAGTGTACAGAGAGCAGCTGTGCAGATGGAAACTTAATAAATGGCTTTTTAACAACAGTCATGATAGTGGTTTGTACCTTCTTAAGTTCTGTTTAATGTTATTGAGTTTGTATTACATTCTGCTAAAGAAACATGGGCCTTTGAAAAGCATATGGGAAAGTATTTGTTGATGATATGAAAATTGGCTCTGATTCTGCTTGCAAATAATAGCAAATGAAAGATAGATATATTTGGCCAAATGTCAAACCAAATATTTTTAAATGTATTGGGAATATCTTAACAGATGTTTCCCAATGTTTAATATTGTTTTGGTGAAGTTTAGTTTAATATTGTATTTGGTGAAAATAATATTGGCATAATATTTTCATTCAGAGCTAAACTACTTTTTTTTAAAGAATGTAAAACCATATCCCTCCCATCTGATTATGACCCTTTTGTTATTGATTTGAGTAAAAGAGGACTAGAACAATTATGCTTGAAATCACTCTTCATTGAGGCTTTCCATTTTTGGTGTTTCATGCTGCTCTTGTTTTCTTGATTTCCCATGAAATCAGATATTATTTTCTAATTATGGAAGCACAATAACAGCTGAGCTACAGCAAGCTCTTCTTGCTCTGGCTTTTGTAAACAAGGTATTGATGATTTCAGCAGATGTCCCTGATTTGAGATCTTTTGCTTCTTTCTAGGCAGGGGATGCTCAAACCATAGACACAAATCTGCTTTTCCAGGAATAACGTGCTAGCAACATGGTCAGCAACCCCAAGATTTTTAGCTATTACTCCCGAAAACCTCATCTGCTCAGTAACTACACTAGCCATCTGTTCCCCTAAAATTGTTTTCATTTCTTCTAACATTCAGTTGTTACTTAATACTAATCTATTTCAATGTTTTATGGTATTTACTGCTCTGCATAACAACTGTACTTGTTCACTAACATTTGTTATCCGTTTTACATCATGAACATATATGTCTTCTTATTGTATTTTTTTTTCTTTTTTTAGTTGGGAGTGGAATTGCTGTTTTTATTATCCGCGGTCCTCTGACTATATATTCCTCACCATGTCGTGCAAAGCCTTCTACAATTTGATGTTAACCGGCCCTTTTACAGGCTGAGTATCCCTTCTGTAGAAATGTTGGAGGTCCAGAAATGTTTCAGATTTCAGATGTTTTTAAATTTCATAATATTTTCATATATATAATGAGATATTTGGGGGATGGGACCCAAGTCTAAACAGGAAATTCATTTTGTTTCATATACCTTATATAACATAGCCTAAGGGTAATTTCATACTCTCTATATGTATATAATACATATATATAATTACATATATGTATTAAATACATTGTATATAATACATATGTATATAATACATGTATATGTATTATATACATATATAGAGAGAGACAGAGTCTCACTCTTTCCCCCAGGCTGGAATGCAGTGGTGCAATCTCAGCTCACTGCAACCTCTACCTCCCAGGTTCAAGTGATTCTCCTGCCTCAGCCTCCAGATTAGCTGGGAATAGAGGCACATGCCACCATGCCCGGCTAATTTTTTGTATTTTTAGTACAGATGGGGTTTCACCATGTTGGCCAGGCTGGTCTCAAACTCCTGGCCTCAAGTGATCCACCCACCTCGGACTCCCAAAATGCTGGAATTACAGGTGTGAGCCACCGCACCCGGCCTCATACAATATTTTTAATACTTTTTTGGCATGAAGCAAAGTTTTGACTGCATTTTGGCTGTGAGCCATCACATGAAGTCAGGTATGGAATTTTCCACTTGTGGCTTCATGTTGATGCTGAAAAAATTTCAGATTTTGGAGTATTTCAGATTTCAAAATTTTGAATTAGAAATGCTCAACTCGTACCACATATTACATCCTTTACAAACCTCTCATTCCATCGGAAGTAGGTTCTTTCTAAAGATGCCTGTAATTTTTCCATCTTTATGCCTTTGCTTATTCTGTTTTTCCCTCATGCACTTTTTTCTCACAGTTCTACAAGTTTCAACTTTAAAACAATTATAAATGGTATCTTCTGTCCATGGATATTTAGAAGATATTAGCTGGGATAATCTGCACTATTAACACTCCAGCTGCCAGGCTTCCAGACAGGGACTTCCCAGTCTTCCTAATCACTTGAGGCAATACCTTACAATAAGTATCTTCATATGTATTCTACATAGTTCTGTTTTTCTCTGCGTAAGCCTGTCTAACACATTCGTAACCTCATTGTGGTTTAATTGCATTTCCCTGAATACCTGTGACATTTGCTAAATATCAGAAGAATGGATAAATTGTATTCATACAGTAGAATAAAATAGCTTAATTAAGACAAAGAAACTACACCTATGTTATCAACATGAGTGAGTCTTAAATAATAAAATTGTTATTAAAAAACATGTGTGGAATATTTATCATCTCTTACTACATATATAGTAAGATACCATCTATATAAAAATCTAAAAATAGACTAATCAAGCTTATGTTGGCTTATTGATGCATTTATAAATAGTGCTGGCACTCAGAAACTGATATCCCAAAATATGAAACTTTGAATGACGAACTAAAGAAGAAGCCACATGGTCTCTCTGACCTTTCCCTCATCTTGTCTCTCAATCTTCTGTCTCTCCCAAACCAGAGAATGAAGTTATTCTCTGACATCTCCTTATCTGCCTAAAATCTGGACCCACCAAAGAAGAAAACAGTTACCTCTGCTCCCTTCCTGAATCTTCATTCACAGGAAGAGTAAAGTCTGTCAACACACTGGGACAGACTTTTGTCATTGTATATTCTCCAAGCCCACAGAATTCCCCTAAAAATCATTTACTACTCCCCCTAAAATTATTCACACTTTCCCAAATCCCTTTCCCCTAAGAAGCGTACATAAGCACCTGTCCCCTGTTGGTTTGGAGTTAATCACTCTGTGATTTTCCTCCATGCACATTAATAAAAATTTGCATGCCATTTCGCCTATTAATCCGCCTTTTGTCAGTCAATTTTCAACAAACTTTCAAAGGTTTCTCTTCACCTTTACAATCGCAAAGGTGATTACTTCTGGGAACAGTGGATAGAGACTGACGCTGTGTAGGGATACACAAGACTTTATTTGATTCTGGAATAGTTTATATTACAGATGGGTTCACAGTGTTTTATTTTCTCAACAGTTTTCTAGCTCAGAAATACTTTAATGATTAAAAACAAACAAAAAAAGGGATTGCATATAGATGATTCTATTTTATTCTCTTTATTTGTTTTCTTACAATAATTTTTTTAAAATAAGAAGTAAGAACTGTGCCTAACTCCTTTTCACTGCTACATTCCTAGTCTAAGCCATCACAGTCATTTGTCACTATTACTGCAGTTGGATGCTAAATGGTCTCCCTCTTTCTATCCTCCCCTTAAATGGTCTATTTTATTTTGAAAATTACCATCAATTCTTCAAATATTTAAGTCAGATCATATCCCTTTTCTGCACTAAAACTTACAATCAATTTCTATTTCATCAGAGCAGCAAATAAACAATAAGCTCCATACAATGGCCATAAGACCTCCTGCCAATTATCTGTCTTTATCTTCTACTAATCTACTGATCACAAATGCAGGAGAATATCTTAGAACTCTTGTTCTAGATATCCATTTTGCTTGGAACACTTTTTCCAAAGATATGTGCTTAGCTAGTCCCTCACCTCCTTCAGGTTTTTTTCTCATATCTGACTTTCTCACAGGGATCTACCTAAACCACCAAATTTAGTGCTATAGCAGGTACTCCAGTGACACCATCATGCTGCTGATCTTTCCTTATTACACTCTATTTTTTCCATTTTCAGTAGCTTGCGCATTTAAACGTGCCACATAATGTAATTATTTGTAGGTGTACTGGTTATTGTGCATCTCCTCCACTAGAACATATGCTCCCCAAGGCAAGAAATCTTTATTTGGTTCAGCAACGATCTCAAGTAGCTAGACTAGGTGGCACTCAATAAATATTTGTGAAATGAATACATCAATACATAATTGATAAAAGAGAAAGTTTTCATATTTTAGCTCATACTTGTTTTGGGAAATTTCTCATGGAGCACAAAAGTCGGCAGAGTAAGTGGCATTAAATACAGTCATGCATCAATGAATGACAGGATACACTTTGATAAACACATTGTTAGATGATTTCATCATTGGGTAAAGATCATAGAGTGTCCTTACACAAGCTTAGAAGGTAGTCTATATATAGTCTACTATAAATACTACGTATATAGTCTATATGTAGTATATATGTATATACTATATAAATAGACTTATATAGTCTACTACATACCAAGGCTATATGGTTTATCCCATTGCTCTCAGTTGACGAATCTTTACATTACAACATGTTCTTATACTGAATATTGGAGACAATTGTAACATAGTGATAAGTGTTTGTGAATTGAAAAACCGCTAAACATAGCAAAAATACAGCAACAAAGATAGTATAAAAAATTTTTAAAAAGTGGTATACTTGCATGGGGCATTTACCATCAGTGGAGCTTTCAGAACTGGAAATTGTTCTAGTAAGTCATTGAGTGAGTGGTGAGTGAATGTGAAGGTCTAGGACATTACTGTGCAATACCATAGACCTTGTAAACAACGTACACTTAAGTTACACTAAATTTCAAAAGAATAAAGTAATTGCACTATGATGTTATGATAGCTACAATGACATTGGGTGATAGAAATTTTTCAGTTTCCTTAAAATTTCATGGGGCCACCATAGTATATATGGTCTAGGGTAGACGGTAAAGTCATTATGTGGCCCTTGAGTATACTTTCTCTCTCTCTGTGAATATGTGTACATTTACAACTTCATATAGCTAAATTTGCCCAAAGTCATATGTGCATAATGGTGCAAATCCACTGAGAATTTTCTAGGCACTGTACTAAAGATCTAAGGTATAAGGATTCTGAAATTGCATAAAATAGCTCCCTGCTCTAGGGGAGCACAGTTATTTTATTCTTAATTCCTATTTACATGTCTTTGGCTAAAGTAAGCCATGTGATCCTGCCTAATTTCAAGATACAGAAGTGCAATACCACCATATTGCACAAGGAGATCCAGAAATATTTGTAACAGCAATAATGATGACCTGATTGGTCATATATAATTCCAGGCATTCTTTTCTACTCCATAGCCTCCTTGAAAATCTCTTCAATAAATAGCATAGAAAAGAAAAATGTCAAGTTATGAGTGTCTTGTGTTATCTCACTTTGAACATTGAATATACTTGTTCACCATTGAGAACTTCACCCTTATTTCTAAACATCAATGCCCCTCAAAAACATCAAAGCATTGAGTACTCTGGAAATTACTTTTTGATATGATTACAACTAGGAGAATATCTATCCCATGGTTTCCATTCCTGACATCCTTTTGGGATTACTTGGAGCACTTATTAAACATAGACCTTTGGTATCACTTTAGAAGATTAAGACTGAGTAGATCTGAGGTGAATATCATAAAAATATTAAAATAGGCATCCCATCCAACAGGGTTCTAATATAGCTATGTGGGGACTATGGCTTGTATGAAAAAAAAAAAGCATTTGTAAAATGCTTCTGTAGTGAATGACAGTGACTGTTCACAGGACAATTTCTGCTCTTGGGGACTACAGCCTGTCTTGGGCTCAACCTGCTGCCTCTGAATTCACTTGATGCATTTTGGATATTTGTCCCCTCCAAATCTCACCTTGAAATGTAATCAGCAATGTTAGAGGTGGAGCTTATTGGGAGGTATTGGATTATGGTGGTGGATCCTTAATGAATGGTTTAGCACTGTCCTCTTAGTGATGAGTGTGTCTTTGCTCAGCTAGCACCTGCAAGATCTGGTTGTTTAAAGGAGTCTGGGACCTCCCCACCTCCCACCCCCTTACTCTTGCTCTCACCATGTCATGGGCTGGCTCCCTGTCGCGTGCTACCATGATTCTAAGCTTCCTGAGCCCTCACCAGAAACATATGCCAGCATCATGCTTCCTGTAAAGCCAGCAGAACCATAAGCCAATTAAACCTATTTTTAAAATGGATTACCCAGCTTCAGGTGTTTATTTATTACGACACAAGAATGGACTAACACATTTGCTTTGTTTCTGCAGCGGCCCTCTAAATCTCAGTTGTTTACCATCTACCTTTGATAGCTTCTATTGCCCAATTCTCAGTATTCTTTTAGGCTTCTGACTTCCAGCTGCTGCTTGCTGCTATTAAAGGAAGCAATTTCCATACTGACTTAGAGTATTTCTGCTCAACATTATGGATAAGTGGAAAATAAGAAATTTTGACATAATAAAAATTAAAACCTAAGACATTTTACAAAGTTGTTTAAAAAAGTCAAAGTCATTTTTTTTGTGATCTTTCATTGCTGATCTATATCCTAAAGAAATAACGTGGAACCTCTTCAAAATTTCACCCCCAAATTTTTATTCACCATGAAGAGATTCACAAACTTCTACTACCACATCCCACTTTCCACAGCAAAACTGGAAAGAATCACACGTGCTTGACAATAGGTATCTCTTCCTTGATCACTGTCCCTTTATGAAGATATATTTTAGTTTGCATCTATTTCCCATTAGTTACCTATGTCACATCCTAACCCATTGTCATACAAGACAGTAGTGAAATTTCTAGAATTCTACATTCTAGTACAAATTTAGTGTTTTACACTTTAGAAACCATGAAAGTACTACAGTGAATATGAATGAGTCTTTTCAAAAATTAAAATACAGAAAAAGGAGAAGATATTTGAAAAAGTAACAAATTTCTGTAGTTATTTTTAAATACTATTTCCTCACTATTTCTCACTTTTAGCTTCTGTAGAACAAGCAAAACATAAGTAAAACCAAATTTCCAGATCACGGAGTTCTTTCTGAAGCATGGGATGTGGGCTGTAAGCTTAAACACATTCCCTGAGTTCCATGGCCTTTGTTTCCACATTTCACCAGCAGTCACATTCTGTTCCAGAAGCTCAGTAGATTCAGGCTTGGGAGAGGAACTTGAGTAAAGGGGAGGGAAGTTACTGAGGAGAGATGAGTCAGAGCTGATTCATAGATCCATCAGTCAATTACAGTTCGTATCAGAGAGTAGGCTCCTTAATATTATATACAGTACTGAACTGTGATTAAGATGGATATTCCGGTTTTTCAAAATTTATATTTAGTTGGTATTTCTAACAGAAAGTGATTCAAACATGTACATATAATGTATGCTTGTGCAATACCATTAGGAAACCTAAAAAGAGTATTAATAATAAAGTTATAAAATCACATCTGACATTTATCAAAATTTTTCTGAGAGAAATTACATGGTTTGAAATGGAAAAGAAAATGAGAAGGGAGATTATGAGGAAAAGGATTCTTCCTTGATTTTCCTCCAAAGAGATGATGAAAACAAAGAATGAATGGTCATGGCTCACGAAAATTAACTTTACAGCAGAAACCATCATTTATACTTGCCCCCAAGGCTGTTCTGTAGGTTAAACCCATTTTTTTTTAAGATTTTCTTTAACAAACTATTCTTAATCATTTTGCCACAATTGTGGAAATGACTAATTTTTCTGTCTTAAGTGGAAAAACTATCAGCACTATTACCTGACTACATTTTAAAACTTAACAGCTTTTATGAATCAGAGAAGTGAACAACTGGTACTTCCCTGAATTAATATTATAGTTTTACATTTTTTTAAAAAACTCTCTCACAGTTGCCAGCTTCATTACTGAAAATCAATGAGTTTTCATTTTTTTATAGGAATGGTTTATCTATAAACTATAAAACTACCCAGATAAAAAGAATTTTTTTTGTCCTTACAGAGATCTTAGTGTTTTTGTATCTTGGCCAAAACTGGACTAGATGCTGTCAACTAGAGCAAAATTATATCTGAATGACTGGCAACTTTTGTAGACACAGCTGTAGTGTATTAGGATAGTAGAATTTATTACTTAATCCCCATATTTTGTTCCCATCATAATTATAAATATATTTGGAAAAAGGTAATTTTCATAAATATAATTAGGCATTTTGTCCTTGGTTTAATCAGAATTTGCTTTATTTTGGAGCACAAATGCTGCACTTACTAGAGCCAGCAAATATGTAGCATTACCTAAATAAAACCCCTTTGCCTTATAAAGCTTGCAGAGCCCTCCTATCATTAATGTGATTAAAAGTTGCCAGAGGGCTCATGGAAATGCAAAATCCTAGGTCCCACCATTAGAATTCCGTCAACAGTAGGCTGAAGAAGAGACTGGGCATCTGCACTTTGAACAAATGCCCCAAGCATTTTGAGAATTGCATTTAAAGAAAAAGATTTTGAAACCCAGAAATCTGAAACAAAATCTATTTTTCAAAACCTGAAGGAGCAACTCTTTCATCACTTGAAAGCTATGTCAACATTTTGCATGCCCAACAAATTTGTTACTGGAAGCTTTTGAATAATTTTAGTTGAAATTTAATATTACTTGGTACTTGCAAATGCAAAGATTTGATATCATAGACTTGTCAAAAACTAATTGTTAAGTAGTATGTATGTAAATACAATATTGAAACACATTGGAAATAGGCATTTTAAAAATGAGATTTTTTTCCCAAGCATTTTAAAAAATAATTTTTTGAAGTAAAACTCATGTAACATAACATCAGCCATTTTAAAGTGAACAACTGAATGGCAGTTAGTACATTGTGCAATGCTGTGCAACAACCACCTCTACCTAGTTCCAAAACACTTCCATCCATAAAGTAAAATCCCATACTCATTAAGCAGTTTCTTCCTATTCTCCCCTCTCCCTTTGTTCCTGGAAACCACCAACTCATATTATGTCAAAAATGAGATGTTTAAAATAGAAGAGTCTTTTTCATATGTTCAATGACTGTTCTTACTACAAATTTTTGTACAATATAAAACTTGACTTTCAGAACAGGATCAATACTTGTTTTCCACTTGGAAGTATTTTAATAAAAAAAATACATTCCCAGTGTGTAAACTTGGGAGTAAATCATATTGTGAAGTATTTATTTAGATAGTAAAATCTCATTGTTTCTTTATTTCCAAATGTAGGGGTTGGTTATGATGAAATAGGACAATTTATTCTTCAGTTTTTATTTATGTTCTAATTTTCCGTGCTCATAGTCCCATCACAAGTGGCCACATAAGCCAGTATGATCTCCTTCCTCTATGCTCAAAGAGATGTAATGATAGAAGGGAGGAAACAAAGTAGCAGAAGTGTCATATTTTAGAAATCTATCAGATACAGTCGTTTGCTCCCCTAATATCTATTGTCTTCTCCTCCCTACTCCCACTTCCTCCATCTCCCTACTTTAATAGTAAATATATGCTCTTTTGCACCTCTGCATCACCATGAAAATAGGATGAACTAACCTTCTGGTTCCAGGAGAAAGACGAGGGACTTGGAAACTGAATTGTCCCATCCACTGCAGCTGAAATCTGCCACCTTAACTTCCTGCAGAGCTTCAATGAGAAGCAGAGATCAGCCAAGGGCCTCTGAGCACCTATTCAACTCACAGATGTGTGAATGATGATACCGAATTGCTGCTTTAAACCCCTCAGCTTTGTGGTAGTTACATGGGAATAGCTAATACAAATAAGTGGTGCAGACCCCGGACACAGAGCTGATACACAGGATGTCACTGGGAGAAACAGAGAAAGAGTGTGGTTGTCTCCCCATATCTACAGTTTCACATTCTGGGATTTCAGTTACCTGCATTTAACGGAGGTTGTCTGAAAATATTAAATAAAAAATTCCCAAAGTAAACAATTCGTAAGTTTTAGAATGCATGCCATTCTGAGTATCATAACTAAACCTCATGCTATTTTACTTTGTCCTTCTCAGGATGTGGTTTCAGGTATCCGGTGAGGGTCTCAGAATTTATCCCCTGTGGATAAGGGAGGACTACTGTAATCAGAAAAGCAGAAAGAGATGGGTTAACTGTTAGCTTAAGCAATTATGGAAATAAAATTTAGAAAATAAACAATACCAGTTCCCAAACATTTATCCAAAAGTCTTAGGACTATATGTGCTTGAACTATAGAAATTTTCATACTTTATAAAGTTATTAGAATGCATACACACTATATGTTTTAACAGTCACCAGCAGGTTCTGGGACAATGCCTCAATACATCATTCTGGAGAAAAATAAATGAATATTCACATAAAGCAAAATAAACAGAGACTATAAAATTCATGTCATCTCAAGTTAGGTTTGGCTTCTAAATGAGTTGGGAAAACTATTTTAGATTTTAGTGCTTTCTGAATTTCAGAACTACAGGTGAAGAACCTGTAATGTCAACAATGCAGAAAATTATAAGTATAAAAATAGGAGTATAAAAAATAGGAGAGTCATTGACTTGGATGTTAAAGCAAATTCCTTGTTGGAGTAGTTAAGGTAAAAAAAAAAAAATCCACAAATCTATGAAGTAGGTATGTTCAGTGAATACTTCAAGCTCTTAAATAAATAGTTAAGGAAGATTATACAAACACCCTCCTCCGATAGGCAGTTGTCCTAAGGAATTACCCCTTGCCTTCAGTTCCTATTGTTGGTATCATCATTATTTTTTAAAAATTAGATGGAAAAAAATAATTTACTAATTTACCTCTGTACATAATAAGAAAGGTCTGCTGAGCCTCAGCCGAGTGTAATGTAGAGAGTAGCAGGGGGATGTGAAGGGCCAGTTTGAGTAATCCCACTCCTAACTCAATTGTGTGGCTATTGTCTCTGAGTGGCTTTTCACTGTGTGTTTTAAAATAGACTCTAGTTCATGAAAGACACAAAAATGTCATTATTTCCATAAATGTAACTAAAACTGGCAGAAAATATAAAATTCTGTGGAAACCACAGGCTCAAAATGAAGACTCTTGTTCCAGCCCAATTCAAATATATCTGATAAATGAATAGTATGCTACAGGCTTAACTCACATCTTCTCTAGTTATTTGTACGCCAATGACAAGAATGGTTCAGAACAAGTTACTGGGTCATACTGCATGGTCTCTATAGTCATATTTTAAAAATTCTATACATTTAATTCTAATCATATTATAAAACACATTATCATTACTAGTATTATTATCACTAATATTAGGATCTTAACATTAAAATTCTGTAAAACTACTTTGGAATGGTATTAAATTGGATAGCATATTATCTTAGAAATGTTAAACTGAAATAAGTAGTATTTTTCAAGTAAATAAATTCATGTGGAAAATTATGCCCCATTTGATGTTATTCATTTATTTCTTTAATAAATATGTATTTGTTGACTAGATGAATGAATGAACAATATGTTTTTAACCATTTACTCATATTGCATATCTCTCAAATAAGACTGTTTCCTTTGTTATTTAAGCAAGCCACATGTATTTGAATGCTAATGTATTTCTGTTCTTAATTTGCAGTATTGTTCTTTAATATTCTTGTTGATATAAATTGAACTGAATGGTCATATCATCAAATATTTATGGATTAAAAAATTTTTCATAGAAGCCAATAGAACAATTTTAGTCTGTATTTTGTGTTTGTTAAGTTTGTTTTTATCAAGGTTGTATGGACCCTTAAAACTCTATTATATTTAGATGCTTGCTTGGCTTAAATGTAATGTTTTACAAAAATTCATTTCTGCATATAGTGTTTTACAAATAATTGCCTCTTCAAATGTGCGCCTATATTAGAATCCAAAATAATTGTGATATAAGGTATAATTCTCATATTAAGGCATTCAAAAATACATTTTATATTAAAGTGTTAATATTGTATATTATCTCTTATAAGGTTAGTCTTCCATATTATCATTTTCCCCAATGATATTAATACATGAAAAGGCTCTCTAGTGTGTCTTTTTTTTCTAAAAGCTTGAGAATATTATTGCGATTTCCTTAAAATATAAAGGACGTTAATCATTTAGCTATGTTGCATTATGAATGTCATTATTTCAGAGAGGTGGATATATTCTAGGAGTCTGTTGAAAATGAATCTAGTTTAGAAGAACATGAAACATAATAAAAGATACTTCTCACCATGTTGTAAAGAGTAAGAACAGATTTGAGGTTTGTAGGAAATCAGTTATATGGAAAATTAATCATTCAAGATATAAAGAACAGAATAAAAATGCTAATTTTTGAAATTCAAAGATAGACTTCAGAATAGAGAGAATACAATAAAAGGTAGCAATTATAAACAAAAGAAATACAAACTCTTTAAGCCTTATCTAGCTCTGGAGCTTGCCAAAAGTACAAAACAGGAATTAGGAAAAAAAAATTAATTGTCGACATCTACAGATAACATAATCTTTTTAAAAGAAATTGAAAAGTTTATCTTAAAAGGAAAAAAATTTTATTTTTAATATGAGTTTTGTTTTCAGATGTATACTTTCTTTAAAGATGTAAAATGAACTTTTGCTTGAGAGCAGAACTTATCTAAGAGACAGAAAAACGAGATTTTGTATTTTATTATATTGTATCTGATTATAACCAATCAACTGAAACTCGTAAAGCACCATTCAATTTTAACAAGTGATCCAGAATACCAGCCTCTTAGTGGACAGAAACAGAGGCGACTTCCTGATCAATCAGCAAAGAGAACACCAGAGAGTTAAACTTCATTCTGACTCCTGCTTCTGAGGCAAAAGTAGCTCTAATGCTGTTCCTATTTTAGCAACTCCATGGAGAGCCCCCACAGTTCATTTGAAGTGGTCGAAAATTCTTTCCTTTGAAGAATTCTTACCTTCAGAACCACTTTTATGTGGATCAGGGCCTGTGAAGGAAAGGTCAAGAAAGCTCTGACCTGTGACTTATTTGTACTGCTAAACTGTAATTATTAAAAAGATAAAAGTATGATTCTATGAATATGGAATTAACATGTGTTAAGCGTTTTAACTCATTAATTAATGTAGGAACTAGTAAGATGTTAAAACAAGTTCAAAGAAGAAGTTGAAGAACATTGTATAGTTCGTGTGTGTATACACACACCAAATCAAGAAATCTAAAATGAATTTGCTAAGAGATAGAAAATATTTCATAGTTTATAGGGAAATGAAATGCAACAGTTGGGGTCATATTTTCTAAGAGCAGAAATCCATTTTACCTTCCCTAGAAAAAAATCATTTTGTTGCTATGAATAAGAATAATTTCAATTTTCATCAAATTTTACAATTCAACCTCTACCGCTACAGGGTTTTTAAATATCCTTGTGAATATAAAAAAAATCAAAAGTGAAAAACACATAAAATCTGATAATCCTTCAAGGTCTACTAGACACTGTCTTGAATCTCAGTGAAAGAAAACCCAGTAAGCTTGTTTGCCCATTTACATGTCTTGGAAAATTTATCCCAAGAGCCTTTGGTTGTGTCTAAAGCTAAAGTTTTCTTGATCTGAAAATTCCAGTTGGGCTAATTCATGTTTTTTTTTAATTCCTCAAATCCATTTGTTAACAAATTGTGACAATATTCTAGAGTTTCCCTCCAAGTATATTTCAATGCACAAAAGCAGGAAATCAGTTGTCCAAATAATAGGTTTAAAAGTTTACATCTCAAATGATTACAAAATAATTAAAAATGTAAACCTATCCTTTGGCTTAAACTTAAATGACAATTTAATTTCAAGGAAGATAAACTTCCAAAAAGTTATAAAAGTTTTAGTAATAATCTTCCATGATACTACACATTCTCAAATATAGAACCGGAATTTGGAAAATGCAAATTTTATCAACCTCCACTCTCAACACTTCAGTGGAATCAGAATTGCTTGAATAACTCAAAAGGACACAGGCAGCCCATCATAATACACATAAAACACTAGCTAGAATTAATAAAAGAAAAACCATACACTTCAAACACCTGTTGTTGAGGCAAGGTTTCACTCTGTTGCCCAAGCTGGAATGCACAGGTGCTATCATAGCTCAATGCAGCCTTCACTTCCTGGGTTTAAGCAATCCTCCCACCTCAGCTTCTCAAGTAGCTGGGACTACAGGCGCCCACCACCACACCTGGCTAGTTTTTTAATTTTTTGTAGAGATGAGATCTCCTTACATTGCCCAGGCTGATCTTGAATTCCTGGGCTCAAGCCATCTGCCCACCTCAGCCTCCCAAAGTGCTGAGATAACAGGTGTGAGACACTGCACCCAGCCTAACTCAGCATTTTTGACTGCATACCTTGCTTGGCACAAGTTGCACTTTGATAAATATTTGGCAAAATAAAGACACGAGGGTTCTAAGAGGGTAAAAAGTTGTAAAGTGAATATCTTTTACTCCTATGGCGTTCATAAATAACAGTTGTTTTATGGAAATGATAGAAAGTTATTTTCAGCCCTGTGTCTCCTGAATTGGAAGCATAAAGATTCTTAGAGATACGAAGTACATATTTACCATTAAAAATAGGCATATTACATCAAGAGTGGCAAAGTGAAGGTAACAGAATGGTGTAAGGAGCACCAAGTGGTTCAGTTGTATAAACAGAAAGTGAAGGCGAAGGCAAAAAATAAAAAATACAATGAATATCATTTTCAAAGAAAAGACAAAGGATCAGTAGAACAAATAGAATAGTTACCATCTCAAAATGAAGTCTAGTTTACATCAGTCTATGTCTGAGACCTTTCATAACCTCTATAACGTCTGAGAATTCTGTATTCTATTAAATTTCCAAGTTCATGTGTATGCACAGTCTGTTTATTTAGTTGTAATGATGCACAATATAATTCTTTGCTTCTAGAGCAAAATAGACATGAATAGGTTTGATCTCTGTTTTCAGTGGTCCTTTAGTTGAATAAGAAACATGGTGGGGCATCAGGTAGAGGAATATTGAGAGTTCCAGAGAGGAGGGGGAGAGGAGAGAGAGTCAGCAACCTGGGGTTGAAATAAAAGCTGGAATTTAAGAACAGAAACACACAGCAGTTCTATGTGGCATCGATAAGTTATACACATTATACCTAAGCTTATAACCTCAGGCAAGTCTGATGAGGGAAACGAGCAAGAGTGTCTAAACTAGAGCCCTTTGGGTCATAGGTTTAAGTAATAAGAATCGTAAACATGTTCACAATATTACAAAATTGTGCTACTGACAAGTTTATGGTTTCAAGCCCCAGTTGAATAAATCTTATTGTTTTAATCTTTTTCTTCTATTGTGTCCTAACTTCTGTGAGGTGATTTCAAATCACTTAAAAGTACCTACAAACTTTCTTCACTCTTGCTCACCCACGGAAGATAAACTTGAGGACTAATTCAATAGGAAATAAAAACTCTGAGCTATAATATAGCTCAAATTCAACCACCCTGCCATAACTAGCTGCTAAAATGTCCAAACTCTTCTGCACTTACAAGTTCCAGGAGAAATGGCAGAAACTTAATTTCTAGAAAGCAATTTAGTTGAAAACAAATTGATAAAAACAGCAAGTTGATCATAACAGAGTACTTACAATATGTGGGCTTTCATGTAATAGTACCTTTTAATCAACAGAGAATATTTATTTTAATGAGTCAGAAACTTTGAAAACATTTTTAATATATTCAAATGTAGCATTTAAAATTTTTAAATGTACTTTAGTCAAATATGACAATATTTTAATTACATTATAAATTCTACTTTCATTTCAGTGACTTTTCCAAAACAAGTTTATTAAAATAAATGCTCTAACCATTAAAACTTGTTTAAATAAAATTTGAGCAACCTAGCGTAACACAAGATTTTAAAATATTAGTACATTCTTAATAATTATTATCTTTTTAATTTCATGTAATTGTATGGGACCAATAGTTTGCATTTGGCCATGTTTGTTCTCTTATATTAAAAGCTTTTCACATTTCTTCAATTAGCATACTTTGCTTCTATCTGATACAATTAATACTTGCAATTAGATTAATAATGTAATTTCTATTTTTAAGAAAATGTGTTCAAAATTTGGAAATAAGCAAAAGATTAAAAGATTCCAGGTTTATAAATGGAATAATATTTCTACATTGAACTTACAAGAAGTCTTGTAGTAAGTTAAATTTTGGTGTTTGAAAATTTAATGAATATTAATTTATGAGGCTAAAGGGTAATGTGTGAATACTATTTTCTGCATTGAAAACTACACTCAGGAGCATTAAAAACAAATTAAAAATCATGTTGATACTCTCCCACACCTGTTTTTCCCTAAAAGGATATAGTAGGAAATGTTGAATTTCTTTCAGCAAATATAACTGATATCTATACACTGAATTCAGAATTATTAATGGCTTTTTTCTGGTTATTAATCAAGCTACAAGAATGACTCCTGCTATCCTATGAGGGAGCACTGATATTTCAGGAGAAAAATTGTGCTGGGAATACTTTTTTATTGTGATGAAATATATGCAACATAAAACTTACTGTGTTAACCGTGAAGTGGACAATTTAGCTGCATTAAGGGCATTTACATCATTGTGCAGCTATCACCACCAAACATCTCCAGAACTTTTCTACTATCCCAAACTAAGCCCTGTAGCCATTAAACAAAAATTCTGATTCCCTCCTATCCATAAACTCTGGTAACCACTCTGTTACTTTCTGTCTCTTTGAAATTGACTATTCTTAGTACCTCATAAAAATGAAATCATGCGATACTTATCATTTTATATCTAGCTTATTTCACTTAGCATAATGTTTTCAAGTTTGATCCACATTGTTTCATGTACCTGAATTTCATTCCTTTTTAAGGCTAAATAATAATCCCACTGTACGGATATGCCACATTTTTTTTCCATTCATCCATTGGTTGACATTTTATTTCTGCTTTATGCCTATGGTGAAAATGCTGCTATGAATATTGGTGTACAAATATCGTGGAAGCAAAGGTGAGTAAATATGTCAGGATGTTTCTTACCATTTTAAAGGTTGCTTTTTCTTGATTAAGCATTTGCTTGGCAGCTATAGAGCTGTAATTGTTTTCTGGAACTCTTTAAAGGTTAGTCCAGCTAGTTCCTGGTTTCTTTTTCTTAAATGTTTCTGCAAAGAAATGAAGGCTTGAAGCTGCTTAGTCAGCCATTTTGCTCTGCAAGAGGAATTTTTATGCAGCATTGTCTGAATAATTTTTGACCTAAAAACGGAAAGTTGTGATATTGTATATGGAAAATAATGTACCTTGCATTTTATGAATAAGTTAAGTGTTTAATGATATTCACATTTCATACATATAATTTAGCAGGTTGTTTATATACCAGAGAAATTTTCAGTATGTTCAAATAATGCCATACATTTTGTTGTACAGGCACTGTGTAATGACAGGTGGGGTAGGTACTATTATCACTGTATCAAATAAAAAATAATTTAGGCATGGAGACAAAACATTATCTGCATAATTCTAAAATGATGGAGTTAGGAAGACTTATTGTGTGATTTTTCTTTGTCAGCACATTTTATAGCAGCCTTCTCTAATTGCTTGTGTGTGTTTTCATTTACACACTCAAAAGTTTAGTCAAAACATTTCTGGAAATTATCATGAAAGCACGCAAAGGATATGGTCAAGGACAATAATCATTTAGGACATAATCTTCTTGGTCTTCATAGGCCCATAATAAATTATGGAAGCAGAAATATTGGTTGTAGGTAGTTGCTTTCATCTACTTAAATTTAAGCACTATAAATTCCCCAAATCTCTGTTCAATTTTAGCTAAAAGTCAGCTCTCAGGTTTAGATCAGGATCTGACTCACAGGAAACTGAAATAATGGGTTAGCTTTGGTCTTGGGAT
The DNA here is from genome assembly GCF_000001405.40 of Homo sapiens. Classification (NCBI taxonomy): domain Eukaryota; kingdom Metazoa; phylum Chordata; class Mammalia; order Primates; family Hominidae; genus Homo; species Homo sapiens. Next base: position 21,623,377 of record NC_000021.9, read on the forward strand.
AAAAGGTAGATCAGGATGAGGCAAGACATGATTAGACGAAACCTAATCAATAAAAACTTCAATTAAACAACACTGGCTTATCATATTTATTTTTCACTTCTCAATATAAATATGAATAAATGTGCCTTAACGTACAATAATATATTTTTATTTTTAGTATCTAAAGATTTAAATAAATCATCTATCTCATAAGGGCCAAACCCTTTGATTTTGTTATATGCTCATTTAATTGATGTCCCTTGGCGTATGAAGCACTCTTTACTTTGGTTCGCCTTCTTTCTTCCTACACCTTCTCACAATCTATTGCTGACTCTTCTTCTTACAAACTAGAATTTGTTGATATTCTTCCAGCTATCTTTGTTAGTCTTCTCAACTATCTTTTCATGATCTGCCTGATAATCTATCTAATCTCATAGTTTCAAACATGATCTTCACTCTGAAATTTATAGTCTTTCCTGAGATTTAAAACTGTAGTTGTTCATTCACTTATTCACATTATATACTCAATTAAAAATTATTCACAAAGCATCCTCTTCCACAGCATCTCTATAGTGTTTCTAATTTGATTTCCACAAGAAGCCCAAATTCTCATTCTCTGTACTTCCGGTGCACTCCCCTTTCAGTTTTCCCTATCTCTGTTACCAGCATCTTCATGAGTTACTCATCCTAAAATTGTAAGTTTTTCTCTTTTCTGCTCAGTGTAAATTGAATCAATGTTGATAGATCCAGTCTCCATTTCAGGGAATGTCGTTCATCATTGTCCTCACTAGTGAAAAGGAAAAAGAAAGAATGTATTTGCTCTATAGAAATGATTTACTTACCATAAATTAATTAAATCACTAAGCCACAAACAAGCTGAATCATGAGGTGTTACCAAAAATGTGTAAAATTTGAGTTCAAAATTTATACTTGAATAATTAGAAATTGTCTAAAAGTTTCATTAGGCATTTCAAATATCTTAGATCTTAGAGCCTTTATGTGGAAGTTCATTTAGAACATGTTAGGATAACTAAATACCAACCAATAAACAAAAAAGCTATCCAAGGCAATGTGTTTGAACTTCTGGAACCAATCTTTAAATGATTCTTCCTAAAGTCCCATTATATTGTTTTCAAATGGCATTGGAGAGTGAATAAAGGGAACAATAAGATTTTACAAGACTGAAAGCATTTACGAAACCATGTAACTGCCAAAGAATGGATGTTAAAGCATCCTAAAGAGTCTGATTAATGAATAATTTAAAAAGTCATCGTAGCTAACTACTCCATGTTATACGACCTTTACCCCTTGGGCATCTGATAAAGAGAAAGGTTCAGCTTTAAACAACCTTAGTTGAATTAGAAATTTACTTGCTTATCCTAAAGCCATCCATTTTATGACCCAGTTGATTACGTTTATTTTTCTCTCCTTAGATTTCTTCATGTCTTTTCATACAGAATGAATCATATGATGATAATAGGCAGCTGAGAAAGGAGTAACAGAGAAGGATTCTTTAATAACCCACACATGCCTGTGGTAAAAGCAACTGGGTCTTTTAAGCTGTGTGTATGATTCCTAAATGTCAAAACTTCTTTGTGGCTGTGCCTTTGTTCTGTTATTCTCTATGTTTAGATGATACTTTCCTTTTTTATGTCTAAATTCTACTTATCTTTCAACACTTAACTCATCAGTCACCAACATTGTGGAAGCTAACCTGATTTATCCTTTTTATAACTAATAATGTAATACTTCAATAAATGCTCTTCCATAATGCCTTGACTAGAATACTATGACATGTATAATATTAATGTGCATTACAACTGGTTACATACCATTATATGAACTTAATATCAGCAGGTCTGTGTCTCCTTGGAAATAGAAAAATGACTTGAATATAACAATTGCATTAAAATGTTGGCTTAATTGAATTTCATGTTCCACAAAATTAATTTACTGCTCAGAGCAACTGGCCTAGGAATCTAAAATTTTCATGATTGCAACTCAGCTTAGTTCTAACCATATTTTGATGTTAGCCCAAGCAAGTATTATTTTATGTAATTAAAAAAAGTTAAGATTATTAAACATATGTTTTCTACTTATTTCATAAAACTGCATATTCATATAGAATTTCTATCTCCTTATGAACACTGCACAAATTATAAAAACATGTAAAATAAATGTATAAAAACTACTTATGCCAAAACAAAGGAAACCTTTCTTACGCCCCTTACACCCTTTGTGGATATTAACCACATTCAGAATATTCTTGTGATCATTTCTCCAGCTGGACACCTACTGAAACAGAAATGACTTTAGCTTAATTAAAGTCCCTATTGGTGCAATGGCCTTCAAACTACAGGGTGATCCTTGTGGAAAAAGCAATGGCCATCCTACTCATTGCAGTGGCTGGGGGTTTAATCCTGGAAGGGTTATCTACTGTTCACCCTATTTTTAACAAGAAATCACCTCCATTGGGCTACAACTCTCTTTTATACCTCTGGAGGTTGGAAATGTGGATATTTATTGCAGTTAAGGAACTAAGAATTTTAAAGAGGTAACTTGCCAAAGCTGGCTGAAAAATGCCCTCATTCTCCTTCAAGTTTATTGTCCACACGGCGCTGTGTTGACATTCCAAGAAGGATAATGTGGTTCAAGTCTTTCAGCACAGGTTTCAGGGATATAGCTCTCAACAAGGAATTGCGCTTGAATAGCTGATTTTATTTACTTACTAAAGAGTATCTCTTTTATAATTTAACAAGTAGAAAAATAGTTTTAAATACTCAGATAATTACAAGTTAAAGCATCAAAACATAGACTTTCTCCGTGGTCAGGGTGGGTGGGTTTCATGAGCTTGCATCCTATGCAATCACAATGGCCTCATGCTTAGAAGAACCCTGTGAATGGTCTTAGGTTATGCTATCACTGTCGTGAAATTCTTGCTAACTTTTGGACAAAGGGTTCCTACATTTTCTTTTGGTGCTGCCTTTGCTTACTGGTTTAGAATTAATCAAGAGGTTTTGGCTGCTGAAAGTGGCAAGTACAAAGCACTTAGGTAAAGTGAATAAATCTCCAATTTTCTGAATTAGCAGCTTATAGGCTATGTCCCAGAAAATTGTATTGCAAACTTTTGTTTCAGCAGAACTCCACCACATTTTTATTTTCTTCTAGTGAAATGTTATGCAGAAGCCCAACCTTTGAAGCCAGTAAAAGTGAAGCTGATGTGGTTCGAGTGCAGTTGTGAGGAGAGAAAGGTCCAAGGTTCTCTCGGCATAGAGTTGAGGAGGGTGGTTGGGGACAGTGAGTTAACATTAAAGAACCTTAATATGAGGCAAAACACAGTGTGAAAGCAATAATGATCAACAAAGGGTATTGGAATAATTGTAGGGAAGTGTAGGCTTATTAATATTCAGAATCAAAGCACTTTATCTAAAGGACTAACGAAACACCTGAATTGAACAGGGCTTAAAAAAGATACTATTCTTGGGTGCTTGATATAAAAGGATACAGAAAAGTCTTTTCAGAGGCTTACAATATAGTGAGTGTTAGAACTGTAAATCTCACGTAACTTTTGTCTTTCCATCTGAATGTACAGTAGAACAGATTGTAAAGTGCACAATTATATGATATACAAACTCTAAAACATTGTCATGGTAGTTTTGAATTTCTTGAGGAAATATGACATATACCTGAATATCAGCTTTCAGACTATTGCTCTGACCTTTTGCCCAGTTGTTTAAAATTTTCTCATTAGAACTGGGTGTATAATACAGGTCTGTTTCCCTTTATTGGAATTAGAAATAGCTCAGACACAATGCCATTAACAGGAGATCAACAGGCTATTCCATCAAGAATGGACTTAGAATATTGGTAAACATTGCTCAGAATCCAAATTGAGCTGTAGACTCAGTATCTTATTATGTAAGTGCAAGGTGTGAATTTTATGTGCTGAAGCCATGTCAAGCACTATTAAACTGACAAGGGTATAAAGAAGAAACAATACAGACCTCTTGGAAACTCTCATTATCAACAGGCGATTAGAGGTGTGTAGTTTCAACAGAGAGAGACGGAGGAATTCTTGAATGCTGTTCAACAATCAATATTCTAAGTCTACATGTTTTTTAGGAAAACACAAAACAGTGATTCTTTTTTAATATGCTCATCAGCTTGGTTATCAAAGTCATATTTCAACATTGCCTGTGCTCATTAAATTTGTACTTGAATATAAATGTTTGAATATACATTTTTATGTGGAAAAAAGTCTTGAAATGAATCTAAAGTGGTTTCAAGGACACATTTCACAGTTCATAATTTACCAACTAAAGATATGACATTTTGATGGTCCCTCAAATCTGTTTCTCAGGACACCCATTGCGCTTTTAAAGTGGTGTTGTGTCTTAATGCCTCAGTCACACCTGAGATGACTGGCTGGGTTTCTTGAGTGATAGAAATGATAACAATTACACCAGTTTCCCTAAAAGCCAACTTCAGTAACTTTGATGGCCCTGATATTTTTGTCTGTGGGAGCAATTACTGACCAGCTAAATGCTGCTGTCCACAAAAAAATTGTAAATTGTGTCCTATAGAAGTATTTAGAAAATACTATTTGAACCAATGTGACAGTTAAGGTTCTCATCTTGCTCTGAGAAATATTGGACCTTATTTTATCCTTTGACAGTAAGCTATCTTACTGTCAAGGTTAGTCCAGCAATATAGTCTACTGTTCAATATTTATTTTTCCTTATTTTATCTTATTTTTAAATCTTACTTATTTTTTTTTGAGACGGAGTTTCACTCTGTCACCCAGGCTGGGGTGCAGTGGTGGGATCTCAGCTTACTATAACCTGCGCCTCCCGGGTTCAAGTGATTCTCCTGCCTCAGACTCCCGAGTAGCTGAGATTACATGAGTGAACCATGATGCCTGGCTAATTTTTGTATTTTTAGTAGAGATGGGGTTTCACCATGTTGGCCATGCTAGTCTCCAACTCCTTACCTCAAGTGATCCCCCGCCTCGGCCACCCAAAGTGCTAGAATTGAGCCACCGCCCCCGGTCTATTTTTTCTTATTTTAAATAGATAAATATTTGGAATAAAAAAGATAAGTGTCCAACTGAAGGATAAAATAATCCAGTAGCAGAGGCTTGAATACCAGAAAATTAAATGACAAAAAAGGCTATCTCTAGACATATTCAAAGTCAAATTCAAAGCCAGAGTGAAGGTCACCCAGAGGCTGCGTTTGGTATCAGAGCTGATGTTTGTTTAGGTGAAGTTTGTTTAGGTGAATCTCTCTTTCATATTGCAATAGTTTTAAATAGAGTCTTCCTTGTCTGTTTAAATCTGTCCAGTACAATTTTTCTTAGACTATTGATAACTAAGTGTTGCTTGGCATGTTAAAAAGGAGGCCTTAGGTATGCTGCCGTGGGGAGGTGCTGGGCAAAGAGTGATAGGTTAATGCTGCTGGTGGTGAGATTTAACCACTTGTTAGCTTTGTTCACTATGCATGCACCACACATATCACTAATGGTGATCCTGGCAAGAACAAGAATACAAGTGGATTTCTACCAAAACATCTCCCATTAATTTTCATGCAACTACTAACAACATTCCTTTATTAAAAAGTATAAAATCCAGGTTCAATGCTGGAGAAAAGTATAAATCAGAAGTGCTCCAGGAAAACTACCTAGAGTAGAAAAGAAATCTTGGGGATGAGTAATTGTCTGTTACCTCCCAAATCTTGTAGTGTGGCCCACTGGCACGAAACTCAATTATCATCAAAAATGTGATAAAAAAAGGTCACTAGAAATCAACAACCATACTGTCCTAAATCAGGTACCAATTAGTTCTACAAATTTAGTGCATTTTTTGTGTTGGAGTGGATGGTGATTGATGACAAGGCGTAAAGGTCGAAGGGGCTACCTTTGATATGTATTAGTTGTTTTCTAGAACATCATAACAGAAACACGTTTTCATTTCTCTTTGGCGGTTTCTATCTCTGTGTCCATGTTGGAAAAGAGAATAGAAGAGAAAAAAGGAGAGAAGACAGCTACCATATTTTATAGTTCTTTCTCAGCTTTCATTGGAAAGCTTACTGGCAAGTCAAGAGCATAGAAATACGAAATGAAAAAATAATAATGAGTAAAACATGTATTAGAGAATAATTAAGTATGATCTATCTGTTTAAAAATAATTTAAGACATCTTTATAAAATGCATAGTTCTTACTTCATGGATCAAAGAAAGGCAATGGAATGTTTCCACTCTCTCCCATTACTTTCAATCTGTTGTTGCATACATGTCATGCATCATTATTAGGTATGTGAAGCTCTTCCTTCTTTAAGTTACTTTATATCAAATATCGGCTTGATTATTAACATTTTAAAAATCTGTTTCATACAATCGGTGAATAGTTGAGAGTTGCAGTCTTATTTCCTAAGTATTTGCAAATATATTACATATAAAACTCCAGGAATTGGTTTAGTGGCGTTTTATAGGCAATTTTATCCTGTTCCTGGAGTGCAACTATAAGGTGTGCTGAGCTATTCCTACTAGGCAAGACAGTAGTTTCCAACATTGCCAGAAAGCTCTGAGCAGCAGTCAGTTTTATATGCCTATGTGTGTATGGAGGAACTGGAGAAGCCTTTGGGTATATATACACTTTAAGGAATCTTGAACTCTGAAGCCTGCCAGTCTACAACTGGGTTAAAATTCTGCATCAGCCACTTACCAGCTTCATGACTTTAGACAAATTAAAAAGTTACTTAACAGTAAGAACTCTCATTTATTGCAGGCAATAATGCAAAATAGTATAGCCACTTTGGAAGACATTTTAGCAGTTCCTTACAAAACTAAACTTACTCTTGCCACACAACCCAGCAATCACACTACTTGATATTTACCTAAATCAATTAAAAACTTATAGCCACAGAAAAAAATCTGCTCAGAGATGTTTATAGCAGTTTCATTCATAATTGCCAACTATTTGAATCCACCAAGATGTCCTTCAGTAGGTGAATGTATAAATTCACTGTGGTACATTCAGAAATTGGGATATGATTCAATGCTGAAAAGAAATGAGCTATTAAGCCATGAAAAGATACAGAGGAATCTTAAATACATATTACTAAGTGAAAAAAGCCAATCTGAAAAAGCTCTATACTGTATGATTCCAACTATATGACACTCTGGAAAAGGCCAAACTGTGGAGACAATAAAAAGATTAATGGTTGCCAAGGGTTTGGGGGAGGGAAGGATTGAAAATGCAGAACACAGAGGATGTTTAGGGCAGTGAAACTATATTCTGTATGATAGATACTGCAGTGGTGGACACATGCCATTACACATTTGTCCAAACCCATACAATGTGCAACACCGAGCAAGAGTGAACCTTCATGTAAATGATGGATAATGGGTGATAATAACATGTTAATTTAAGTTCATCAATTGCAACAAATATACCCCGGTGGTGGGAAGTGTTGATAGTGGGGGAAGATGTGGCTGTGTCGAGACAGGGGATATATGGGAACTTTCTGTACTTTCTGCTCAATTTTGCTGTGAATCTGAAACCTCTTTAAAGTTTACAAATTTCAAAGCAAAATGACTTAACCTCCGTAGGCTTCAGTTTCATCAAATTTAAATTGTAGGTAGTAATAGTATCTATTTCATAAAGTAGTTTTAAGACCAAATCAGTTTGAAGACATCATTTGTATACAGCAGTGCTTATCACTTTACTCACATATTAGCAGTTATCAGAAAGAGGTTATAATTGAGATTTACAGTTATTAAAGCCTTTTTCATTTCTATGATCTTGATTGCCACCAAACACCCATGATTAACCTGTAAGGTAGACTGAATGGAAATCCTTAGGCCCTCTTTATATTGGGAAACAAAGGGTCAGCATTCAAATGAATTATGTAGGATCATAAGTCAGAATTGGAAATAGGTCTTGTGATTCCTAGAGCAATCATTTTTCCATTACGCACATTTGTCTAAAGACACTCTTATACACTTAAAATTGTAGGCAACCCTCACCTTGCACAGTACCCTGTTAGGAGAAACCCATTAATGTCAGATCCATGCAAGGCAAGGAATAAGTATATTGAAGAACCCAAAGAACTTCTGTGTACCTGGTTTATATCTTTGGATGTTCACTGTATTACACATTTATATTAATATATGTAAAACTCAAATAGATAAGCACACAGTCCATTAGTCCTCAAAATGATGACATCTTCATGCTATGAATCTCTGGAAGAAACCCACTGTATTCCTTTGAGAGAATAAGATTTAAAAAGACAAATAACATCTTGATATTATTATAAATTTATGCCCAAAAAAAGTCAAATTAAGGATGGTACGTTTGATCTCTTGGATGATAGGGAAGGGACTTGGAATACCCAGGGGTCCCCAGTCAACACTTTGAGAATGACTACAATATATTATATGCCATGAGACCACCTTTATACAGGTTGCCCTCTACCCCGTCTTTCTAATCTGCTGCCTAACAGTCTCCCTGCCCTTTTGCAGTAGCTTTTCCACATTCTCCCAGTCATTTTTTAGCTTGATCATTAATTTCACACTAGACAGATTCTGAGTCCCTGTCCTCTTCAGGTCCATTGAGACTTTTCCTGCAGGCATATTCTCCTCCAGAATTAAATGGGATGAAAATAGGCCATAGAATGTCAGAGCTTTCTGCCTGTACCAAACTCTCAGCTCAGTTCATGCGGAGCCGAGCCAGGGATGAGAAGCAGCAGCTCAGTTCTCAGCTGGAGCAGAGCCAGAGAACCTTGAGCTGTGAGCTGGCTTCAGAAGCCACAGCCATGGCCCCGGACAAGCAGGAGAATGAGGTGTGGCTGCTTTGGATGTGACCAAGTGAATGAAAGTCACAGAGGACTGCGCCAGGCAGGGCAGGGTCCGAGCCAGATGAGATTGATCCAGATGACTCATGAATAATCAACAATATGGAGAAGCAGTGGTGGCTACTTAATGCAGTTTATATAATGTAATTTCCTTTGTTTTTAGAGCATCATGAATGTCGATGAAATGCCCTTTCATTTCACATTTAAGCTCTAAAATGTCACCACAATTTCCAGTTTATTAGATGATGTGTTTCTTTAAAACATTTGGTTTTACAAATACCATGCTCTATTGTTGCATAAGGTCAGAATTATTTTCTGCCTGTTTATATGCAGCTTTACCAACTAAATCAATTTTTGGTTTTTAGGAGCATGGAACCACAGTTAATAGGTTAGAATTTGTTGTACATAACATTTCTTCGTAACAGATCCTTACACTGAATATGTGATGTTTACTGAAACATCTCATCATAGCCTTTCATGCACAAGATGGCATAAGATATGCTGATTGATTACTAAACATCCTTCCCTATAATTCTGCATTATCCACAAATGTTTATTGAACCCTTCTTTGGCATAGATAACTGAACTGGTAGCTACATATAAAAAGTAACTATAAAACGTAGCCTCCCATAAAGACTTAGGGTCTAGATGAGAAAACACATATGCATTCATAAACATACATGAGCAAACACAATGCATCCACAGTAATATAAGCTAAATGTTAAATGTCAAATAACGTAAACCGGATATATAGAAGGGTAGAGGAGGGATCTAATGATGGAAGTTTGTCTTTTGTCAGCTCAGTTTTCCTTTGGTAATGCACTTCATCATTCTTCATACCATTGTGATAAAATAAGATTAAAATGAACCTCAAAAACCAGTAGGGTGTTTACATGACTCCTGTCTGGTTAATCAGCATATTCTTCCCCTAGCCACACTGCCTCAAGTTGGACCAGTGAATAATCTGCTTTTTGATTTACCAGAACAATGTGGAAGGAACTATTTCTATGGGGGTTATAGGCTGGTAGGAGGAAATCATGAAAGTTCTCCTGGTCATATTTGTCTCTCAGTTACAAAAACCTTCTGAAAACAAAGTCAAGACTGAAAAAAGCAGGATTAAGAGGTATAGAAGGAAGGATTCCTGGATCTAGCAATACTTGGAATCTCTTCCACTCCTGGTCTTTTCCAAGGATGTGAGCTGATAAAGCCCTTTTATTTGTAAGCTGTTTTAATTAGGTTTATAGCACCAGTAACTGTAAGGGTCCTAATTCACACAGAGGCAATGATAACTTAAGGACTGCCATTCTCAAAACTTCTTCAAAGAATGTTTTGAGCAGAGCCCTGAGTGCTGTTTAAAACTGTTAAAAGAAAAACTTCTACTGGCAGCTTTCATGTGCTGGCATTGAGTGTCTCTGGCTTTTCCAGGTACAGAGTGTAAGCTGTTGGTGGATCTACCATTCTAGGTTCTGAAGGACAGTGGCCCTCTTCTCACAGTTTCACTAGACAGTGCCCCAGTGTGGACTCTGCATGGGGGTACAGACCCCACACTTCCCTTCTGCATTGCCCTAGCAGAGATTCTCCATGAGGATTCCACCCCTGCAGGAAACTTCTGCCTGGATATCCAGGTGTTACCGTACATCCTCTGAAATCTAGTAGGAGGTTCCCAAAGCTCAATTCTTGACTTATGTGCACCCGCAGGCCCAACAACTTGTGTAAGCTGCCAAAGTCTTGGGGCTTGCACCCTCTGAAGCAATGCCTGAGCTGCATGTTGGCCCCTTTTAGCCATGGCTGGGATGCAGGGCAGGGCACAAAGTTCTGAGGCTGCATAAAGCGCAAGGCCGTAGGCCCACTACACAAAACCAATTTTTCCTCCAGGTCTCTGGGCCTGTGATGGGAGAAGCTGCTGTGAAGATGTCTGACGTGTCCTGGAGACATTTTCCCCATTGTCTTGGTGATTAACACTTGGCTCCTCGTTACTTATGCATATTTCTGGAGCAGGCTTTAATTTTTCATCAGAAAATGAGTTTTTCTTTCCTATCACATCAACAAGCTGCAAACATTCCAAACTTTAATGCTCCGCTTCCCTTTTAAGTATAAGTTCCAATTCCAAACTATCTCTTTTTGGATGCATAAAACTGAATGCTTTTAAGAGCACCGAGGTCATCTCCTGAATGCTTTGCTGCTTAGAAATTTCTTCTGCCCAATATTATATATCATCTCTCTCAAGTTCAAAGTTCTGCAGATCTCTAGGGCAAAGGCAAAATGCTGCCAGTCTCTTTGCTAAAGCATAACAAGAGTGAATCTTATTCCAGTTCCCAACAAGCTCTCCATCTCCATCTGAGATCACTTCAGCCTGGATTTCATTGTCCATATCACTATCGGCATTTTGGTGAAAGGCATTGAACAAGTCTCTAGGAAGTTCCAGAATTTCCCAGATCTTCCTGTCTTCTTTGAGCCCTCCAAACTGTTCTAAACTCTGCCTGTTATCCAGTTCCAATGTTGCTTCCACATTTTCAGGTATCTTATAGCAGTGTTCCAGTACATTGTGTTAGTCCATTCTCGTATTGCTTTGAGAAAATACCCAAGACTGGGTAAGTGGTGAAGGAAAAAGCTTTAATTGACTCACAGTTCAGCATGGCTGGGAAGCCTCAGGAAACTTACAATCAAGGCAGAAGGGGAAATGGAAGCAAGACACCTTCTTCACAAGGTGGCAGAAAGGACAATGAATGCAGGAGGAACTACCAAACATTATAAAACCATCAGATTTTGTGAGAACTCACTCACTGTCACAAGAACAGCATGGGGATAACTGCCTCCATGATTTAATTATCTCCACCTTGTATCTCCCTTGGCACATGGGAGTTATGGGGATTAAAATTCAAGATGAAATTTAGGGTGAGGACACAGCCAAACCATATACCCTTATAAGCAATTGCTCAAATTTCCCTTTCAGCATTTCTTGTGTTTTAAAAAATATTATCTTAGTGAAAGTAACACATTTAAGTACATGAAAAGTATGTTACTAAAGCTTATGTGAAACTAGCTTTCTTCTGCCTGTTCTATTTTTGCTTCTCTCCACCAACACTTTCAGTACTAGAGAAAAATATTTTCAAGTCTTTCAGCTCTTCTTTCATATATTAGCTCTATGTTTTCAAATAATATGTTTATACTGTTCCTTTTTAAGTTTTCAACTTCAAATATATATAGTCTTCTTGTCAAATTAGTTGACAATATTAACCACCTACTTCCATTTTGCCTCAAATAGAATTTTGATTTTTGGTCAAATTATGAATTAGTATTTGCTTGAGCTGTGTAAATATTGAGACTATGTTAATACTTCCACCAATGAGTCACATAGAACTAAAAAGAGGTGAGGCTATAATTATGATTCATTTTTTAGTTAAATAGGTTTTGCCCATCTTCTGCATCAAAACTGTCAAATTGTTTTTGGAAATACTATTTCCCAAATGCTCAAATGTGTCTGATAGCCTTCAATTTCCATTTTTCTTCTTGACTCTTCTGGCGCCACCTCCCCTGATTCCGTTTGCATTCTCAACTTCAAGCTGCCAGTTTTCATTCTTATGTTCAAGTTACCTGGCACCATACGTGCTGAACCTTCCTGGTATTTGATGGGGCTTGTTTGCTCATAGATGATTTCTTCTTTAACTCTGCCATGTCAGCTACTGTATCTCTGTTGGATTAAAAAAAAATGTTGAAATCTCATTGGGGTTTGTACAGTTGACCCCAGAGCAACATGGCTTGAATTGCACAGCTTCACTTATATAACGATTTTTTACAAAATATGTTTCACCGCGTGTGCCTACCTCTCCTGCTTCCACTTGCATCTCCTCCACCTCTTCCAGCTCTGCCATCCTTGAGAAGGCAAACCCAACCTATTCTTTCTCCTATTCCTCAGTCTACTTACTCAATGTGAGGACAATAAAGAGGATGAAGACTTTTAAAACAATCGCTTCCACATCATGAATAGTCAATGTATTTTCTGTTTCTTATGATTTTTGTCATACATTTTATGTTCTCCGGCTTACTTTATTGTAAGAATACAGCATATTATAAATTTAACATACAAAATGTGTTAATAACTATTTATTTTATAGGTAAATCTTCCAGTGAATAATAGGCTATTAGTAGTTAAGTTTGTTGGGATTCAAATGTTTTATAGGGAATTTCGACTACACAGAGTATCTGCACCCCTACCCTTCACATTGTTAAAGGGTCAGCTGCACCTATTAATTTACATTTTTCTTTAGCTTATTTTCTTTATTTTAATTTTGAATAGGAGACAAAATAATTGCATGTTGTTCATCTACCTAGATTTTCTGGAAAGTTTTCTATTCGTTTTAATTTCTGTGGTTCCTGTCATAGTATATTTGAATTTCATATTTCATATTCCCTTTGGATTTTTGGTTAAAATAACTTTTTAATTTAACATTTATTTATTTATTTAGTGAGTTGAAGTTTCACTCTTGTTGCCCAGGCTGGAGTGCAATGGCACCATCTCGGCTCGCTGCAACCTCTGCTTCCCAGGTTCAAACGATTCTCCTGCCTCAGCCTCCCAAGTAGCTGGGATTACAGGCATGCGCCATCATGCATGGCTAATTTTGTATTTTTAGTAGAGATGGGGTTTCTCCATGTTGGTCAGGCTGGTCTTGAATCCCGGCCTCAGGTGAGCCGCCTGCCTGGGACTCCCAAAGTGCTGAGATTACAGGTATAAACCACTGTGACCAGCCTTTAATTTTATTTTTAATTGACATATAATATTGTACATATTTATTGAGTACATGGTAATGTTTCATCCATATAATGTAATAATGTATAGTGATCTGATCACTGTAATTAGCACATTCATAATCTCAAACATTTATCATTTATTTGTGTTGGGAACATTCAGTATCCTCCTCCTAGCTCTTTGAAACTAAATATTATTGTTAACTATTGTCATCCTACAGCACTACAGAACACTAAAATTTATTTCTCCTACCTAGCTGTAACTTGCATTGTTTAATAAATCTCTTCCTATCCCCTTCCTCCTACCCTCCCCAGTCTAGTATTCTCTGTTCTACTTTTTACTTCTGTGAGATCAACTTCTTTTAGCTTCCACATGTGAGTGGGAACATTGCAGTGTTTAACTTTCTGTTCTTGGCTTATTTAACTTAACAGTGTCCTCTAGTTAGATTCATGTTGCCACAACTTATAGAATTTCATTTTTTCTCATGACTGCCCGGTAGTATTCCATTGTGAATATGTAACACATCTTCTTTATCCATTTATCTGTTATTGGACACCTTGGCTAATTTCATATCTTGGCCATGTGAATAGTGTAATAAACATATGGATGCAGATGTCTCTTTGATGTACTGAGGTTTTTTTAATTTGGATAAATCTATAGTAGTGTGATTACTGGATCATATGGTAGTCCTATTTGTAGTTTTGTGGAGAACCTCTATACTGTTCTCCGTAGTGACTGTACTACTGTACATTCCCACCAACCATGTAGAAAAGTTGCTTTTTCTCCACATATTCACCAGCATTTTTTATTTTTTGTCTTTGTGATAATAGCCATCCTAACTGGACTGAGATGATACCTCATTGTGGGGTTCATCTGCATTTCCCAGATGATTAGTGAGGTTGTTGAGCATTTTAAAATATACTTGATGGACATTTTTGTGTCTTCTTTTGAAAAACGTCTGTTCAAATCACTTGTCAATTTTTATTTGGAATGCTTTTTTTTGCTACTGAGATGTTTGAGTTCCATATATATTCTGGATATTAATCTTCTGTTGGATGAATAGTTTGCTAATATTTTCTTTCATTATGTAGCTTTTCTTCTCACTCTATTGATTGTTTCCTTTGCTGTACAGAAGCTTTTTAGTTTAATGTAATCACATTTGTATATATATTTTTTTGTTGCCTGTGCTTTTGAGGTCTGATTCATAAAATATTTTCCAAGGCCAGTATCCTGAAGTGTTTCCTTTTTGTTTTCTTCTAGTAGGTTTGTAGTTCTGGGTCTTATATTGAGATCTTTGATCTATTTGGGGTTGATTTCTTTATAGTGGGAGAGGTGGAAGGTCTAGTTACAGATTTTTTTTTTTTGCATTTGAATTTCCAGTTTACCCAGTACCATTTATTAAAGAGATTGTCCTTTCTCCAATGAGTGTTCTTGGCAACTTTGTCAACAATCAGTTGGAATTTGATACACAGATTAATTTCCATGTTCTCTACTCTGTTTAATTGGTCTATATGTCTATTTTCATGCCAGTATCATGCTGATTTGGTTACTACAACTTTGTAGTATATTCTAAGTCTGGTATTGTGATGCCTCTGGCTTTGTTCTTTTTGTTCAGGATTGCTTATGTGTACATAGTGTATTTGATTATTTCACACAATTTTAAAAGTTTAATTTTACAAAAGTTAAGATTTTTTCTATTTCTGTGGAGTATATTGATAGGGCTTGCATTGAAGAAGTAGGTTGCTTTATATATTATTATTATTTTAACAATACTAATTCTTCCAAAACATGAGCATGAGATATCTTTCCATTTGTTTGCATCCTCTTCAATTTCTTCCATCAGTATCTTCTTGCTTTTATTGTAGAGGTCTTTTGCCTCCTTAGTTAAATTTAATCCTAAGTCTTTTAACTTCTTTGTGGTCTTATAAATGGCATTGCCTTCTTATTTCTTTTCCATTCACTTTGCCCTTCATGCTTAGAAACACTAGTATTTATCAATATATAACATTTTATCAATATACAATATTTGTATATTGATTTTGTATACTACAACTTTACTGATTTTATTTATCTGAAGAGTTTTTCGTAGCATCTTTAGATTTTTCTAAAAAGATTGTATTGTCTGCAAGAGGGACAATTTGAATTCCTTTTGTTTAATTTGGATGCCCTTTCTTTCTTTTTCTTGCCTAATTGCTCTGTCTAGGTCTTCTAATGCCATGCTGAATAAGATTGGTGAGAGTGGGCATCCTTGTCTTATTCTGGTTCTTAGAAAAAAAGCTTTAGGATTTTTCTCACTCGGTAAGATGTTACCTGAGGTTTTATCTCATATGGCTTTTATTATGTTGAGATGCTTTTCTTTTACATATAACTATTGAGAATTTTAACATGAAAAGGTTGGGCGTGGTGGCTCAAGTCTGTAATTCTAGCACTTTGGGAGGCCGAGGAAGGTAGATCACCTGAGGTCAGGAGTTCAAGACTAGCCTGGCCAACATGGTGAAACCCCGTCTCTACTAAAAATACAAAAAAAAAAAAATTATCCGGGTGTGTGGTGTGTGCCTGTAATCTCAGCTCCCCGGGAGGGTGAGGCAGGAGAATCGCTGGAACCTGGGAGATGGAGGCTGCAGTAAGTCGAGATCACGCCATTGCACTCCATCCTGGGCAACAGAGCAAGACACTGTCCCCTTGCCCAAAAAAATGAAGAGTTGTTGAATTTTATCAAAGATCTTCTCCATTTATTGATATGATCATGTTTTTTCCTTCATTCTGTTGATGTGATGTATAATATTTATTGATTTGTGTATGCTGAACCATCATTTTATTCCTGAAATAAATGCCACTTGACCATTTTTCTAATGTACATTGGATTCAGTTTGTTAGTATTTTGTTAAGGATTTTTGAGTCTATGTTTTTTAGGGATTTTGGCCTGTAGTTATGTTTGTTGTGTCTTTATCTGGTTTTGGTATCAGGGTTAAGCTAGCCTTATAGAAAGAGTTAGGAAGAATTCCCTCCTGTTCAATTTTTTGAAAGAATTTGAGAAGAATTTGTAGTAATTCATCATTAGATATTTTGTAGAATTCAGCAGTGAAGCCATTTGGTTCTGAACTTTTCTTTGTTGGGAGAATTTTTATTAGTGATAATCTTTGAATTTATTTTAAATATTCTTTTTTTTAAGTCACTTTTTGGTGTTGAGTGGTGTTGAGTGTTGTTTCCAAACGGACTCACTTTTCCCCCTTAAAATCTTCCTTTGCATTCTCAAGAGTCTTAGCATTTTGTAAATGTTTTATTAAAGCATACAAAGAACTCAGAAATTATTTTTAGGCCCCTAAGTTTCTGCTCACAGATTTTAGTGACATCCCTGACTTGCTTCATAGTCACATATAAGAATATATAAATCACTTTAAAACTGATTTTAGAATATTGCCTATGCTTTAAGAAGCTTCTTAAAATCAGTGGTCTACAAATATACACAGGTGTCTTGTTAAGTTAATCAGCATTTGTTCTTGAGAAACAGTCACCCAGGAGGCTGTGAGATATTGTAACTTTGGTGGTTGGAAATTTAGAACAGGAAAACTTTAGGAATAATAAGTTTAAAATCATTTTGTATTCACCCTGGTGCTCCAACTTCACCGAATAGATCCATTGTCAATCAGTTAGAGATGGCAGCCCAGATTCCATAAAATACATATTGATTTTACCCATAGACTTACCCTGGTCTGGGAATGCAAGTTTCAGATTAATGCTTCCATACTTTTTCTCTAAATTCCCTTTTAAATGGTATTTGTCCCTCACAAGAAGAAAACAAAATCAAAACAAAAAAACCCTCATCACCAATTTAACTATTAAAAAATGGTTACAGATGTGTTGTTTATTTTTAGTTGTTAACTATGGTCTTTCATGTCTGTATTTAATGACAGAGCTCTGATTAATTTACTCTCAACAAGTATGCGTCTTATGTGTTTTTTTTTTCTATTTTGAGGTCTTTCAAGTGCTCTTGACAATAACATAAATTCTATCTGCCCATGTACATTGGAGCTCTATTATCATGGACTGTGAGTGTAAAAAGAGAAGCAGTAGATCCTCATTATATGCGGATTCAGTATTTGCAAATTTGTCAATTTCCTAAAATTATTTGCAGCCCCCAAATTGATACTTCCAGAGCTTTGATGATCATTCACAAAAATGCCCAGAACAGCAAAAAACTTGAGCCGTCCAAATTACACATTTTCAGCTAAGGTCAAATGTACCACTCTCTCACTGAATACATTTTTGTATTGAATTTTGTGCATGTTTTTTGTGCATGTTTTCTTCATTTTTTGTGCTTTCTGTTTTTGATTTTGCTGTTTAAAAATGTTCCCTAAGTATAATGCTGAAGTGCTGTCTAGGGTACGTAGGTGCAAGAAGACTACAATGTGATAGAGAAAATAATGTGTAACATGAGTTTCCTTCAGGCATGTGTTGTAGTGCTGTTGGTCTTGCAGTCAATGTTAATGAATTAGCAAGATATATTAAATAAGACCCCTTTAAATATAAACACACATAACACAAGGTGATGTAAAAGTTTGATGAAAATATTGTGAGCAGAATCTTGCAGCAACCTAACTCTGTATTTTCCTTAGGAGCAATGATTCTGTATTTGCTATACCAGTGTTGACAGTATAAAACATAACCACTGTGAATAATAAGAATAGATTGTATTTAAATATTACCTTTGTGGATGCCTATTCTATTATAATTTGGAAATCTTGTGGTGGAAGCTATTGTGGTTTTTGTTTTGTTTTGAGACAGGGTCTTACTTTGTCACCCAGTTGGGAGTGCAGTTGCACAGTCTCGGCTCACTGTATCCTCCACCTCCTAGGCTCAAGTGTTCCTCCTGCCTTCCCAGTCCCCCAAGTAGCAGAAACCACAGGTGTGCGCCACCATGCCTGGTTAATTTTTGTAGTTTTTGTAGAGAATGGGTCTCACCATGTTGCCCAGGCTGTTCTTGAACTCCTGACCTCAAGCCATCTGCCCTCCTCGGCCTCCCAAAGTGCTAGATTACAGGCATAAGCCACTGCACCTGGTGTGTGTTTTTTTTTTTTTTTCGCCATTTCAAATCAAAGTTGGATTAATGGGTTGCCCTCATCTAATTTTTATTGTTATTCTAAGATAAATATTAACTAAGTTGATTGTCTTATTTTCATTTCTATTTGCTCACTTTTATAAGCCATAAAAAGAGAAAAAGACCAAGTTTTATGTTAAAATGAATCTGTTTTGTTCTTATTTACAGAATTGTGTATATACTTTTAAAATCATCCCATTAAATTGCTTTAAAACTGTTTCTCCTGGGTTTTTTAGTAATTATAATTATAGCAATATCTGAACCCTTAAATCCCAAATAGTATGTTGTTTACCTGCTTCAGTAAGGATTTCTGAGTTACTTCGCTGGTAAAATCAATTGAAACATTTCTTTTTCTTGAAAAATTCTGTCATCTTTTTTTTAAGTGATATAGAAAGAAATATTGACCTTCGCTTTTAAAATACAAGATTATCAACCAACTATAATCCTTTACAAAACTAAGTGCGTTTCACTATCATGCCATATGCAATAATCAAATGATAATTTCAGTTAAAATAAAACAAGCTATAACTGAATATTTCAAATTATTATCCCAAGCTTTGACTTTATTTTATTTTCTCACTAAGAATTACAGCTTCAGCAAAATATACTACAGACTAGTACATGGATAATAAGTTAGTGATTTAGATAGTTACTTGGATTTTTTAAATATTTAACTCTATGTATTTGTATACATTCAAATCAGAGTCTCTTTTTTGTTGTTGTTTAATGTTAATGCAAATGAGTTTTGCCAACTATAGGCCTTTGAGAACTAACCTTGTAGTTCCATTGTAGGTCCATTATCAATAATTAAGGTCCATTATCAATAATTAAGATAAGATTGACCTTTTCTTGCCTTTCATATTTCTATTTTGGTGCAAAAATGACTCTTCTCCCATTACAAAAAAAATCTTTGCAGTTGCTGAAGCAGAACAATTACTTTATTTCCACTTCAGAGAAATTTCTTTTTTGGAGGTTGAAACACCTGCTATGCATACATTATGTAAAGAACATACCAATCATTTAGAATGAAAGTTTGAATATAAATGTCAGACATTACTGAAAACTGTTTCATAATGTGCTTATGCATCAATTTCATTGTTTTACTCTTTTATTGCTATAGAAGCAGGCAGATATACGAGTGTGTGTATACATATATTTGTATACATATGTGTGTGTATTGTGTGTATGTAGGTGTGTAATTAATAGACAAGTATAACAACTAGTAATTAACAAATAAATAACATCAATTATTTACCTGTTTTAACATCACCTGGCCACAGTTCCACCTAAATGATGGCAACATGTTTCCAATCTGTGGCTTTCTGCTACGTTTTATTTGCCTTGGAATATTTGCATTTACTCATCAATGCTACAAACTTACTTACATATTGTAGGGGCATGCAGATGTATTCCATGAGCTTCAATTAATAAATGATTGGGACTAAAAAGGAAAAAGTAAAGAAATTGAAATTTGACCTACTGCCCAAAGCTTGCTAATTGCTTATTTTATTTCAGTTTTAATCTTCAGGTCCTGAGCAAATTATCCATCATAACCAGCTGATATGGTTTGGCTGTGCCCTCACTGAAATCTCAAATTGAGTTATATCTGTCAGAATTCCCAAGTGTTGTGGGAGCGACCTGGGGGAGGTAATTGAGTCAGGGGGGCTGGTCTTTACCGTGCTATCATCATGATAGTAAATAAGTCTCAAGAGATCTGATGGGTTTAACAGAGGTTTCTGCTTTTGCTTCTTTCATATTTTTCTCTTGCCACCACCATGTAAGAAGTGCCTTTCACCTCCCACCATGATTTTGAGGCCTCCCCAGGCAAGCAAAACTGTAAGGACAATTAAAACTCTTTTTGTTTCCAGTTTCAGGTATGTCTTTATCAGCAGCATGAAAATGAACTAATACAGTTAATTGGTACCAGGAGTGGTGTGATGCTGAAAAGACACCTGAAAATGTGCAAGAGGCTTTGGAACTGGGTAACAGGCAAAGGTTCTAACAGTTTGGAGGGCTCAGAAGAAGACAGGAAAATGTGGGAAAGTTTGGAACCTCCTAGAGACTTGTTGAATGCCTTTGACCAAAATACTGATGGTGATATGAACAATAAGGTCCAGGCTAAGGTGGTCTCATATGGAGATGAGGAACTTGTTAGGAACTGGAGCAAAGATGACTCTTGTTATGTTTTTAGCAAAGAGACTGGCAGCATTTTGATCCTGCCCCAGAGATTTGTGGAACTTTAAATTTGAGAGAGATGATTTAGGGTATCTGGTGGAAGAAATTTCTAAGCAGCAAAGCATTCAAGAGGTGACTTGCGTGCTGTTGAAGGTATTCAGTTTTAAAAGGGAAAAAGAGCATAAAAGTTCAGAAAATTTGTAGCCTAACAATGCAGTAGAAAGGAAAAACTCGTTTTTTTGAGTGGAAATTCAAGCTGGCTACAGAAATTTGCATAAGGAACTAGGACCCAAATGTTAATCCCCAAGACAGTGGGAAAAATGTCTCCAACCCATGTCAGAGATATTCATGGCAGCCTCTCCCATCACAGGCCCAAAGGCCCAGGAAGACAAAGTGGTTTTGTGGGCCTGGCCCACAGTTCTTGTGCTGTGTACAGCCTAGGGACCTGGTGCCCTGTGTACCAGCTGCTCCAGCCGTGGATGAAAGGGGCCAAAGTAGACCTCATGCTGTGGCCTCAGGGGGTGGAAGCCCCAAGCCTTGGCAGCTTCCACATGGTGTTGAGCCTGTGGGTGCACAGAAATCAAGAACTGAAGTTTGGGAACATCCACATAGATTTCAGAAGTTGTATGGAAACACCTGGATGTCCAGGCAGAAGTTTGCTGCAGGACAGGGTGCTCATGAGAACCTCTGCTAGGACAGTGCAGAAGGAAAATGTGGGGTGGGAGCCAACACAGAGATCCTACTAGGGCACTGCCTAGTGGATTTGTGAGAAGAGGACCACTGTCCTCCAGTCCCCAGAATGGTAGATCCACCAATAGCTTGCACTGTGTGCCTGGAAAAGCTGCAGACACTCAACGCCAGCCCATGAAAGCAGCCAGGAGGAGAGCTGTACTCTGCAAAGCCACAGGGGTGGAGCTGCCCGAGACTATGGAAACCCACCTCTTGCATCAGCGTGACCTGGATGTGAGATCTGGAGTCAAAGGAGATCATGTTGGAACTTTAAAATTTGACTGCGCCACTGCGTTTCAGACTTGCATGGGCCCTGTAACTCCTTTGTTTTGGCCATTTTTTCCTATTTGGAATGGCTGTATTTACCCAATACCCGTATCCCCATTGTCTCTAGGAAGTAACTAGTTTGTTTTTGATTTTACAGGCTCATAGGTGGAAGAGACTTGCCTCATCTCCAATGAGACTTTGGTCTCTGAACTTTTGGGTTAATGCTGAAACGAGTTAAGACTTTGGGAGACTGTTGGGAAGGCATGATTGGTTGTGAAATGTCAGGACATGAGATTTGGAGGGGCCAGGGATGGAATGATATGGTTTGGCTGTGCCCCCAGTGAAATCTAACTTGCATTGTATCCCCCATATTTCCCACATGCTGTGGGATGGACCCAGGGGGACGTAATTGAATCATGGGGGCTGGTCTTTCCCGTGCCATTCTCATGATAGTAAATAAGTCTCATGAGATCTAACGGGTTTATCAGGGGTTTCCGCTTTTGGTTCTTCCTTATTTTTCTCTTGCTGCCATCATATAAGAAGTGCCTTTTGTCTCCCACCATGATTCTGAGGCCTCCCCAGCCATGTGGAACTGTAAGTCCAATTAAAACTCTTTTTGTTCCCAGTTTCAGGTACGTCTTTATCAGCAGCATGAAAACTAGTACACCAGCTGTATATAATTGGAACTTATATATGCCTTGTTCTTTCTCAACTTCTTTATCTAATCATTTTTCAGAGTCAACCACCTGAGAAGGTATATATACTTACTACTTTTTTTTAACAATCTGTTTCAGTCTGGATTACATTCTCATCTCTCTGTAGAATGTAGTGTCACAATTGTTAACTAACATTGGAGATCAGGTCCCAGATTTGATCCTCATTAAAGTCCTTCTTGAAACAGTATTTTCACTTTGCTTTTCTGATAGCACATTCTCCTGGTTTTCATCCTGTTTCTTGATCTTCTCTCATCCTGCCTTATCCATCTCTACCTAGACATCAAATATTCATGTTGCCTGAAGCTTGGAACTTTAGTCTGGTTAAATTTGCCATATTTTCAAAGTAATTTTTCTGTATTAACTTCTTTCTTTCTTTCTCTACTCTTATGACTCCCAGCACTGACTTATTTTTGAATATCCACACTCATTTGTTCCAATGTTCATTTCACATCTCCACATTTTTTCCAGAGGCACCTTGAATTAAACCTATCCAAAAGTGAATCCATGAAACTTTATCAACAGTCTTTCAAAGCCAATGTTACCAATGACTTTACAATGATAAAATTCAGAAAAGCTGCAGTTCTCCCAGTGTCCTCTTCCGTGCTCTATTTAATTCATTACCAAACCCTATTTATTTTACTCATTAAATATCATTAGAATATGTTAATTGTTTTCTGTATGTTTCAGTCTCTCCTGGTTCATGTTAGTATCACTTCCTGCCTAGACTACTGCAGTGGTTTACTAACTGGTTTCTCTAAACCTACTTTTGCTTCCTTCCTTTAAATTAATTTTCCACACCTACATATGTAGTTAATATTATAAAATGTGATGTCAAAGATATTGGAAAGTCAATTAAGTATGTAAAGTTTAATGTTGTTATCAGATCTATGCTAGAAAAATATTTGGTAGCAGTGAAGCATTTGAGTGAAAGAAAGATTCTCGCTTTAGGAGAGTTGAGCTGATCTTAAGAGGCTCATGTAGTAAATGGTAACAGGAATGAGAAGGAGAGTTATCTAAGTATTAATCTTCTGCATTGTGCTTGGTGGTTAATAGGATATGGTGAAGAGTGAGATGCCAGGCCATGTGGGCAAGTACAAAAAGCAGTAGCTGCCCTTTGCTAAAAAATTATTCATGATATTCCTAATTAGATTTAATGCACTGTTCTTTACAGCTCTCTAAGAAAATTATAACACTCTCTTTGTCACCTATTAGCCATTATATATTTATGTGGGCACATGGGTATATATGCATGCACACATGAGGGTATATATGTGTATAAACCTATACATCAGGTTATGACAGTATGAGTGTGACTTCTTCTATTGGTCTTCCTCAGTGATCTACTGCTTTCTAGGAATATATTGCATCTGGAAACGTATTTCACAGATGAATCAGCCAATAATTTCTGAGCACATCAAATATCATTATCTAGAAATCATTTTCTTTGACTATAAACTTTTATACCTAACAAAAGTTTATTAATTTATTTATGATGATAGCTGAAGTTATAGACTATATGTCAGAATTTATGAGTTTAATATTTTCTGGGCTTAAAAATTGCCAAGTAAGTCATCTTTCATGTGTTATATGGCCTAAATTAGCACTCTGAATAGCCCCATCTGTTAAAAAAAAAGTGTTCAAATATCTAACAATAATGAAAGAAAAGAGAACAGTTGTGACTTAGTAACTCAGTTAAGCAGAAGACTGAAAATCACATACATTTTGATCATCTGTTATTTTTCTTTTTATATGGTTATCATTTGTAATATTTGAAATTTGTTAAAGTCTATATGAATACTTTCTAAATATATACCATTCATCAACAAGGTGAGTAATAAATGTAAGCTATTTAATTTACATACCTAATTTACTGGCATTTGTCTTTGGAAAACAATTTTGTATAAAAAATTACTTTGAAATGTAACAAGTATTTCATAGGCATTTAATAAAATTTCTTCATTTTAATAATTATTTTGAATATCCTTGAGAGAAATTTAAGAAAAAGAATAAATACATTTTTCTTCTTATTTAACTTGTGTAGTTCCACTAGATTTTTTACTCCAAAACTTTTTTCTATGTTGTCCGTATTTAATAGAGATATATGTAATCTACAGTAATCATATGGGAAAATATTCATATTTATAAGGATGTATATATTTAGTGTAAAATTATTTAGAAAATAAATATTTTCTACTGTACCAAGGTACAAATGTATTGAGCATAATATTTATGCAGTTTAAGTTTTTCTTAAACATATAAAAAATTATTGTAGCAAAATGGAAGGGTAACCAAATTTGACTTTCAGTATAACCAATTTTATATCACTGTTAAGTAGAACGACATTTGTTCAATTAAAATGGATTGAGTCTGGATTCTCTAAGAGAAAGAACCAATAGAAATATATATATTTGTGTGTTTTTATATGTGTGTGGAGAGAGAGAGAGAGAATGTTATTATAAGAAATTGGTTCACATGATGATGGAGGCTGAGAATTCTCAAGATCTTCAGTTGTTGAGCTGGAGGCCTAAGAGAGCCAGCAATATCATTCCAGTCCAAGTCCAAAGGTCTAAGAATCAGGAGAGCTGATGGTGTAAGTTCCAGTCTAAGTCTGAATCCAAAGGCAAGAAAAGACTGATGTCTAAGCTCAAAGACAGGCAGAGAGAGAGAATGATCTTATTTTACCCTTTTATTCTATTCATGCCTTCAAAAGATTGGATAATACTCAACTGTATCGGGGAGGTCCATCTGTTTTAATCAGTCCATACATGAACATGCTCATCTTTGCTGGCAATATCCTCACAGAAGCACTCAGAAATAATGGTTAATAAGTTATACACAGTCAAACTGACACATAACAGTAACCAGCAACTCATGAGCACACTTTTTAAAAAATGTCCTTGTCTCAGAAATTGACAAAGATCAAGGCATAAAATAATAATGGTTAAGAGCACACCCCATGATGGCGGACTCCTTGGATTTGAATCTCAACTCCTCCACTTGTATAATAGGTCAATGATCACAGAAAATTCCATTATCCATTCAAAATGTTAACGTATTTATCTCTAAGAGATCATTATAACTCTGTCACAGAGCTATATTAAGTCTCAGTGATATAATCATGGAATTTTTAAAAATAGGTAGCCTATTATAAGTGTGAATGAAAATTTTAACCCTTTAAACATTTTGCTGAATGATATAATGGAAATAAGTATATTGAGTCAACTGAATTCTACTTTACAATAGGGAAGTGGAAACTTTCAGTTTTATAATTTTTATTTACAGTAGGGTATGGAGGTTTACTAATCATCAAATTTACCTAGGCAAATCCAAGCCACCAAAATCAACATTTAATCTGACTGCTTAATTTATATAAGTGTGTATAAATTATGGACACAAATACACTTTTAAGCAGACATCTACCATTTTATTGTAAGTTTTGATAGTTTCATTGAGTTTAATACTTAGCACAACATGGATATTGACATTTTAAGATGAAGGTCTTACATCATATCTGTAAATATTTCCAATGGAATCAAAACACAATAATTATGTAATATCCAGAATTATCTGCTTTCAAAAAAAAATTAACAGTGTTTGGTTTAACAGTCAGAAATTTTATCTTTTTCTCCTCAAACCAATTTCACTCAACTATCACTATTTAATAATCATTATAATGCATATATATTTAAAAATAAATATTTTCTTGATATAATTTATTATTTGTGACCATAAGCATCTGTAAATAAAAAAAATCAAGAGTAAGTTATTCTTCTAGTAATTATTAGTCCCTGTTATAAATGATGTAAACTTATCATGTTTTCATAAACAACTTTAACAAATTAAAGTGATTTTTGAAAACACAGCTCTCTATGAGAACGTAATTTATATTAATGATTAATTTATTATTACAATGGGACAGAGTTTACCATACATTCTATTCTTACTATTTTTTAGGTCATTGACATGGTCTGGCTGTGCGCTCACTCAAATCTAATCTTGAATTGTAACTCCCACAATTCTCATGTGTCATGGGAGGAACCCAGTAGGAGGTGGTTGAATTATGGGGCAGGTCTTTCCTGCACTGTTCTCATGATAATGAATGAGTC
Organism: Homo sapiens; assembly: GCF_000001405.40. Classification (NCBI taxonomy): domain Eukaryota; kingdom Metazoa; phylum Chordata; class Mammalia; order Primates; family Hominidae; genus Homo; species Homo sapiens. The sequence continues at coordinate 21,650,044 of NC_000021.9, forward strand.
TCACGAGATCTGATGGTTTTAAAAATGGGAATTTCCCTATACAAGCTCTCTTCTCTTGTCTGCCACCATGTCAGATGGACCTTTTACCTTCTGTCATAATTGTGATGTCTCCCTAGCCATGTGGAACTGTAAGTCCAGTAAACCTCTTTATTTTTAAATTGCACAGTTTCAAGTGTGTCTTTATCAGTGGCATGAAAATGGACTAATACAGTAAATTGGTACCAGTAGGGTGGGGCACTGATGAAACGATACCTGAAATTGTGGAAGCCACTTTGGAACTGGGTAACAAGCAGAGGTTGGAACAGTTTGGAGGGCTCAGAAGAAGACAGGAAAATGTTGGAAAGTTTGGAACCTCCTAGAGACTGGTTGAATGCCTTTGACCAATATGCTAATAGAAATATGGGCAATAAAGTCTAGGCTGAGGTGGTCACAGATAAAAATGAGGAACTTTTTAGGAACTGGAGCAAAGGTGACTCTTGTTATGTTGTAGCAAATAGACTGGCAGCATTTTGCCTCTGCCCTAGAGATTTGTGGAACTTTGAACTTGAGAGAGATGATTTAGGGTTTCTGGTGGAATAAATTTCCAAGCAGTAAAGCACTCAAGAGGTGACTTGGGTGCTGTTGAAGCTATTCAGTTTTAAAAGGGAAGCACAGCATAAAAGTTTAGAAAATATGCAGCCAGACAATGCGTTAGAAAAGAAAATCCCATTTCCTAAGGAGAAATTCAAGCCAGCTGCAGAAATTTGCCTAAGTAACTAGGAGCCAAATGTTAATCCCAAAGACAACAGGGAAAATGTCTCCAAAGCATTTCAAAGCTCTTCACAAGCCCCTCCCATCACAGGCCTGGAGGTCTAGGAGGAAAAAGTGGTTATGTGGGTCGGGCCCAGGGTCCCAGTGCTATGCGCAGGACTTGGTGCCCTACATCCCAGCTACTCCAGCCATGGCTGAAAGGGGTACACCTAGAGCTTGGGCTATGGTTTCAGAGGATTCAAGCCCCAAGCCTTGGCAGCTTCTATATGGTGTTGACCCTGCTGGTACACAGAAGTGACGAATTGGGGTTTGGGAACCTCCGCCTACATTTCAGAGGATGTATGGAAACGAGTGGATGCCCAGGCAGAAGTTTGCTTCAGGGGCAGGGCTCTCATATACAACCTCTGCTAGGGCAGCATGGAAGGGAAATGTGGGTTTGGAGTCCCCACAGAGAGTCCCTACTGGGGCACTACCTAGTGGAGCTGTGAGAAGAGGGACATCATTCTACAGAACCCAGAATTGTAGATTCACTGACAGCTTGCACTGTGAGCCTGGAAAAGCCACAGACACTCAACACAAGCCCATGGAAACAGCCAGGAGCGAGGCTGCCTAAGACCACAGGAAGCAATCTTTTGCATCAGCATGACTGAGATGTAAGACATTGAGTCAAAATATCATTTTGGAGCTTCAAGATTTGACTGCTCTGCTGGATTTCAGACTTACATGGGGTTGTAGCCCCTTTGTTTTGGCCAATTTCTCCCATTTGGAATGGCTGTATTTACCCAGTGCCTGTACCCACATTGTATCTAGGATGTAACTAACTTGCTTTTGATTTTACATGCTTATAGGCAGAAGGGACTTGACTTGTCTCAGAAGAGACCTTGTACTGTAGACTTTTGAGTTAATGCTGAAATGAGTTAAGACTATGGAGGACTATTGGGAAGGCATGATTGGTTTTTGAAATATGAGGACATGAGATTTAGAAGAGGCCAGTGGTGGAATAATATGGTTTGGCTGTGCCCCCAAGCAAATCTCATCTTGAATTGTACTTCCCACATGTCATGGGAGGAACCTGGTGAGAGGTGATTGAATTATGGGGGCGGGTCTTTCCTGCACTGTTCTCTTGATAGTGAATGAGTCTCGCCAGATCTGATGGTTTTAAAAATCAGAGTTTCCCTACACAAGTTCTCTTCTCTTGTCTACCACCATGTGAGATGTGCCTTTCAACTTCCGCCATGTTTGTGAGGTTTCCTCAGCCACATAGAACTGTAAGTCTGATAAACTTCTTTCTTTTGTAAATTGTCCAGTCTCGGGCATGTCTGTAACAGCAATATGAAAATGAACTAATACACTCATCTTTATAGATGTAGGTATTGAAATAACTTGTCCACATAAACAAATAGATGAGGATAAGTGTGCTATTCTAGCAATGACATTGAATTCTTTCAACTCTTTTCAGGTGTTTGTAAATGTCTCATTCTAATTCTTCAGCAAATATTATTTTTAAGTGGCCTATCAACAAACAATCCAAGTAGGTAAATTCTTTAGTTTTGTTGAAAACTGATAGTTGGAATCATTTGATTTTCAAATGTATTTATTTTTTATCCTGTCATTAAAATTCTTTATTTTTTCAAAATCATTATAAAAACATTTTGATTGGTCTCAGTAGTGATGCCTAGGATCTTTGTAATTTTCTGGGGCAATCACCCTGCTAGTTTAGTGCTGGGCAACAGATATTTTACTTTGAAAAATTGGGAGAGGTTTATTATAACATGGCAGAAAATTAGAACTTGGGCTGGGCATGGTGGCTCACGCCTGTGATCCCAGCACTTTGGGAGGCTGAGGAAGGGCAGATCACGAGATCAGGAGATCGAGACCATCCTGGCTAACATGGTGAAACCCCGTCTTTACTAAAAAATACAAAAAAAATTAGCCAGGCGTGGTGGCGGGTGCCTGTAGTCCCAGCTACTTGAGAGGCTGAGGCAGGAGAATGGCATGAACCTGGGAGGCGGAGCTTGCAGTGAGCCGAGATCATGCCACTGCACTCCAGCCTGGGCGACAGAGCAACACTCCATCTCAAAAGAAAAAAAAAAGAAAATTAGAACTTGAAGCTCCATCAAATGGCCTTAGGAAATATTTAACATAAAAGATGAAATTATTTAAATTAGAAATTAATTCCCTTAAATTATCTGTGCTCACACCCTTGAATGCCTCCAGGTACTTCACTGAGCACCCAAAATCGAAGTAGTAGACTAATGATCTAACCACCAACAATACATTGGCTGGGCAAACAACTTCACAAAGCTTTTGTTGGCTGAGCATTTCAGATTTCTATTTCTAGGGTCTTTCCTAAATAAAAATTCTAGGGACTGACTAAGGAAACTAAAGAATAAAAAGTCTTTAAAAACAGGTGATATATAATATTTTGTAAATCTATTCTAAAATTCATTAGGGTTGTTCTTTACCAAGGCTGGATATTCTCTTGGGACATAGTCTCTTTTGTGTACAGAACAGTTTCTTATTTTAATTTCCTCCATAATTTAAATCTTGATGAATTTATTTCATTAGCACATTAAATCTGCATAGCACTTACATTGCCCATCTCTCTTAACACAAACTAAAGTAAAAAATATCCTCTGTTGTTTGAGATTTCATTTGGGTAGATTGGGTTCTGACTGATTGCCTGCTCTTCATTACCTCATCACAAGTTGCATTGATTAAGATTAAAGCAGCTACGCTTACATCTTTTCAACATCTTATTTAAAACTTATTTCAAACTTTTGTTCATTTTAGAAATTGTGTATTATATATACTGGGAAATCGTTTCCAAAAATTATTTCCACCTACAATGTATTCACAAGCTCTTAATTTTCACCTTGCCTAGTCTAATGCCTTTCAATCTAAAGCAATTTGTAAATAACTTGATCTTTACCTTCAAATGATAGTTGCAGGAGCTGATAAAAGCAAAGATCAATGGGCCATCTCCTAAAGAAAGGGGTAGTTTTCCTGTCCCAAGATCTTCCCTGCCCCCAGAGCCAGATTAGATCTCTATTCAAATGGGTGGCCATCAAAAGTGATAAGTAGTAAACAAAATACCACAGGTCCAAGACCTCTCATACAAATAAAACTCATAGTCCCTTGTTGATTTGAGGAACCAGGTTATGATGTTTTGCATACACATTGTGTTTTAAATATCTCAAGTGTATAGATCTAAGGAGGTTTGTATTATTATTATTGTAATTGAAAAAGAAAAACTTAAAGCAACCATATTATACTTATCTTAAATTCATGGCATATGTGTCATAAAATTCAAATAATCTTATCACATTATAAAGAAAACACCCATATTGGTGATAATTTGAACAACTGAATTTTCCATTTTTCTGTGAATTGTTGAATAATTAGTAATAAGCAGGTTTTACCCACAACTTAGTATGTACTGAGCACTGGGTAAGATTCTTACCTACATTATAACATTAATAAGTGTAAGTCCATGAGGCATGCATTTTAAACAGATAAATCTGGGATTGACAACACTGACCCACATGGCTCTAAGATCTGTTCAAAACACCTACCTCTCTGAAAATAATAAATCATTTATTCTCTTTAGACTGATTAATATTCTTAAGAAAGATAACTAGAAAGAGGGACAAGTAAAATGGCAGAAGTAATTAAAATGAACATGACCATGTTTTTGTTGCCATAGTTTTTGATGGAAATAATAGTTTTTTCCTCAGTTGCCAACTTGGTTTCCAAGTTTCAGAGGTCATAAGACGTCTGGGGAACACATTTTTTCATTACAAATTCAATGTGATGTGATTCAATATGATGTTACATTTGTGAAAGTTTAAATCAGCCCTTAAGAGAAGAAAAACAAAAATGAATTATCTTCAAAAAGTCATAACAGAGAGTGAATGATTGTATTTATTATTTGAAAACACCACTCACCTACCACCAAATATTTACTGATTTGAAGCAGGGCTTTTTGATATTTTTCTCGAAGATTCATCCTTTTGGTTGGGTAAGGGATTGGGGAAGTTTCTCTTATATTCAAGAAGGCATAATCTTACCTGGGTGGGTTGAAGTTGATGGTTCAGTAGAATTATGATAGCTTCAACATTGGATTTCTATATGCATATGAGAGGAGCTCTAATCATAGGAAAGAGGTTCTTTTTACAAGATTTAACATAATGCCTTAGCTTGTTTTCCTTTACTATAACAGAATACCACAGACTGGGTAATTTATAAAGAAAGGAAATTTATTTTTTACAGTTCTGGGGGAGACTGAGAAGTCCAGGAACATGGGACCAGCATCTGGTGAGAGAAAGGTGCAAGTTATCACATGAAAAGAGGGCAAAGGCATGAGTGTGAAAGTGGCAAAATATGAAGAATGTCGTTGCTTTATAATAACCTACTGTCGCAGTAACTAATTCAGTACTGTGACAGCAGCATTAATCCCTCTTAATTACCTAATCATCTCTTAAAGATACTGCCTCCCAAATCACCACATGAGGAACCAAATTTCCAACACATAAATTCTGGGGGACACACACAAATCACAGCATATAGTTACTGTGTTTGTCATGAAAAGACTAACAGATACAGACACTGCAGAAATTCATTAACTCTGAATATACAACCAGAAAAGCATATGACAGAAGCCATTCCTCATCAAAAGCACCTATCCTCATTTAGTTCTTCAATTAGGACAGTCAGTCAGACAATCAGTATTTGATGAGTATCATGTATGGCAAAATATAAGCAAAGCCTCTCTCCTCTTAAATATATAAATTAAAGAAGAGACTTTATGAAAACGATCTTTTTACACACAGCTATTATATTGTTCTTCAAAATCATTAAAATGAAACTCTCTGTGTAATAATATTGTATATAAATAATGAGATAAGAGTTTCTAGTAAAAGATACCTAGCCTTTCCTTCCCAAAGCACCTTGCTCTGTTTGTTATCTCATTCCAGAGATGAGAATAAAATGTTAACAGCTGATAATAAAATGTTAACAGCTGCTTCATTGTGAGTTTCTTATGTCAAAGATCAGGTTATATGCAAATTTATTTCAGGGACACAAACACGGTAGAGACTGCCAAGGTCTAGGATAACATTGTATTTATGTGTAATTCAAGACCACATACACAGCACGACTCTGTAATTGATTTCTGAATAAATCATTATCCCATTAGTTTTATTGGTAACTGAAAATTGTCATTTATCAAATGAAGATTTAGTAGAAAAGAAAAATAAATTATACTGAAAAGTTACCCCATTGTCCAAGATATATTTAAGCTATATTTTAACTCCACCTTTAACAGGTGGGTTCAAAGATGCTTAAGTAGTTTTATAAAAAGCTAGTATTGATGCATCCGGTAGTCACATTCATGTTTAACTTCAGAACTTATTCTCCTCCATGGTACTATAACTTAATGTCTTTTTAATGCATGTCTGATAGAGAAATATATGAAATTAGTAATATTATTATGCAAATATTCTCCCTAAATACTGATTTAAAAAACATATAACCACTGAAATTTGCTTCTAAATGATTCCTGTGCTCAGTGGTTTTACTATGCAGGCATCATACAAAATCTAAATTCATCCATCTCACCTTCCAAGTTTTTGTTAAAGAACCACGAATATGTCAAGATATTATTGAAAAGGAAAGAAGTTATTTTAATTCAGAATGCTACATTAATGCAGCGTGCCATTATGCCCCCTACAAGCCTTTTTTGTACATCATATATCTTTTCTGAACTTTGAATATCCTTTGAAGTTAAAAGGTGTTTCATGGACAGATGAGATGGATGGCTCTGTGGAAAAGTTAAAAATTGGGGTGATTATTAATTTTGTCTCAAATTCTCACACGATATTTCTAGGAGAAATCTGATCCAATAACATAGTTCTCATAAAGTGGAAGTTCAATCAGAGCAAGAAATTGATCATGTACATGTTCAATCACTAAACTTAAATCTTGACAGAAAAATAATTTAGATTTCACATTTTAAAAATGGTATGGCATACCAAGTATAATTCTAAGCTTATTCCAGCAGCCTTGAATGCAATAATTTAATAGCAGATTTACCTAGTAATTGGAACTAAAAATAGTTAACATGCTGTGTTTTCATTTTACTTACACAGGGCAAATTATTTACATCACTTGTCTTCAATTATGTAGGCTGACTTCTTAGGGCAGAGTGGCTTTTCAGAAGCTGCCTCTGGGAATAAAATAAACCAAAAGATATTTTTTTTTTGGAAACTCTCTGTTGTAGAACCATACGGCCCATTTCAAAATATAAACTATCACAGTAACAAATATTTGGTGTTATTAAGAAAAACAATAATTTTTGTGATATCAACACCCTTAAGAACTATAAACTATTGTGAGTAGTGCCGCAATAAACATATGTGTGCATGTGTCTTTATAGCAGCATGATTTATATTCCTTTGGGTATACACCCAGTAATGGGATGGCTGGGTCAAATGGTATTTCTAGTTCTAGATCCCTGAAGAATCACCACACTGTCTTCCACAATGGTTGAACTAGTTTACAGTCCCACCAACAGTGTAAAAGTGTTCCTATTTCTCCACATCCTCTCCAGCACCTGTTGTTTCCTGACTTTTTGATGATCGCCATTCTAACTTGTGTGAGATGATGTCTCATTGTGGTTTTGATTTGCATTTCTCTGATGGCCAATGATGATGAGCATTTTTTCTTGTGTCTGTTGGCTGCATAAATGTCTTCTTTTGAGAAGTGTCTGTTCATATCCTTCGCTCACTTTTTGACGGTGCTTACAATAGCAAAGACTTGGAGCCAACCCAAATGTCCATCAATGATAGACTGGATTAAGAAAATGTGGCACATATACACCGTGGAATACTATGCAGCCATAAAAATGATGAGTTCATGTCCTTGTAGGGACATGGATGAAGCTGGAAACCACCATTCTCAGCAAACTATCACAAGGACGAAAAACCAAACACTGCATGTTCTCACTCATAGGTGGGAATTGAACAATGAGAACACTTGGACACAGGAAGGGGAACATCACACGCCAGGGCATGTTGTGGGGTGGGGGAGGGGGGAGGGATAGCATTAGCATTAGGAGATATACCTAATGTAAATGACGAGTTAATGGGTGCAACACACCAACATGACACATGTATACATATGTAACAAACCTGCATGTTGTGCACATATACCCTAGAACTTAAAGTATAATATAAAGAACTATTAACTGTGTCTTTTATATTCCATTGTCATCTGGAACTTGTAGGAATCTGAAGATTAAACATATTTTACATAGCTGTAAAGCAGACAGAATCCTTCAGGGCTGTTGTTGAACTCTTGAAATCAGAAGCTGAGTTTTGAGTGGTGTGAAGAAATTAAACATAACCTGAAACAGGAGAAAACAATGGTATAAAGATAAACTGTCCTTTCTGTTGCACCAATTTTTCTATGGGTCTTTCAAAAATAAGGAAAGTTATAGAGAAGAACATAGTTGCTACAAAATTACAGATCATACGAGCCAGAAAGAAATTCTGTGACTTTTCACTTGCATAAACCAATTTAATTTTATTTTTCCAGAATGTTAAAATTCGAAGTACTTAAATCTTTACATAAATTAGATCAACAATAATGTGATTATTTCATTGAAAAAATATAAATACAAATGAATTATTGAGCATTTATTAATTCTCTGAGAAAGTTAGGAGTCTTTTTGGTGATAACATTTAAGTATGGGGTTTTCTTTGGTTTTTACATATTGATACAATTACTATTTTTGTCCAGTTGATGAAGTAGCTGATGTAAGCACAGTTGGATTGAAAAAAGAGATGGGATTGAGCAAAGATGCTGGAACACTCAGATAAGTTTTTTTTTTTTTTTTGGTCAAGATAATAATAAAAATAAAATTAGATTATATATAATTTGTGAAATTATAATCTTTTTTAGACAGTTAAAAATGGGCACAAAACTTCTGCCCTCCACACTGCATACTTGCTTTCAGTTTCCAATGATGCTGAAATTTAAATCTCACTAATACTTTTTCTTACCAATTTTTACAATAATAAAATGTTTTATACAAAGAATCTTAATAAATTCTTAAATAATTCCATCAATTTTCTAAGAAATTTATGTATTAGGGTTCTCTAGAGGGACAGAACTAATAGGTTGATGTATATATAAAGTGGAGTTTATTAAGGAGTATTTACTCACACAATCACAAGGTGAGCTCCCACAATAGGCTGTCTGCAATCTTCAGAGCAAAGAAGCCAGTCCGAGTCACGAAGTTGAAGAACCTGGAGTCTGATGATCGAGGGCAGGAAGCACGCAGCATGGAAGAAAGATACAGGCCAGAAGACTAAACCAGTCTACTATTGCCACATTCTTCTGCCTGCTTTTATTCTGGCCATGCTGGCAACTGATTAGATGATGCCCACCCAGATTGAGAGTGGGTCTGCCTTTCCCAGTCCACTGACTCAGATGTTAATCTCCTTTGGCAACACCCTCACAGACACACCCAGAAACAATACTTTGCACCCTTCAATCCCATCAAGTTGACACCAAATATTAACCATCACAAGTTAGGATAAATTTGATGTCACATTCCTGTGTATGTATTTCTAGAGGGGGAGTACTAGTCTGACTATAGCTTACTGGATGACAACCAAAAAAAAAATTAGTATAATAAAGTGGAGATTGGAGTAATAGCCATTGACTCCAAGGTTGAAGTATTTTGACAGTGAATATGTAGAGTAGACAAGAATCAATAATGAAAGTGGTGTGATAGGAATATTAGCATCAGGAATTAGAAGACTATGAAAGGCAAATAATAAATGTCCGACTGCCAAGCTCAGTTTAGCTTATTGATTAATTTGGGGGTATGTCAGTCTACATCCTTGTTTTGCTGGATTAAGTAATTTGTACATAACCACACTATGTAAGTATTGGATAGAATACATGGGCACCTTGTACGTACTATTCCAATAACCTACATAGGTTTTTACTGACGGGAAATTTAGAGAAGCACAATTTATGAATGTTGATAGATGTGGTGTCCACCCTGGGATTAATGATAACCGGAACTGGGATTTAAGAGTTATAAACTATACACACTCATCCCTTAAACAACACAAGTTTGAACTTCACAGATCCACTTTTATGCAAATTTTATTTCACTTCCACCAACCAAATACAGCAAGATCATTCCATACTCTTCTGTCTTCTCTTCAGCCTACTCAATGTGAAGATGATGAGGATGAAGAACTTTATGAAAACCTACTTCCACTTAATGAAATATATTTTCCTTTCTTATCATTTTCTTAATATTTTCTTTCCTCTAGCCTCCTTTATTGTAAGAACATGGTATATAATATATTTCACATACAAAACACGGGTTAATCAACTGCACATCTTATTAGTAGAGCTTCTTGACAATAGTGAGCTATTCGTAGTTTAGTTTTGGGGGATTCAAAGTTATACATAAGTATTTGACTGTGGGGAAATCAGCACTCCTAACCCCCGTGTTGTTCTAGGGTCAACTATACTCATATAGTCAATCAACTGAGAAAGGAGAGAAAAATTTTTAAAAAATTGACAAAATGTAACTAATTGCTGAAGTGGGGTCATGAGCAAATGGAATTTTATCTACTATGAATTAGGCTAATCTTCCCATTTTTGTGTATGTTTCTTTTTTTTATTATTATACTTTAAGTTTTAGGGTACATGTGCACATTGTGCAGGTTAGTTACATATGTATACATGTGCCATGCTGGTGCGCTGCACCCACTAACTCATCATCTAGCATTAGGTATATCTCCCAATGCTATCCCTCCCCCCTCCCCCCACCCCACAACAGTCCCCAGAGTGTGATGTTCCCCTTCCTGTGTCCATGTGATCTCATTGTTCAATTTCCACCTATGAGTGAGAATATGCGGTGTTTGGTTTTTTGTTCTTGCGATAGTTTACTGAGAATGATGGTTTCCAATTTCACCCATGTCCCTACAAAGGACATGAACTCATCATTTTTTATGGCTAACAACCCTTCATGCTAAAAACTCTCAATAAATTAGGTATTGATGGGAAGTATTTCAAAATAATAAGAGCTATCTATGACAAACCCACAGCCAATATCATACTGAATGGGCAAAAACTGGAAGCATTCCCTTTGAAAACTGGCACAAGACAGGGATGCCCTCTCTCACCACTCCTATTCAACATAGTGTTGGAAGTTCTGGCCAGGGCAATTAGGTAGGAGAAGGAAATAAAGGGTATTCAATTAGGAAAAGAGGAAGTCAAATTGTCCCTGTTTGCAGACAACATGATTGTATATCTAGAAAACCCCATTGTCTCAGCCCAAAATCTCCTTAAGCTGATAAGCAACTTCAGCAAAGTCTCAGGATACAAAATCAATGTACAAAAATCACAAGCATTCTTATACACCAACAACAGACAAACAGAGAGCCAAATCATGAGTGAACTCCCATTCACAATTGCTTCAAAGAGAATAAAATACCTAGGAATCCAACTTACAAGGGATGTGTATGTTTCAACAGTGCCAGAATATAGGCTAACTTACAAAAGATTATATGAAGAATGTTTTTTGTAGAACAAATAAAGACTAAAAACTTTATTCATTTTTTTTAATTGCAATAATATGGCTCAGTTTCAAATAAGCAAGGAAAAAGATAAAACAAAAAAACTAATGTGTGGAGATATTAAATTTTATTTTACATTTTATACTACTCTGAGTAGTATAGAATAGTATATTATGGGGAGATTTTATGGAAAAAAGATAATTAAATGGGCCTTAAAGAATATAGCTTATTAAAAAAATTATGAGCAAGATGAGCAAATAAAATATAAAAATCAAAGTTTTCAAGTTTAGGATATGCTTGCAATTTGATCAAAGTGTCAAATACCTAATAAAATACTGAGAGAGGAAAAAAACTTGGCATCTGTAACCCAAATTCTACATTCACACTTTTCCATCATTTCCTATATATCTGACCTCTTCTCTGATATTGGCCTCTCATTTTGCTTCTCATTCAAATTTTAGCCTTTCAGGATAGCATGGGACTCGATTGTCCAGGTCACTGCTTTGTTATTTCCAAACTTGTCAACAAGGCCTTTTTAGGATTTCAAGAATGTTATGAAGCCAGCTTATTGTTGGCTCTGCCTTTTGTGAATTCCCACATGTATGAAAAGACAGGCTCTTTCCCAGCCATTTTGATATCAGATACTTAAATCAGGGGATTTATGGATCATTTGTGAATTTTTAAAAAGTGGTTTGCAAATATCACTTTCTTAGTAGTAAAACCAGCTAGAAATAGAAGACGACAATCAATTTTAAATGATTCTCTTATATCAATAATTAAAGCTTATCCTGAAAATGGTAAGTATCCTCACATAGTAAGATGATCCCAAGTAATAAAAGCTATCGACTTTAAAATGTAAGCAAGAGAAGCATGATGTAAGACAGATTAATCATGAAGGCTGTTAACAAAAAGGAGCAAGTAGGCTTACTCTTCAACAGGACTCTGATTAGGCCACACTGTAAAAGAGGCAGCAGAACTATTAACCAGCCACCTTTCAGCATAGCTCCTTTCATTTTGCTTGAACATTACAACTCTTTAAAAAGGTCAACAAGCTAAATAATGGAGATTGTAGAAGAGGCTATGACAAAATATATTTAGATAGGATTTGTCTGTGCAGACAAGATGAAAGAAGCATTTGCAATCAGTGATTTCCAAGTTTGAGAAGTCATTTGAGGCTCTGGGCAAGTCCTGTCTTATTTTACTTTGATTTAATACTTGCTCAGGGTCTTCTCTCTGGAGACTGTGGTGTGCTTTCTCTCAAGTGGCATGGGAGGACGGGAGAAGCTGTACATGTTGGGGAACCTTTCCAGGTGTTTGGGATCAGCTCCCAGTTTTCAGTGAGAATCACTCCAGAGTATCAAATTATGGAATTCTTGGGTCCAAATAAAATCACCGTCCAGTGTTTCACTTCCTTCTAAATCTTAAAAGGGTTAAGTCAGGGTATTACACTGAAAACATTGATTTATAGTTTCTTCTGAAGTTGAGAATGATATTATAGCAAAGGAATAAGTAAAATATAGCTATAAAATCACCATATGGAATACAGATTGTAAACACATGGGATATTTTTAAACAAATCAATGGAATTAAGAGAGGGCAGAAGAATGTCAACTGACTGCCAGAAAAAATGAAGCCATAGTCTGAATATTTGGGGAATGGGAAATTCTGTTTGGGACAGGGCAATAATTCTACTGGTGAAATCCCAGGGAAATTATTGTTGAAGTGAAAGCAGGTACCAGGTATGGCAATAGTGAGAAGTGAGTCCCAAACCATAGGAATCAATGGGAAAATTTTAAATGGGGAATTGATCTCCTTTATTTCTCACCTCAACCTTCCAGAAGATAAGAAGCTCCATCAGTAAAATAGCTAGGTATCTATCCATTCATCGAATCTGCCACCAAAACAGCACTGACAAACACATCTCTGATTTAATTTTTAAAAATAAGTTGGCAAAAAAACATAAGCATATTTTAAGAGGTGATTTAAAAAAAAACTAGAAAGAACAAAGAGGGGATAATTTACCTTAGTGTTATTAGAAAAAATAGAGAAACAAACAAACAAAAAAAGCTTAATTACATCCTGAAAAAGCTTGATGATAATGCATCCATGAACCAAAATAGGAACTGTTTAACATGAAGCAACGAACCGTAGCAATAAAGGCCACTTTGACTTCACTAAAGCCAACAATAAAAGAAAGTTGGGAGAGATAGCCAAGAAAATCTAGTTTCAGAAACAAAAACAAAACAAAACAACAAAGAGATGGGAAATAGGCAATAAAAGAGGAAAAAACATACGGATAAAATACGGAGACTCCATGCCAGACATAAAAGAGTTACTAAAACAGATAATTAGAAAATAGAGGAGGGAAAAATAGATGAGGGAAGAATAAATAGAGATTTTTTTCCATTGCTTAATAAGAACTTATGCCTTGAATTGAAATAGCCTGTTAATTATTTAAAACAATTACGGGAACAACAACAGAAAGACCTAGTCATGATAACATTGTGAAATTTTCAACTACTTAAGACTGAAAAAAGAGGTGATGGTATTCAGAAAGTAAACCAAAGACCTATAAATAGTGGTGATAATCAAATTGGTATCAGATATACCATCAGTAACACCAGAGGCTAAAAAAGGGTAAATAGTCTAAAGATTCCTGGAAAAATAACTATATATCTAAATTTCCATATTCTTCCAAGGAATCAGTCCAGTGTGATAATAGAAAAAAAATCCATAGGTGAAAATTAACATTTTATGAAGAGAATGAAACAATTAATACTGAAGAAAGAAAACATGAAAGTAGAGGATAGAAGTCTCTTGGTGTGTCAATTTCAACTCAGTGCTTAAGATAAAAGTGTCTCGGTAAAAGTAAGGCATGGATGGAAATGGTATATAGCTAAGCACCCTGAAAATCTTGAGGACAGATTGAAGGTATTTGTGAGGTATAAAAAGCAGAGATGCAACTTAAACTTGTTGACAGCAACATTCCCCATGAGTGGCAGAGACATAACATTGAATTTAAAGTGTAACAAGTAAAATCCTCTGCTCAACTTTGAGAAATATTCATAGCCATAGGCATGTGAGTATTTTCTGTTGGTATGAATGTTTTTAGACTGATTTCATTAACGCATTCTAGAAAACATAACCGTGGTTTTAAAACAGAACACAAATCTTACCAAACTTGAGGGGGGAAAATGAGAGCACAACCAGCTGTGTATGAGAGCTATAATTAGGGGAAGATTGTAAAGGAAAAGGATGGAAACATGTATGTCTACTTTTTAGAAAAAGATAATCCAAGAGGTACTACTTTCAGTAGAGTGGACAATATTGGGCTTTAGGCAGGAGAAAACCAGTGGGGCAATTGGGTACATGGATATAATCATAGGGAAGGATTATGTATAGAAGAGCAACTGAGGCACAGAGACAGGAAGGTGAGAAATATCTAACATATTTTGAGGGATTTTTTGTCAAACTATTTAGAATGTTTTCCTGGTTAAGATATTAAGCAATGTTGGGCATAAAACATCAGTCACTCTTTTACAGTCACTCTATTTATAAAATAACGAGTTTCAAGAAGATTAAGTAACCTGCCACGTTGATACAGCTAAAAAGAGATATGACTTACATTTGAATGTATTTCCACTGCTTACAAAGCCGCCCACGCTTAATAAACTGTGCTGTACTCCTTTCACCATGGGTCATATCTTCAGCAGAAAGTGCTGGGACATAAATCAAGAACTTCTGGTTCCCAAACTGATTCACTTGCCGCCTTATAGTTCACATTCTGAATCAACTGCTGTTGTGTTGGTGACAGTAAAAGCACAAAAGAACAATCAGGCTTAATTTTTTTTTAAAGAGTCCCTTCTTGGTATCAAGACTCTGGAGTGTAGCATGACAAAAAAATATACCACTGTTGTTATAATTATATGAAATCACAAAAGTCAAAGCTGACCATTATTAACTTCAGTAAAAATTTGACCCACATAATGAAATTTCCAAGCTTTAGGACAATATAGATATTAGATTGATCCAGAGGAAATAAATTAGACAACATTTTCTTTTAAAAGTATATGTGGCATTAATGTGGATTTGTGAAATAAACATTATACCTTTGTATTCATACAAAGTCTTGTATAAATAAATACATATTTTGTTTTAACTTCTGTAGTCAACCTCATATATTTGTGGAAATTTATGACAATACATTTCATAAATAATTCTGCTTCATTACTTTTAAATTATCTTTTAAAGATATATTTTTACAAACATTGTCTATTATTTTCACATTATAATATAACAAAATGAAAAAATAGGATTGTTCATTTTGTGATACCTCGGACTCTAAGTTGGGCCTGAACTCTATATGAGAACTGATTAACAATTAAATGTCAAAATTTTATTTTATTTCATTAACAAAATGTATTATATTGAAAATTTTATAGGAAGCAGTAGCCAAAAGAGTGCATATGTTCATATGTGTAGCTGTTTTTCTTCAAGTACTTTTAAATCTTTATACGTCAGTTCCTGAATACCATTGGCCTTGCTGATAATACATTGACAGAATTTTCCCTGCAAGTAGCAGATATACAATTTTTTCGTAACTTACTTGTAGCATATCTATATTCACATAAGGGTTTATGGGGATAAAGAACCAAAATATGGGCATTTTTATTATACTAAAACATTATAACATGCTATCTAAAATGGTCATTTTAAATTTGTGCTCTACCTTGCTTTTGCATGTATAGTAACAAAAATCAGGAGAAAGAGAGTAAAAATTGTGGTCACCTAATGTTTAATCTATAAGATTTTATGTATATTTCTAAATAAGAGAAGTAGATTTTTTACTAAAACAAAGTTACATGAAGATTTATAGTGTGACATAAGACTGAATTTGAAGTAAATACTATTATTATTATTGCATGTAATCTAATCTTGAAACTCATTTGAATAGGAAGGCCAGAAAAAATATTAGGATATGAAAACAAATCAACTCAAGAGATTTGAAATAGCATTTCTGGCTTAGTTTATTGATCAGAGAACTGGTAACAGAATTATGGAAATAATTTCCTGATCAATATTTTTGGAATGGAGAAACCTTGAGAAAGGGTTGTTGGTGAATTAATAATTTTGTTTGGGACACTTACATTTGAATTTCCTATTGGATAGATACATCACAATGTCTTCGTTTTTCAGGCACCCAGTAAGGGAGTCTATAAAGAACTAATTTTCCCCTACATTGGAAGGTGGTGACAGGAAGGTATTTTAATCAGGGCTCTGGTGGAATACAAGACAGAAATAATTTCCAGGGAGAAACTCTTTTTTCAAACAATTCAGGCAGAAGAGGGAATGGCAAGATGAAATTTTGGATTCTACATGTGCTCACCTATCATTTAATTTTCATTACCAACACCAAGTATACACATTTTTAAAAATGATGAAGATAACATTTCAATTATGTTGTGTAAGGATGAATTAATCACTACGTCATCATGCAGAAAGAACTGATTTAATCATTAAAAACAAAACAATTACAAACTCTATGGTTTCTTTCACACCAGGAAACTTAGAAAGCAACAAGAACAAGAAAAAGGCAGATGTTATAAAAGCAAAGCTAAATACTTTGGGTATATATACATGTAAAACCTCTGTGTAATGGAATATATTATAAAAAGTGGTGAACAATAAGCAACCATATTTCTTAAATACTTGTAATATATATGAAATATAAAGATTTGAAAAGAAAATATGTAAAGATCTCTTATAATAAAAGACAGACTTTCTAATATGTTTATTACACTATTCACACTGGCAAAGACATGAAATCAACCTGTGTACCCATCAATGGTGGATTGCAAAAAGAAAATGTAGTGCATATATGCCATGGAATTCCATGCAGCCATAAAATAGACCAAAATTATGTCTCGTGCAGCAACATGAAGGCAGTTGGAAGCCATTATTCTAAGCGAATTAATGCAAGAAGAGAAAATCAAATTTTGCATTTCTTCACATATAAGTGGGAGCTTAACACTGAGCGCATGTGGACATGGGAACAATTAACACTGTGGACTACTACAGTGGGGATGGTAAGGGAGAAAGGGGGCAGTGGTTGAAAAACCATCTACTGGGTTTTATGCTTACTACTTAAGTGATGGGATCTGTACCCAAACCTCAGCATCATGCAATGCACCTATGTAACAAACTTGCACATGCACCTCAAGTATCTGAAATAAAATTTGAAATTAAAAAAATTGAACCATTGTTATGCCAGAAAACATAAAAGAAATACTCATCAGGAATAGTATGTTCAAATGTTTGATCTAATCAGAGATCCAAGGAAGGCAAATAAAATAACGATGAAATAAAACAACAAAATAAATTCCTCCTGTTTGTTTCGAAAATAGATTGTCCCTTCAACTTGTGGTTAAAGTTTAAATTGGTACAAACTTTATGACGAGAAATTAGCTGAAAAATGCTTACATTGCACTGAATCAGCCAGTTTGAGAGATCTTAGAAAGCCTTGGCTACCAGAATGATAATTACAATGTATGAAATGAAAAAAATTGCTAAGCAGTTAACATTTAGTAGAAAGTCATTGATTAAGTAATCTATTAAGTGAAATACTTATAAGTCATTAAAATTGCATTAGAGATATAGTGAGCATCTGTTGTGGCTGCTGGAACCCCATCAATTCTACTATTTCTCTACTCATACTAATTAGCCTTTGTTATCTACTATCACTGCCCCCGACATAACACACATATTAGACAGAATCCTGAAGAATCCTGAGTCCTGATAGGAAGTGTCAAGGTGCCCACCCTTCTCTTGGATCTTGAATGGAGCGCATAATCACTTTTAACAGTGAGAGCTGATGAATCCCAACAGAGAAACCTGGAATCAACTGTTTCTTGGTTTCTGTTAGTTATATTCTTGGAGCTACCCCAGTTTCTATTTTAAATATGAAAATGAAAATAGCATTTTTAGCTTCTCTGTAAGTTCTATCAGCCTGTCTATCTACATAAGATTGTATACTTGTTTAAAGGACCCTACTTTGGTTTCTGTTGCTTGCAAACAGAGAGCTAAAAAAAAAAAATCTAGATGTATTTACTGAAAAAAGATGGTCACCAAATTTTGGTGACTATATTAGTCTGTTCTCATGGTGCTATTCAGACATACCTGAGACTGGGTAGTTTATAAAGGACAGAGGTTTAATTGACTCATACTTCCACATGGCTGGGGAGGCCTCACAATCATGGCAGAAGGTGAATGAGTACCAAAGTCATATTTTAAATGGTGGCAGCCAAGAGAGCTTGTGCAGGGGAACTCCCATTTATAAAACCATCAGCTCTCATGAGACTTTTTAAACAGCAGGAGAAAAACCCACCCCTATGATTCAATTAACTTCCGCTGAGTCCCTCCCACAACATGTGGGAATTATGGGACCTACAATTCAAGGTGAGATTTGGTTGGGACACAGCCAAACCATATCGTTCCAACCCTCCCCCTCCCAAATCTCATGTCCTCAAATTTCAAAACTACTCATGCCTTCCCAACAGTCCCCAAAAGTCTTAACTCATTTCAGCATTAACTTAAAAGTCCATAGTCCAAAGTGTCATCTGAGAAAAGGCAAGTTCTTCTGCCTGTGAGCCTGTAATATCAAAAGCAAGTTAATTACTTCCTAGATACAATGTGGGTACAAGCATTGGGTAAATACACCTGTTCCAAATGGGAGACGTTGTCCAAAATGAAGGTGCTTCAGGCCCCATGCAAGTCCAAAATCCAACAGGCCTGTCAAATATTAAAGCTATGAAATCATCTCCTTTCACTCCATGTCTCACATACAGGTCACACTGATGCAAGACGTGGGTTCCCATGGTCTTGGGCAGCTCTACCCCTGTGGTTTTTCAGCATACACCCCTCCTTCTGGATAGTTTCACAAGCTGGCATTGAGTGTCTGCAGCTTTTCTAGGTACGTAGTGCAAGCTGTCGGTGGAGCTATCATTCTGAGGTCTGGCGGATGGTGGCCCTCTTCTCACAGCTCCATTAGGTAGTGCCCAGTAGGGACTCTGTGGGAGGGCTCCAACCCCACATTTTCCTTTTGCACTGCCTTAGCAGAGGTTCTCAATGAAGACCCTGCCTCTGCAGCAGACTTCTGCCTGGACATCCAGACATTTCCATACATCCTCTCAAATCTAGGTGGAGGTTCCCAAACATCAATTCTTGATTTCTGTGCACCCACAGACTCAACACTATGTGGAAACTGCCAAGGCTTGGGGCTTCCACCCTTTGAAGCCATGGCCCGAGCTCTACCTTGGCCCTTTTAGCCATGGCTGGAGCAGCTGGGGCACGGGGCACCAAGTACCTAGGCTGCACGGAACAGTGGGGCCCTGGGCCAGGCCCAGGAAATTATTTTTTCTTCCTAGGCCTTTGAGCCTGTGATGGGAAGGTCTGCCACGAAAGTCTCTGACCTGCCCTGGAAACAGTTTTCCCACTGCTTTTGAGATTAACGTTTGGCTCCTCATTACTTATGCAAAGGTCTGCAGCCACCTTGAATTTCTCCTCAGAAAAAGGGTTTTTCTTTTGTATTGCATCTTCAGGCTGCAAATTTTCTGGACTTTTATGCTCTGCTTCCCTTTTAAACATAAGTTCCAATTCCACACCAAAGCTTTGTGGATACATAAAACTGAATGATTTTATAGTGAAAAGCAAATAATTTGAGAAGATGTAAGAAGGTATGAGTGCTGTATGAAAAGAAGTTTTTTCAACAGAAACCAATGTGAAACTTAGGTAATAGATATATGTTTTCATACTGATTTTCTTAATTGACATTTTAATTTGGCCCACCCAAACATCTGGATAGCCAGGCTGTCTGCTTCTTCAATGGAAGTAGGTTTCGTTCTCTGTGTAAAAGAAGGGTACCCCATTACCAGTGTCCTCCCTTCCATAATAGCTGAAGAGAGTGGCTCACTTAGACATGTTCAAGAGCAACCAAAATGGCCTCAGGTTGTGGTTGGCTCCAATGTCCCTGCCAGGGGTGCTATCTTTACTACTAACCCCAGCTGTTACTATTTCCCCATTTGACATTGCTGAATCTCTTCTATCTCTATTTCATTCTGTGCCGTTCTCTAGGTGTAAACAGGAGTTGTGCAGATTTAACAAAAGGTAACACTCTTCTTTAATTTTTCTGTTGAAGATCTAGATATAGCTAAAGCTTGATTATGAGCTGCATGCACAACAATTGACATATTGCGTATCAAAACATTTTCTAATAAAATGTAGATATATGATGTTTTGATTACCGTAGTTTTTGTTTATTATCAGTGAATTATTTTCCTTATAAATTGGGACTATATTTATTTTTATAGTCCCAATTATAGTAAGGGATTATAGTAAGAATAACTATATTGTTAATCTTAAGATTGAAAAGTTGAAGAGTATATTTTAATATCATGGCAAAACTGAGGAAACATTTTAAAAATCCATTTGAAACAAACTGTGTACTGCATAAAACAAATTATCGTGATGTTGTAAGATATTACTAGAAAATGTATAAGTACTTTAATAAGCCAAAGCATGCGTGGGTATAAGTATTTACTACTGTGCAATGCATTACCACACACTTAGAGGTTTAGAACAAAACATCTTAATTATCTCACAGTTTGTGTGTCAGAATTGCAGGAATAATATGGCTTGGTCTTCTGCTCAGGGTCTCACAAGGCAGCATTTAATGTATTATTAGCAAGGTTGCATTTCTGTCTGAAGCTTGAGGTCCCCTTCCAAGCTCATATGATTATTGGTCGAATTCTCTTCTAGCTACTGTAGGAGTATGGTCTCACTTTTCTGCTGACTGTCAGCTGGGAGATGCTTTTATTTCCCAGAGGCCACTCAGAAATTTTTTCCATGTGGCTCTTTCTCAGGTTCTCTTACAGACCTCTGAGAACATGACAGATTATTTCTTCAAGACTAGCAAAAGTCTTTCTGGCTCTACTCTGTTAATATGGGGTCTTACGTAAGAATCACAGGAGTGGCTACCCCATCACCTTTGCCATATTCTTTTGGTAAAAACAAGTCAGAGATTTCACTCAAACTTATGGGGAAAAAAACTTTTCAAGGGTCAGGACACATAGGGGTCACCTTGTATATGCCCAGCACAACAGGTTACCTTATAAGTCTTTGTTTTAACATCTTATTAGCCTTGCTTTTAAGATAACCAAATTGGGGTGGGACTAACAAAGACTAATTTATTCATATGAGATTCAGTCTTGTGGTTTGGCCAAGCCTATCACAATGAGCAAATTAAATATGTTCAGGTCATTTGAACACGTCATTGTGGAGACATGCATGGGAAATCCAATTTGATACAAAGTCCTATGTTTAGACAGTGGTCAAACTTGTGAACTATCTTAATCAAATATAATAATATTGACATAATCCTCCCTAAGGTGAAAAAATTATTAAATTATTCAGCAAATACTTGATCTGAGTGTGTCATAACTAAATGTCCTTCGAAAAAAGAAATTTTAAGGTATTTTTGGAAGTAGTTTAAAAAAAGATAAGATTCAATCAATCTAAACTGAGACTAGAGAGAGATTTTGGTTAAAATAATACAGGATATTCATATCCATTCTATATTTATATTTCCTTGAGCTAAAAATCAATTGAGCCAAAATCATCATGTTTATTTATATAGAAAGGATATGACATAAAGGCAAATATAATTTCTAACCTCATTTCACTTTTTCAAAGAGTAAGCATAAAATACACAAATAGAACATACATTTGAAAAAGTTAATATTTAACATGAAGTATAACAATTTTTGAAGTAGGTATTCTGCCTTAAGGACTTTTTGTATAAAATAAAACCTAATGACTATTGAGATCCACCTGAAGAATATGACAGAGGACAGGTTAAGGTATCCTCAAATAAAAATGAGAGTTTCTTGTATTAATTTTAGTGCCTATAATTCCTCTAATCAAAGTTGTATTTGATGGCTTTAGCAAAAACAAAATGACTTGACTTTCTTCTCATCTTTACTATGTGATTGCCACTTATGAATGGAAAAATCTTAATTGGTACTTGCTTACAGAGTTTACTTTTACGTTTTAATTTGTTTAGATTATATAGCTCAAATTCATCAATTGGACATATGAATTGTCCTGATTTGTAATTTTTTCCTAAATTTTATTCTAGTGTATAAACACGTAAACTGTCCCACATGAATGTCCTTGTCATTTTTGTGCTAAAGATGCATTTAGAAGTATCAAGTAATTGACATATGCTCCTTTGAATACAGGTTAGCACAAACGTTTTAATAGAAAATGTAAAGAGTGAAGTGATCACTGAAGGGAGCACTTATAGTATATATAGCTATTAACAGAAATAGTTGCTTTTATGATATATGTTTTTCATTACAAAAGATGATTCTTTGATGACTAGTCAAATACAAATGAATAAAAACTCATGTTTAAGATAAACCACAAGTGTTTAGTCACCAACAAATGAAAAAGACAAATATGTTTAAATTACACGTTTAAATATTTCATATTTCATAATATTGAATGCTGATTTTCTTTTAGAGATAGTAAAAACAATTCATAAATGTCTGAATCGCTATTCAGTGTAAATTGGAGAGGTATTGCATCTTTGCTTGATTGAAATGCTGTTATATGTGGAAATACAAAGTTTGATATACTTATAAATGGTAAGTTTCAATAAAGTCTCAACTCATAATAGCTGATAAGAAGTGTGCAAATGAGGCTGGGTACGGTGGCTCACGCCTGTAATCCGAACACTCTGGGAAGCCAAGGTGGGTGGATCATCTGAGGTCAGGAGTTCGAGACTAGCCTGGTCAACATGGTGAAACCCCATCTTTACTAATAATATAAAAATGAGCCAGGCATGGTGGCACATGCCTATAGTCCCAGCTACTCAGGAGGCTGAGGCCACAGAATCACTTGAACCCAGGAGGCAGAGGTTGCAATGAGCTGAGCTCTTGCCATTGCACTCCAGCGTGGGTGACAAGAGGGAAACTCCATCTCAAAAAAAATAAAAAAAAGAAAAAGAAAAAGAAAAAAAAAGTGTGCAAGTGAAATGACAAGGCTGGACTTCCTACAAGGAAACAAAGATATTCAGTAAAAGTTTTAGTTAGGTTCCAGACATCTACATAATTACACAAAAATGCTTGAAGAAACAGAAGTTCAATAGACAAATAATCATTGTGAAGGCAGGGGAAGAATTGCATGATTAGTTATGAAAGAAATGATTTGAAGAGGAATTAGAAGGATTTTAAAAGGTATTTCCAAGATAAAATGTCAAAAGCCTCTTATACATTCAATACAGCTTTTGTTTCACTTAGGGCAGTGGATATAAGGTGACCAAATGTCTCCATTAACATAGGACTAAGGGCTTTCTCAAGAATGGTAAAAGTAAGAAAAATCCATGGCCAAAACACGACAAGCTGGTCAACCTAGCAGTGGTTCTTACCATTTACCCAAATTATCTGAGGATGTTTTTTGTACAAGAAAAAAATAAATTTAAAACACACCCAAGCTCCTACAAATAGATTATATTTGAACTGGTCTGAGATGAAGTCAGGTATTGTATTGTTTGTATATTAGTTTTCTATTGCTGTCATAACAGATTTCCAAAACGTAGTGGTTTAAACACAAATGTATTATCTCATTGTTCTGTAGTTCAGACATCTAGGTGTAATGTGGCTTGGCTGGTTTCTCTGGTTAGTCTCACAGGACTGAAAGCCAGGTGTCAGCAAGTAGTATCCTAGAGGCTTTGGGGATGAATCCATTTCCTTACTCAGTCAGGTTGCTGGTGGAATTCAATTGCTTGAAGAGGGTAATAGGAGTGAGATCCTTGTGTCCTTGGCTAGCTGTAAGCTACAGACTGTTCCCAAATCCTAGAGTCCACCCACATTCCCTAGGTGGTGACTGCTTATCCCTCTTCAAAGCTCATGATGCCAAGTTGAACCCTTTTCCTGCATCCAATCTCCATGGTCTGCCCTCCCCCGGACCCCACTGCTTCATCTCTCCTACTCTTTCATCCACATCACTCTGATTCTTTTCCATCCTCTCCTGCTTGTTTCAGGCCCATGTAATTACCTTGTGCCCACCTGGATAACCTAAGACCATCACCTTATTTTAAGGTGAGCTGATTGGTAACTTATTTTCACCTAAAGTCTTTTTTACAGCAGTACCTAGACGAGTGTTTGCTTGAATAACCAAAAGATGGGAATTTTGGAAAACATCCTTAGAATTCTGCCTACTCCAGTTTGTTCTACTATGGGTTCTCTGAGTAATTCTAACTTGGCAGCCAGATTTGAAAAGCATTTTTCAGGCATGCATTCTTGCTATTGTGCTACCTGATCACACCTACTTCCATATCTCTACAAGCACCAGATGTTCTCAATATGGGAAGAAATAAATACTCTCTCTAGGACTTTCAATTTTACTGTGACATATAAAGAACTTAGAAGTTAAATTAGTTTCCTATTGCTGGTATAAGAAATTACAACAAACACAGCGCCTTAAAACAGTGTAAATTTGTCTTACATCTCTGGAGTCAGAGGTTCAAAAATCAGCCTCACGAAGCTAAAAACAAGTGTCAACGGGGTAAATTCCTTCTTCAAGCTTTGAAGGGAAGAATCTATTTTCTTGCCCTTTTACCTCCTAGTGGCTGCCTATATTATTTGGCTTGTGGACACTTCTTCACATCACTTTAACCTATCACATCCATCATCACACCTACTACAGACTCTGAACTCCTGCCTCCCTCTTCTAAGATCCTTTGTGATTACATCATACTCACATGAATAACCCAATATAATCTCTGCATCTCAAGATTCTTAACTTAATCAGATATTAAAAGAGCCTCTGCCATATAACATTCAGAGTTTCCAGGAGTTACGACATGAACATCTTTGAGGGGTAATTTTTAAGTCTACGATAAACATGAGCATCTTTACAAAAAGAACAAGTAGATGAATTTTAAGACACAAAATTTTAAATCCTTCAGATAAATGAGGTTGTAGAGCAGAATGCTGTGCCAAAATCTGGAGACACAGGTGCATCCATGGAGTCATAGTCGAGATCAGCTTACTGAAGCAAATCACTGAGCCATAAACTGATAGAAGTATTTCAACACTAATTTTTATCAATTGATGGAAACTGAGTGTGGTCCACTGTGAGAAATTCCCAGAGGCCACAGTTTCAACCCTTGGTGGGCATCATCTCTAGTAACATCAACAATTTATCACTGAGAAGGTCTAAGAAAGATGCCATTGTTGACTCCTGCTGGTGAGGGAAATTAATTGTGAAACATGCCTAGAGGCTTCTCTCTAACAAACGTCTATTCTCTATGGAAAAAGACTTCTCCAGTGTCTTTTTCAAGCAGAGGGAAAGGCATTCTTCCCAATCTAGTCCCCGCTAGGCTTCCTACATCACCTGTGGGTGAAAATGTAAACAAACGCTAGGGCTGACTGCACAGAAAGCCAACCACTGAGATTATGAGTATTGCCAGGAAAGATGGCTTTATTATGGGTAACGTCAGCTCGAGAGATGGGAGGCAAGACCCAAATTATCCTTTCTTTAACTACTAATGTTTGGGATTTACAGAGTGGGGGAGGAAAACTAGAGAGGCAAGGAAGAGGAGTTGGTCAAAGACAGCAGGTGGTCCAATGAGGGGTTTAGCATCTTATTGTAGCCACATATGAAAAAACAGGAATTAATGAGGGGTAAGGAAGAGGGCAGCAGGCAGCAGATAGATCTCTTTTTTCTTTTTCGAGACAGAGTCTCACTCTGTCGCCCAGGCTGGAGTGCAGTGGCATGATCCCGGCTCACTGCAATCTCCGCCTCCTGAGTTCAAGCGATTCTCCTGCCTCAGCCTCCAGAGTATCTGGGATTACAGGTCCCCGCCACCATGCCTGGCTAATTTTTGTATTTTTGGTAGAGATGGGTTTTGACCATGTTGGCTAGGCTAATCTGAAGCTCTTGACCTCATGTGATCTGCCCACCTTGGCCTCCCAAAGTGCTTGGATTACAGGCATGAGCCACTGCCCCCTGGGCCAGATGTATCTCATTGTACATAAGTAAGTTTCTCAAGCTTCAGTTTTTTGGGTGTCAGGCATGTAGGAATATTGGGCCAGTGTCAAAAAACAATAGTGAAAAGGAGTCAGAGCTTCAAGGAAATAGATCGGGAATACTGAACAAATGAGGGGACTAGGGAGAAGGGAGATTTAAAAAAATGTATTCTCAAGATACATGCCCATTCAACTACTGAAGATTTAGAATTAAGATGGCCTCATTCCTCCCCGACAATTTGTCACCAAAGCAATGCAGTGTAATAACTAAGGATTGAAGCTTAAAGAGCTGCAAGACATGTATTGTCACTGAGGAGTACTTAGGGAAGCCAAAAATCAATAAGAGACTAAAATAAAAACATTAGAAAACTGTAAACCACTGGCACCTATAGCTACAACAAAACTTAAACTAGCCCATCTCTAGCAAGATTTACATCAATACTAATATAAAAAGCCTATTTACCTCAGTTAATATTACAGGTAAAAAATGTCAAGCATTCAACACAAATTAGATGGAATGCCAAAGGCAAGAAAAAATATCCTTGGGGGAAATAATACAATTAACAGAACAAGACTATGATATGATACAGATATAATTATCAGATGAGGGATTTAAAATAACAATAATCAATGTGCTGAAGGCTTTAGTGAAAAGTAAAAGAAACAAGTTCAAGATCATATGGGTAATGAAAACAGAGAGATGGAAACTGTAAGAAAGAATAAAAAGAAAATGCTAGAAATAAAAAACATCCCGACGAAAATGAAGAATCCCTTCTATTGCTCAACAATAGATTTGACAAAATTGAGGAATGATTCAGTGGGCTTGAAATTACAATACAATTTTGTAAAGTAAAATTTAAAGACAGAAAGAATAATAATGTAAGAGAGAACTCAACATCCACGAACATGGGATGATTTCAAAAGGTGTTTCATAAACAGAATTGGATTATCAGAACCAGAAGAAAGAGACAGGAAGACATATTCCAAGTTGTAATGTATGAAAACTTTCCAAAATTATTTACAGATAAAATCCTATCAAATCCAGGAAGTTGAAAGAATAACAAGCAATATAAACACCAAATTTTTGATTTATAACAATAATATTACTATAACAATAATATTATAACAATAATATTACAAAATTTATCAAATTGATTTTCATAAGTCAAGCATTGCCCTAAGTACTTTTATTTTTAATTTTTGTTTTGTGTTTGGGGGTACATGTGCAGGTTTGTTATATTGGTAAACTGTGTGTTGCAGGAGCTTGGTGTACGGATTATTTTGTCACCCAGGTAATATGCATAGCACCCGATAGGTAGTTTTTGGATACTCACCCTCCTCCCAACCTTCACTCTCTAGTAGACCCCAGTGTCTGTTGTTTGCTTCTTTGTGTCCATATGTACTCAATGTTTAGCTCTCACTTACCAGAGAGAACATGCAGTGTTTGGTTTTCTGTTTCTATGTTAATTCACTTAGGATAATGACCTCCAGCTACATCCTTGTTGCTGTAAAGGACATTATCTTGTTTTTTTTTTTTTGTTTTTTTTGTTTTTTTTTTTTTTATGGCTGCATAGTATTGCATGGTATACATGTACCAAATTTTTAAAATCCAGTCTATTGCTGATGGGTATTTACATTGATTTCATGTATTTGCTATTGTAAATAGTGCTGCAATGAACATATGTGGTGATTGTAGACATCAATTCAACGCTATTCATATTAAACTACCTTTTGGTTTTCATCAGGATGAATACCATCTTGATGGTAGAACAATTTATATTCCTTTGGGTATATACCCAATACAGGGATGGCTGAGTCAAATGGTAACTCTGTTTTAAGTTCTCTGATAAATTTGCCAAACTGCTTTCCACAGTGGCTGAACTAATACTCATTCCAACCAGCCGTGTATAAGCATTCCCTCTTCTCTGTTCCAGCATCTGTTCTTTTTTTAACTTTATTCAATAACAGCCATTCTTATTGGTGTGAATGGTATCACATTGTGGTTCTGATTTGTATTTCTCTAATGATTAGTGATGTTGAACGTTTCTTTAGATGTTTTGTGGCCACACACATTTTCTTTTGAAAAGTGTTAGTGTCCTCTGCCCACTTTTTGCTGTGGTGGTTTGGTTTTTGCTTGTAAATTTGTTCCAGTTCCTTATAGATTCTGGATATTAAACTTTTGTCACATGCATAGTTTGCAAGTATTTTCTCCCATTTGTAGGTTTTCTATTTATTCTATTGATTTTTTTTTCTGCTTTGCAGTTCTTTAGCTTAATTAGGTCCCATTTGTCAATTTTTCTTTTTGTTACAGTTACTTTTGGTGTTTTCATTATAAAGTTTTTGCCAGGGCCTATGTCCAGAATGGTTTTATCTAGTTTATCTTCCAAGGCTTTTATAATTTTAGGTTTTAAACTTACGTCTTTAATTCATCTTAAGTTTACGTTTGTATATTGTGTAAGGTAGGAAGGAAGGAAGGAAGGGGTCCAGTTTCCATCTTCTGCATATGGCTAGCCAGTTATCCCAACAACATTTATTAAATAGGAAGTCCTTTCCTCATTGCTTACTTTTGCCAACTTTGTGGAAGATCAAATGGTTGTAAGTGTGTGGCCTTATTTCTAAGCTCTCTATTGTGTTCTACTGGCCTATCTGCCTGTCTTTGTACCAGTACCATGCTGTTTTGGTTATTATAACCTTATAGTATAGTTTGAAGTTGGGAGATGTGATGCCTCCAGCTTTGTTTTGTTCTTTGTTTTTGTTTTTTGGCTTAGGATTGCTTTGGCTATTTGGGCTCTTTTGTGGACTCATATGAAATTTAGTATAGTTTTTTCGAATTATGTGAAGAATGTCATTGGTAGTTTGATATGAATAGCATTAAATTATAAATTGCTTTTGGCAGTATGGCCATTTTAACAATAATGAATCTTCCTATTAACATATATGAACTGTTTTTCCCTTTGTTTCAGTCATCTCCAATTTCTTTGCACAGTATTTTGTAATCCTCATTGTAGAGATCTTTCACCTCCTTTGTTAGCTGTATTCTTAGGTATTTAATTATTTTGTGGCTATTGTGAATGAAATTGTGTCTTGACTTGGCTTTAAGCTTGTACATTGTTTGCTGTTGAAAATGCTACTGATATTTGTGCATTAATTTTGTATCCTGAAACTTCACTGAAGTTGTTTATGAGATCAAGGATCTTTAGGGCAGAGATTATGGGGTTTTCTCAGTATAGAAACAAATAATCAGTGAAAAGAGATAATGTGACTTTCTATCTTCCTATTTGCATGCCTTTTATTACTTTCCCTTGCCTGATTTCTCTGACTAGTACTTCTAGTACTATGATGAATAGAAGTAGTAAGAGTCAGTATCTTTTCTTTTTCCAGTTCTTAAGGAGAATTATTCCAGCTTTTGCCCATATAGTATGATGTTGGCTGTAAGTTTGTCACAGATGGCTCTTATTATTTTGAGGTGTGTTCCTTCAATACTTAGTCAGTTGACAGTTTTTAACATAAAGGATAAATTTTACTGAAAACCTTTCCTTAGTCTATTGAGATGATCATGTAGTTTTTGTTTTCACTTTTTTTAATGTGATGAATAATATTTATTGATTTGTGTGTTGAATCAACCTCACATCTTATTAATAAAGTCTACTTGATTGTGATGAATTAGCTTTTTCATTTGCTGCTGGATTCAGTTTACTAGAATTCTGTTGAGTATGTTTGTATCTATGTTCTTCAAGGATATTGGCCTGAAATTTTCCTTTTTTGTGTGTTTGTCTCTGCTAGGTTTTGGTATAAGAATGATGCTGACCTCACCAAATGACTTCAGGAGGATTCCCCCCTAGTCAAGTTTTTGGAATACTTTCAATATTAATGGTATCAATTCTTCTTTATACATGTGGTAGAATTTGGCTGTGAATTTATCTGGTCTTGTGCTTTTTCTGGTTGGTAACTTTTTTTTTTATTATGTATTCCATTTGGGAACTCATTATTGGTTTGTTCAGGAATTCAATTTCTTCCCTTTTCTATCTTGGGGAGTTGTATGTTTCATTAAGTTATCATCTATTTCTTTCAGGTTTTCTAGATTGTGTGCATAGAGGTGTTCATAGTAATCAGTAGTCTCTCAGTTTTTGGTTTTTTTTTTTTTTTTTGTATTTCTGTGGGGTTGGTGGTAATGTCCCCTTTGTCATTTCTGATTGTGTTTATTTGGATCTTTCTATTTTTCATTAGTCTAGGTAGCAGCCTATCAATCTTATTTATCTTTCAAAAAATAAATTCATAGGTTCATTGATCTTTTCTATAGTTTTTCACATTTTAGTTCAGCTCTAATTTTTTTTCTCTCCTTCTGATAGCTTTGAGGTTGGTTTGCTCTTGTTTCTCTAGTTCTCCAAGTGTCATATTATGTTGCAAGTTTGTCTTTCTAATTTTTCAATGTGGCTGTTTAGTGCTATAAACTTCTGTCTTCACATTACTTTAGCTGTGTCCCAGAGGTTGCGATATGTTGTATTTTTGTTCTCATTAGTTCCAAATAATTTATTGATTGCTGTCTTAATTTTTTTGTTGACCCGAAAGTCACTAAGGCAAGGCTGTTTAATTTCCATATAATTGTATTGTTTTGAGTGATGCTTTCATTATTGATACCCATTATTATTGCACTGTGGTCTGAGAGTGTGGCTGGTATGTTTTTAGTTTTTAAAAGTTTGCTGATAATTGTTTAATGACCAATTATGTGGATAATTTTATAGTATGTGCCATATACAGATGAGAAGAATCTATATTCTGTTGGTTTTGGGTGGAGAGTTCTGTAGATGTCAGTTAGCTTCATTTGGTCAGGTGTCAAACTCAGGTCCTGAATATTTTTTTTATCTTTCTGCCTCTCTATCCTGTCTATTACTCTTTGTAAGTTATTGAAGTCTCCCACTATTATTGTGTGGTCTTCTAAGTCTCTTTGCAGGTCTCTAAGAATTTGTTTTATGAATCTAGGTTCTACAGTGTTGGATGCATGTACATTTAGGATAGCTAGGTCTTCTTGTTGAATTGAACCCTTTACCATTATGAAATGTTCTCCTTTGTTCTTTCTGATAATTATTGGTTTAAAGCCTGGTTTGTCTGAAATAAGAATAGCAACTTTTGCTCTTGATGGTTTTCCATTTGCTTATGAGACCTGTCTCCATCCCTTTACTTTGAACCCATGGGTATCATTGCATGTGAGATGGATCTCTTAAAGACATCACACAGTTGGTTCTTGCTTTATCCAACTTTCCACTCTGTGCCTTTTAATTGAGGCATCTATCCCATTTACATTCAAGTTTAATATTGATATTTGTGGATTTGATCATGTCTTCATATTGTTAGCTATTTATTATGCAGACTTGATTGTATAGTTGTTTTATAATGCCAATGGTCTATGTACTTAAACTGTATTTTGTGTTGTCCCGGAACGGTCTTTCCTTTTTATATTTAGTACACCCTTAAGGACCTCCTGTAAGACAGGTCTGGTACTAACAAATTCGCTTAGCATTTGCTTATCTGAAAAGAATCTCATTTCTCCTTCACTTATGAAACTTAGTTTGACTGGAAATGAAATTCTTGGTTGGAATTTCTTTTCCTTAAGAATGCTAAAAGTAGACCCACAAACTCTTCTGGCTTGTAGGGTTTCTGCTGAAAATTCTGCTGTTAGCCTGATGGAGTTCCTTTTGTAGGTGACCTGCCTGTTTCTCTAGCTGCATTTAACATTTTTTTCTTACATTTCAATGTTGGAGAACCTGATGACTATGTGTCTTGGGTATGGTCATCTTGTGTAGTATCTCACAGGGGTCCTCTGCATATCCTGAATTTGAGTGTTAGTCTTCTAGTGTGGTTGGGGACATTTTTACAAACTTTATCGGCAAATATGTTTTCCAAGTTGCTTGCATTCTCTCCCTCTGCTTCAGGAATGCCAATGAGTCATAGATTTTAATCTCTTTATATAGTGTCGTATTTCTCAGAGGTATTCTTCATTTTTCTTTTTTTTCTGTTTTTTTCTGACTGAGTTGTTTTGGAGAAGTCTTTAATCTCTGATATTCTGTCATCAACTTGGTTAATTCTACTGTTAATTCTTGCAATTGTATTATAAAATTTGAAGTGAGTTTTTCAGCTCCATCAAATCAGTTTAGTTCCTTCTCAAAATGCCCATTACTTCTTTCAGCTTCTTTATTATTCTGTTGTATTCTTATAGTCCTTGGATTGGATTTTGACTGTTTATTAAATCTTGACGATCATCATTCCTATCCAGATTTTGAATTCTCTGTCTGTCATTTCAGCCATTTTAGCCTGGTTAAGAATCATTGCTGGGGAAATAATGTGGGTATTTGGAGGAAAAAAAGACACTCTGGCTATTTGAGCTGTCGTTGTTCTTGTGCTGGTTCTTTCTCATATCCGTGTGCTGAAGTTTCTTCAGTCTTTGCAGATGCTATCCTTTGGATAAGTTTTTTGCTTTTATCTTATTTGATGCTGTTGGGGGTTTTATGGTGGTATAAAGTGGGTTACAGTCTTCATTTCTGGAAGATTCTAGTGGGTCAAGGCTCGGCTCAGCACTCCTTGGTTGTGTGTTCCAACTATCGGGAGCTGGTACTGAGCTCTGGCTTTGTTTTCTGGACCCCCAAGGTTAGAAATCTGCTATGCTATAGGGGCCAAGGTGTTCCTAGTCTACTGGCCCCAACACTCAATCAGTGGTGCGGGTGTTGGCATAACTTATGTATTTGGTGCAGAAATGTTTACCTAGGAAAATAAGCCTATAAATTAGTAAACAATTTTACATTTTCCTAAGAAATTTTTTCAAAGCCATATTATTTTTCCTCAAGTAAAGAGTTAGATAATTTAGGCAAGCAAGTCTCCCCTCAGGCAATAGATTGCTAACCTGTCCAAACAGCTTGCTTATTTTACAACAGTTTACTTATCAAGGCCATTATCTAACTGTGTCCACCAATCTTAATTATGTCACCATCTTTGCACAAACCTAATTATCTTCTTTCTTTGAATGAACAGAAATAATCTGCAGTATCACAGGTGTAGGCATCTTGTAAATACCCTCCTCTGTCCATTCCGTTCTGAAATGCTGCAGACTCAAGACTCTTCTTTTCAGTAAGAATAATTTACTTACCTTTCTTTGGTGAACAGTTTTCTTTGTTATTGTTGATCTTTTGATGGTACCAGCGGTCAAAACTTATTTTATAGCAGATATAGAACTAAGTTATAATCCATGCTTTGACTCAAAGATCTCAACAGTCTTCAGTCATCTTATTGAATGCATCTTATTAAAATACATCTCCACTGTTTATTTTTCTCATGGAGATGAGCTTCCTTAAAAACTCACCCACTTCTATGCAACAGAATAATTCATCTTAATCTCTAGTTTTTACCATTCTTCGAACTCTAGTCCTGCATTTTCTACTGCCTGCAGGACTTTTCCACTTGACTGCATTTCTATCATCTGACACCATTTAACTGACACTATTTAAACTAAACTCATCTATGCCAAAAATGTAATTCTCTGGACTTCATTATTATACAAAAATTTGGCAGACGTTTTAAAAATCTTATGCACACATTTCTTGTCACCCTATTAACATTGTAAATGTCCTGAGGAAAAGGATCTCATAAGATACTTCTCAATATTATCTTTCTCTTCTGCTAAGCACAATGCAGTGCATGAGGTGTTCAGTAAAGAGAGAAAAAGTGAAAAATGAGAGAGCTGTAAGTCATTTTAATTACTACATAAAATTAGGTTTGGCATGATATTTAAAATTACAATTTAATTTGATTCAATGGTCATGAGCTAGTGTCATCAGGACTGCTCAAAAAACCCCAGGGGTACTTATAATGAATAATTATCATACCCTGACCCCTAGGCAGGCTGTTCTTAGGTTGTGAGTGTCATGAAATGAACCCTGGAGGTGATATTAGGGAAAAGAGAAAAAATGAAGACAGCTTTTTTCTTTCTCTCACTAGAATAGTCTGCTGACAACAGGCAATTAAAGTTCAAGGATATTTGAGAGAGGAAGCCCATTTTAAATATGGAAGAGAAAGTTGAGTGATAGAAGGGTTAGATAAATTGAGTCCAGCAGTACAACCTCAAGAATAAGTTCTGAAAGGAAATCCTTGTAAACTGTTTGGTTTTCTTTTATAGAATCACCTAAGTTGGTCACCATAGAGATGACACAAGCAAAGACAGTCCTCTCTTCCTCTAAGCTTGCAAATGCCTTTGTAAGAATGGACACCAGCAAATTCCACCCCCAAAAAGAGAGATATAATAGAAACAGAGCAATATTGTCAAACACCAGGACTTCTGATCTATGTCCCAGCAGTAGTGGTAAAAATGAATCAAGACAACAAATGTAATTTTTTTTCTTTCTTCCTATAATATAATTGTAGATAAACATGAGAAGTCATATATTATTAGGTCAGGGTTAAGTAAAAATGATGCAGCATTCATTTTCATTCAATTTAATTCAACAAATACTTAGTAAAAGTCATGTGGTAGATACTCTACCAATATTGTGGATACACAAAAGGAGTTAATACATAACCTATTCCCTCAAGAAGATGCATTTATTTGTAGTTAGAAGCCCCAGTACTATGTGGAAATTCTATATACTTTTATTCCATTCCTCTTTCTACTCTCTTAGGTCATTTCACACTTTCTCATTATTATTAAACTTCTCAAAAATCATTCTGACAAGATAACTCATAAGTTTCTCAGAACAGAAAATATATAACAAAATGAATGTGTGAATGAAGTAAAATAATTTCAATATTTCTGTGTAATGCAAAAAATCAAAAAAACAAAGTTCTCTGGTTTTCACTTAATTTGTTTGGCAAATAGCTCTTATTCTCATAGCTTATTCATTTTTACAGAAATATTGCCATAATTCTGGTTGCTCTTTTACACTAACCATCACAGAGGTAAATGAAAAAACTTTTCTTGTGTAATTTCAGAAGGTAATGCCTTTTAATGTAACTCTATATTTTAACATTTTGATTTTAGAACAGAGCTTTAGTGTTGATAAGGCATAATTATATACATGTATTAATAATTACACACATGTAGAGGTATTATATATAATGGAAATTGAATATACTCTACATAAAAATAAAATTATAAGCAAATGAACATTATTGAAATGCATTATTAGTAAAACTGATGCTGTAGGTAAAACTAATTATAATTAAAATCAAAATATTTACTAAACCTACTTACTCCTATAATTTGCGTTGCTGGTTAAAACCCAGCTATAAAAATTTTGATCAAAAATTTTTATTTTGTAAATGATCTGACACAGCATAAATGTTAATCACATTTCTTTATTTTATTTGCAGATTAATTTGAGTAATTTGAAAAATTATTAATGTTACTTAATTACTCTCAACACCTTACAGTGTCTCCTGTAAGCACTATTGGTGATACTGAATTTAAGTTACATTTAACAACTATCAGAAAATAGTTTTTAAAGTAAAAATTATGATTTGGAGTTTACCAACTAAATCTTGTTAGCTTTCACTGCCTCTATTGAGAAGAGCAGCAGTTCTTATCTTCCTCCTTTTTCTTCTTTAATTAACAAGAGATTATTTGTATCATAGCCATAAAATCAGTTCAGGTCTTACATGAACGACACCCCTGACTGCAATGGTGTAGTTTATTGTATTAGTCCATTTTCATGCTGCTGATAAAGACATACATAAGACTGGGTAATTTATAAAGAAATAGAAGTTTAACGGACTCACAGTTCCATGTGGCTGGGGAAGCCTCACAATCATGATCGAAGGCAAAAGGCACATCTTACATGGCAACAGGCAAGAGAGAATGAGAGCCAAGTGAAAGGAGAAACCCCTTATAAAACCTTCAGACCTCATGAGACTTATTCACTACCACAAGAACAGTATGTGAGAAACAGTCCCATGATCCAGTTATCTCCCACTGGGTCCCTCCCACCACACAAGGGAATTATGGGAACTGCAATTCAAGATGAAATGTGGGTGGAAGCACAACGGAACTATATCATTGATCAAAGCATTATTGTTTTCTCTGATAAACTGATCTAGAAAGTGCTGCTTGTGATCAGCTTTGGTGACCATGATCAGTGAAATGGTTAAGGAAATCTACAGATTTTGTAGGTTTGTGCCTTGACAGACGACCGGTATCTGTTTCTCTTTTCATGATGAAGTATCTAACAAAGCTCTGTCCAAAATTTTGAATTTCTCGTTAAATGCATCATGATTATAGAACAGAGGTTACAATCAATTATTCAGTCACACAATCACTCTCATCAGTCATTAAGGTGCATACCTGGTGTTCCAGTTATTCAGTGTGGTATAACAAACTACCTGGAACTTAATGGCTTGAAATAGTCACCATTACATTATGATTGTCCATTCTCTGCATCAATAATTAGGATTTGGCAAAGAGGGAATGGTTTGTTTACAGACAGACTCCAATGTCTGGGAATAACTTGAAAATATAAAGATTTCTTTTTAAAAATGTTATCTTTAAATTTATTTTTATTCCATATATTTAAGGTGTACACAATGATGTTTTGATATACACATGAATTTGGATCTATGTTTTAAGATCACCGTCTGTATCTGGTGAGGGGTAGGAGAGAATAGAAGAATGCTGCTAGAGATGGCTCCTTAAACAGACCAGAGAAAAGAGTCTGAAGTAGTAACTTAGCTAGCATGTTT
Source organism: Homo sapiens (assembly GCF_000001405.40). Classification (NCBI taxonomy): domain Eukaryota; kingdom Metazoa; phylum Chordata; class Mammalia; order Primates; family Hominidae; genus Homo; species Homo sapiens. The sequence continues at coordinate 21,687,206 of NC_000021.9, forward strand.
AATCTACATAGAGTATAACTAGAAAATAGTCATATTCTAGGTTGAGATACAAGAAATGGGATGTGTAAGAGAAAGATAATGAAGATGCAGATAAATTCTCCATTTTCAGTGTTATTTGGTTCTACATAGCATATTGGTAAAAGACTACAACTACTTATTTTTCTCTTTATGATAGCATCATTGTAACACATTTTTTAACCCAAATGCATACATGATTGTAGCAGTTTGCTTAATAACTCCTTTTTATTCTGAGGCTTCCCAGGCAAATGCTAAGTGAACATAAAATGAATGTATGTTATCTACACATTTAATATAAAAAATAAAATAAATGAATGAGTGGATAAATGTAGAGTTTTTAAAACATAAATGATTTAATGCATTCAATAAAACATTTTTATTATAAATAGTTCAGGGATAATTTTTAATTCCTTATTTCCCTAAAAATAATTCAAGATCATTATTATAAAAATATTCAACAAACCACTAATCATAGAATTAATATGAATGTAGTAATCCCTTCTGTACCTTGGAGTCAAAATCTACCACATAATTATTAGGCAATTAATATTTTGGAAAAAAAGTTTAAATATGCTAATTAAAGTGTTTGTTTTTAATTGTAAAGGGTCATTACCAAGTAATGTGCTGGTAAGTGTCACTTACAAATGGTTAGGAAATGAAAGTTATGAACAATAAAATTAGTTCAAGTTCATTTTTTGTCTAGGAATATTAAATGCTTTATCATTACACTTAGTTGTAACTTCACTTCATCTGACTCCATATTAATGATGGCAGGGATTTCAGAAAAAAATAAGTATGATATTCCTCATGGATTGCTCATCAGAGATATTGATTATGCTCAATTATTTCCTATAAAGGCAGGATTAAAGTTTATGAGCACAAATGAGAGAGCTTGGTTTACTATACTGAACCTTTACTTGAGAATATGTATATCATATATATATGTAAATTTTTGTTGCTGTTCAGTGTTATTTTGGTCAATTTAAATAGTCAAATATGGTTATTTTCTGCTAAAATATCAAAATATCTTAATCCTCTGTATTATTATGATCGTTCATTCATTCAAAATTTCTTGAGCACCTTTTAGGTACTTGAAATAAACCACTAAACACAACAAAAGTTTCTTTCCTTCTCTTGTAGAACAACAAACACAAAATAAGTAAATTATATGATGTGTTTATATGTGATAAATATTATGAAAAATAGAAACATTAGATGAAATAGAGGTTTGGGGAGTCAAGGATGTGTATCATGGTTTATAATTATAAAGATATTGATCAGAATCAATACAGGCCTCATTGGGAAGATGTCATTTGAGCAACAAATAAAAGGAGGAAAAACACTGATTTGTGAGGATATTTGCAAGTTCATAAAGCAGAAGTGTGCCTTCCCTGTTTGCGAAACCTCTGAGATGTTGGTAAGCCTGAAATGAGATATTCAAGGAAAAGGTACTGAGGGAAAGAGGATGGTAGAGTGTGCAGATATATGTAGGAAACTGTGGGCTACTGTGAGGAATTTGCTTATACTCTGACTGAAATATGGAGCCAGTATTAGGTTTTGACATGATCTGACAGAGTCACTCTAACTACCGGGTTAAGTGTAGGTTTGTAAGAGTGGACTTAGGGAAATTAATTAGGAGGCCATTGCAGAAATACAAACGAGATGACAGCGTCGAGGACCAACATGTTAGTAATGGAGGTGGTGAGCAGTGGCCATTTTCTGCATATTTGCAATGTAAATGCCGCAGAATTTCCTGGTGGATTGGAAAAGAAAAGAGATATGTGAAAAAGGAAAAAGAAGAGTCAAGAAAGAGGCTTGTTTGGGCCAAACGAATTGGAAGGGCCGCGTCGCCATCAGCTGGATGCATAGAAGACTGCAGCGGAGCAGGTGTGGCAGGGAGTGGTAGGGAGGAGCAAAGCTTCTGTTTTAATTAAGTATGAAAACTTACCACATATGTGGAAGTTTCTGTTCATTCAAAAAATGTTTTGTTTGTTTTGGTAAGGCTAACACTGATTTTTTTTTAAAGCATTTGGTTTAATAGTCATAGAATTGAGTCCATTTCTATCAGAGCATTGTATTGTGGAAAGAATTTGCCACGTGACTTGTTTTGGTTCATGGAAGAAGAGATGAAGTAACCCACGCCTTGAAAAGTGCTCACCCAGTGAGACTTGCCCCACTCTTCTCTCTGAGATGCTTTTTTGTCATTGTATGAACAGGTCGGGGATAATATTTTAAAAGATGAGAGACCACTCAGAGAAAGTGCCTGAGTGTCTTAGTTCCAGCTGGACCCTGGAGGGAAAACATCCAAGACCACCCAACCCCGATCAAACAAACAAACCACCTAGCCAAGTAACAGTCAAAGAAAATCTTGTTGTTTTGTTACGTGCTACTAATTTTTTGAGGGAAATTGCGGGGCACATTGTGACGTAGCAAAGGTTAATTGATATAAATACCAACCAGGTTATTTATCTAGTTAACGTCATTGATATTATAATCTAGATGATTACAAAATCTCCAATTCATTGAAAAAAGATGTAACTTTTGAGACCAGTAAGACCTGACTTTGAATCTGGAGCTTGATACTTTGCAGTTGCCTGACTCTCATCTCTTAATTTTGCCGCACTTGATTTGGGCCCTAAGAAAAAAATGGGAACACAACCTTGTACAGCTTTTGTAGATGAAATAAACTTTATAAATAAAATATATTCAGCATATACTACATGCTCAACAAACTATTATTATTTTATTAATTACATGTCATTATTTAGACATCATGTAATGTACTTATTCTGTTTTTTACATTTATATTATTATTCTTATTTTTAATATTTTGCTGTCAAAGCTTTAGAGCTTAGTACTGAGATTCTCAACTGTCATTAATTACATTTTTGAGCATTTTAATAACATTTTATGGAATTCCAATCAGCGTTGCAATTCCTAGAAAAAAAATGATTATCTTGCTTCCTTCCTTGTATATGTACCCATAGTTGATCTTTCTTTCCTGGCAGAACTGTGGGGAAATTGAGTGGCCTTTGAAGGCATTCATGACAGCATCTGTAAAAGATTTACAGCACTTAATCTGTCAGAGATTTGTCCTTAGAATTAAAGAGCAGTAGGATATCTTTAGACCACAGGTCGCATGCTTAGTTACATTCAAAATATCTTGTAAAATTAGTTTCAATGTCATCATACTAATGCCTATGTCAGCTTTTTAAAAACAGTGGCAATGATATACAGCCACCTAAACTTTGACTGGAGACTATAAAATAGATGGAGTGGTCAAATTTAGTCCTAAGTAACCTTTTATTCAATGACAGTAATTACTTATTTGAACCTTTAATTCATTTAAATTTGCTTGAACTTTCAAGTGACTACCCACGTATTTTCCATTTTGACAGATAAAATTCAATGACTAATATGTAGAACAACCTACCTAATGCTTTGGTGTGATTGACAGTTAAAAATCATAAAGCACCTTTTCCTCTGACAGATTTGAAAAGCTAAATCTTTAATAAGATCAATTTACATTTATTACTTTTTTCACTATTTTTACAGAAACATTCTCCAAAATAACAATTAATGCTCCATGAATGAGATTCAAGAGATTTGGGAAAACATGAAAATGTCTTGTATATATACACTTTGCTTGTGAGAATTCCAAAGTTTTCATCATTTTTAAAGTTTTTGTGTGTGTGACCCTGGTGAAATTACAGTCACTGCTTTAATGACATTGTAAACATCTGTTAATCAAATAACAAGTGATCTTACCAAAAATATATTACAAATGTATCGCTCCAGTGAAAGAATCATATAGAAATATTCTTCTTAATTTTTCCTCCCAAATGTTTTTCTCTAACTCACTTGCATCGGTTATAATGTATGGACATATTCATTGACATAAAATGGATGTATTTATTGAATAAAATCCTTTGAAATGGTTTGCTTTAAGCGGGCTGCTAAAAAAAATCATGTTTTAGTTTTACATTTGTATTTTTGTCATTTCTCGTAGAGCAGATGACAAATCAGCCATCTATTGGCTCACTATCCCGAATTTTGGAATAGTGACTTTGTCCTTGAACACATTCTCTGAGATTGTGGTAGTGCAGCCACATTTTCGCCCAGAACTAATACTCAGAAAGTCGATGGAATTGCACTGTTTTTGAGAGCTTTCAGTCAGGTTGCTATGGGAGTGATTATAAGGAGTAAAGCTTCCTATGGTTTCACTGAACTATTTGAACAGACTCCCTCCCAACTTACTTGCCATCTCTCTGTTACTGTATTTATCTTAAAGTCTAGCTCTATACTAACCTGAAAAATCTTGCTTTAGCTATAGAACCACAACATTCTTTCTAAGTTTATCAATTTAGACTCCTTTAACTTGGAACCAGTGGTCATCCAGATACAGAATAGATGACTTATGGCAGATTTGTTTAAAAAAAAATTAAAGCAGGTATAATGATATCTGCAATTAACCTGTAATTTCTGTTTTTGTAGTTATTACTGGCTGCCATTTTTTTTTTTTTTACTAATTCTAATTACAGGTTGTTCTCAGATTTTATCAGTAACGCTTGACCAATTTACCATAAATGATGATTATTGAGATCCAGTGTCACTTTCTAATCCAATAGATCTTGGATGTAGCCCAGGGATATGCATATTTTATGCGTTTCCCCTAATGAGTCTGCCTCTGGTTTTCGGAAGATCCTGGTTTGAGAAAACTGTTTGAGAATTTAAGTTGGGTCTCTCACCTAAGAGACTGTTTCTTTTCCCTAACCTTCATAAATTGCAGTCAGCAGATATATCCAATAAATCTTGTACAATCATGGAGAAAATTTAAGGCATACTTTTAGAAATGAGGATTCTTGTTTTTGTATGTAAACTTTCATGCTGTTTATGTCACCATTCTCCCTACTTCTATTTTTTTTCCATGGATATTCAGGTTTATTATTATTTAGAATCAGAGGATAGTACAACTGGAAGAGACATTTATAATGATGTAATAATGCCTCAATTACATATGAGAAACTTGAGCCTAGAAAAGATATGACTTTTACTTAAAAAGTAATGACTTTTATAATGTCATTTACCTAAAAGTTATATATAATAATACTAGTTTTATTAGTAAAGATAGATTTACTGGCACTTATTTTAGTGCTATTTTTACCAGATATTTTTAGGATCTTGCTATTAGAACTTTGTTCAGTGATAAAATTTAATTTTACTTTTAATTATGGAGCAATACATGCTTGTTGTAAAAGCACGAATATTTCAAATATTCCACAATAAAGAGAAAATAAGAAGTAAGTAATGTTTCTTAGTTTTCCAATGTTAGTGTTCAGAGATAAAGTATATTTTCCATACTTTTTTTTTTTTTGAGTCAGAGTCTTGCTCTGTGGCCCAGACTGGAGGGCAGTGGCATGATCTCAGCTCAGTGCAAATTCAGCCTCCAGGGTTCAAGTGACCCTCTCATCCCTCAGCCTCCCAAGTACCTGGGATTACAGGCCTGCAACACCACATCCCTTTTCCCAGGCAGTGTTATCACTTTGTCAAGCCCATGCTCTTCCATACTACAGCAGGTAATAAACTCCACTTTTGGTGATGAACAGGCTATTCTGATGGTCTTTGGGGAGCCACATTCTATATTTTTATGTCATATTACTACTATAATATTAAAAAATAATCATGTATAAGCCAAATAATTAGTAAAATTAAAATTTTCTTGATTGTGATCAAATATTTCATTAGGCTGTAATGGTTTCCTTTTTATTGTCTAAGATTTCTTCATTTGGTCTCATTTCTGCAATGCAAATTATTTTGTAACCAATTGTTAATTCACAATAGTCCGCAATTAAGTAGTAAGTTCTTTTTATCATTGTTGAAACAGTTATTACAAAGAAGTTGTCTGTAGATGTCTTCTAAAGTTTCCAAATCTTACTTCATAAGCTATCTTTTTTCCTCTACACCAGATATTTAATTTTTTCTTTTATGCTATAGCTTCTAGGTTGTTAATTTCTGAATTGCACAAGGCACACGAATAATTGAACTTCACATCTCCTACTAAATTATTCTATGTTAATAACTTAGTAATAACAAGTGCAATTACTTTAGCTATTCGTGAACACCTTCCACAGCTTTCAACAAGAGGACTTATTTTTAAGACTTTTTTTAATGCTAAGCATAAGAAAGATTATATGTAGGGTAATTAATGTCTAATTGAGTTAGGCAAACTCTAAAATGGCCTCCAATAATTCTCACTTCAAGACATCCACAGCCTTGTGTTATATGTTCTGCCTGAGTAACTTGCCTCTAGCCAACAGAATACAGCAAAATTGAGGAGATGTCACTTCTTGGATTAGGTTACAAAAGATGGTGTTTTCTGAATTGCTAGTACACTTTCTCAATTACCTTCTCAACTTGCATGCTTTGATAAAGCAAACTTCCCTATGAGAGAGGCCATTATGGCACAGAAGTGCCAGCAGCCTCAGGCCAACAGCCAGCAGAGAATAGAGGCCCTCAGTCCAATAGTGTGTGGAGCAACAAAGTGCTGCGACATTCACTGAGCAAGTTTGCAAATGGTTTCCTCCCCAGTTAAGACCTGAGTGAGACCACAGATCCTAAACCAGCATCTTGATTACAGTTTCCTGGGAGACAGTGAAGCAGAGGACCTAGCTACAGCATAGCTGGATTGTTGACCCATAGAAACTGTAATGTAAGTATGTGTTAATTGCTAAATTTGGGGGTAATTTGTCATTCATTCATCAGTGACTAATACACTCATGGATGAATTAAAACCTTTTTTTGGGTTTCCTCTGATGCTCCTCAGCTTCTGAGTGTAAAGATAGTTTAAAAAATTAGGCTTTCTAATGTCAGAGTCTTCATGATTTAATCATTTAGAAGTCATAGTAATCGGTTTTATTTGGAACAGATAGAGCTCTTAACTGATTAAACAGAAGGGGAATTCTTTGGTTTTCTTTTTATTTGTCTCTTGATAGTCCATGGAAGTGCTGAGGACAGGAGAGCCACGCTGGAGAGAAAGTTTGCTAAAGCACAGAAGAGGATGCTAAGGAAACTTCTCCAGCTTTGCTGCCTGCTCTGAGCTCCGGAAGAAACTCCCATAGCCAGTGCAGACGCTGATACAAGAAGGGGCTCAATTTTCAAATAACAAGAGCCTTCGAAAGGTGGACATATGCTTTCTTTTACCAAATCATCCCCTCCAAATTGAATTATCTTGTGAATTTATCAGACTAGTAAAGCCAACGTTATATCTCTGAATCTTGAGTCCTATAGAAGCTGATATTTTCAGTATTTCTGAGTTTCATCTCTTGGGATGATGGGACTTGTGAGGATAAAAAATTATCCCAATATAACCAGAATTAAAAAAAATAAATAAAAGCACAAATTTAAAGAAATGAGAACACATGTTGCTAAACCTGTATTATGTTGTTTAATGAATAGCTACTAAGGGAAGAAATGAGGTGGTTGACCAACATCTAGAAACAGGGTATTATTTCACCAACTATAAACATAATTCGTATAAGTACATTTCCAAATCGTTCCACATTTCCAGTTATTATTCTGAGACTGGAAGGAGGAGAAAAAGCCCTTTCATTCCAGACTAAAGGAAATTCCCACACCTAATAATGTACACTTGGAAAGTTGTTCAAATTTGCATTTTTGAAGAAGCAAAGGAAGTCAACAATGTAAATCTACATCTAAAAAATGTAAATATTCATTTAAAAAGGAGAAGCTCAGTAAATAAGGTAAAACATATATCTGAAATTCAAACACATATTTGAAAAGGAAGTGAATCACACTACTTAGAAGAAAAAGGAATCTAACACAAAAGAACTAAAAACTGTTAAAGATGTCGTTTAATAGTTTAGCTTCAGGTGTCATAACATTCTGTTAATTATGGATGGGTGGTCCTCCCTCATTACCGGACAGGCAGAAAACATTGCTGTTGTCAACTATAAAAACTCTCATATGATATAATATATTCATACCATAATCTAGTTTTCTAGAAAATGTTAAGTAAGGTAGCTGCTCTCTGTCTCCAACCCTGGAATATGTGTTCCTCTTCTTGCTTCTTATATCCACTTTAATTGTTAAAGTAAAACTGTGTTATATTTTCCTGTTTACTTCTCTAGAATTCGATTTAACTATAAATTATTTTAGGACACAGAATGGTTCTCATTTATTCTCATTTATCCTTATAACCATATTTGTTACCAAAACCTGAAGCAAAAGTTCACAGGTGCTACACAGATTTCTGTGGAAAGTAAAAATGTGACTCACCTGACATTTTCCATACATTTGATAAACTAAACCATGTCAATCTATGAAATAAGAATACCAGAACTTTTTTAAATTATAAGATCTATAGAAGAGAAAAATAGTACTTAATAAGTGATATATTAAATGCATTAGATTTTAAGATGGTGATTAACATTATATTAAAATGGAAATACGAACTTTGGAAATCAGTTCTTAAAATAGAACTGATCTATTCAAAGGAATAGATCAGTTTTTGAAAACATTTGGTATTCATAATTATTCGACCGAGTTTAGCCTAAAGCTGCCTCCTCACATACTTTAAATTCATCCTAAAGATTTTCCTGTATACTTAAGTGGAGGTGTAAACAGACTGTAACCTTTTGTGCCAATCACCAAATTTTGGCTAACTAAGGAGGACCAATTGTTTAAACCATGTCCAAATGAGGTAAAAGCTGTAACCAATCCGGCTGTTTCTGTACCTCATTTATGTTTTCTGTCTATACTCATTTTTCCTTTTTCTGTCTATAAATCTTCTTCCAATGCATGGCTGAGCTGGAGTCTTTCTGAGCCTACTCTGGAACAGGAGGCTGCCCTATTCACAAATCATTCTTTTTGCAAGAAATTCAACTCTGTTAAATTTCATGTGGCTAAAAACTTTTTAACATAAAAAAGGCATATATTTTTTTCTAATTGCACAATTAAGAGATTTTAAAAAATTTAAGAACATGGGTTGTCTGAAACTGACTTTTCCGTTGTTTATTGATAAACTTACTTGGAATGTTCCTTGCAATTTTATTATTTATTTATTTATTTAGAGATGGAGTCTCGCTCTGGCTCTGCTGCCAGGATGGAGTGCAGTGGCGCAATCTCAGCTCGCTGCAACCTCCACCTCCCGGATTCAAGCGATTCTCCTGCCTCAGCCTCCCGAGTAGCTGGGACTACAGGTGCCTGTCACCACGCCCGGCTAATTTTTGTATTTTCAGTAGAGATGGGGTTTCACTGTGTTAGCCAGGATGGTCTCCATCTCTTGACCTCGTGATCTGCCCGCCTCAGCGTCCCAAAGTGCTGGGATTACAGGCGTGAGCCACTGCTCCCGGCCTGCAATATTATTTTTACATAGACGTTATATGCTAGCATTGGAATTGCAATGCGAGTGGTAAGGAGGGACTAGTGGAAAGAGGCCAACCATGCCTATAACCAAAAATCTAGTAAACTTGGGGTGTTCAGGGAAATAAAAAAACAATAACCGAGGTTTAACTGCAATGGTGGAACTACTGGGTATTTGTGTTATAGGATAGTTGGGAAGGATAGAAATATGGATATAGAACGCACATAAGGCTACCTCTCCCTTATAAATGTCTTCTTAAAATGTAGAGGCTCGGCCGGGGGCGGTGGCTCACGCCTGTAATCCTAGCACTTTGGGAGGCCAAGACAGGCAGATCACGAGGTCAGGAGATCAAGACCATCCTGGCTAACACGGTGAAACCCCGTCTCTACTAAAAATACAAAAAATTAGCCAGGCGTGGTGGCGGGCGCCTGTAGTCCCAGCTACTCGGGAGGCCGAGGCAGGAGAATGGCATGAACCCAGGAGGCGGAGCTTGCAGTGAGCCGAGATTGTGCCACTGCACTCCAGCCTGGGCGACAGAGCGAGACTCCGTCTCAAAAAAAAAAAAAAAAAAAAAAGGAAAGAAAAAGAAAAAAATGCAGGCTCTTCTTTAGCTCATTTATGGTAGTCAGTCTGTAATAAATGTTGTAAAATACTGCTTAATATATATCATTATGTTTTAAAATTGTCTTATTTTCAAAGAAAATAAATATTTCCTTTTTTATTTCTTCATATATTTACTGAAGAACGTTAACTGTGAGTCTAGGTCAAGTCCCAAAGATACCATCAAACTTACCCTGAGTTTATTGGTTACTAAAGCAAAAACTATTATTACCTCTGTAGAGTCTTGGTAGCATATGGGGAAGAGAGGTTATAGTTATGATACTTACAAGAGTTCGGGACTGTTATAAGGTAGATTTTTAAAATTAGTATCTTAATCAGCATTTGCAAAAGAATGATTTACAAATAGTGCTCAAAGTGAGTTGAGTTGAACATTTTGATGTGAGATTCAAAATACAACCATCTATTTCTCTGAGAAAAGAATGATGGCCGTGACCGTGCAAGGGGTCTTGTGTTTGGATAAAAGGAGATTCAGACAGTTCTTAAGCAATGTTATTTGCAATTTCATCTTGCAAATGCTTTTTGCAATTTATCTGTCTGGATTAGAAATTTCTTGGAATAATAGAATCCCACCAATGTAGGTTTTTAATTAGAAATTTAACTTACTGCAACCCTTGAGCTTTGTAGCTGTAGATGGTTTTAGTTTGCACATGCTATCATAATATATAACTTTATGGAACTAACTCTCTATAACAGGAGAAGACTGGATGTGTGACAAAGTCAAGGTCACATATAGAATGTACAGGAACAGACAAATATTTCTTGCTGGATTCTACCTGTATGTACACTTTAATTATAAATCTACAATATTTATTAATGACGTGAGTCATAGTGATTTATCAATAAAATTTATCAAAATAAATACAGAAGAGACACTGGCATATTTGTTTATTATTCAATAAAGTCCTGTAAAGATTTTTCCACTGTCCATATTTTCCTGTTTTGGTTAAGGAACCACCTCTTTCTCTCTCTCTCTCTTTTTTCTCTCTTTTTTTTTTTTTTTTTTAAGACAGAGTTTCACTCTTGTTGCCCAGGCTGGAGGGCAATGGCACCATCTCAACTCACTGCAACCTCCGCCTCCCGGGTTCAAGTGATTCTTCTGCCTCAGCCTCCCGAGTAGCTGGGATTACAGGCATGCACCACCAAACCTGGCTAATTTTATATTTTTGGTAGAGATGGGGTTTCTCCATGTAGGTCAGGCTAGTCTCGATCTCCTAACCTCAGGGGGTCCGCCCACCTCGGCTTCCTAAATTGCTGGGATTACAAGTGTGAGCCACTGCACCCGGCCCCTCTCTTTTAAAATTAATTGTCATATGTGCAGTTGCTGGCTAATTTCATATTATTCACATTTAAAAAGGGCAGCACAAGGTTGTGGCATTTCAGAATCCATATTATAACAATACAGATTTTGCCACGTACATTCCCTTATCATCATTGCCAGTTACTCATTACACCATTACTCATGGGGCTGCATTATCCAATATGCAACCGTTAAACATTGGTTTCTATTGATTCACTGAATATTTTTTTACTATGACATTAAATCACTCAATTATATAATGAGCACAGACTATGTGCTAGGTACTAAAGGTATTGAATAAGTATATCATCAAAAACCTTTATATAATTACTAAAAATTTATATTGCTTTGATAAATTTTACTAGTGGTTTTACTAGTTAAACCATTATTCTCTTTAGGTCTGGTTAAATCTGGTTAAATCTGGTTAAATCTATGGATATAATTCTTAACATTTATAGTTTTTGAAACCATTAGCTACCTAAATGAACTTTATTCAGTGAATAACAAGAAGCGTTTCCTTAATTATTCAATCACTTAAATATTTAATAAACATGGGAGGTTTTATCTTATCCAATGTACTACACATTCACAAAGAGAAAAAAAAAGATTTGTTTCTGCTTTTGTCTGATTTGATATAGGCTAGAGATAAGATATATGGTTAATGGATATCTCCATATTTTATAGATCTAGAAGAAAAATTAAATATTACAAACTCTACCTTATCATTTTGTGATTGAGGTAACTAAAGACCAGAAATTTTAAATGACTTGTGTAGAGGAAGACACAGATCTTTTCAGTGGAAGAACAAGAGATTTAAACTCAGGTTTTATGACTCCAGGTCTAGATCTTTGTTTACTGATTAATATTTTGCTACAGGAAAAAGAAGACAACAAAAAAAGAGGGAAAGTGTGTTCAACATTAGTGTCTTATCAAAATGGGCTATTGGTTGTAATACCTAGAGGGAAATAACCTTCCATTTTAATAGCAAATAGAAATAGAATAATTTATAAAACATGGCAACAATCATTTTAGCCTCTACTGAAAGGACTAAGCAATATCTAGAGTTGCCATTCATTTATTAATTGTGGAGTCAAAAGAAATAGCTAAGAAAGTAAATATTGATGAAGAAGAAAAGAAAACTTGAAAGCAAATTGAGAAAATAATATTAGCTTAAGTCAAATAGACGGACATATAACATAACATAAGGAAATTTTCTTTATCTGAGATAAGAACACTCAGTAAATTGTATATAACAGCGATACAACGAAGAGCAGGGTAGCAAGATCAGTGGCTGATGGCAAATATAGATATTGAAAGATTGATTAAAAATCAGGAAGATGATTATGGTGGCAACATAAAAGGATTCTAATTGAAATAGTAAAATACTCAGAATGAGATATGAAAGGGTGAAGTTATCAGAAATGCAATGTTATAGCATAGCAATGCAATGTTATAACATAATATATGTTATAACATAGCAATGAAAACTCTTTTCCTCATTGTTCTTTGTTAGAATAGAGTAGCTGTTCTGCAAAAGTTCTTAGGGGTTCAGATATTATTTGAAAAGGAGTCACATATGATAGAGCCGTCTGAGGAATTTGGAAGATCTAGAGATGATACTTCCAAGATCAAGATCTTACATGAAGTGCAATTATTTCAGCATCATATCAGTTGCACAGTCAGAGTTTTAAAATAATATTGTATTACAAGACTTTTTAAAAAGTTTTACTTTAAGTTCTATACAGCATGTGCAGGTTTGTTACATAGGAATGCATGTGCCATGGTGGCTTGCTGCATCTATCAACCCATAGAAGACAATTTTAATCACATTTTTTGGCATACATGTATTATGGAAATATTCAAACTAATTTGTAAAGTTACTTGAAATATGTGTATTTGTATCACCTTGTGGTAGATGGCTCTACTCCATATATAACATGTTTCTCCAAGTACTAGCATTGGGATTGCAATGGGATTGGTAAGGAGGGACTAGTGGAAAGAGACCAACCACGCCTATAACCCAAAATCTAGTAAACTTGGGGTGTTCAGGAAAAAAAGCAATCAATTAGCGAGGTTTAACTGCAATGGTGGAACTACTGGGTATTATAGAATCGTTGGGAAGAATAGCAAACATTAGATTTATTTTAAAGACATTCATGGATCATTTATAATGAGATTAATAGAGTTGGACAAGAGATTAAAAAATACCGATGCAAAATGGGACTGAGGTGCAGATTTTGTTAGTATTAGCTTAAAGGTCAGTGTTAATATTGACAAAGACTCTCTCTTTGACCAAATTCTAGACAGGTTCCTCTGAGTTTTTCTTTGACTAATTCTCATTCTTGGGCCTTGATCTCAAGAGCCTAGTTGTAGCATGAACCTCGTATAGTCAGTTTAGCAAGAAGCCTCACCCTCAGTATCTACTCACTCTCAATATCTAATCAAATTCCTCATCTTTCGCCACCCCCCAGGGGTGTCTGATCACCCCGTCCTGTCCTCAGCAAGAATCTTGTTTATTTAACCAGAATGTACCCTTATCCCTGATGTTTCTTTTTAGTAATTTTTCATCCACTGATCCTCTCTCTGTTCCTTGGATATAAATCCCTCTTATTCATGCTGTATTAGGAGTTGAGCTCAATTTTTCTCTTCTGCTGCAAAACCCTATTGCAGAGTCCTTTGTATAAAATCTTCATTACCATCTGTGACAAGTGTCAGAATATATTTTTCTTTAACAATATCACTGGAAAATTGCCTGAGGGAATTAATATAAACAAGCATGACAAAAATGACCTAAAATTAATACCAAGATGTACAACACTAGGAGGTAAAGAGAGAATGTGGAATTACGTCCATGTATCTTACAAGGCATTTAGGTTCTTTTTTTTTTTCTTTTTTTTTTTAGCCTAGCCCTCAAGAGCCTGTGGTGAAAAAGTGTATTAGAAGCCAAATAGTTACAGGTTAAAATCCTGTTTTTATCTTACCAGCTGCTGCTTCTTGAGCAGGATTTAGAGTCAATTCTCAGACTGGAGTTTCCTCATGTAAAGTGGAAATAGTATCGTCCCTTCCTATACTAATACTAATTTAAATGTTAGGGTTTTATTTTATGTAAGCACTTAATTAGGAGCTCACAAATACAGGTTTTATGAAATGCCTTGAAACCACTTTTCCTCTGATCTTACAACTTTTAAAGACAGAATAGACGATGTGGGTAGGATCCTAATGGCCCCCATGCATTTCTAAGTTATTTTTGTAGAAAATTTCCAGGCGCTGAAGTGGTAAAGGCAATTGTCATTTCTTCCCTTGAATGAGGCTTAGTAAAGATTTTATGATTAGGAATTTGGCCACCTACCTCACATCTGGAAACCATGGCTATGAAAATAGTGGGTGACCCATTTGAAGATGTGGAGTGGAACTTTAGATGGAATAACACACTATTTTCAGTCTTAAAATAGCCCATTGATTCAGACCCTACATTTCCTTATTTAAAAAGTACATGAACCTTTTTGAAGGCATCTCTAAATATCCTAATTTTGGAAAAAAAAAACCTATCATTCTCATTTATATGTAGGGCTGCCATATAATGGAATGTAATACTATTAAAAGGAAAATTCAGATTAGAATCTCATCTCTTATGGACTAAATCTTTTATTCCAAAATGAAAGTGTGGCATTTTTCAATGAAATGTGGTTTCTTCAATATTTAGAATTCGATATCTGCAAAAGCCAAATTAAAAGGAGCTTAATTGCCAGAAAGGCAATGTGAAGATGACAATGGAAAGGAATAAGACACTTGGCTTATTTATTTTTTCCCCACTTTCAATGGCTTTGTTTTGTAATGATTATCTTTAGGTATCGGCATGTTCATATTTTTCTTCTCAATTATAAAATCTTTAATCATTTCCTCGGGTGTATAAAAATGAAATGATTAGATGCAACTTTAAATTATGCAGGGTAATGATCAGGAACTGTTTACTGATTCTGCTATATTATAATATTCAAATTATATACAATAACATATAACAAAATTATATATAATTATATTATATATAGTTTGATATATTTAGTTTGATACAAAAAACTTGATACATAAATATCAATTTTATGTCAAATTAATATATAGATATTATATATAATTACATAATTTGATATAAATATGATATATAAATATATACAAATATATAAGTATCACATTTATATCAAATTGATATATAAACTATATATATAATTTGAATATCATAATATGGCAGAATCGGTAAATACTTTTGGCCATAAGACTGGATACAGAGATTCTACCCAACACTCAGTTACCTACCCTATGCACACATATTCAGCTACATTTCTGTTCTTTTGTACTTGCATCCAACTGCCTTAAGCCTCATCCTTTTGATTGAATTCCCAAAAATCAAGTACTGAAATCAGTTTATAATTTATATTGACCACAGAGGGGCACACCTCAAAACCAATGTAAGCTGATGGACCATTTTCCAAAGCATAATTTATCATCATCATCATCATCAGTGCTACCTTTGGCCCCTGTCTAAATAGGCCAAGGCTGTGTTAAGATGGCTTATTAAATGAAATATGTATCTCTGCAATTGGATGGTTTATTACTCTCTTGAGAATGATATTATCTATACTTAAAGGAAAGTTGCATTTTCTTACAATTTCTTTCTTTCAGAACATTTTAGTTACCCATATTTTAGTGTCTTTTGCTCATGTGTGCTCTTTGTTATAATACATGCATGCTCCACTCCAGGTAGTTGGTGAAAGTTTTCTTTCATTCTTTAACTAAGTTCTTTTTCATATCTGTGAGTACCAAAATATGAAATAAAGGAATATAAAGTTGAGAGAGAATTGATTTCCTAAGTGTCTACATTAAAAAAAGAAATGTAGTCTAGTTGACAGGATATTTGATTTCTGTTAGCTCTATATGTTGCATGTAGATCAATTTACTTCTGACCTTCTCATAACAAGTTGTTAAAAAAATTGTCTCTATACATTGTTTTAAATATCTTTTTTGGTTAAAGCAAACACATTGAAAATCCCTAGATGTGTATTTAAGGCAGTACGACAATTATGATTCCTACTAAGTTTGTTTCTAGACGTTTTAGGCACGTAAACCTTCACTGGAGAGGGCAAATACAAACACCTGACAAAAACTCTCTGATTGGAGAAAATCACACAGTACCTCAGCCATCAACATCTTTTCTCTTTGCTAAATTTAGGAGAGAAGACAAATGGAAAGGATTTAAAACTTTGGTAATTAGCTATGACTGGAGCAATTCAAAGTCACCACTTTATGGTAATTCTGAATTGGTTTACATTACTTAAAGCAAAATCTTCTCATATGAATCTATCATCCAATAAATCAGAGATATTAATAAACACTATTTAAAATACAAAGCTTAATTGAAAATTAGAGTTATAGAAGATAAGTGCTTCTAGCTGAGGGTAATTTTTACTGCCTACTTGGCAGAATATATTCTCAAATCCAGAGGAAATATTTCTAGGAGATATTTCTAGAAGCATATACCAATTTCCAAAATGAAGCAGGCCCAATGGCTACTTTGTTTTCCAACTCTAAGTGACAATTAACTCTATCAAACAGAATTTGACAAAGAATCAAACAGATCTATGCCCTCTTCCCTTGCAGGAGCAAACTGAAAGAATACTCTGGTTTCAAATATATATCCTAATAAAATGTGTAAATTTTATAAAAGACTATAAAGACTTCCTTTCACATGAAGACCATAAATTCTTTTTTATCTTTTTGAGTAACTGTGAACTTCTTATCCCAGAAAGTCTATAATAGCAAAGCAAAATATAAGTCTTTCACTCCTTCCATTAAAAAAGTTAAATATTTTTAATAAGTGACTTATTTTTTAAAATGTTAAGGTTTTATGTCTATATAGTATTATAATGCCTTCTATAGTATGGTGCAGTTAATCTAAGAAGGATATAGAACATAAAAATATTTGCTTAAAATAAACAAAACATGAAGGAATAAACAATTGAAAGAGAAGCCTATCTATAATGGTAGAAATAAGATAGAGAGGACTTTGATTAAAAAAAAAACTATGCTTTTTAAAATAGTATTTGTTTTGTAAGTTTTATTTGTTTTATTTGAATTCATGCTAATATTGCATATAATTATTACACAAAATTAAATTAAAAATCTCAAATAACACAATCAAAATAAAATGCAATAAACATAAATTTGCACCCAGTTGGGCATATCCACAAGTGAAAATTATGCCAAATGGATTTAAAACACAGTAATTTGACTATAAATTTATAGTGGAACAAAAATAGGTATAAAAAATTTTAAACAATCATATTACTTATGGTAGTATTGGTATTTTTATTTTGAGATGGTTGTAGTTTTCTTTTTTTTTTCTTTTCTTTTTTTTTTTTTTTTGAGAGGAAGTCTCACTTTGTCATCAGGCTGGAGTCCCGTGGCACAATCTCGGCTCACTGCAACCTCCGCCTCCCAGGTTCAAGCGATTCTCCTGCCTCGGCCTCCTGAGTAGCTGGGACTAAAGGCGCCCACCACCATGCCCAGCTAATTTTTTGTATTTTTAGTAGAGACAGGGTTTCACCATGTTGGCCAGGATGGTCTTGATCTCTTGACCTCGTGATCCGCCCGCCTAGGCCTCCCAAAGTGCTAGGATTATAGGTGTTAGCCACCGCGCCCAGCCTGTAGTTTTCTAAGGTATACAAATTAAACAATAAATAACTGTGTAATCTTTGAAATCTTTTGCTCCCAATGTCCTAGAGAAATGAGCTTCTCAGCATAGGTAAAGGAGATACAAATTTAGAAGGTAAAATGGATTGAGTATAAACCCTATAATCTGCATTTTAAATGGGAAGTATTATCGTAAACTCATTTTGGACTTTATTTGGAAATCAGCGAAGAAAAAATAACAACAAAAATTTCCTAATTTTTTACTATAAACACCTAGGAAATATGGGCTATCCCCTATTAATAATACTTTTACCGAGTGCCAAGGTACAGAGCATAAATTACTTACTTAGCTATGGACAAGATAATATACAAGATGAGTTTGCAGCCGCTGATATATTCTATAACAAGGATGCTTTCAAAGACACAGAAATCTAATAGAAGTTTCCATTGACAAAAGATGGCACATGCTTAGTTTCACAAAAAAATCAATCTATCAAATGTAATCATATCTGTAATTTGATTATATTTCTTAAAAATACTTTATTTTTTAAAGCTTGAGAAAAAAACTATTTTGAAACCTGATAAATTCAAAGAAAGAAGTATTTATTCTAAATTTTTCCTTAGGAATTATACCACTTGGTGATCAAGCAGAAATTGATGATAATTTCTATTTTTTTTTTCTTTTTGAGATGGAGTCTCACTCTGTCGCCCAGGCTGAAAGATTTTGCAGATAAAAAATAAAGAGTAAACATTTGGATTAGAATATTGACTTTTTGCAATTTTCAATAAGATAATCTGTGCAATAATCACCAGTAGCTGCTAGCACCATAACAAGATGATAACCAGCTCATATGTTTCTCCTAATACAAAATATGAATTTTCTGATTAAAAAAATCAAAACAGTGCACATATATACTATAAAATAATTGTGTCAAAATATATAAAACCTGCATCTAGATTCACCTTTCAATGCATACGGAATACAACGAACAGAGAATACAGTTTCATTATTTTACATCAATACAATCAACAAAATCCAGAATGTAAGAAATGCTATGGAAACAAACTTTTTAAAATGAGAAAACATTGAATCTATAAATTACCTTGGGCAGTATGGCCATTTTCATGATATTGATTCTTCCTATCCATGACCATGGAATGTTCTTCCATTTGTTTGTGTCCTCTTTTATTTCGTTGAGCAGTGGTTTGTAGTTCTCCTTGAAGAGGTCCTTCACATCCCTTGTAAGTTGGATTCGTAGGCATTTTATTCTCTTTGAAGCAATTGTGAATGGGAGTTCACTCATGATTTGGCTCTCTGTCTGTTATTGGTGTATAAGAATGCTTGTGATTTTTGCACATTGATTTTGTATCCTGAGACTTTGCTGAAGTTGCTTATCAGTGGAAGGAGATTCTGGGCTGAGACCATGTGGTTTTCTAGATATACAGTCATGTCATCTGCAAACAGGGACAATTTGACTTCCTTTTTTCCTAATTGAATACCCTTTATTTCTTTCTCCTCACTGATTGCCCTTGCCAAAACTTCCAACACTATGTTGAATAGGAGTGGTAAGAGAGGGCATCCCTGTCTTGTGCCAGGTAATTTATAGATTCAATGCCATCCCCATCAAGCTACCAATGACTTTCTTCACAGAATTGGAAAAAACTACTTTAAAGTTCATATGGAACCAAAAAAGAGCCCGCATTGCCAAGACAATCCTAAGCCAAAAGAACAAAGCTGGAGGCATCATGCTACCTAACTTCAAACTATATTACAAGGCTACAGTAATCAAAATAGCATGGTACTGGTACCAAAACAGAGAAATAGACCAATGGAACAGAACAGAGCTCTCAGAAATAATACCACACATCTACAACCATCTGATCTTTGACAAACCTGACAAAAACAAGGAATGGGGAAAGAATTCCCTATTTAATAAATGGTGCTGGGAAAACTGACTAGCCATATGTAGAAAGCTGAAACTGGATCCCTTCCTTACACCTTACACAAAAATTAATGCAAGATGGATTAAAGACTTAAATGTTAAACCTAAAACCATAAAAACCCTAGAAGAAAACCTAGGCAATACCATTCAGGACATAGGCATGGGCAAGGACTTCATGACTAAAACACCAAAAGCAATGGCAACAAAAGCCAAAATTGACAAATGGGATCTAATTAAACTAAAGAGCTTCTGCACAGCAAAAGAAACTACCATCAGAGTGAACAGGCAACCTAAAGAATGGGAGAAAATTTTTGCAATCTACTCATCTGACAAAGGGCTAATATCCAGAATCTACAAAGAACTCAAACGAATTTACAAGAAAAAAACAAACAGCTCCATCAAAAAGTGGGCGAAGGATATGAACAAACACTTCTCAAAAGAAGACATTTATGCAGCCAACAGACACATGAAAAAATGCTCATCATCACTGGCCATCAGAGAAATGCAAATCAAAACCACAATGAGATACCATCTCACACCAGTTAGAATGGCGATCATTAAAAAGTCAGGAAACAACAGGTGCTGGAGAGGATGTGGAGAAATAGGAACACTTTTACACTGTTGGTGGGACTGTAAACTAGTTCAACCATTGTGGAAGACAGTGTGGCGATTCCTTAAGGATCTAGAAATAGAAATACCATACGACCCAGCCATCTCATTACTGGGTATATACCCAAAGGATTATAAATCATGCTGCTATAAAGGCACATGCACACGTATGTTTACTGTGGCACTATTCACAATAGCAAAGACTTGGAACCAACCCAAATGTCCATCAATGATAGACTGGATTAAGAAAATGTGGCACATATACACCATGGAATACTATGCAGCCATAAAAAATGATGAGTTCGTGTCCTTTGTAGGGACATGGATGAAGCTGGAAACCATCATTCTCAGCAAACTATCGCAAGAACGAAAAACCAAACACCACATGTTCTCACTCATAGGTGGGGATTGAACAATGAGAACACTTGGACACAGGAAGGGGAACATCACACACCGGGGCCTGTTGTGGGGTGGGGGGAGGGGGGAGGGAAAGCATTTGGAGATATACCTAATGCTAAATGACGAGTTAATGGGTGCAGCACACCAACATGGCACATGCATACATACGTAACAAACCTTCACGTTGTGCACATGTACCCTAGAACTTAAAGTATAATAAAATAAAATAAAATATGTATCAAGGAATTTATCCATTTCTTCTAGATTTTCTAGTTTATTTGCATAGAGGTGTTTATAGTATTCTCTGATGGTAGTTTGTATTTCTGTGGGATCGGTGGTGATATCCCCTTTGTCATTTTTTATTGAGTCTATTTCAATCTTTTCTCTTTTCTTCTTTATTAGTCTTGCTAACAGTCTATCAATTTTGTTGATCTTTTCAAAAAACCAGCTCCTGGATTCATTGATTTTTTGAAGGGTTTTTTGTGTCTCTATTTCCTTCAGTTCTGCTCTGATCTTAGTTATTTCTTGCCTTTTGCTAGCTTTTGAATGTGTTTGCTCTTGCTTCTCTAGCTCTTTTTGTTGTGATGTTAGGTTGTCAATTTTAGATCTTTCCTGCTTTCTCTTGTGGGCATTTAGTGCTATAAATTTCCCTCTACACACTGCTTTAAATGTGTCCCAGAGATTCTGGTACGTTGTGTCTTTGTTCTCATTGGTTTCAAAGAACATCTTTATTTTTGCCTTCATTTCGTTATGTACCCAGTAGTCATTCAGGAGCAGGTTGTTCAGTTTCCATGTAGTTGAGCAGTTTTGAGTGAGTTTC
This sequence comes from Homo sapiens, assembly GCF_000001405.40. Taxonomy (NCBI): domain Eukaryota; kingdom Metazoa; phylum Chordata; class Mammalia; order Primates; family Hominidae; genus Homo; species Homo sapiens. Next base: position 21,708,979 of record NC_000021.9, read on the forward strand.
TTAATCCTGAGTTCTAATTTGTTTGCACTGTGGTCTGAGAGACAGTTTGTTATAATTTCTGTTCTTTTATATTTGCTGAGGAGTGCTTTACTTCCAACTATGTGGTCAATTTTGGAAGTCAGTGTGGCAATTCCTCAGGTATCTGAAACTAGAAATACCATTTGACGCAGCCATCCCATTACTGGATATATACCCAAAGGATTATAAATCATGCTGCTATAAAGACACATGCACACATATGTTTATTGCAGCACTATTCACAATAGTAGACTTGGAACCAACCCAAATGTCCAACAATGATAGACTGGATTAAGAAAATGTGGCACATATACACCATGGAATACTATGCAGCCATAAAAAATTATGAGTTCGTGTCCTTTGTAGGGACATGGATGAAGCTGGAAACCATCATTCTCAGCAAACTATTGCAAGGACAAAAAACCAAACACCGCATGTTCTCACTCATAGGTGGGAACTGAACAATGAGAATACATGGACACAGGAAGGGGAACATCACACACCGGGGACTGTTGTGGGGTAGGGGGAGGGGGGAGGGATAGCATTAGGAGATATACCTAATGCTAAATGACAAGTTAATGGGTGCAGCACACAAACATGGCACATGTATACATATGTAACAAATCTACACATTGTGCACATGTACCCTAAAACTTAAAGTATAATAATAATAAAATAAAAAAAGAAAAAATAAACAAAATAAAATAAAATAAGAAAACAAAAACAATTTATTCAACAAATAAGTGGAAAGGAGAGAAAGGGTCAGAAGGCAGGAAGGAAGAGAGAGGAGGGAGAGAGAAAAAACAAAAAAATAATCTTTGGAGTAAAAAAAACCTTAAAAAATCATCAATTTAAATGTCTTCCAAAGTATGGTTAAAAATGTGTGACAATTTTGACACAATTGGAAGTGTGAACATTGACATTGAATATTAAAGTATTTGCAGATATTTTAGGTATACTACTAATGACAGTATGCTTTCAAAAAGGCTTGCCTTTTGGAGATTCATACTTAACTATCTGTGAATGAAATGCTGTGATGTCTGGAATATATTTTCTAATAAAAATAGAGGGAAGAAGTGGGTGGAGATATAGATTAAACGTGAATTGACATAAAATATAGGTACCATCATAAGCTGGTAACTGTGAAATTTGAGTAATGAACAAAAGGAATCCATTATATCTTTGAGTCTATTTTTGAATTTTTTAGAAATTTTCCATTATAAAAGTTAAAAACAATGTTAACATTTAGAGAAAGTGATAACATTGTGTGCTTATTTTATCTTGAAGCAACATTTAATGCACTAGTCTGGAAAGAGCAACTTAAAAAGCCGCAAAGTCAGCTAAGAACTACATCGTCTAAAATGGTATCCACTACCCACGTGTATCTGCTACCCACGTTTATCCACTACCCACATTTCTCTTCAAGTGAAAAGTGTGTAATTCAAATTGAAATGTAATGTGATATAAACACACAATGCATTTCTTTCGTAAATATTATTTTTAATTGATAAATTATAATTGTAATCATTTATGGAATAAAATGTTATTATTTTGATGTATGAATACAATGTGGAATGATTAAATAAAGTTAATTAATATATATCATCTCACCCATCATTTTTTATGGTGAGAAATTTGAAATTGCTCTCTTAGTTACTTTGAAATATACACAATGAATTTCATATATAATATAAAAATGTAAAATGCCTCATTTATAATTTTCTATTGATTATATTTGACATAACATTTTGAACATATCAGTTTATGTAACATAGCTTACTATGTAAATTCCCCCACTCATTTTACTTTCTTAATATGGCTACTAGAAAATTAAAAATTAATTTTTAATTAATTTGCATGATATTTTTATTGGTCAGTGCTGTTCTAGGTAATATAAGAAAGCAGGTTAAAAGATACTATAATATTAGGGACCTTTTGAAGGTTTTCTCTAAGGCAGACATATAGTTGACTTTAAATATACAGATGATTATATGTGCTTAGGACATTTAAGCCATCAAGAACAACAAGACTGAATAACATTACTTATTCAGATAGCAGGATAAAAACCATAGAAATGAAAAAAATGAATAAACACAAAAACCTGAACTAGAATAATTATCATAATAGCTAATTTCTTAAATATTGTCAATTAAGCATAGAATGATAAAAATATTTTGTTATACATTATTTATGGAATGATTGATAGGAGGGCATATTCACAATTTTAATAAAGTTATATGTTTTAGCAAATCACTATGATAATTATAATATCCCAATGCTTCAGATGTTTAAATTTCAGTATTCAATATTCCAAAAAATAAGCCACTTTATGCTTAATATTTTTTATAAATATCATCTGACTGTAGCACTGCATCATTTAAGATGGAGTTTGGGGGGTTAGTTTATCAGTAAATTTTATTCTCGTAAAAGTTTAAACGCTAATTTGGAAAAGAAATAAAACAACACTTACAGGTTCAGATAGAAAGGATGCCTTGCTCATATTAATTTATTTTACTATTCAAAGAAAGGAACATTTAGAAACCATCTTTACTGATAATTAATTTACTAAAATAACTTTCCAGAATTGACCAAAACTTACTCCTTGGATTTAATCATGTATCATTGCATATATGTACCAATATTTAAAAAATAATTCTGACTCCTTTCAAAAACGATACAGTTCATTCTACTTTCCGTCACTCTTTCTCCCCCTCTACTTATCTGTGCACAAAAGTCACAGTGGACGTGCTCTTGACTGAATCTGAATCCGAACTCTATTTATCTGCTCTACGTATGTTCCCTGACCCTGTGGGCCCAAGTTCTGACTAGCTGCAAAGCATTGGGATAATAGTATCTACTCTGATTTTTTAGAAATATGTGACTACGAGAGACAGAATGCTTTGTCAAATGTGACATCCAAATCCATACAAAACTGAGGTCTTCAATGCTACTGTGTAACCAATGTTTAGACTTTAAGACCTTGACTTTTTCCAAAATGTCAGAAGCTTTACTTCTGAATGTGACACTTCATCAGGAGGCAAAGGTCTCTGATAAAAAGTCCTGGCATGTAGCAATTCTGCCAGTATAAGAACTGCGCCCACAGAACAATGTGGAGATAATCTTGTGTGAAGAATGGAAGGGAGCAAGCAGAATCTTCAAGCAGCTGTTTTGACGCAGGTGATTGGGGAGTTATTTTAAGCAGAAAGAGGAAAGTTCTTTGGGGATTCACAGTGACAGCCTCAGTCAGCCCTGCTCTGTGTCTGGATTATGGGATGGAGGATAATTGCAAGTGTCAGTCGAGACTGGTATTCAACAGCCGGGGTCTGAAATTTTCTACTTGAGCAATTTCCCAAACCTATGAGATAAGAGTGTACTATTCATGTCAAAGCTCAGGTATACACAACAGACAATGATCCAAAGTCTTAATGGATAAACACTGCCTTGTGTGGTGTTCACTTTGAAAATGAAAATCATCAACATCAGAATGTATGCCCATCTACTTGTCTAAAAGCTTACAAAGCTGATTTATTAACACAGAAAGGAATCAAATGTCAGGCGTCTCTGGGTTTACCACAACATAGTATGGACCTCTTGTTTTCCATCTGTGGATGTAAGTCTTCACAGGTTAGAGAATCAAGAGAAATATTAAAATCACGCAGTAATGATGGATAGGGGTCCTTGACTTATTTAAAAAAAAAAAATCACACAATTCCAGAAAACTGGCTAGAGCTTTGTAAAAGAAAAAAGAATGTAAATGTGAACTTATCTAATTCTCATGTAAATAATAGTAAACTTGAATATCTATAGGGACTGTGTTATAAAACAGAGGGGGATAAACTCTACTGGCTAAGCTACCTCAGAAAATAAATTGCCTTCCTTCTATTTCATTCTTTCTTGGACATGACTGCCCTACTACACAGAATGATTGAACTAGATAATCGTGTGTAGGCTGCATGACCAAATAGAGAAGGTGGGGTTGCATTTTCATTGTCCAAGGAGTAGCCTATTGTTCTGCATACTTCTTTGCATGGCTATGTTAAAAATTTTCCATCAAGTAATTATTTCTACGCATTACTGAAGAACACAGGGAATATATTTGAAGCCAATTCAATTTTTAATTCATTTACAAAGGAATTCAAAATAAATTACTCTTCCGAGATTCTTGCATTTTCTTAGGAAAATCTCTTTTCAAAGAAGAAATAAAACTAGAAAGAACATTTCAAGTTCATTTATATCAGCTTCTCACATCCTTCCCCTTTGGCACCATCAGTGTAAATGCATCTCATTCTATTTCAGTTTTCATTGGCATGGAAAAGGACTAGCAGTTCTTTTCTGGCAGCCAGCAAAACAGAAAACACAGCAAATCAGTTATTAAAATTTAAAGCACTCTTTTTTTTCTTGGCAATTGTAACTGTGACTCACAGTTCAGGAGAGTGGTGAAAATGTAAGTGTGATTTAACATCATAAAGTTTCTCGCTTAAGACCAACAATTTCACAAACTCAAGATGCCTTTAAAAAAATAAATCTAGAGGAAGTTCATTTCCTGTTCTAAATAATTTTTCTAATCTCTGATAAAACCTTCAAGTGTAATCCTAAAAAACAAAATACAGCTCTCGTTTCTTATTTAAAAAAAGAAGAGAGAAAAGAAACAACATCACAGAAATAACTTTACTTAGAGGGAAACTGTTGTAAAGTACAGCCTGCCTGCTATTTCAAGATCCAATACAATTTCCCAGGTTTTATATTATAAGCATCCACTTGAAGAGGAACAAAGAGAAACTTCAGTGCCAAATCAGCCCGTTGAAAAACACATATCCTCTCAAGAATGATGATCTATAATTAATGCCAATCATTTGAGAAAGATTAAAAATGACATACAGCAACCCAAAGGAACAGTGTAGTGATTTCCACCCACTATTTTGATGGAGAGAAACTGTGATTACATTCAATGCAAGAGCAAGTTTGGGGGTAATGAGGATGATGAGGATGGTGACTCAGAGCACTCCAGAACACAGTTTGAGTAAAGATGATATAAAATAATAAAAGCCAATGAGATACTCAATTTAGGTTAAAATAACAACTGAAATAATTATTTGTTATAATCTTCTGCTCTCTCGACTGATTTTCATTTTATTGTACTTGCCTTGGCTAAACCTTAACGTTAGATTAAACCCAACTAATTTTCTTCGTGCTCAGGGCCCATACTTAGCTAATGACTATAGCTGGATGGCTTTATAAATGGAGAGTTTACCAAAATAAACACCTTTTTAGACATTCAACGTGTTTTATTTATCTTACGGTATTCCTCTTGTTAACCTGCTCTAGCACCCTGCAAAATAACATATTCAATGTTATTCTAATTATTTATAGTTGCATAGCAAACTATTCACAAAACTTAGTGGTTTAATCAATAATTTATCATATATATGTCTCATAGTTCTATGGATTGCCTTTGTTCAGCTGAGTAGTTATATCTTTTCCTTGCATATGGATAGTGTCTGGGGATAGAGTCATCTGAATTCTTAATTGAATTGCTTAATTGCAGCCACATGAGTTGGCTCCAATGTGGCTTTCTTACTCACACATTCGGTATTTTGTTGCTCCTTTCTTTAGCTCTCTATGTATGGCATCTGATCTCTGGGATCACTTGTCATAGCTTTGGCTTCTCATAACATGATGGACTCAGGACAACCACACTTCTAATATGGTCCTGTCTTCCAAGAAGGAGAATCAAAGCTGAATTTCCCATTATAGGATATATGTGGGATTGGCAGCGTCAATTTGCCTGTGTTTTATTGGCAAAAGCAGTCACTGTAACTAGTGAGATTCAGGAAGGCTGAAAAATCGACTTCAGTTCTTAATTGGAAAGTGGTAAAGCCACAGTGCTGAAGAGCATGTGAGATGGGAAATACTGTCTCATCTCTCTTTGAAAAATTCACCTACTATCCATTCTCTAGTATTTCAAATTTCTCAATGTCATCCCTACTTTCCTCCTCACCTATACACCATTACCCTTATAAATGCTGTCACTTCTTACTTTACAGTGAATATTGAAGTCATCAGGCGGATGCCAACTCAAATTTCCACTGCCAATTCTATAAGGCTTTCGGCATCTGTACTCACCTCTTTCTTTTTCTCTCCCATCATTAATGGAGGAAGATCTGCTTCTAGTAAAGACTCACCTCTCCGTATCTTCTATAAAGGTCATCCCTATATTCCTTTCTGCACCTTATCATGTTGCTTAACTGTTTTTCTCCAAGATCCTTGACTTCCAAATTTCTACTATTTAATTATATGTTCACAAAACATGGCTCAATTTTCTCCCATCATTAAAACAAACAGGCTGACATGCACCAAAATACAGCGGAAGCTTCTTGGTCTTCAATGTACGCATTCAATATCCATGAGGACATAATCTTACTTGTTTCCTGTGTTTTACCACAGAAATTTTTGAAAGAGTTGTCACCATTCACTTTCTCCATATATTCTAAAGGAGCTTGTGTCAGGGTCAAAAATAAAGTATCCGGTTTCTAAATCTAAAGCCTACTCTTTAGTCTTTATCATATTAGATATCACAAGCTGCCTTTGACAGAATAGACCGTTTATTGTGGCTTAAAATACACTGAAGTATTGCTGTTTCTGACTCAATATCTTACAATGGTTTTTAGAAAGATATCTCTTTCTGAATTTAGTTGAATTTTCCCCAAGGCCTAGAGAAGACTCAGCAGGCAGAATTGATGACCTTTTCGTCCAATGTAAAGGGCTCAGTTAGGTCAGGTTCATTGTGTCTGGTTTCCTTATCCTTTAAGATG